>NC_000001.11:222559587-223184587 GCF_000001405.40 Homo sapiens
TTCTCTGAGAAAATGCAAGGACATATACTGTACCTATAGTAACCATTTTTATTATTCCTGAAACTAGTATGCCAGAATTGCTAACATCTTTGTTTTGTTGTTTTTCCTGAGATGGGGTCTCACTATGGGACACAAAGTGGTTTCAAACTCCTGGGCTCAAGTAATCCTCCCACCTCAGCCTCCCAAGTAGCTAGGATTACAGGCACACTGCATGCCACCGCACCCAGCTAGTAACGTTTTACTAGCTGGGAAGCAGTGGTGTCTGTAGTGTTACTAAAATAATTTGTATTTCTAAACATATCATACTACCTTAGTAAAAAACAAAATACTTTGCACACAGATTTTTGCCTGTACCTATATAGAAAGCTGGAAAGAATTTCGTTCCCACCCTAACATAGAGAAAAAGCTTAATAAACTAACTCTCAAGTCCATGAGAGCTGAAGTCACAGGGCAACCAAGTAGCTTCAATCCCAACAAGGAAAGACCCCTCCAAGGAGAAATGGGCCTGGCTTGCTTTTAGTGCAGCATGGAAAGAAAGAGAGCCACCATACCCCACTCAAAGCACAAAGCAAAGGCAGACCACACCCAGAATTTGAATCCTATAAAGTAAGGTTGGTAACCAGAGCAAGAAGAAAACCCAGCTTAACTAATGAATAGACTGACTCAACCCCACACTAACAGCCTGAGAGGAGATGTGGCTCTTGCGGGAGTAACTGATGCCTGATATTTGTAGAGCACTTTAGAAATTACAAAGCACTTTGATGCGATGTTCACATGATACTTACAACAATAAGATGGGTGTTACAATGCCCACTTCATAGAAAAGGCTCCTAAAAGTTAATTGCTTGACCTAAGTTAGATAGCAAGGGAGTGAATTGGAAAATTAACCCAGATCTTCCTACTCTGCTCAAAGAGACCTCTTGATAATTGTGCTAGATGCCGCTCTACTCATAAAGTAGAAAAATGACAATCCAAATCACCTTTCTGTTCCTTGTCATCAGTGTATTGATTTTTATTTTCTTCTTAATCAACATTGTATTACATTCACTGAGACTACTAATTCCAAAATAATAGAAACCATATTCAAAAGTGAATTGGAGAATCTCTTCAGGACACCTTAAGCTCCCTAGCAATGGACTGCTTACTAGTGGTCACTGTAAGATTTATTTTCTTCATTTCTGGACATACTCTGTGGTAGTTTCATTTCGGTACTGGCCACCTTTTAATAATTTCAGTGGCAGAAAGCAGGTAAGAATTTTACCACCCAAAATATTTCTTTTCTTTGAAGAAAAAATCAATATCCCTTTTCTTTGAAGAGAATTTTTTTCATATGCTAGTAGGAGGTATTCTTTCTCTTAAGTGGAGGAAATGTTTCACGCTTACAGAAACAGGTAAGTAAATATTAGTATAATATGAAGCTATTAAAGAACAGTGAGGTCAATAAAGAATATTTTGACACTTGAAAATCTCAGTAAACTTTCTATAAAACAAGGCCAAATGGTCAATTATTGTGAAAACTCTGTATCATGTATCTTAATGGCCCCCTAACAACACTCAAGTCAGGAGATGAAAACCGTTCACAATCAATATGAAATCACTGCTTCTAATCTAAGCACATAGTCCCAACTCAGGATTCACTCTTCCATTGAGCAGTTATGTCTTAAGCACCTAATATTTTTAGGTACCATGTTAGGTAAGCTCTAAATGAAGGCCATACTTCATAATTTCAAAATCAGCCAAAGCTGTGTCTAGATAAAACGAAAATAAAAACTGTACCTTTTCCTAACAGTAAACCAGCCACAAAAGCTTTCTCACAGGCCAAAGCTGTATCTTCCTTCCAATCACTTTTTGCCCAAAAGTAGCTGAAATGAAAGCCTGGCCACCAGTTTTTCCTGGAGTTCCACTCTTCTTGAACCCACGCAAGGTGGTTTCTGGAAAAGAAAAATGTCAAAAGAGAGGGTCAATGATGGAAACAAATCTATATTATCAGAATTTAGACTTAACTAGAGTCTACAGAAAGATGACAAGGAAGATGCTTCCAAGCTAAATTCTCAATATGGCCAAGGCATAACACATGATTGGCAACAGCAGGAAAGCAAATCCTTTTTTGTTCTCTTCCATCTCCATATCCCATTTTCCATTTCACTAAACAGACAGTTTAGCACAGTGGTTACAGAACAGACTCGAAGCCAGAATCCTGGA
Organism: Homo sapiens; assembly: GCF_000001405.40. Lineage (NCBI taxonomy): Eukaryota > Metazoa > Chordata > Mammalia > Primates > Hominidae > Homo > Homo sapiens. Next base: position 222,561,790 of record NC_000001.11, read on the forward strand.
TTCAAATATCAGCTCTTCCATCTACTATGTATGTGATCCTGGGCAAGTTGCTGAACCTCTCTGAGCTTCAGTGCCCTTGAGGACATTAGTGGTACTGATCTCATAGGAATGTTATTAAGATTAAACTATTCTAGTAGTAGGGTACAGCAGGTCTCATATAAAGCTCTTTGCATAGTGTCTGGTACATAGTAAATGTTCAATAAATATTATCTATTACTATTACTTAAGTAAAACCTTACTTAAAATTATATGCTGCCATGAATTACTATCCAAATGGAGATACCATTATTATACAAATACATTAAGACATATGTTAAACTGTTAAGTGCAGGCAATTCTGTGTGTCTGTGAATAATTTTTTTTATTGTATATATTTAAGGTATACAACATGTTTCATATACATATAGTTAACTTTTTTGAGTGGTGGGAGCACCTGAACTCTACTCATAGTAAATTTCCTATATGCAATACAATATTAACTACAGTCTACGTTGCACATTAGATCTCTATAATTTAATTGAGCAAATGCTTATTGGCACCCATGTGCCCCCTATGGTAGAACAAATAGAGGTTCGAAAAAATGAACCTCTTTGCTTTCAAGGACCTTATGATCTAGTAGAAGTTTATTCAGGGCTTCAGATTTAGAAAATGCTTTACAGTGAGTGCGTCAACATATGACACCAAAACCATTTTATAAACAGCACTGTCCCATCGGGACAAGTCAGATCTGAAGCCTGAAACAATTTCCAACTGACACTGAATTGCCTAACAACTAAATTGGATATAATAAATATATGAAACAACTTTGTAATATCCCTTCTTCTCACACACTAAGTAAAAATAACAGGAAATTCATTTTCTTTTACTCAAAATGTGACACTAACAATATTATGATCAGAGGTACACTTTTAGATACCCAGGTCAAAATGGATTTAATGAGTATTTGTTAAATGACTAGTGTATGATGATCTTGTCAGGTCCTAAAAATACTCACTGAAAATGATCAAACACAGGTAGGAGGAAAGCTGCTTCCCATGTGATCTTACAAGTTAATGACGCACAAATCACAAAGAGTCTTTAGCAAAGAGTGATCCCTGCTAGTCTTTATTTCCAAATGGAAAACACATACGTATTCCTTAGCAAGCAGTAGTGCTAAGTACAGGATTTATTTTGATGGCATAAAAAAATTGATAGAATTTTTGTATGTTCTCCTTATGACTCTGTATTTCTTTGCTTCAGAAGAAAATGTACTCAGAAAACAGCTGAAGACACAATTCAAGAAATTATAAAACATAAGCAAAGATCTTTAAAAATTGATATTAGCTAAAATATTGGGAAATATTATTTATGATGACCTAGTAATAAACACTGTATGTTTCTTACCCCATTAAGATATTTTTCAGATATTTTGCCAAGTATTTCCAAGCAGTTATATTCTTAGTGCATCCGGCAAAATCTAAGACTCCAAATAATACCTCCAACCCCAGTTTACGGTGTTCTTCTTTTTCTGCAATGGTTTTAACAGTTCAAGTTTACATAAGGTATTAAAGTGTACAAAGCTAAAATTTACATGTATACATTTTATCAACTGTATATATACTTTACATATATGTTGTTGATAAAATACTGAATCATAAGCCTTCTGGTTAACAGTTTTTAAAAATTCATTATGCTCTTACTCCTGCAATGAATCTGAAAAACTCAATAAAAATCCCTGCTAATGAGGTAATGGTGGTGAATTTGATCTCAATATGGGTTACACTCCTCTACTAAGGACATTATTTAAAGTACCTGCCCTGTTTGGGCATTTTATACATGTTCTTTCATATTCAGAGAGGAACCTAGGCAGTCCTAGGACCAGCTTGGGCTTAGCCAGCTGATTTTCTTCTATGAAGGAGCATGCTCTCTTCTATGGTGTGCTGAAATGTAGCAGGGATTAAAATGGAGTGAATTATATAAAATCGAGCCATTTCTCTTTTGCAAACTACTGCCTTCACATTGTGTAACAGGAGTAGGCAAACTTTTTCTATAAAGGCCCAGATAATAAATATTTTAAGCTTTGCAAGGCATACAGTCTCTGTCACAACTACACGGCTCTGTCACTATAGTGCAAAAGCAGCCGCAGACAATACAGAAACAGATGGACTCCAACAGAACTTGATTTATAAAATCAGGAAAGGGGTGGATTTAGCCGATGGGCTAAACTAGTTTGCTGGTCCCTAGTCTATAGCTTGTCTACACAAGGTATAAAACAACATTTATTTATTACCTGATTTTCTAAGTAATGTATGGAATTCCAACATCAATTTATGAGATGGTACAATCTGATACAAAATCTGAAAGAAAGAACAGTCTTGTAATCTTTACATACTTGTAAAAGCATTTCTCAAATTTCAGCTTACTTTCAAAATAAAGTTCTTACTGTCTAATATGCTCCCTTTAAATTTATTAAGTATTTTAAAAATACCCTGGCTCTTTATCTAGTTTCAATCTAAGTATAGAAAAGCATTCTCTGTAAAGCTGTCTTAAAAAAAAAAAAAAAAAAAAGGCCCTGATAACAAAATAGTCAGGAGAAGTGAGGAAAATAGGCAGGGACTTTTTATTTGCTCCTTATACATATCTATACTGTTTACCACGCTCAACAACTAAAAACGATTTCTTTCAGAAGCCAGGACTGAAGAAAAAAAGAAAAAAATCAATTATCACACAGAAAATATACTTATTTACTAAACAGAAGAGATCACAGAATATTTATATAAAGCAAAAAAGCTAAAAAGGCTGGGAGTTAATTTCACAGATTGTGCTCAGGAACAGTTTACTAAGGTTATATGAGTAAATATTTTAACAACCTTTCACACAATGAAAAAATTAAAGATTTTTCTTTTAAAAAATAGGAAGGACTATTTTTATGAATATTCAAAAAATGGAATTTAAAGTAAAGCTGTATTTTTCATTTTAATACATTTAATACTAGAAATGAATTCATTCTGCTTACTAAAGTACTTTGACCTTACATTGAAATAATTTCCAACAAAATTAAAAGTAAATTTTGTTAATTTCTCTTAATCATTTTTAAAAAGATCAATCAAGATCAATACACCAATATCAGAGAATATTATTGAAATTCAGTTCCTATGAAAGTCACATTTGTCTCATGATTTTATAGAATTCTGTATATGGCTCAATTCACTTAGATTTTTCTATTGAAATATAACATGTAGTAGAAGTGCATACAAATCATGACACCAGTCAGTTTTCACAAAGTTAAACACTCAGGTAACCAGCACCCAGATCAAATAATAGCACATCACCAGAACACTAGAAATCCTCCATTTGTTTTGAAAAAGTCTTAGTCATGAGCCCTTCAAATGCCAGTGTTTTTAAAAAATTAGTTTGCTTGCTTTTGCCCTGTTCTATTCAGAGGTCCTCCACCTAGGACTCCAATGACAGGTATGTCAGATCTTTTCACCAATTCACTTGTATGCTCGTTTCTGCACCTTTCATCCTTTTTGTTCTCCATGGTTTAGCCTGATATTTTCTATGCAGTTCATTAATCCTCTCTTTTGCTATGTCCAATCTGCTATTAAACCCATGTATTGAGATCTTAATTCCAAATACCCTATTTTTCAAAAGGAAAAACAGAATTTCTCTAAATCCATCTTGTCTTGAATATAAATATGAGATAAGTATTCAACAGTTATTTTCTGTAGCATTTTAAAAAATCTTTTCAAAAACACCATTAGTGATTGATAACCTGAAAGCACAGTCTTGCTTTTGTTTTAAACACAATCCTTAATATTTTGTAATATAAATGAGCCAAAAGCTATCTTAAGAGAGTAAAATAAAAATAGCAACTTTAAAGGTATTGTTTAGTCCAGCCTGGGCAACATAGCAAAACCCTGTTTCTCCAAAAATACAAAAAATTAGCCAGCCATGGTGGCGTGTGCCTGTAGTCCCAGCTACTCGGGAGGCTGAGGTGGCAGGATCACCTGAGCCAGGGAGGTGGAGGCTACAGGGAGCCTCACGTGATCATGCCATTGCACTCCAGCTTGGGCAACAGAGTGAGACCCTGTTTCAAACAACAACAACAGCAAAGGATTGTTTAGTAAAACAAAGCCTGTTGAAAAATTTATAAAACTTAGTTTCCACATCTGAAGGTTTGATAATGCCAATTTTGATCACGAAAGTATAAAGATAATTGGCCTTTTAAAAGAAAACAGAGATAAGAACTTTTCTCTATCATTTCTTTAGGTTGAAAGGACCTTTGTCTTTCACCTCTAAAATGCCATGATTAAAAACTGAACACAAAATATACAAAGAATTCCTATAATTTAACAACAAAAACCAAACAACCCAATTCATAAAAGGGCAGAGGACTTGAATAGACATTTGCCAAAGATGATAAACAAATGGCCAATAAGCACATGAAAAGATACACATCACTAGACATTAGGGAAATGCAAACCAAAACCACACTGAGACACAGATACCACTTCACACCCACTAGGATAGCGGTCCCCAACTTTTTTGGCACCAGGTCCTGGTTTCGTGGAAGACAATTTTTCCACAGACCAGTGTGAGGGTCAAGGATGGTTTCGGGATTGCATTATTTATGCACTTTACATTTATTGTGCACTTTATATTATTACATTATAATATATAATGAAATAATTATACAACTCACCATAAGTAGAATCAGTGAGAGCCCTTGTTTTCCTGCAACTGGATGATCCCATCTGGGGGTGATGGGAGACAGTTACAGATCATTAGGCATTAAATTCTCATAAGGAGCACACAACCTAGATCCCTCCCATGTGCAGTTCACAATACGGTCCGGGCTCCTATGAGAATCTAATGCCACCGCTGATCTGACAGGAGGCAGACCTCAGGTAATGCTCACTTGCCTGATGCTCACTTTCTGCTGTGTGGCCTGGTTCCTAACAGGTCACAAACAGATACCGGTCCATGACCCAGGGGTTGGGGATCCCTGCACTAGGATATCAATGATCAAAAAAGGGGATGGAGAATAGAAGCTGTTAGCCAGGATGTGGAATTGTTGGTAGGAATGTAAAATAGTGTAGTTGCTGTAGAAAACAGTTTGACAATTCCTCAAAAAGTTAAAAGAATTACCATATAATCCAGCAATTTCACTCCTGAGTATACACCCAAAAGAAGTGAAAGCAGCGAACTCCAACAAATACCTGTACACTAATCTTTAGAGCAGCATTACTTATAATAGCCAAACAACAAACACAACCCAAATGTCTACCAAGAAATGGATAAGCAAAATGTTGTAGGTACATAAAATGGAATATTATTCAGCCTTAAATAAAAATGGCCGTTCTGATATATGCTACAACATGGATGAACCTTGAAAACATTATGCTAAGTGAAATTAGCAAGACACAAAAGGACAAATGTTATATGATTCCACTTATATGAGGTACCTAGAATAATCAAATTCACGAAGATGGAAATTAGCACAGAGGTTTTCAGGGGCTGGGAGGAGCAGGCAATGAGGAGTTATTGTTTAATGAATAGTTTCTACTTCGGATAACGAAAACATTCTGGAAATAGACAGTGATGGTGGTTGCACAAAACTGTGAATGAATGTACTTAATGCCACTAAATTATATGCTTTAAAAATGATCAAAATGGTAACATTTATTTTTGTATATATTTTCCCACAATTTAAAATGTTAAGCAATATTATATACAACAACCCCATGAAACACTTAGGGACAAATTTAACAAAATACATACACTAAAAACTACAAAACAGTTCAGAGAGAAATTAAAAACCTAAATAAATGGAGAGACATGCCATGTTTACACTTTGGAAACCTCAATACAGTTGAGATGTCAATTCTCTCAAACTGATCTATAGATTCAAAATCTCAGCAAGACCTTTTTGTAGCAACAGGTAAGTTGATTATACAATATACATGGAAAGTTAAAGAACCTAGAAAAGCCAAAAGCAATTTTGAAAAAGAACAAATTTGTATGACTTTCATGATATGATTCCAAGACTTGCTACAAAGCTACAGTAACCATATTAAGGCCACATGAGATATTACTACACACCCACTAGAATGGCAATAACTCACATTTAGAAGACCTACAATATGAAGTATTGGCAAGGATGTGGAGAAACTGAATTTTCATCTATTGAGGTGGAAATATACATCACTAGAACACAACAGACTTCATATACAGCCTACTGGTTTTCAACAAAGTTCCAAATGTACTAAATGGAGAAAGGAGAGTCTTCAATATAATGCTGGAACAACCACATGGGAAAAAATGAACCTTGACCTTTGCCACACACTACCCACAAAAAAATAGCTAAAAATCTACCATGACCTAAACATAAAACTATACAACACATCTAGAAAAAAAAAAAAAAAAGAACTCTTCATTATCTTGAGATAGGCAAATATTTCTTAGACAAAAAGCACTAACCATAAAAGAAAAAAAAATGTACAAACTGAACATCAAAACTAGAAGTTTCTACTCTTTGAAAGATACTATTAAGGAAACCAAAAGGCAAGGCACAGTCAGAGAGAAAATATTCATAATTAATATTCTTCACAAAGGACTTATATCCAGATTATATAAAAATTTCCAAATCAGTAAGAAGACAATTGATCCCCCCAAAAATAGACTAAGTAGTTGGACACATGACAAAAGAAGATACAGGATGGCCAATAGACATACTAAAAGATGCTCAACATCACTAGTCATTAGGGAAATACAATTTAATGCCACATGGGACACCCACAAGAGGCTATTATTCAAAAGACCTCCAATACCAAGTGTTGGCACAGATGTGGAGAAACTGAATTTTCATATTGCTGTGTGAATGTCGATGGTACAGTCACTTCAAAAAACAGCTGGGCAGTTTCTTAGGAAGTTAAGCATATACTTTCCTTACTACTCTTAGGCAGCAACTCCTCTCTCAGGTAGCTACCCAAGAAACATGAAAATATATGTGTATACAGAATCTTGTACATGAATGTTCTCAGCAGCATCATTCACAATAGCCAAAAAGTAAAAATTACCCAAATGTCCATCAAGAAGTGAATGTATAAAAATGAAATACTATTCAGCAGTAATAAGGAAATTACTAATATACACAATAACATGGGTGAATCTCAAATATGTTACGCTGAGCAAGAGAAGCCAGATTAAAATGACTACATAAGAGTCCATTTACATGAAATTCTAGAAGAGATAAAAATTAATCTATAGTGACAATAAGCAGATCAGTGATTGTCTGGGGCCATGGTTGTGGGGACAGACAGGCTGCAAAGGGAAATGAAAGGCATTCTGGGGGCGACAGAAATGTTCTATATCATGATTACCATGGTGGTTCATGAATGTAACGCATCCAAGCACATACTTAAAATAAGTGTGTTTACTCTCTGAAAACTAAATTTCAATAAAGTTGATTTTCAAAAAATATCAGTGCAGAGTATTCCAACCAGGGTTGCACAAGACTTCTGATCCTCTCTCCTCAGTCTCATCCGGGCAGCAGGGGATAGTGTGGATGATACATACATGGAGATGGCAGCTGGAGCCAACTTTCTCTGTTTATCTCAGTGTACTGTACATTATTGAAATTTTCTGTAGATGCTATAAAAGTTAGAAAGCAATGGCCTAAGAATGTTTTAATGTAGATTCCCAACCCTGGTCAAACATCGAGATAAAAATTCTATACCTTAAGCACACTTATCAATTTTGATCTTGGTGCCTTCTGTCTCTTTAGAAAGTTGTATAAGTAGATATGGGCATTTGGATTTGATGGAAACTTTTCATCATATGCATAATTGGTGAGTACCTCTTGGGCTCCATCTCGATCCCCATAGAATTCCAGCATCTATATAAAATAAATCATAATATCTTAGCTGAATTCTGTAAGACAGCTATACGAAAAATAATACACAGCATAAGTTTACTGATGGGTATTTTTTAAAAATCACAAAACTGACAGGGTTCCCATTTTTTCCCTGTATTTTGTTACTACTAATAAACAATGCAGCAACCTCAACATAAATTCTCTTCCTATAAAAAATAAGAGTCCTCAAAGCAGGGAACACTAATGCTCGAAAATGTGATGCAGCTAACCTCAGTGCCCTACATCACTGCAGCCACAAAAGGAGTGCATGAGAATTGTAATTCCTTTCATCCTGTTCCCATCCTTACACAGGAATCTCCAGATTATGATTTTGGAGATTATCTTCTGACAACACAATTATCAACTTGCCACTCATTAACTTTCACAAAGCAAATTATTTTGAAGATTTATTCCTAGTGCCTAGCACCAAGGCCCTCAGTCCTTTTACAATGACTCTGGGATGACAGGACATTCTTATGAACTTCCAAAAAGCCATCATTCTTCACCTCATATAGTATGACCCATTTTTTCAGATTTTTGTCCTCTTTCCTTCTATATCCCACCAAATCATAAGGTATCTTACTGCATTTCTTTTAAGCTCAACAAGAATAAGATTGAATTAACATTTACAACTATACTGCTATTTATTTTATAGATACTTGGCCACGACGGGTTATACAGTGGTGAAAATAAACAAATTCAGACCAAAAAAGAGACACCGTATTTTTGCTTTCTTTTAAATAATTTTTTCCATTAGTTTCTTTCTGATCAATAAAGATTAGGCATGCAGTCTTTGTATAGGCTTTTGACAAAATAAAACCAATAAATTTAATGAAAATTCTACTTACTTCTACATAACTCTTCACAAAAGGGTCCCAAACTCCAGGAATTTTAATCAATGCAGAAATATTTGCAGATGTCTTCCAGCTGTGGTTGAACACATCCTGGGCTACTGCATTGTAAGCATAATCATCCTTATCTGCCCAAAGATACAAGATCTTTTAACATTCATTAAACATTGAGGACCTCTGTTAAATTAGTAATTTAAAAAACTATCTGCGAGAAAAACTCAGTTGCTGATAGCTACAACAGTAAATTCCAACAAATATTTAAAGGAAAATACTAATTCTTCACAAATTCTCCCAAAAAAAGGACAGAAAAGAATACTTCCTAACTTATTCTAAGCCAGTATTACCATGATACCAAAACCAAAGACAACACAATAAAACTACAGATCAGTATCTCTTAAGAATATAGCTGCAAAAATCTTTAACAAAAATACTAGCAAACTGAGTCCAACAACATATAAAAAGCATTATACATCATGTCCAAGTCGGATCTATACTAGGAATGCAAGGTTGGCTTAACATCTGAAAATCAATTAATGCAAATAATAAAATAGAGATCTATTGATCTAAACCAAATCAAAAGAATACAGGACCAAAACCTCATGATCATCACAATAGACACAGAAAAAGCATCTGAAAAAACACAATAACCCTTCATGATAAAAAGACTCAACAATGTAGGAACAGAAGGAACTTCCTCAATCTGATAAAGGGCATCTATGAAAAACTCATAGCTAACATTGAACTGAATGATAAAAGACTGCATGCTTTCCCCCTAAAATCAGTAATAAGACAAAAATGTCTTTTCTCACTACTTTTGTTCATTATATTGGTGGTTCCAGCCAGGACAATTAAGCAAGAACATAACAAAAAGATATCCAAGATTGGAAAGGAAGAAGTAAAACTATCTCTATTTGCAGATGACATGGTCTTGTACACAGAAAAATCCTAAGAACCCACTAAAAATTTACTGAACTAATAAATGAGTTCACAAAGGTTGCAGAGTACAAGATCAATACACAATAATCAACTGTATGTCTATACACTTGCAATGAACAAGCAGAAGATAAAATTAGGAAAACAATGCCATTTGCAAAAGCATCAAAAGTAACAAAATGGGTAGAAATTTTACAAAAGAGATGCAAAATTTTACTCTGAAAAGTGATACTGTTGAAAAAAAATTTTTTAAGACCTAAATGAATGAAAAGACACTCTGTGTTCAGTTGAAAGACTTACTATTGTCAAATTGATCTACAGATACATGTAATTCCTATCAAAAACTCGGCCTTTTTGCATAAGTTGACAGGCTGATTCTATAATTCATACGAAAATGCAAGGGACCAAAGAAGAACAAAGAATCTTTAAAAAGGACAAAGTTGGATAATGTACTCTATGACTATGGCCAGGCATGGTGGCTCACACCTATAATCCCAGCACTTTGGGAGGCCGATGTGGGTGGATCACCTGAGGTCAGGAGTTCGAGACCAGCCTGACCAACAAGGTGAAACCCCGTCTCTACTAAAAGTACGAAAAAATTAGCTGGGCGTGGTGGCACACGCCTGTAGTCCCAGCTACTCAGGAGGCTGAGGCACAGGAATCGCTTGAACCTGGAAGACACAGATTGCAGTGAGCTGAGATCCTGCCACTATACTCCAGCATGGGCAACACAGCAAGACTCAGTCTCAAAAAAAAAAAAAAAAAAAGTACTACAAAGCTGTAGTAATCAAGACTGTGTGATATGGGCAGAAAGAGAGACACATGTAGATCAATGGAAGATTTAGAGTCCAGAAGTAAACCTCTACATTTATAGGTAACTAATTTTCTTTTGTGTGTGTGTAAGACAGGGCCTTACTTTGTCTCCCAGGCTGGACTGCAGTGGCATGATTTCAGCTTACTGAAGCCTCACTCTACCTCCTGGGCTCAAGTGAACCTCTCACCTCAGCCACTCAAGTAGCCAGGACTACAGGCACACGCTACCACACTCAGCTAATTTTTGTATTTTTTGTAGAGATGCAGTTTCACCATGTTGCCCAGGTTGGTTTCGAACTCCTGAGGGCTCATGCGATCTACCTGTCTTGGCCTCCCAAAGTGCTAGGATTACAGGCATGGCCACTGCTCCCGGCTGCTAACTAATTTTCAGTAAGGGTGCCAAGACAATTCAGTGGGAAAATAATAGACTTTTCAATAAATGCTACAACTGGATATCCACATACAAAATAATAAAGTTGGGCCCCTACCTACTTCATAAAAATTAACTCAAAGGCCAAAATATAAGAGCTAAAACTTTAAAACTCTCAGAAGAAGTGAAAATCTTTGCGACCTTGCAGTAGGCAACAGCTTCTTAGATGTGATACCAAAACCACAAGCAACAAAAGAAGAAACAGTTAAATTAAACCTCATCAAATGAAACACTTTTATGCTTCAAAGGACACCATCAAGATAGTGAAAAGAAGGCCAGGCACAGTGGCTCACATCTGTAATTCCAACACTTTGGGAGGCTGAGGTGGGCAGATCACTTGAGGTCAGGAGTTCGAGACCAGCCTGGCCAACATGGTGAAACCCCATTTCTACTAAAAACACAAAAATTAGCTGGGCGTGGTGGCAGGCACCTCTAATCCCACCTACTCGGGAGGCTGAGGCAGGAGAATCACTTGAACCTGGGAGCCAGAGGTTGCAGTGAGCTGAGATTGCGCCACTTGCACTCCTGCCTCGGTGACAGAGTGAGACTCCGTCTCAAAAAATAATAATAGTAAAATAAAATAAAAAGATAGTGAAAACACACAGAAAAGGTGAAAATATTTCCAAGTCATGAATCTGATATATCTGATAAGAGAATTCTGTCTAGAACAACTAAGTACTCTTACAAAACTCAATAATCTAAAAGCAGGTAATTAAAATATGAGCAAAAGATCTGAATGAAAATTTCTCCAAAAATGATATACAAATGGCCCATAAGCACATGAAAAGATGCTCAACATCATTAACACCCAGGAAAATGCAAATCAAAACTACAAGATGCCATTTCACACCCACCAGGATGACTATAATAGAAAAGACAGATAATGGCAAGTGTTGGTGAGGATGTGGAGAAATTTGTACCCTCATACACCGCTACTGGGGATGTAAAATAGTGCAATTGCTTTGGAAAACAGTCCAGTGGTTCTTAAAAAGGATAAACTTAGAGTTATATGACCCAGCAATTTCTCTCTTAGGTATATACCCAAGAGAAATAAAAACACATGTCCATACAAAAACTTGTACATAAATGTTCACAGCAATGTTATTCAAAATAGGCAAAAGTAGAAACAATCTAATTGTTCATCAACTGATGAATGGATACCTAAGATATAGTATATACAAACAATGGAATTCTATTCAGTAATAGAAATGAAGTACCATTACATGCTATAACATTAAAAACATTATGCTTTCTTTGTCAAAATTTTCTGTTAGGGAAAAAAAAAATTATGCTAAGTAAAAGAAGACCACATACTGTATGATTCCATTTGTATGAAATGTCCAGAACAGGCAAATCTCTAGAGGCAGAAAGCAGATTAGTGGTTGCCTAGGACTGGAGGGGTGGGGAGAAATGGGAGAGCACAGGGTTTCTTTTTAGGGTCATGAAAATATTCTAATATTGTACTGATGGTTACAACTCTATGAATATACTAAAAACCACTGAGTTGTATATTTTAAGTGGGTGAATTTGTATGGTATGTGAATTATATCTTAATTCTCAATAAAGCTATAAAGAAAAAAAACCATGAGAGATCACTACACCCAACAAATTGGCTGATATGAAAACTCTGACAATAACAAATGTTGAGGAGAATACAAACAAAAGAAAACTCTAATCAGATTGTCGGTAAAGTACAAATTGGTAACCTCTTTGGAAAGAGTTTAGTATATTATGTACCAAAGTTAAAGACGCACAAAACATATTCTATGACAATTCTACTCCTAGAAATGCATACTTATGTGCACCGGTATACAGAAATTAATAGGGGTTCATTTCAAAGCAGAATTATTTATAATAGCCCAAAATAGTAACCTAAATGGCCATCAGTAATAGAAGGAATAGTGTGACTATCATAAAATATTTTATAACCATAAAAAATGAATAAATTAGAGCTACATCCAATAACATGTATTATCTTAAAACTGATTTTGAACAAAATATGCAAGGCCTAAAAGAATATATACAGTACAACTCCAAATACAGCATTCAGATATAGGCAAAACTAAATCACATTGTTTACAAATGTATACATGAGTGGAAAGAGTATAAAGAAAAACCAGTGAGTGATTAACATAAGTCAGGACAGGGATTTTCTTGAGAGAGAATGGGAGGAAATGCAGTCAGGAAGGCACACAGGGAGAATTTTAGGTTAGGGTGACAGTATTTTGTGTTTCTTAATCTGGGTGGTGGTTATGTGAATGTCCATTTTAAATTTATTCATTATATCTCACATTTGTTTTATATGCTTTTTCTGTATCTATTTCTCAATCTTAAAGGTTTACAAAGAAAGTTACTCAAGTCTTTCAAAAATAGCTATTAGAAGCACAAGATACTGCAAACCAAACAGAGGCACTGGTATCTTTTTCCCAGTGGATCAGTTAAATACATATCAATATGAACTTAGAAATGAGGTGATAGGAAAGTAGGTAAGACATTATATGGAAAAAAATTTTTTTTAAAAAAAGGGCTGGGCATGGTGGTTCACGCCTGTAATCCTAGCAGTTTGGAAGGCTGAGGCAGGAGGATTGCTTGAGCCCAGGGGTTCAAGACCAGCCTAAGCAACACAGTAAGACCCCATCTTCACAAAAAAAAAAATTGATGGTGCACACCTGTAGTCCCAAGTCCTTGGGAGGCTGAGGTGGGAGGATCACTTGAGCCCAGGAGGTCGAGGCTGCAATGAGCCGTGATCACACCACTGCACTCCAGCCTGACAGCAAGAGACTCCAGACTGAGACAGCAAGACTCTGCCTCAAAGAGAAAGAGACAGATCCCTGAGTATAAATTGGGTTTGAATTTATTATAGAAGGAGGTTCCTAGTCACCAAGTGCATCAATCCCAACCAAGACAGAGCCACATAACAGCAAGAAAGTCCCAAGCTGACTCCAAGTACAAGTTCACATGGTAAGTGCCCATGAGTTTGGTTATAAAGAACTAGTCCTAACTTTTTTTCTCGTTAAATAGACACTTGAGGTGAATGATCATCTAAGAGCTCTACATATTATCCCATCATCATCTATTGTTGCTACAGAACTGTCAGCTACGGAAAGGTACTGAACCATCTATCCACAAGAGTAACATTACAAATGCGATGTTCCAACAGCTTTAATCATCAGATATTTGCTTGAGTTTTACCTAACCATGTATAAGAAGAAAAGTAAATACTGACTTTAAAACTAACCTAATCAATGAGTAAGTTTTGAAAAAGAACTATTACACCAGAAAATATGACAAGACTAACAAAAGAAATAGAGGAATATTACATCAAACATTGATTAGTCTAAACGGGAAGATATCTGGACTAATAAAATACACATGAAAAAACTTAGCACAATTAGAAAGCAAGAGATGAATAGCCAAATGATTCAGGCTGAACATGCAGCTGATATATTAAGTTTAAGGTGTAAGAATGAGGGTTTGGGACAGCGATCCAATGAGTCTTGAAGAATAGAGAGCATTCTAGAAGAGGAGACTCTACAAAGGCCTCACAAGATTATCATGATGAAGAGAGCATTTCAGAGTATCTTGAAAGAAGAGGGAAGGGAATCGAAATTAGTGAAACTACATGCCCAGAGACCAAGGAAATACCACTTATCACATAAGGATAATAAGGAAATACTGCTTACCACATAAGAAGTGATAAATAGTAGGACTAAGATATGGAGGAGGATGAAAACAGAAAGGGGTTAATCATAGAGATTAGGTTAATCTCGAGGATTATCCCCTACGGAGAAACTATACAAGGCAAGCGAATTGCAAAGAATCATACAGTTCCAGTGAATGCAAATCTGGGCATAAATGAAGATGATAACACCATTGAAGGTTAAGAGAAGGGGAATCAGTTTGAGAACTGAATGGTCAACTTCTGGTATAGTCAATAAATCAAGAAAATTGTCCATTATAACCTTTACACAAAAATGAAATGACCATCTTGACCTATTCTTTAAACATATTATTCTGAGAAATAACATTACAAAGTAAATTAAACTCCATTCTAGGCACACAGGAAGAAATGTTTATTATATGTAATAATGACTGCTGAAGAAAATCTGTAGCCTTTCTTAGAAATTGGCAAAGACTTTCTTCTTGACCAAACTCCAGCCAGGCTCCTCTGAGCTCTCTTCTGGACTAGGCCTCAAACTTGGCCAATAAATACTTGAACATAGTTTCTAGAACACTAACATAGTTTCTAACAGCTCAAGGCCACATCCCCAGGATGACCCCAGCCCCTCTTGAAATGTTTGCCTGGGAAAACTCCAGAAGAATTTACTGGTGGTTCTGCCTTCTGCTTTTTAAGCTCCCCACCCCCACCCTTTACAACCCCAAGTCACCTCCATAGAAATTGGAATGGAGTTTAGCTCTTCCTCCTGTCAGTAGTTACTGAATCAAACCTGTCTCCACTGCTGTGTCTGGCTGTGTTTATCCTGGACTAAATCACATTCAAAACAGCAATGAACCTAAAATGATCATGAACTTAATTATGAACCATCTAATTTATGATTGAAGCTTTTTATATATCAGAAATATTATAAAGGATCAAGAATTTTAAATCCATAAAAAGTCTGTTCTCCATAATATCTGGATGAAGTCAATAGGGAAATTACTAGATTACTCCTTAAGATCCCTCTGCCCCTCAGTCTCATCATAAGAAAAAGTTTACCTGTATTCACTTACCAAGCTTTGACAATTCCATCTTCTTTTCAGACCAGGTATAATACTGTAAAAGCCCTTTATAGGCCTGAATAAGGTTGATTAATATTTCCCGGGAAGACGTATTTTCACCATGTCTCCATGTCTCTGCCTCACTCAGATTTCTCTTAGCATCTTTAAGCATTCCATGATGCAGAAGGTATAATGCATGTTGTAAGGAGATCTGCAAAAATAATAAGGGTACACCGCCATTTAAGCCATTAGATAACCATTAGTCAAAAAGCTCAGTAAATATATAATACATGCTGGGCAAAGACCTTGGTAGGATACAAATAACTTGACATGGAAAATTTTGATGTTGGGTACAATCTGGCAAAGAAGTAAGACATAGGAAACAATTAACACTATGTAAATATGAGCTAAATTATGTAAACTTACAAACAAAAGACAGTGTGATATAGTGGGGAAAAAAGAGGTTTTGAAGATGAGTGTCTTGGTTCATACACCACTTAAAAACTAAATAAACCTGGGTAAATTATTCACTCTTTGTGAGTCTCATTTGTTTTACGGAACATTACTGCCCCTTCAGAAGGGTGTTTTCAAGATTAAATGAGATAATACTTGCAAATCACCTAATAGTTTGGCTCATAGCAGACATTCAACAAATATTACTATTTTATACATGTTATATAAGCTTAGAGAAAATATCTTAATAAGGGATGCTGAAGAATGGCTTCAGTTCAGATGGAGAGGAAAGTGTATCCCTGATACAGGAGAAGCAGGAAGAAAAATTATACAAAGAATGAGTATTACAAAAAGGGAAGACATTAAAGAGGAGAATAATGAGAACTACAATTAATCATATGGGTAGAGCCAAAGTACTGCAATAAGTTGTCAACTGGCCTCTCCATTCCTGCCTCCCTACAATCCATCTTTCAAGTGGCTACCAAAGAAATTTCATCTTGTTAGTCATTTGCATAAACTCCTTCAATGGCTCCCACTGACTACAGAATTAAAATCCAAGTTCCCTGGGTATGGCACACAGGGCCCAGCCTACTTCCCCCAACTTCTACCCAAGTGATTTTTAGAGTAACTAAATTATTGGATGTAGGGCTTTTAAACTCTTTATAACCCCCGCCATGCAGGGCTGCCCTTTCCCCTAATCTGCCTAGTGAATGGCCAATTGCTTTTGCAAACTTATCTCAAGTATCACTTTCATTCTTTTCCTGATTCCCCTACCCATTAAATCCCAACCCTCTCTAGTTCCAGAGAACTGGCCATTTTCTCCTTTATCTTCTCACCATTTGTTACATTTCTACTATGGTACCCATAACACTTCATTCCATTTACATGATCTTCCTCTACTATAAGAACCATGTCTAGCATATTGCCTGGTAAGCGGCAATAAGTGTTTTTAAAATTATTAACAACAAAAAAAATTGTATTATCTATCCTAATTATCACTCTCAGACTCTTATTGAGAAATGAGGTTCCCTTTCAGTTTCTTTACTTCAACTGAGTAGATTCTATGAGCCAAAAGGGACCTAACCAACAGTTTACTCTTCACACTCCCTCCCTAATTAAATGGCTATCCAGTTTAGACCTGAAAAAAGAGACGCAGAGCACACATCAGGGTAGGCCATTCCCATTTCCAATTGTTTAGTTAGAAAGCTTTTTCTTAAGTAGAACCGTAAACTGCCCCCATTTAATTTCCACTCACAGTATACCTGGTCTACCAGAGAACAAAATCGTAAGAGCATCTGGCACACAAATAGACACTCAAAACATTTTTTTAAAGCAAAGCATTTACAAACCTGTATTGAAAAAGTGCTCTTTGAGACAAAAACATAGAGAGGGAGATACAATATTTTGAAAATGTCTCAATCTTTTTGGATAAGACTTTTACAAAAGGATATATGAACTTGGAGGTGAAGATTCCACCTAAACATTAGAAGTATTAAAATATTTTCACGTATTTAAATTCCCAACTTGTTTAGCTCTTTCCTTTTCTAAACACCAACTCTAAGCTCAAGTGACTTCAGCAAACATTTTAGAATCTGGCCCATCATCATACCACTGCAATCTCTGAATAACTGGTTTTGGCAGCCAGAAGAAATATACAAAGAAAAGGAATTTTTAGTCAGAGAACACAGGAGGCGCCTGAAAATCAAGAAGTAAATGGTTCTCATAACGCTCTTTTCTTTCAGTTTCTCTTATTTATCCAGAATGTCTTATCCTTGTCCCACATTTTTTAGGTTAACTACCTTATCACTGACACAAGCAATTAGAAAAAAAAAAGAATACTGCAAGTGTAAATTCACAAAGCCCATATTCTCACCTTTAAATAATTCATGACGCCAATATTTTTCATCCGGTTAGCAAAAGTATTGAAACTCTCCATGTTGCTTTTGGGATGATAAAATAGAATTTCACTTCCGAGCTTCCAAATAATCTGTCAAAGCAGAAATTACTGCCAAAATGTAAAATTTTTGCCTTAACCAATTTCTGTCTAAGATATTGTTTTCCTGATTACAACATTAATAACCTGTGATTCCTTTTCCAGAGACCACTACCGTCAACATTTTACTCTACTTTGCCATGTAAAATTAATACTACTTCCTTATGTGATAGAATAGTTTTAACCTTTCAAATTTCTATTAAAATATCAGATAGTATAATAGCATCATTATTAATTTAGTAGTTTAAAGAAAGTAGACAGTTAAGATACATATTTAATATAAAATGTTTAATTGGTATGGAAGGAAGAATATTAAAGTCAGAAAATTTGGGTTCTAATAATATTGGCTTCTTCATTGGTCTCAGCCTCTTCTTCATCATCTGCAAAATGAGGGCAACAAACTACACATTTCCTGAGAGCCCATCAAATTCTACAACTATTGACTACATTTATTCTATATTTAGAATGCCAATTTAAGAATTTTGATTAGCTATGGACAAATCTTAATAAAAAAATATTTTATCCTCAGATCACCAAAACTTTGGCGGCAGAACTTGGAGCTCTTTTTTCATGAGAGCAAATCTCTATTTCGCTAACCTCAATTTAAAGTAATCAATAATACCAACTTCAAAGTAAATTAAACTGAACTGTAAATCAATTATTTCTATGAACATACATATTGGTTATATGTGGATACACACACTATCACTGCTATAGTTATATATGATACACATATTATCATTTGATATAAGGATCCTCATCTTCCCAACTCAGAGATATCAAGATTTCATTTGTAGAATATCACACTGTAGTATTTGGGAGCTTAAAGAAAACCTGGGTCTTGGATCACCTACCACCAGGGATGGGTAAATGCAGGGGGGGAAGAAAAGCAGGAAAAAAAAAAAAAAGAAAACTTTGAGATTATGATAGCTATTCTCACCACCAGTGTACACAGTAATTACATGGGACACCAGTTAAAAATAGGTATTCTGGGCCAGGCGCGGTGGCTCACACCTGTAATCCCAGGATTTTGGGAGGCCGAGGCGGGTGGATCACGAGGTCAGGAGAGTGAGACCATCCTGGCTAACACGGTGAAACCCCGTCTCTACTAAAAATACAAAAAATTAGCCAGGCGTCGTGGCGGGAGGCGGAGCTTGCAGCGAGCCAAGATCGTGCCACTGCACTCCAGCCTGGGTGACAAAGTGAGTGAGACTCCATCTCAAAAAATAAAAAAATACAAATAAAAGATACTCTGACTCAATAGACAGGGGTGGAGTAAAGGAATTTATACTTTGAATGAAAGCCCTAGGTGATCCAAAGAGAGCCAAAGAAGTGCTCAAAAACCACTGATCCAATTCCTTCATTTTACAAAACAAAATCTGGACAACAAGAGGCTGTAACATGTTCAATGTTTTACAGGAGTATGTAACTTAAGTCCATAAATTAAATTTTCAATGAATGGTTAAACTTTTTTTTCAGCTTCTCTTTTTTATTTTTTTTGCTCTAGAAGATAACTAATTGATGCAATGGTGACTGTGTTAGTAAAACCTATGAGACACTCATGTCAAGTTATTTGTGGGTAAACTGTCTTTTACTGAAGAAATTTAGCAGTATATGCCAGGCACTGTTTTAACCCTGCCCTGTGAAATTTACATTCTATGTAGAGAGACAAACAATAACCAAGAAATATAATTAAATTGTCAACTGTTAGAGGAAAAGAATGCAGCAGGACAAGGAGATCAGGAGTGCCATTCAGAAAGTGCAGGTTGCAGTTGGAGTAAGGCAATTGCAATTTTAAATAGTCAAAGTAGGCCTCAATGAAAAGGGGCCTTGAAGGAGGGTAGCTGCAGTGATAGCTGAAGAAAGAGCTTTCCAAGAACTGGTTAAGGCAAAGGCAATCAGTCAGGAATATGCCTGGCCCATTCAAGTAAGAACAAGGAGACCAGTGAGGATGGAAAAGAAAAAACAAGCAGGATAATACAGGTTGAGTATCCCTTATCTGAAATCGTTGGGACCAGAAATGTTTCAGACTTGAAATTGTTTCCGCTTTTTAAATATTTGTATATACATAATGAGACTGGGGATAGGACCAAAGGCTAAACATGAAATTCACTTATGTTTCATATACACCTATACATATAGCCTGAAGGTAATTTTATATAATATTCTTAAAATTTTGTGCATGAAACAAAATTTGTATACATTGAACCATTAGAAAGCAAAGGTGTCACTATCTCATGTCAGTAATGAAAAAGCTTTGAAGCATTCTGGTTTTCACATTTTTGAATTCGGAATGCTCCACCTGTTTCAGGAGATGAAGTCAGAGAGGTCAAACAAGGAAAGGAAGTGAGCACATCACATAGGAATTTATAGGCAATTATGACTTTGGCTTTTACTGAATGAAATGGAAAGCTATTACAGTGTTTTCAGCAGAGGAGTGACATGATCTGATATGTTTTAAAAAGCTCACTCTGAATCATTAGTCATTAGAGAAATGCAAATCATAACCAGGATGATGCCACTTCACAACCACAAGGATGACTATTATCAGTAAGACAGGACAATAACAAAATATTGGCAAGGATTAGAGAAATTAGAAGCCTCAGATATTGCTGGTGAGAATATAAATGGTATGGCCACTTTGGAAAACAGTCTGGCAGTTCCTCAAGAGGCTAAACATAGTGTTACCATATGACCAGCAATTCCACTCCCAGGTGTAGACCCAGGAGAAATTAAAACAAACGTCCACACAAAAACCTGTACACAAATGTTCGCAGAAGCATTATTTCCAATAACCGAAAAGCAAAAACAACCTAAGTGTCTAACAACTGATAAATGGACAAATAAAACATGGTATTTCCATATGACAGATTATTTGGCAATAAAAGTAATGAAGTACTTATACATGCTACAACATGGATAAACCATGAAAACATTATGCCAAGTGAAAGAAATCATTTACAAAAGGCCACATATTGTACAAAACCACTTATATGAAATGTCCAGAATAGAAAATAGATTAGGCTGGCCATAGTGGCTCACGCTTGCAATACCAGCACTTTGGGGAGGCCGAGGTGGACAGATCACTTGAGGCCAGGAGTTCAAGACCTGCCTGGCCAACAGAGTGAAACCCAGTCTCCACTAAAAATACAAAAAACTAGATAGGTGTGGTGGTGCATGCCTGCAATCCCAGCCACCCAAGAGGCTGAGGTACAAGAATCACTTGAACACAGGAGCTGGAGGTTGCAGTGAGCAGAGATCATGCCACTGCACTCCAGCCTGGGCAACAGAGCAAGACTCCGTTTCAAAAGAAAACAAAAAAAGAAAAAGAAAGTAATAGATTAGTGGCTGCCAGTGTCCGGCAGCTGTGAGGAGGAATGGGGAAGGACTGCAAGTGGGTACAGGGTTTTGGTTTCATGGGAGAAAAAAAAGGTTCTAAATTTAGAGTGTGGTAATGGTTGGTTGCACAACTCTGTAAATGTATGAAAATACATTGAATTGTACAATTTAAGTGGGTGATGGCGTATAAAAAACGTCTTGATAAAACGAAAAAAAAAAGGATCACTCTAGTTGGAAAAAGAGAACAACTCTTTCAAGAAGTTTTGCTGAAAGAGAGTAAAACAATGAAGTATAGTCTATGGGGGAAGTTTGGGTCAAGAGATGATTTTAAGATAGAATAGGCTGGGCATGGTGGCTCACACCTGTAATCCCAGCACTTTGGGAGGCCGAGGCAGGCGGATCACGAGGTCAAGAGATTGAGACCGTCCTGGCCAACCTGGTGAAACCCCGTCTCTACCAAAATACAAAAAATTAGCCGGGCGTGGTGGTACATGCCTGTAGTCCCAGCTACTCAGGAGGCTGAGGCAGGGGAATCACTTGAACCCAGGAGGTAAGAGATTGCAGTGAGCCGAGATCGCGCTACTTCACTCCAGCCTGGCGACAGAGCAAGACTCCGTCTCAAAAAAAAAAAAAAAAGATAGAATAACAAAATTTTTACATGATGATGGGAAACATCCATAAAGAGGGGGGAAAAGGAAGAATTATTGGAATGAACATTTTAGTCCCCTTTAAAATAAGAGGTAAAAAGAAGTGTGCAAAAAAGGTCCCAATACAAACTCTCCACTCAAAAGTAGTTTTAGTAGCTTTTAGCAAAATCACTGAGATTCTGTAAAAGCTACTGTAGGTGAAGCTGTAGGCATAAACTTCTGGGAATCTATCATTTCTTCCAGCAAACTCAAATTTTATTTACCTCAGGTGCAGCCTGCCTTTTGTAGCTATCTGAATCTTCCAAGGTCTGAAAATAACTGTACATGTATTCTGCAGCTTGCTGCCATTGGTGCTTCAGCAGAGCTTCTTGGATAAAACTTAAACAAGCACTTGTTGTCTGAGCAAAATCCTTCCTCCTTTTCCCTCCAATGGCTATAAAAACGAAAAAGAAGAGAGTTTTTATCCAAGTGGCTCCAGTTCAACTATTCAAAAAACTTACTTCTGATAAGAAGTTTTAACAAGTAAACAGTAGGCATTACTTGACCCAGCCCATTCCCAGTACCAAAGCCAGCTTCACTTGAAACAAACCCTTCTACATTATATTAATTATTTTTAGCAGATAAAAACATTTCTAATTTGATGTTTTGGGGCTACTAGAGTCACCAGATCCTTTAAATCTGATTCAATCATCCTTTCATCCTTGTACCAAATAATTTGCGGAGAATCTCTCAAACAGGCCCCCAAAAGCACAGTCCCAGGTATTTAGAATGGGTAAAATGTCAGGGTCATTCTAGGCAAACATGGTCTTTATTACCTACCCATGTTCTGCAAACCCCAAGTGGGCTTTTATTTTTTAAGGACCAAATTCCTAGTAACTCAATGATATTATATACAAATGAGATTAAAACAGTTGCAAAAATTAGCATTTATATCTCTAAAGTATTGGCAATCCCAATGTTAAGAACATTTGGGCTTAGATACAGTGCTATTATATGAATGACTAGTTACATTGCTACATCTTCTTATCTTCCCACGTAACTATGAGACCCCTCTAGTCCAGCTGGGTAATTGTACCCCAGTAAGTACACAAAGACCAACAGGTACTTTACAAAGATACTTTTAAAACAATTAACTTGCAGATATTTGATTTCCTTACATACTCTTTCCACAAGTTAATCTCCTAGACAGCTGTGCCTACATAGTCAAAGCTTCACAATCAAAATCATTACACACTATCTGAAGGTGAAAACACAGGTGTTGAAAAAGTAAATAACTCTAACATCTCCTTTTGCAAGTTAGGCAATTCCCAATTCTTTGCTCATCAAAACTGCAGAACAACGTAATTTTTTACAATAAATCATTATGCAATTTTTCATCAATAATTTAGAAAAAATTCACAGACCTGATACACGGCTATAATTAAACTCCATTCACTGCCATCTACTTACTTATGTGACTAAGGTTTCTCAGAATTTATGTCAATTAAAAAAAATAGCAGAATCAATGCTAAATGTTTTCTCATTCTAGAAATACATAAAAGTCACCCACAAATACATAAAAAATTGGGGAAAAGTTTTAGATAACTTTATTAAAAAAAAAAAAAAAAGAGTCTTGCTCTGTCACCCAGGCTGGACCGCACTAGCACAATCACAGCTCACCATAGCCTAGACCTCCTGGGTTCAAGTGATCCTTCCTTTTGGCCTCCCAAAGTGCTGGGATTATGAGCATGAGCCACCACACCTGGCCAACAACACGTTTAATACACGTTATATTGATCAGCTGTGTACAACTATTAATGATAGCAATGTCTCAACCTAGAAAAAGTTTTAATTCTTAAAACTTACAGGATATAAACAAAAAAAGTATAAATATTGATACATACTTTTATTGCAAGAAGTACAACAAAGAGGAACATAAAATGTCCATCTATTAAAAGCTTGTTCATAATTTTTTTTAAAATGAATAACGCAAGGTATTAAAACCCTATGCCATTCCTGTGCTATTTGGACTCCATCACATATAAAGTAATATATAGTCATTTAAAAATACCAACATGCTGGAAATTTTATCT
Source organism: Homo sapiens (assembly GCF_000001405.40). NCBI lineage: Eukaryota > Metazoa > Chordata > Mammalia > Primates > Hominidae > Homo > Homo sapiens. The sequence goes on from NC_000001.11 coordinate 222,585,937, forward strand.
CTTGCAAATATTAAACATACAATAAAATTTTTTCAGATGATTCCTTAAAACTATGCAAGGTAGTACTCAATTTTTCAGAAAAAACTAGGGGATACAAAAGTGAAAAGTTTGAAGACTACTGTGCTAGACTAGTGTTCTCAGACTTTTGAATGTACATACAAATCACCTGGGGACCTGCCCTTGCTACTCAATGTGGTCCTGGCATGCAGCAGAAGTATCACCTGGAATCTCATTACAACTACAGAGTACTATGCCCAGCTCTCTCAATCAGAAGCTGCATTTTATAAGATCTACACCAAAGCTGCTCGGCATCAGTGGCAATACCTGCCAGCTAGCCTAGGAAACTGACAAAACACCTCGTCCTTAAAACATCCCTTATTTACCTAAAGGAGAGAACTGTTCTCAGGCTAAGCTCCCTTCTATCGCTCAAGCTTTCACAACTGAGATTATAAATTGACTTTAGATAACTATACCTAAATGTTTGGAAAATACTTTTGTCTTCCAACCTAGCCTAGCTACCTCAGGAAAAGTTCTCCTCTCATTTCATTCTTTAATGAGCAAAAGATAGTCTTACTTGATCCTGATGACTTTAAGAAAAAAAAATTGTCAAGGAAAACACATTTTTACATGGAATAGAGATGTACAATAAAGAACTAGTGTCATCAACCTAACTTCTAATATGCTACTCAAAGAATCTGGAAACTTATCAATCTGTCAACAAGTATTTTTTGGGCACCACTGTGTCCCAAGCACTATCGCAGGTACTCATCATACAGCTTCAATCCAGACTGGCCCTGTCTTCAAAGTTTTTATTCTAAGGGGGTTGCTGGGCATGCCCTTCAAAAAGCCAAAAGATATCTACCAGCATAAAAAATAAATAGAACAATTGTTAGGCAATTTTGTTTTCCTATTATGGTTAATTACCAGCACAATGTCAATATTAATTGCAAGTATTTTCTCATTGCAGACCAAAAGTATTTTCGGTTTAACAGGCTATCCATGACATATAAAATATTCCTAAGCATGTAAATTTTGGTCTTTGGTCTTAAACCTATCTGCTTGCAGACTGACTCAGACTTTCTATAGAACACTGGTAACAGAAACATACCCAAGTATGACTTAACTATAGGAAATTTAAATTACTAGTTTGTTCCCTACCAGGGATGCGGTAGCACTACCTCTGAAGTATCATTCATTCAAATCTGCCTTAAGCCATGTGCATTAATCTAGCAAAAATAAAATGAGGAGAGGAAAGGCACTATTATTTTTCAACACTCATTATGCATGAGATACTATGCTAGGTACTTTACATATATTGTCTCATTTTTAAAAATGCATCTCAGTCGTTAAAAGTGTAAGCTTTGAGATCAGACAAACCTGGATTTGACTCCTGATACCACTTAAGAGTTTAATGTCTTTGAGATTCAGTTTCATCCTACCTAAACTGCCTAGCATAAAAATTTATTGAGAATTTACTGAGATCATTAAATGGGATGATACTTAGATCAAAAGAAAAAAATGGAAGCGAAATTTTAGGAGCCAAGGAATCTCTGTCAAGGGGAGAAAAGGCTGGGCAAAAAAACACATATTTAAGGGCAGTAAGTAAAATGCTGGTTCAAATGTAATCCCAGGACTATACCACTCAATATGCCAGCATACAGATAATAGCTTCTTTTATTTATACTTATATTAAATATATTCTTATAGGGAATTTATCCCATAGAAAAACATACTTGCATTTATATTAGATAAAAATGGGGGAAATTTTATCCCATAGAAAATCATGCTTGCATTTACATTAGATAAAAATGGGGGAAAATGCTCTTTTATCTAGGCCGGGTGCAGTGGCTCATGCCTGTAATCCCACCACTTTGGGAGGCTGAGGTGGGCAGGTCACTTGAGGTCAAGAGTTCAAGAACAGCCTGCCCAACATGGTGAAACCCTGTCTCTATTAAAAATACAAAAACTAGCCAGGCGTGGTGGCTGGTACCTGTAATCTCAGTTACTCGGGAGGCTGAGTAGAATCACTTGAACCTGGGAGACAGAGGTTGCAGTGAGCCAAGATCTAGCCACTGCACTCCAGCGTGGGCAACAGAGCAAGACTCTGTCTCAAAAAAAAAAAAAATCTATTACACGATCAATTCTATTCGAAATAATTTCAATGCAATTCAACAGCAACTTCTTGAACACTTCCTAGGCATGTTTTCCTCAATGGCAGAGACCATATCTTCACCTATGACTCCCCAATATTTAATCAATGCCAGAGATAAAAGTGCTCAGTAAGTATTACTGGAAAAAATGTGTATCTAGCATAATACAGACTATCTATTATTAATCCAAGGGCAAAGAATTCTAAAAGAAAAAAGATTTCTTTTGGCTTTTAGCCAAAAAACCCTCCACATATTCCTCTTGAAAATTAAACCAGTCTGGTTATTCATTTTGTATCCCTATTGAATCTTACCACCTCCTTAAAGTTAAAATGGCTCAATGTTATTATTTTACTTACCCACAGTTTCTACGTATGTTTGAAGCCAAGGAAAATGCATTCCTGCACCACTGAGCACAGATGTTTCCACTTCTTCATCATCTGTCACAGGCCCTTTTAATTCTTCACTGAAATCACTCATACCTATTACAAGATGAGATATCAGTTACTTTCTGTACATCTTAATCCACAGTCTTCTGAGTTGTACAGAAAAACGGCTATCTTTTTATCTAATAAATATAATTTGATTAGCAAAATGCATTATACCTGTCAGCTCTTTTAAAGTAAAAAATGAATTTAACTATGTCAGCAACAGCCAAAATGAATGATCCATTAAAGACCGAACCACTAATGTTTCAAGTCCATGTAAAGATAAATAAGATACTGCCCCTCTAATTTAAAAAATCTCAAGTCTAGACGAAGAAACAGCAAAACGTATAATAACAAAACAATATGAAAAGTACAGTAAGAATAGAAGTAGCAGCTAATATTTATTAGGCCCTTACTATGCACTAGAAGTATAAATTATCTAATTTAATCCCCACAGCAATCCTGAGGTGGGTACTATTACTTTCTTCCATGTGAAGGTTGAAAAAACTGAGGGGCTTAGTGAAATGATGGAACCTGCCTAACATCACAAAAAATGGTGAGGACGATAGTCTAGGAAATAGAACACCAAACTACTTGGCATGACTAGAATTCGAGGTGCGTGTGGAGGAGGGGTGCGGAAGGTGAGAAACGAACCTAGAAAAATCATCATAAGCCAAGGTGAGTTTAGACTTACTCCTAAAGATGCTCAGGGCCCCTTCCTCATTACCCATATGAAATCGAGTATTAGTGCCCCTGATACTACCTCCAAATTTCCCCTATTTCCCCTCTTCAATCCTACAGCACTACTCTAGTTCAAGACCCCTTCAAACAGTGCCTAGATTACCGCATCAGCTTTCTAAACAATTACCCTGGCTCAGATTTTGCATCTCTGCATTATACCCAGAGTAAACCTTCTAAATTCAAAGCATGTGGCTAGGAGTATGAATTATAAGTAACAACTGAATTTGAATCCGACCCATCACGTGTTTTCAGGAGTAGTTACACAAATCCTCCCTTTCCAAATCCTCAAAAACCCAAATTGGTGACCCGCAGTTGCCACGGCAACCAAAGCTTCTCTATCCCCTTCTTTCGTTTTCAGACCCCAAGGGTTTCAGGTATTAGGAGGAAATATCAGGAGAACATGGATGAATCCTGACACACCCCTTCCCGTTCCATTTAAACGCAGGAACCACGGGCGATATCTGCGGCACTTACCCGCCTAAATTTAGAGCTCCTCAGTAAAGCTAAACTCAGTCTCCGACTCCGGCCCACGTGAAGAAATTCCCACCGGAAGACGAGTTAGGAGAGCTTTATATGAGCAGGCGCTAAACCTGGTTTAGGTATTTAGGCAGCGCGCGGCCCGGCTCGTAACTCCTCCTGCTGCAGCAGGCGTATCGTTGGCCTCGCCTCGACCCCGGAAGTGACTTCTGGAAGTGACCCAGGAAGTGACAGTGAGCTGCCTCTCTGCGATTGGTTTTGCCCGAGTTTTATTTTTGTCTGTCTCAGCTAGAAAGTGGGAGACTTTCATTTAAAATGGAAATTGGGGCGAGGGGTTGGCGGCTGGGCGAAGGGAGCATTCAAAAGCGGAGAATGTCACTTTACCCGAGAAATTCACTACGATGGGCCATTGGTTTCTGCTCGGCTCGCAGGCGCACTGCACGAGTGGAGGTGTGGCTAGTGGCTGTGATGAGATAAATCCATGCATAGCCTTTTCATTGCGAGCTTGAAAGTTCTTTTCTATTACAGTTTTAGCTTTAGGTTTAATTGGTTCGACTGCCTTCTCCACAATTTGGGCGAGAATTTCCTTTGCCTTCTCAGCAAAAGTTGTTCTGCGGACCCGTCTGGGTCAACTTTCATGAGGGACATTGAGACAAACAAATGAAATATGGGTTAAAGGTAAGATGGTTAAACCGTGTGAAATGAGAGACAGTTGAGGGGTTCTAGGGAAGATGATCCCGGAAAAGGACTGCAGGCCCATGGAAACGCAGTGTGCTTCTCCAATATTTGGAGGGCTGATCAGTGAAAGAAGGATCAGACCCTTTTTCTTAGCAGCAGAGAACAGAACTAGGACTAATAAGTGAAAGGTAAAGGGAGGCTGCTTTCAAGTCACAGCAAGAAAGAATTTTGTCCACAAATGAGGATGCACAAATATAGCATAGGCTCCCCCAGGAATCACTGAGTTTCCTCTGTGTAGGTGAACAGTTTGAGTAGAATCGGAGTATCGGAGAGGAAATTAAAGGGTCTGGTAAGAGTTTGAGGCCGGGCGCGGTGGCTCATGCCTGTAATCCCAGCCCTTTGGGAGGCCGAGGCAGGCGGAAAGTTTGAGCTCAGGAGTTCGAAACCAGCCTAGTCAACATGATGAAACCCCGTCCCTACAAAATAAAAATAAAAAAAAATAAGCTGGGGTGATGATGCATGCCTCTAGTCCCAGCTACTCGGGAGGATGAGGTGGGAGGATCACCTGAGCCCAGGGAGGTCGAGGCTGCAGTGAGCTGTGATCACCCTACTGCACTCCAGCCTGGGCGACAGAATGAGACCCTGTCAAAAAAAATTTTGTACATGGATTCCTTAAAATGCTACAAATAGTTGATTCTATGTTGTCTTCTGCATAAAACAATATGCAGTAGTTAAGGACTTGCAAGAAAAGTTCCTTCTGCTGCTCTCTCTGTCATTAGTTCTTGAGTCCTCACTCAAGCTTGTGCTCTAACTCTACAGGCAGGGCTAACATAAATTATGCGTAGTCCAGGAGACCACACACAAAATAACATACATAATCATTACTTTCTTGTCTAGAGGCTTAGTCTGGCTACTTTTCTCCCATTGGCTTGAGGTGTAAATTCACCAAAACCAGCCCAGAAATGATTTTACATGGAAAAAAGTTTATGTTCTCCCGAAAATGAGGAAGAGCTTTCAGATTTTCCTCGAAGTTCTCAAACAGCTCTAAGGAGCAGTAGGAAACGTGCCCTACCTATGCTTTTTCTTTCCCATGCTGCAATTCTGACAGAAAATGTGTTGGAGAGAAGAGATAAAAAAAATCAACTAGATCACATCCAATAGCATAAACAAGAAGGAAGGAGGGAAGGTTGCCGTGGCAGGCATCTGTAGTCCCAGCTACTCCAGAGGCTGAGGCAGGAAGATCGCTGAGCTCAAAAGTTCAATTCCATCCTGGGCAACATAGCAAGACCATGTCTCAAAAAAAAAAAAAAAAAAGGCATGACAAATATGAAAACATAAAGCATGCAAAGACTTTTCTAGATTTCAATCTATAAGAAAACATGTCCTAAGAAAAACATGTTCTTACAATTACTTTGTGCTACAGAGCAACTTAATATGGTGATGAATTATGTTGTTTTTAAAGTTGCAAACTGTCATTTAAGGAATATTATTTCCATGAACGCTTCCTGTGCAATCTATTAAAGAACAAACTTCACATAGCCAAACAGTTGAAGAGACCTCATCATAAATAGACTATCCTATATCACAGCTAACGAGAATAAAAAAGGAATGTGGCATGAAAGCATAAAAATAAAAACATCTCAGATAATAATATAGAGAAAACCAAAATACATGGGCTAGAATTCCACCCCAGGGACTGTATCCTCAAAGACACAGGTTTTTCTTCCTTTTTCTTTTTTTTTTCTTTTCATGTTTCAGTACTCTGAGCAGCTACAAAAAGAAGACCAGTCTATCCTGCTGGAGACAGTGGCCACGTGAAGAAAGAGCTCTTGCAGTATGAAAGACCACATGGAAAGAGAGGCCACATGGAACCAACAGTCAGCATCTTGGTTTCGGACACGTGAAGAAATTCATCTCAGACTGTGTATCCTAAATCAGGCACTTGCTGAATCTAACTACATGAGTGAGACCAGTTGACAACACATGGAGCAGACATGAGCTGTTCTCAGTGAGTCCTACACAAATTCCTGACTCACAACACTGTGAGCAATAAAATGGTTGTTATTTTAAGCCACTGAAGTTTGCAGTGATTTCTTACATAGGAATAGATAAATGAAACACAAACATTGATCATTTGCATCTTCTATCTTTTTTATGACTAGTCTTATTGGAAATTACCAGTTTATTTCTGCCATGGTTAGAAAACAAACTCTGAAATTTTGATACTTTAAAATTTTTTTGAGACTTACTGTGCCCAGAATATAGTCTATCTTGGTGAATGTTCTGTGAGCACTAGACAAGAATATGTATTCTGTAGTTATTGAGCATTGTGTCCATCAATGTCAACGTGATTAAGGTGGTTAATAGTTGTCTTCAGATCTTCTATATTGTATTGATTGTTTTATGTGTAGTGTTGCTATTAATTATTGATACAGGAGTGTAAAACTTAAACTATGGCTGTGAATTTGCCACTTACTTTAGTTTTGTCAGCTTTTCTTTTGCATTTTTGAAGCTCTGTTATTGGGCATATAAACATTTATGGTTCGTGTGTCTTCCTGATGAATTGACCATTTTATCATTATGAAATGTCTTTATTGCTGATAATACTCCTTATCTTGAAGTCTAATTCATCCGATATTAGTATAGCCACTGCAGCCTTCCTAGCTTACTGTTTACTGGTATATTTTTATCCATGTTTTTACTTTCAACCTGTGTTTTTTAATTTAATGTGCTTCTCTTATAGACAACAGATAGTTGAGTTTGTCTATCATTTTGCTATTTGTTTTCGATTTGTCCCATTCAGTTTTGTGTTCCTTTGTTCTTTACTTCCTGCTTTCTTTTGGGTTAATTAATGTTTTTATATTTCATCTTAATTCCTCTGTTGGCTTTAACTGTATCTTTTTGCATTATTGCTTTACAGTGTTTCTGAGAATTATGATATACATTCTTAACTTATCACAGCCTTAGAGTTAAAATTATGATACTTCATGTAAAATAAAAGAGCCTTGCAATAGTAAAGTTCTACTTACCACCTCCCCAAGTCCTTTGTGCTTTGTTGTCATATATATCATATCTATGCACATTGTTATTTTTGCCTTAGTCATATGTATCGCAAAGAAATTAAGAGAAGAAAAGTATATATTACCTTTTGTGTATTTACCTACATTTTGCTATTTCCAGTTCTTTTCATTCCTTCCTGTTTGTGGTGAATTATCTTTAAGAATAGCTGTCAAAAAGTATTCACATTCTTGTATGTGCATGTTGCTTCTCCCTTTAAGAAATAGAATCAGCTGGGCATGGTGGCTCACGTCTGTAATCCCAGCAATTTGGGAGGTCAAGGCAGGTGGATCACAAGGTCAGGAGTTCAAGACCAACCTGAACAACATGGTGAAACCCTGTCTCTACTGAAAATACAAAAAAAAAAAAAAAAAAAAAATTTAGCTGGGCGTGGTGGCACATACCTGTAATCCCAGCTACTCAGGAGGCTGAGGCAGGAGAATCACTTGAACTTGAGAAGCGGAGGTTGCAGGGAGCCAAGATTGCACCATTGCACTCCAGCCTGGGTGACAGAGCGAGACTCTGTCTCAAAAAAAAAAAAAAGAAATAAGAAATAAAGTCTGTGTTCCCACCCCTTGAATCTGGGCTGGTCTTTTAACTTTGATGAACAAAACATGGTGAAAATGATGTCATACCAATTCTAGGCCTAGCCCCTAAGAAGCCATACACCTTTACTTTTATCCTCTAGAAAGCTGGCCAACAAATAAGTAAGTTTAGGGTAGATTACTAAAGAATGAAAAACATTTCAGCCAACCATCCCAACCATTTCAGCCACACAGCTGAACTACCAGACATGTGAATGAAGCTAGTTTGGAAGTTCCAGCCCTGGCTAAGCATCCAGCTGAATGCAGCCACCTGAGTGACCCCAGCCAATAATATCCAGAGCAGGAGAATCATCCAGGTAAGCAAAGCTATAGAATAGGTAGAAATAATAAATAATTATTATTTTAAATTACTAAATATATTACATCAAAAGAATAACTAAAACATTACAGATTTCAGTTTCCATCTGGTATGTCATCGTCTTTCATCCTGAAGAATTTTTTTTAGCATTGCTTACAGTGGAGGTCTATTGGTGTAGAATTTTCTGTTTTTATTTATCTGAAAATGTCTATTCTGCCTTCAGTTTTGAAGGATTCTTTAGATATAGGATTCTGGATTGGCAGTTTTTGTCCATCAGCACTTTAAGCCCTCTGATGATGTTAACTTCTTCTTTTTGATGAGAAGTCAGCTATCACTTTATTATTTTTGTCCATGTGTAATGTATTATGTTTCTCGGACTGCCTGCAAAACTTTTCTTTCCCAATACTTGGTTATTTGCAGTTTGACCATAATGTGTCTAGGTGTGATTTTCTCTGTAATTAGACTATTTGGCATTCACTGAGTTTCCTAGATTTGTCCATTTCTTTTATGATAATTTGAGATATTTTCAGCCATTATTGTCTTAAATATTTTTTTCTGTGCAATTATGCTTCTGCTCCCCTTCTGGGGCTCCAATTATATGTATGTAAGACCACTGCATATTGCTATGTACCAAGACTCGATTAATTTTTTACCTGAGCTTTAGACTGAATACTTTTATATCATCAAGTTAACTTTTTGTTGTTTTTGCAGTGTCCAATCTACTGATAAGCCCGTATTGTGAATTTTTAAATTCAAATTCTATACTTCTTAGTTCTTGAAATACGTCTTTTTTAAAAAAAGGTTTTCATTTATATGCTGATATCCCGTTTATTATGACTCTATTCCTTTAAGTCCTTGAAAGTATTTATAAAAGCTAGATTAAATTTTTTTCTGCTAATCCCAACATCTGGATCATCTCACAGACATTTTTTTTAATAGACTGCGTGTTCTCTTATGATTCACATGTGTCTCTGTGGATATCTGATAAAATTTAATAGTATGCTGGACATTTGTAGGTGATAATTATAGGGAATCTGGATTATGTTGGCTTGTTTAAACGATATTAGGTTTTGTGTGGCATGCAGCTTAATTAGTGGTGGATTCTTTGGGTCATGTCAAATTTGGTATTATTCATTTTCAGTATGAGTCTTATTTGGTTTTAAATTTAGTCCTAGCATATTCCCCTTACTCTTTTGTGTGATTCTTTCTCCTAAGACTTGGTTCTGGATTCTCAATTAAGTGCTCAAGGTATTAGTGAAGTTGCTGCACTGCTGGGCTGGAAATCTAATGTCTTCCAGCACTGCATGACCTTTAGTATCACTCTTCAGCCTTCCACCTACAGCAGGCAAGCTCTGCTAAGTCTTGCAAGGTCTCGCTTGGCACATCTGTATCCCCAGTGAATTTCCATACAGGCTTTTAGTATTACCCACTTCTTTCTCTCTCTCTCTCTCTCTCTCTCTCTCTTGCTCCCTCCCCCCGCCTTTCTCCTCTGTCTCTTTCGCTCTCCTCTCTCTCTCTCTCTCTCTCTCTCTCTCTCTCTCTCGGTCTCTCTCTCACACACACAGACACACACACACGCACACACACACACATACACAGAGAGAGAGAGAGCTCAGATATTCTAGCCTACAAAATTTCAGCCATTCCAACAAGCTTGAACTCTGATAATTTCCTCCTCAACTCAGCAAGGCCACCCCTTTACTTAAGTTTCTCCTTCCTGATTATGGAGTTCACCTGTGTGTTTTGCTCTCATGGATCAGTCATGTGCTGCCTGTTTATCAATGCCTGAAAACAGTTGCTTTAAGTAGTTTTTCTAGTTTCTTACTCTTTTGTGACAGGAAGGCAAGTCCAGTACCAGGTAACTCAGTCATGGTTCAAAGTGAACGTACTAACTTCCTTATACACTTTTCCATCATTTGTGATGGAGACACTCATTAAACAGGGCAAATTATAGAGAAACTCTGTAGTGTCTCTTTTAATGTCCATGGAAACCAAAATCAGGTGAAGGAGTAAACCAACATGGGTCTATGAAAAATAAGCTGGCCAAAATTTGTGAGGTAATGTGACTTAAATGATCATATGTTTTACCAATAGTTTTATGAGCATGAAATCCACAATAACTAGAAAAATAAACGTTAATAGATGGACTCAAAACTTTTTACTGCAATTCAATATACAGTCTTTTATGATACTTTAATATATTAGATGATAGTTCTGAAATTATTATAAAATACTAGTGAACATAACAGATTAAAGCATTCTTTCCAACTATTTTGAAAACCATTGTCATTTTCTACAACCCAAAGATTAGATACACCTTAAAATGCCCTAGAAAAGACATTTCTTAAACCTCAACAAAATGAACTTCATTCGTTGTTTTTCACCTTTGACGTGACACCGTGCCAAGATTTCTAGCCCTGTATGGAGGAGACGTTGGTCCCAACAATTAGCAGCTCCTTGATCCCATTTCATACAACCCATTCTAGCAATAAAAAAAGAAAAAATGCACATGTATTCTGCTGACATTTCATTTACAATCTATATCAGGAGTCAGCAAACATTTTCTGTAGATACAGAGAATAAATATTTTAGATTTACCTGTCATACAGTCTTTGTCATAACCACTCTGCTGTTATATAGCATTAAAATAACCACAGACAATATGTAAATGAATGAGCATGTCTGTGTTCTATTGAAACTTTGTTTACAAAAACAGATGTGAGGCTGGATTTAGCTCGTGGGCCATAGTTTGCTAACCATTGCTCTGGAGTACCTATAAATGTTTATGCTCACAATAGAGCATAAACATTTGGTTGTGCTATATATCTAAATATGTATATATATACATATATACATAAATATAATTTTAAAGATACATAGCCATATTGGTGGTGATTTTTGTGTCCAAAAAGAGATTCACTAAAAAAATTACTGATGTCATCATGCATCTCCATCATTATGACAGTCATTAACTCTACATTGCTTCTTCTGCAATCTCTAACATACAATTAGTAGATGTCAATGCTAGAAGTGAGTTTGCTGTTCTGTAGTGAAGGGCACTGATTATAATGGGGTAAATGAGATCAACCATCATGAATTGATACATATTTATTTAATTTCAATTTCAATTGTCATTCTAATGACTATGTACTACGTCTCAACCTATATTCCCTAGGTCCTAATTGAGAAACATGTGCTTTAATTAAAGAAAAAGTCCTTCACATCCATTCCAAATAGGTCAAATTGTATCCATGGTTCAACTATTAATGCACACACACACACTAACAATAGAACTCATTAAGATGTAAATTCGAGGTAAGATAGTGCAGAAGAGGGAATAAATGTGGGAATATGGAAGTAGAACAATATAAGACCCCTTTTGTGTTCTTTTTTTAACTTTTATTTTCGTTTCAGTGGGTACATGCGCAGGTTTGTTATATAGGTAAATTGTGTGTCCCAGAGGTTTGGTGCACAGATTATTTCAACACCCAACTAATAAATAAGCATAGTACCTGATAGGTAATTTTTCAATCCTCATTCTACTTCCACCCTCCACCCTCAAGTAGCCCGTGGTGTTCTTAATTTGTGCCCATGTGTACTCAATGTTTAGCTGCCATTTATGAGTGAGAACATACAGTAATTGGTTTTCTGTTTCTGCATTAGTTAGCTTAGGGTAATGGCCTCCAGCTCTATCCATGTTGCTGCAAAGAACATGATCTCATTCTTTCTTATGGCTGCATAGTATTCCGTGGTCTTCCATGGTATTCCATTTTCTTATCCACCCTACCATTGTATAAGTATTCCCTTTTCTCTGCGACCTCACCAGCATCTTTTATTTTTTGACTTTTTAATAATAGATAGGATCCCTTTTGGAGGTCAGGAAATATAAATTCAGAAGTGTGAGACATCCTTTAAGGTGATGTTAGCTTTAAATGAAAAAAAAATTGTGAAGCAAAGTCACTTGAATCTAGAAAGACTTTTGTGTGAGACATCCTTTAAGGTGATGTTAGCTTTAAATGAAAAAAAAAATTGTGAAGCAAAGTCACTTGAATCTAGAAAGACTTTTGAGTTTCTTTGGGTTTTATTGTTTTTGTTTTTACATTGATGTTATAATCTTTTCCTTTTTGCTGGTAAAAGAAACTACAGAAAACAGAATATTTACAACCACAGGTGCTTTGTTAACTGATCAAATTTTAAGAAAAGTCTCAAGCAGTGCATCTCATACTGGGAGGGTGGTATCATTCCCACCAAGGGGGGTTTGGAAATGCATGGGAGCAATTTTTATTTTGCTATCATGACTAGGGATGCTACGAAAAGTTCATGGCCAGGGCATGGATGTTACACATTTGCACAAATAACATGCTCTGGTCCTTTACCTAACTGTAACTGTGTTTTCCTACAGTTCTGTCTAAAGGGATAAGGGCTTTCCCGAAGTCACATTATTTTCTTATCCATTTAAATGCAATGTTTAATTATTTTATGTGTCATGAATAGTAAATGTATTCAAGATAATTATGAGAAGCGATAAAAGCATGACTAGTATAGGAGCTTAATGATGGCTTCTAGCTTATACTTTTTAATGGAAGACTTCACATTCATCTGAAATGATGATAAAATCCTCAGATGTCCCAAAAAATATCTCAACCTCTGATTGCAAACCAAAAACTAAGGTTTTTCAGATAGCCATCATCATTCTTTCTCTCTTCTGCAGAAGTTCCAAGAGAGCTTGGCCAGAAATATTTTAAATACTAAATGCAAGTTGAAGCTTTGCTTTTCTTTAAAAATAGTGTATAGAAAATAATGTACAAATATATAGTGTGAATCTGGTGTTAATTTCCAATCCCTAGTTTCTAGAGCTGTGGCTGTCTTTAAATGTGCCTAGTCTGCATTGAAATGTGCAGTAAATGTAAAATACACTTCAGATTTCAAAGACTCCATGTGAAATAAAGACTGTAAAAGATCTCATAATTTTTATATTGATAATGAGTTGAAATGATAATTTGCATAGATTTGGTTAAATAGAACATATTATTAAAGTTAAGATCACCTATTTTGTTTTACTTTTTTAAATGTGACTTCTAGAAAATTCAAATTGCATATGTAGCTAACACATTTCTATTGGACAGCATTGTACTAGGGAATCAGTGAGAAATAAGCGAAAGCAGGTCATGTTTAGATGCTGTATTTAATCATTCTGGTTGGATGTCATTCACTGATCCTCTTATGTATTCCACACCATTTCACATTCCGCATGGATTTAGATAGCAGTGAACTTCCATACCAATTACAGAGTACTCTTATTTTTTCTGTGTCAGTTGATCAGTATCCACACTTGAGTATAGCTTTCATAATGGTACTTATGTTCCTGTTTCTAATTTTATCCTACATGTATCAATTAAAACGCTGAAGATTCAGGAGGTTTGTCTCAATGTATGATCTATAACAAATCAGCTGTGATTGTATGATATTCTCAGAAATCTATTTTCTCCTTCTCAGTTCTCAGTGTCTCCTCTAGAATGCAGTTTCAATCTTCCAACCACAGCTTGGGAGGCTGTTCCAGCCTTGCTGACTTTTAGTAAGAAGAAAACAGTTTCCAGTGAAGGTACTATCTAAAAATGTCTCCTTTGTGTAGAAGTGGTTTGCCATCAAACAATTCTTCTTGCATCATCAAACATCTCTTGACTGTAGCAGCTTGCAATTTTGCTATGTAATTATTTATATAACATAAGTGGACAATCTTTTTATATAGTATCTGATTGCCTTCTCAAAGAAACACTATAAAGTTTTGACTTTAGCCCCAATTTTCTAGAAGAGAGATCTGAGACTCAGAAAAGCTAATGGCTTGCCTATAGTCACACAATTAGACTTCTGATTCCTAGCCAATGCTTTTGACTCTATTCCCTGCCTCCACTGTTGCCCTGGTAGGAAAGTAATTTATATCTGAAAATTACATGGAAAAGCCAAACTGTGGAAATTGAGTTGTACAGGCCACACCCTGGAATCTGTTGTACATTTGTTTCAAAGCACCAAATATTTGACTTCTGTGGAAATGGTGCCAAGGTAAATTAGGTGGAACCGGAAACAGGAACTTGCATATATGTCTGTATATTAGTAGCAATTTGAAATGTTTGAGTTTCTTTCTTTGTACAATAGAAATTGGAATAATATTTGCCATGACTAGACAAATAGTACAGGCTGAAAGACCTTATATTATAGATGACTCATTCCCAATAGATCATACCCTTTGACATGACTTTTTAGTTGTTGGGAGGGATTTTTCCCTATTAACCATGCCCAACACAAACTTCTGTTCTTACTGGCTTTCAGAACAAGATACTTGCATAAATTTCCCTGCAGTTATATGCTCCCTTTACTTAAAATCTGATAGCTTTCTGTATTTTATTCTATTAAATCTAAATCCTCATGCTTTTCAAGAGCTCTCAATAATCTGACCCATCCTAGCCACACAAACTTGTCTCCACTTTTTTTTTTTTCTTTTTTTTTTTTTTTTTTGAGATGGAGCCTCACTCTGTCACTCACGCTGGAATGTAGTGGCGCGATCTCGGCTCACTGTAACCTCTGTCTCCTGGGTTCAGCTATTCTCCTGCCTCAGCCACCACCTGGGCTAATTTTTTGTATTTTTAGTAGAGACTGGGTTTCACCGTGTTGGCCAGGCTGGTCTTGAACTCCTGATCTCAGGTGAGCCACCCGCCTCGGCCTCCCAAAGTGTTGGGATTACAGGTGTGAGCCACCACACCCAGCCTGTCTGCCACTTTTCTAATAGAACTCTTTCACTCTAGTAAGTTTAGGTCTCTGTACCGTCCTTTAAACAAATTGCTTTCTGCTACTGCTGTGTCTTTTCCTATCTTGTTTTCTTCATTTGCCCTGTCCTCTCTATTTAGAATCTAAATTCTATGTATTCACTAAGGCTCAGTTCAAATTCCACCACCATCACTTACTTTCCTCCTTCTTTTAATTCGTTAGTGCTTAGAATTTGTAGTAAAACACATCTGAGCACTTATTGTGTGGCAGGACAGGGTTCTTTGATGCCCCACCCACTTATTCTTACTGAGAGAAGTAACTGGTATTAGCAAGAGAGGCTTGTTTATCTTTTAGGAGTTCCCACTCTGAAGAATATGGATGAGGATTCAGAGTCATCCTCCACCCTCAGGGATGGAGCCAAATTTAGGGCTCCCTGGGTACAGGCATAAAGGTGGACCCATCTTCTAGACACTGGCCAAACACACACAAAAAGCGAGAACTCGCAGAAGAGGGAAGAAAGGAAAGAGACGTCATGACGCCCAGCAGGAAATGAGATTTTGCAGGCTGACCTGATAGAATAAAGAAATGTATGTTTGTTATCATTTTTCTGACTCACTGTATTGTGACCAATCATAGTGTTTTTATTTTTACTAAGACCTTTACCAGGATTTACTTGGTTTGTAACTCTTAAGTTACCTTTAAGGATAGTTGAATTTTATCTCTTTCTGTCTAACTTAAAAATTTTCACTACATAAGTTTTTTTGACAAGTCTACTTCAGTATAAAGGATATTTAAGTATTTAAATTGTACAGTTTTGAGTTTTGACACATGCATATACACCTGAAGCCATCACCATGATCAAGACGGGGAGGACACCCAAATTTCTTTGTGTCCATCTCTTCCTTATCTTGCCTCCTTGCCCCTTCACCAGGCAGCAACTGACCTGTGTTCTGTCATTATAAATTAGTTTGAATTTTCTAGTATTCTACATAAATGGAATTATGTAGGATGTATTGTTTTTGTCTGGTTTATTTCACTCAACCTCCCTATTGCTAGTATTGATTGTTCCTTATTATTGCCCAGTAGTGTTCTAAAATTTATGATCTATTTACTTGATGATGGGCATCTGGGGTTCTTAACTATTACAAATGGAGCTACTATGAACATTTGTGTGTACAAGTCTTAGTGTGGACAAATACTTTTATTTCTCTGGAATAAATACCAAGGGGTGGAAAGACTGGGTTCGTATGATAGATGTGGTTTCACTTTTAAAGAAAATGCCAAACTGATTGTACCATTTAAATTCTAGCTAGCAATGTTATATCAATTGCCCTTATGCTTGTCAATCTTTGTTATGATCAGCCTTTCCAATTTTAGCCATTCTAGTGGATGTGTAATAATAATATTGTGGCTTTGATTTGCATTTCACTAATGGCTAATGATTTTGAGTGTCTTTTCATGTATATGTTTGCCATATGCAGATCTACTTTGGCGAAATGTCTGTTCAAATCTTTTGCCAATTTTCCCCAATTGGATTGTTCTCTTTTCTTTTTCCTTTTTTTTTTTTTTTTGAGACAGAGTTTCGCTCTGTCGCCCAGGCTGGAGTGCAGTGGCCCGATCTCGGCTCACTGCAAGCTCCGCCTCCCAGGTTCATGCCATTCCATTCTCCTGCCTCAGCCTCCCGAGTAGCTGGGACTACAGGCACCTGCTACCATGCCAGGCTAATTTTTTGTATTTTTTAGTAGAGACGGGGTTTCACCGTGTTAGCCAGGATGGTCTCGATCTCCTGACCTCGTGATCCACCCGCCTCAGCCTCCCAAAGCGCTGGGATTACAGGCGTGAGCCACCGCGCCCTGCCTGGATTGTTTTCTTATTGATAAGTTGTAAGAATTATTTATATGCTGTAAATACCATTCTTTTTTTGAGTAGATGTTTTGCAAATACTTTCTCCTAGTCTATGGCTTACCTTTCCATTTTCATAACAGTGAATGTAGAGACAGCAAAAGTTTTTTGTTGTTGTTTCAGACAGGGTCTCCTTCTGTTGCCCAGGCTGGAGTGCAGTGGCACAACCATGGCTCACTGCAGCCTCAACCTCCCAGGCCCTAGTGATCCTCCTACCTCAGCCTCCTGAGTAGCTGGGAGCACAGGTATGTGCCACCATGCCCAGCCAGCTTTTTAAATTTGGGGGGAAGAGTTGGGGGGTGGGGTCTCTCTGTGTTGCCAGGACTGATCTCAAACTCCTGGGCTCAAGCAATCCTCCTATCTTGGCCTCCCAAAGAGTGAGATTACAGGTGTGAGCCACCATGCCCAGCCAAAAGTGTTTAGTTTTATTAAGCCCAATAGATTAATTTACTTCTTTTAGAGATTGTGCTTTTTTGTATGTATTTTAAAATCTTTGCCTATGTTTTATTCTAGAAGTTTTATACCTTTAGTTCTGACATTTAGGTCTATGATCTATTTTGAGTTAATTTTTTATATCATATGTGGCAAGGATTGAAGTTATTTATTTATTTTTTAGTTATGGCTATGCAATTGTTTCAGCACCATTTATTATAAAGATTACCTTTCTCCAGTTGAATTCTCTTGCCATGTTTGTTGAAAATCAGTTGTCTATATATGTGTGGGTCAATTTTTACACCCTCAATTCTGTTCTATTGACCTGTATGTCTGTGTTTACAACAATACCACATTGTTCTAATTAATATAACTTAATAATAAATCTTGGTAAAGGCAATGTAACTCCTCCAACTTTGTTGTTCTTTTCAAAGATATTTTGGCTATTCTCTGTCCTTATTATATGATTTCCATGTAAATCTTAAAATTAGCTTGTCAATTTCTACAAAGAAGCCTGCTGAATTTTGATTGGGCTTGTATTAAATCCATCAAGTAATTAGGGGAAAATGGACATCATTACACATTTAAGTCTTCTAGTCTGTGAAGATGGCATAGCTTTCCATTTAATTATTCCTTACTTTTTATCAGCAATGATTTGTGTTCTTCAGTGCTCAGTTTTTCACATCTGTTGTCAGATTTATTCCAAAGTATATCATTTTTTGATGCTGTTACAAATAGCATTACTCTTAATTTCAAGTCATAATTGTTTATTGTGTGTAATAACACAATTAATTTTTGCATATTGATCTTTTATTCTGCAACTTTGCTAAACTCACTTTTTAATTTAGTGGCTTTTAGATTCTTTAGGATATTCTACAGTGCCAATCATTTTGTCTGCAATTTTTACTTCTTTCTTTCCAATTTGTAGGCATTTTATGTTTTTCTTGCCTTATTTCACTGGTTAGAACCTCTATTACATTGTTAAGTAGAGGTGGTAAAAGCAGACCTCTGTGACTTTTTCCTTCTTTGAAGGAAAGTTTTCTGTCAATCACCACCAACATGACTGACACTAGCAGTAGATTTTTTGTGAAAGCTCTTTATCAATTTGGGAAAGTTTCCTTCTATTCTCAGTGTGCTGGGAGTTTTTTGTTTTTGTTTTTGTTTTGAGACAGAGTTTTGTTCTGTGGCCCAGGCTGGAGTGCAGTGACATGATCACAGCTAACTGCAACCTCTGCCTCCCAGGTTCAAGCAATTCTCGTGCCTCAGCCTTACAAGCAGCTAGGACTACAGGCATGCTCCACCACGCTTGGCTAATTTTTATTATTTTAGTAGAGACGGGGTTTCGCCATGTTGGCCAGTCTGGTCTCGAACTCCTGGCCTCAAGCGATCCACCTGTCTCTGCCTCCCAAAGTGCCGGGATTATAAGTGTGGGCCACCGCGCCTAGCCAAGTTTTTATTAGGAATAAATGTGGGGGCTGGGTGCCGTGGCTCACACCTGTAATCCCGGCACTTTGGGAGACTGAGGCAGGCGGATCACCTGAGGTCAGGAGTTTGAGACCAGCCTGGCCAACACAATAAAACCCCATCTCTACTAAAAATACAAAATTTAGCTGGGCGTAGTGACAAATGCCTGTGATCTCAGCTACAGCTAATCAGGAGGCCGAGGCAGGAGAACTGCTTGAAGCTAGGAGGCAGAGGTTGCAGTCAGCTGAGATTGCACCATTGCACTCCAGCCTGGGCGACAAGCATGAATACTTGGTCTAAAAAAAAAAAAAAAAAAGAAGGAAGGAAGGGAATTTGTCAAATGTTTTGTGGCATCTATTGGGATGATCATATAGATTTTATTGTTTAATCTATTAATAAGATAAATTACATTGATTGGCTTTTGAATGATAAAACAACCTTGCATTGCTGTGATAAAATCTGCTTGGTGGTGATGCATTACCATCATTATATACTGATAGGTTCAACTTGCTAAAATTTTGTTAAGGATTACTGCATGTGTGTTCATGAAGTCTTCTGTAATGTCATTATTATAAGGTTGTTTTCCGGTTTGGATATCAGAGTAGTACTGGTGTTATAGAATTAATATGGACATATTTCATTCTCTTGAATTTTTTGAAAGAGTTTGTAGACAGTTGGTATTATTTCTGCCTTAAATGTGTAGTATAAATCACCATTGAATTTATCTGGGTCTGGAGTTTTCTTTGTTGGAAGGTTGTTTTTTCTTTTTCTTTTTCTTTTTCTTGTTTTTTTTTTTTTTTTTTGGTTTTTTTTTGGTTTTTTTTTTTTTAGATGGAGTCTTGCTCTGTCACCCAGTCTGAAGTGCAGTGGTGTGGTGCGGTCTTGGCTCACTGCAACCTCTGTCTCCTGGGTTCAAGCTATTCTCCTGCCTCAGCCTCCCAAGTAGCTGGGACTACAGGTGTGTGCCACCACGCCCAGCTAATTTTTGTATTTTTAGTAGAGACGGGGTTTCACCATGTTGGCCAGGCTGGTCTCCAACTCTTGACCTTGGGTGATCCACCCACCTCAGCCTCCCAAAGTGCTGGGATTACAGGCGTGAGCCACTGTGCCTTGCCTGGAAGGTTGTTTTTTCTAGCCACCAATTAATTTCTATAATAAATATAGGGCTTTTCAGGTTACCTTGTTTTTAACTGAATGAACTTTGGTAGTCTGTGTCTTTCAGAGGCTAAATATTTTATCTAAGTTATCTAACTTATTTCTTCTTCTAATGTCTGGAATTTGTAGTGATGTCCTCTCTCACATTTCTAATATTGTTATTTAGTATCTTCTCTCTTTTTAACCGCTGGATCAGTCTGACTAGAAGTTTATGAATTTTATTGATATTCTTAAAGAATCAACTTTCAGTTTCATTGATTTTCTCTATTTTCTTTTTGTTTTTCATTTTCTTGGTTTTTAAAAATCTTATCTTTATTATTTCCTTTCTCCTGCTCACTAGGGTTTTAATTTTCTTTTCCTTTTCTAGTTTTTTAAGGTAGAAGCTGAGGATATTAATTTGAGACCTTTCTGGTTTTTCTAATAGAGGCAAATTAGGGCAATAACTTTACCTCTAAGCAGGATTTTAGTGGCATCTCACAAATTTTTATGTTTTCTTTTCATTTTCAATCACTGTTAAACACTTTCTTATTTCCCATTGGATTTCTTCTTTGCCTCATGCATTATTTAAAAGTTTGTTATTTAGTGTATTAGTCTGTTTTTACGCTGCTGATAAAGACATACCTGAGTCTGGGCAATATACAAAAGAAAGAGGTTTATTGGACTCACTGTTCCGCATTGCTGGGGAGGCCTCACAATCATGGTGGAAGGCAAGGAGAAGCAAGTCACATCTTACATGAATGGCAGCAGGCAAAAAGAGGGCTTGTACAGGGATACTCCTGTTTTAAAAACCATCAGATCTCATGAGACCCATTCACTATCATGAGAACAGCACAGGAAAGTCCTGCCCCTGTGATTCAATCATCTGTCACCAGGTCCCTCCCACAACATGCAAGAATTATGGGAGCTACAAGATGAGATTAGGGTGGAGACACAGAGCCAAACCATATTATTCTACCCCTGGCCTCTGCCAAATCTGGTATCTTCACATTTCAAAGCGAATCATGCCTCTCCAAAAGTTCCCCAAGGTCTCAGCTCATTCCAACATTAACTCAAAAGTCCACAGTCAGCTGGGCATGGTGGCTCACACCTGTAATCCCAGCACTTTGGGAGGCCGAGGTGGGCAGATCACCTGAGGTCAGGAGTTTGAGACAAGCCTGGCTGATACGGTGAAACCACATCTCTACTAAAAATACGAAAATTAGCTGGCTGTGCTAGCACATGCCTGTAATCCCAGCTACTTGGGAGGCTGAGGCAGGAGAATCACTTAAGCCTAGGAGGTGGAGGTTGCAGTGAGCTAAGATTGTGCCACTGCACTCCAGCCTGGGCAACAGAGTGAGATTCTATCTCAAAAAAAAAAAAAAAAGTCCACAGTCCAAAGTCTTATCTGAGACAAGGCAAGTCCCTTCCACCTATGAGCCTGTAAAATCAAAAGCAAGTTAGTTACTTCCTAGATACAATGGGGGTGCAGGCACTGGATAAATAGAGCCATTCCAAATGGGAGGAATTGGCCAAAACAAAGGGGCTAGAAGTCAAATCTTAAAGCTCCAAAACGATCTCCTTTGACCCCACGTCTCACACCCAGGTCATGCTGATGGAATAGGTGGGTTCCCATAGTATTGGGCAGCTCCACCCCTCTTGCTTTGCAGAGTACAGCCTCCCTCCCAGCTGCCTTCACAGGCTGGCACTGAGTGTCTGCGGCTTTTCCAGGTGCACGGTGCAAGCTGTCAGTGGATCTACCATTCTGGGGTCTGGAGGATGGTGGCTCTTTCTCACAGCTCCACTAGGCAGTGCCCCAGTAGGGACTCTGCATGGGGGCTCCCATTCTAAATTTCCCTTCTGTGGTGCCCTAGCAGAGGTTCTCCATGAGGGCTCCACTCCTGCAGCAAACTTTTGCCGGAGCATCCAGGCCTTTCCTTGCATCTTCTGAAATCTAGGTGGAGGTTCTTAAACCTCAATTCTTGACTTCTGTGCACTCGCAGGCTCAACATCACATGAAAGCTGCCAAGGCTTGAGGCTTGCACCCTCTAAATCCATGGCCCAAGCTCTACACTGGCCCCTTTCAGCCACAGCTGAAGCAGGTGGGATACAGGGCACCAAGTCCCTAGACTGCATACAGCAGAGGGACCCTGGGCCAGGCACACAAAACCACTTTTTCCTCTTAAACCTCTAGGCCTGTGATGGGAGGGGCTGCCACAAAGGTCTCTGACATGCCCTGGAGACATTTTCCCCATTGTCTTGGCTCATTGTTACTTATGCAAATTTCTGCAGCCAGCTTGAATTTCTCCCCAGAAAATGGGATTTTCTTTTCTATCACATTGTCAGGCTGCAAATTTTCCAAACTTTTCTTTTTTTTTTTTTTTTTTTTTTGAGACAGATTCTTGCTCTGTCACCAGGCTGGAATGTGATGGCGCGACCTTGGCTCACTGCAACCTCCACCTCCCAAGTTCAAGTGATTCTCCTGCCTCAGCCTCCCAAGTAGCTGGGACTACAGGTGTGCACCACCATGCCCAGCTAATTTTTGTATTTTTAGTAGAGATGGGGTTTCACCATGTTGGCCAGGATGGTCTTGATCTCTTGAGCTCGTGATCCACCCACCTCGGCCTCCCAAAGTGCTGGGATTACAGGCGTGAGCCACTGTGCCCACCCAAATTTTCCAAACTTTTATGCTCCATTTCCCTTTTGAAGCTGAATGCCTTTAACAGCACCCAAGTCACCTCTTGAATGCTTTCTTTTAGAAATTTCTTCTGCAAGATACCCTAAATCATCTCTCTCAAGTTCAAAGTTCCACAAACCTCTAGGACAGGGGCAAAATGCTGCCAGTCTCTTTGCTGAAACATAGCAAGAGTCACCTTTGCTCCAGTTCCCAACAAGTTCCTTATATGCCTCTGAGACCACCTCCTCCTGGACCTTATTGTCCATATCACCATCAGCATTTTTGTCAAAGCCATTCAACAAGTCTCAAGGAAGTTCCAGATTTTCCCACATTTTCCTATCTTCTTCTGAGCCTTCTGAATTGTTCCAAGCTCTGCCTGTTACCCAGTTCCAAAGTTGCTTCCACATTTTTGGGTATCTTTTCAGCAATGCCCCACTCTACTGGTACCAACTTACTGTATTAGTTTGTTTTCATGCTGCTGACAAAGACATATCTGAGACTGGGCAATTTACAAAAGAAAGAGGTTTATTGGACTCACAGTTCCACATGGCTGGGGAGGCCTCACAATTATGGCAGAAGGCAAGGAGCAGCAAGCCATGTCTTACATGGATGGCAACAGACAAAAAGAGAGCTTGTACAGGGAGACTCCTGTTTTTAAAACCATCAGATTTTGTGAGACCTATTCACTATCATGAGAACAGCATGGGAAAGACCCACCCCATGATTCAATAATCTCTCACCAGGTCCCTCCCACAACACGTGGGAATTATGGGAGCTACAAGATGAGATTTGGGTGGGGACACAGAGCTAAACCATACTATTCAGTTTCTAAAACTTGGACATCTTCCAGATACCTTTTTGTTATTGATTTCTAATTTAATTCCATGTGGTCAGAGAACATATTTTGCATAATTTGAATTTTTGAAAATTCAAATTGTTCTGTGGCCCATGACATTGTTGTAACTATTCCACAAAAACTTAAAAAGAATATGTATTCTGTTGTCGTCGGGTGGAGTGTTCTACAAATATCAATTAGGACAAGTTAATTGATGGTGTTAAGCCTTCTATATCCTTACTGATTATCTGGGTTCTTGTTCAATCAATTATTGAGAGAAAGGTGGTGAAATCTCCAACTATTTGTGCAGTTCTCCTATTAGGTTTTATCACTTTTTGCTTCATGAATTTTAAAGCTCTATTATTAAATGTATATACATTTAAAATTGTTGTATCATCTTGATGAGTTGTCTTCTTTAACATTATGAAATAGCTATCTCTGGTAATATTCTTTGCTCTTAAATCTATTTTGTCTGATATTAATATGGCTACTCTAGCTTATTTTGATTAGTGTTAGCATGGTTTATCTTTTTTTACATTTAATGTATTTGTGTCATTATATTTCAATTGTGTTTTCTTGTAGACAGCATCTAGTAGGGTATTGCTTTTGAATTGTATCTAACAGTCCTGCCTCTGACCATTTACATTTAATGTGATTATTGATATGATTGATAAAATCCAGGGTCTTGTTATTTCCTTTCTATTTGTCCCATCTGTTTTTTTTCCCTTTTACTCTTTTATCATCTACTTCTGAATTAACCACAGGTTATGTCCTTTGTGAGCTTACAGCTATAACTCTGTGCTTTTTTTGGTGTTGCCTCAGGGTTTATAGTATATATCTTTAATTTATTATACTATACCTTCATGGAATATTTTATCACTTCATCTATAGTTTAAGATCTTTATTTCTATTTCTCCTCTCCTGGTTTTATACTTTAGTTGTCATTCATTTTAATGTACATATAGTGTATATTTCATGATATATTGTTATTAGTTTGCTTTAAACAGTTAATTATCTTTTAAAGAGATTTTTAAAATAAGAAACATGTTTTATATATTTTAAATAGAAAAATATTTTATATTTGCCCACATATATACATTTCTGGCATTCTTTATTCTTTTTCGTATATCCAGATTTCCATCTGTTATTTTTTTCTGCCTAAAGGGCTTCAACATTTCTTGAATTGTAGATCTTGTAGTGATGAATTCTTTCAGCATTTGTGCATGTGAAAATGTATTTTACCATATTTTGTCTTGCTTTATTTTGCATATTTAGAAATTTACTTTTTGACATGAGAGTCTTTTGGAGGGGTACAGCTTTATTGACCTATAACTCGCATACCATACAATCCACCCACTTGAAGTGTACAGTTCTATGGTTGTTAGTATGGAGATGTGTAGCCTTCACCACAATCAATTTTAGAACATTTCCATCACCGCAAAGAGAAACTTTGTACACTTCATCTGTCAATCATTGAGCTCCCACCTCTTCCAGCCCTGGGCATCCTACTTTCTGTGTCTATAGATTTTTCTACTCTGAAAATGTCATCTAAATGGAACCACACAGTATGGGGCTTTTTGTGGCTAAGTTCTTTCATTTAGAATAATCCATTCAAGGGTCACTTATGTTGTAGTATGTATCATTATTTCATTCCTTTTTAATTGTCATTGTATTGATATACCTACCATATTTTATACCTACCATTAATTCATCAGTTGAATGAACACGTAGGTTGTTTCCATTTTTTACTTTCATGAATAATGCTATTATGAGCATTGGTAGACAAGGTTTTGTGTGGATATAAGTTTTTATTGCTCTTGGTTATATAACTAGGGGTAGATTTATTGGGTCATATGGTAATTCTATGTTTATCTTCTTGAGGAACTGCTAGACTATTTTCCAAAGTGCCTGTACCACTTGATATTCCTACCAGCAACGTATATGTGTTCCCATTTCTCCACATTCTTGACAACATCTGTTATTCTCTTTTATATTATAGCCAACCTAGTAGGTATGAAGTAGTGTCTCATTGTGGTTTTGATTTACACTCTTCTACTAGCTAATGATGTTGAGTATCTATCCTTTCATTTGCTTATGGGCCATTGAATATTTTCTTTGGAGAAATGTCTATTCCAATCCTTTGCCCATTTTGTTCTGTTTTTTGTTTTGTTTTGTTTTGAGACAGAGTCTAGCTCTGTCACCCAGGCTGAAGGGCAGTGGTGTGATCTCGGTTTACTGCAACCTCCTCCTCCCAGGTTCAAGTGATTCTCCTGCCTCGACCTCCCTAGTAGCTGGGATTACAGGAGCATGCCGCCATGCCCAGCTGATTTTTTTGTATTTTAGTAGAGATGGGGTTTCATTGTGTTGCCCAGGCTGGTCTAGAACTCCTGAGCTCAGGCAATCCACCTGCCTCGGTCTCCCAAAGTGCTAGGATTACAGGCGTGAGCCACCGCACCCGGCCCCTTTGCCCATATTCAAATTGGGTTATTCATTTATCTTTTTGTTATTGAGTTGTAAGAGTTCCTTATATATTCTAGGTACAAGTCCTTTATCAGATATATTAATTTCAAATATTTTCTTCTGTTCTTTGTGACTGCCTTTTCATTTTTCTTTTTTTAAATTTTGTTTTGATATAATGTCTCTTCATTTTCTTGATGGTAACCTTTGAAGCATAGAAGTTTTATATTTGATAAAGTCTAATTTATCTATTCTTTTCTTTGTTCCTTGTGCTTTTGGTGTCATAGATGAGAAACCATTGCCTATTCCAGGATTTACCCCTATGTTTTTTTCTAAGAGTCTTATGGTTTTAGCTATGACATTTAGGTCTGTGATCCATTTTGAGTTAATTTTTATATGTGGTAGGAGGTAGGGTTCAACTTAATTCTTTTGCACATGGATATTCAGTTGTCTTAGCATCATTCATTGAAAAGACTTTACTTCATCTTTGAAGAAAGACTACCTCATCTTTGGTATATAATTCCAGAATGTCACCTTTCTTTTCTTTCAGAACTTTAAAAATGTTCTGGCTGACATGGCTCTGACAAGAAGTATACAGTCATTTTATCTTTGCTCCTTTCTATATATTATGTATATTTTCTGTAGATCCTTTTCAAGTTTTTTTCCTTACCACTGGTTTTAGCCAATTTGATGTGCATTGGTGTTGTTTTCTTGATGTTTCCTGTGCTTGGGATTTGTTGGGCTTCTTGAATCTGTGAGTTTTCATCAAATTTGGAATACCTTCACTCATTATTTATTCAAAAATATTTTCTGTCTCTTCATCTCCTTCAGAGACCCCAATTACACATACATTGGACTGGTTGAAGTTGTGCACACTGATGGTCTATTCATTTCTTTCCATCTCTTTACTCTTTGTGTTTCATTGTTTGATTTTTTTGTCTTTTTAAAAATTTTTGTTTTTCTTTTTTTGCTTTGTACATCTGTCAGCTCATACCTACGGGTTTCATTGTGAAGAGTTTATATTGCTACATCTTCAAGCTCACTAATATTGTCTTCTGTAGTATACAATCTTTTGTTAATCCTATCCAGTGTATTTTTTATCTCAGGCATTGGTTTTTTTCACCTAAGTTTGAATTCGATTGTTTTTATATCTTGTTTCTCTTTTATATACATATGCTTTCCTATAGCATTTTGAACATATGGACTATAACTGTGTTCATACCCTTGTGTAATAATTCCATCACTAGTGTCATTTTTGATCATTTCTATTGATCGATTTCTCTTCATTATGAGTTGCATTTTCTTACTTCTTTGCATACCTTATAATTTTTCACTGCATTCCAGACATCATGAATTTACCTTGTTGAGTGTTAGATATTTTTGTATTCTTTTAAATATGCTAGAAGTTTATTCTGGAATGCAGTTAATTTACTTGGAAGCATTTTGATCTTTTCAAGGCTTGCTTTTCAGTTTTGCTAGGCAGGACCAGGGTAGCCTCTAATCTTGGGCTAATTTTTCCCTCTTACTGAATATTATACTTGATGCCCTGTTTATTACAGATTTTTCTACTCTGGCTGGTGATAATACAAACTGTTCTGCACTCTAACAATTGTCTCTTCCATTCCTCCCTGGTGTTCTTTTCCTGGCATCAGCTAGCTCCTCACACACATATGCTTATTGTTACTCAGCTGAAGACTTGAAGGAAATCCTCTGTAGATCTCTGGAGTTCTCTCTGTACAATTTTCTCTTCTCCGTGTAGCATTTTTTTTTCCTCTCTTGGACTTTGCCCTGTGAACTCTAGCTACATTGGCTTCCTCAAACTCTCAAATCTGTCTCTTTAACTCAAGAAGATTTCCTATTTGAGTTTCCCTTCCCTAGCTGTGTCCTGGAAACTCTCCAGGCAGTAAGCAAGGGCAATCATAGCACTCATCTCATCTGTCAAGTTTATCTTAGGGATTACTGTTCTATATTGCTTATTGTCCAATGTCTGACAGTATTTCCTATATTTTGTCCAGATTTTTAGATGTTTAATGTGAAAGGGTAAATCCTGTCCCTGTTACTCCATCTTGGATGGAAGCTATAGTCCTCAATAAATGTTTGACTCCATTCTCTAAACACTGAGTGATTTTATCATTGGCAATAGATTCTATCATTGGCAATAGATTTTATCATTGGCAATAGATTCTAGGTTCTTACTGGTAACTTCAGTGTTAGACCTTCTGGATGTTCATGGCTAGGCACCATGGCAAGTTTACAATGATATATGTTATTGCGATGTCTCCTATTTGTTTCAGTTATCTCTTGTTTTCTCATTTAGACTGCAAATTCCCTGAGGTCAGAAACCCTCCAATGTTACATTTCTATGTATCTTCCACCCAAAACTAGGCAAATTTATTTTTAACTCTTACTTAATCTTTACCCATTTGAAAATTCCATTTGAAGTGTTACCAAATAATACATGTAGGATTAGAGTTTATGTTAAACATCAATGCCACATATTCAAACGCTATGAGTGAAAATGAATTCTGATTCATCCCCTAATTTTATATATGCTAGGAGGAAGAACCACCACCCCTACCTTCACTATGGTCAGCTGAGAACTGTCTTCTAATTATCCACCAGGCTTGTCAATATCTTTTTAAGAAAATGATTTTTTCAAAAATGTAAATAAATCAAAACCCTATAAAATCTACACACTTAAGTAGCTAGTTCTTCAGTAACAGAGAGCTCTGACCTTTCATGTAAAAGCTTTTGTAAATATTAGTCAAAGTGAATATTATTCACTTTGTAAAGTAATAATATTCGATTAGATCATGTTGGAGTTTTGTTTTTTTCATCAATTAATTGTTATTAATTCTAATCTAAGGAGAAATAAGATAAAATCATGTTTTAAATCTGCTTTAATATTCTGGTAGTATATTGGGAAAAAATACATGCTATTTCATCCACTCCCTCTGCAACAAATACACCCTCATTCAACAGTAAATACATTTCAGGTTCTGTCCTTGGCGGTAAGGATGCTACTGAGGGGAAGACACCAAATGCCTTGTTTTCATGGTATATTCCCTTTTGGTACTATTCATTTTATGGAGGCTTTATTTAGGTTAATAGCATAATATATTTATAATGTGTGAAGATCTGTGGGTTTATTCAACAAATCATTTGTTGAGTACCTTATATATTCCAGACATTGTTCTAGGCACTGATATTACAGCAGTGAACAAAACAGACAAATCCGCTGCTTCCATGGAGCTTATATTGGAGGTTGGGTGGCAGTAAAGTAGATAAACATAAGGCAGGTGGTAAACGCTCTAAAGAAAAATAAAGCACAGTGATGAGCCAGCTAGTCATGAGAAGGAGTTCTGTTTTACGTAGGGGTATCAGGGAAGGCCTCACTTGTAAGATATGGCACTGTTACAGAGACACGATGAAGTGAGGAAACTAGTTAGCCAGGCAGACTATTTGGGGAATTATTCCAGGCTGACGGAAAATTGCAAGTGCAGATACACGAATGCAGGATTAGGCTTGGTGTATCTGAGTGGAACCAACAGAGCAAGGGAGGAGTGTTAGGAAATGAGGGTAAAAGGGCAGAGGAGTAAAATTAAATAAGACAGTGTACTCCATAAAAAAGTAATTGCATTTTACTTGGAAATGGGAAGCCATGGGAAGGTTATGAGCAGGGGAGAGGCATGACCACATTTATTTCATAAAACAATTGCTTTAGCTACTATTGAGACTATGACTTTGGAAGGGCAAGAGCAGAAGCAAGAACATGACAAGGCTATTGCAGTTATTCAGGTGAGAGATGGGTGGCCTGGCCTGCACTGCTGGCACTGGAGATGGGGAGAAGTGGTCAGATTCTGAATGTATTTCAAATGTTTATGCTGAGTGAAAGAGTCAGACAAAAAAAGAATGTATACGATATTATTCCATTTATATCAAATTCTAGAAAATGCAAACCAATCTGCAGTGACAGAAGGTTGTCTGAAGACAGCTGGGACAAGGGAGGGAGGGATTATAAAGGATCATGAGAACTCTTTCAGAGGTGATGTTGATGAATATGTTAATTAACTTCATTGTGGTAATGGTCTCATGGGTGTAGACATATGTCAAAAATTATCATTGTACACTTTAAACATGTGCAATTTATTGTAGGTTAATTATACTTCAACAAAGCTATTAAAAAAGACATGGGATTGTCTGATGGATTGGACTTGGGTGTGAGAAAAAAGAGGTCGAGGATGGTTTGTATGTTTTTGGCTTAAGCACCTAGAAGATAGGAATTAAATTGTCATTCCTATTCCTCAAATAGGGAAGACCGAAAGGAGCAGAGTTTGAGAGAAAAAGATAAAGAGTTTGGTTTTCAACATATTGTTAGAGATGCCTATTAGACACATCTAAGATATTAAAACAAATAAATACACAGTAGAAAAGAAATGAAGAATGAACAGAACTACTACTTGGATAGAAAGTGCTTGTCCGTGACCTTACCAAATGTATATTTCTCAAGACAGCATTGGAATTACATTGGCCCAGTAGGAACTCTCACGGCTCCTACAGACAAAAATTTGTGAGCATCTGTTTACCGTTTTTTCCTTATTCGATATAATGGATTGCACAGACAAGCCACATTCTTTCTTCTTGCTTTTAAGTAATACGATTTGTTTGGGAAACCAGCTGCTGGGTTTGTTGTTCAAGGTTGATGAGTAACCTTAGAGATTGCAATGAGAAGCTGCTGGTCACAGACAGATGCCAAGTTCTTCAACCAGGGCTGGAGAGCATTGTAGCCACTCTTCTGGAGAGCATTGTAGCCACTCTTCTCTGGGCTGACCTGCTCATGCAGTCCCCCGCTTTTTTAACTGCACATATAAATCATCCAGTTATAGTATGATTTAAATAAGATTTTGCTTCCCTGCTCAGAAAGAAAGTACAAAAATTGCTTGTTGCTTGATGGAGGCTTTACAGAGCTGTGATTAAAAAGGAGCATACTACCTGGGTTTGAATCTTAGCTCCATCACTCACTAGGTGTTTGAATGCCTTAAGGTAGTCATCTCTGAAATGGGGATCATAATAGGACCTACTACTCTAAGGTGCGATTGTTGTGAAGATTAATCTTAATTCTGGCATGAAATAAGTATAAAATGGAAGCTCATCACACTGTTATTAAATTAATTTACTTTTTTCCTATGGATATAGATCTAGGAATCTCAAGATCTCAGCCCAAGGACCATTACCCATTTCTATCAACGACCAAGCAGGCCACGGGCTCTGATTTATATCCTCAGCCCCCTATTCCACTCACCTCCCCCTTTCTTAATCAAAGAGCACCACGGGATGGTGCCCCCAAGGAAGCCCTGGGAGGCTGAAAAGGAGGGAGCCTGAAACCAGAGACTAACAGTGGCAAATCGCGGGTGGGATTTGGCAGTTCAGAAAAGGAGGTACCATGCCAAGAGTGGGGGTAGCGGGGTGAAGTAGCGGGGTGAAGTGGGGGGCTGGTTCGGGACAGGCCACAAACCAGAAACTGCGAGAAGGCGCCAGAAGGGACCTGTTGAGATGGCGCAGGGTTGGGGGACCCAAGCGCGCGGGGAGGGGTGAACTAAGAATGGAGTCACGCGGAGGTGCTGCGAGGGACTGGGGCAAAGGCAGGTGATTGGGCGAGGGAGTCCTGGTTGCCACGGCAGCGACCAGAGGAGAAGGCTTCGAGGAGAGGAGGAGGCTGCTGTCAGTCCTCCTCCTGGAGGTCTCCCGCATCCCTCCTAGAGCCTCTGCTGACGTGTCAGTCGGAAACTGCTCAGACCTTCGCGGGCGCCGCCCCTCTGCGCTTGTCTTCCCACATGCCCCCGGCGCTCCGCCTGGTCCCTGCCCGCGTCCCTGCCCCCGTCCCTGCCCCCGTCCCTGCCCCCGTCCCCGCCCCGTCCCCGCCCCCGCCCCCGCCCCCGTCCCCGCCCCCGTCCCCGCCCCGTCCCCGCCCCAGCCCCCGCCCCAGCCCCCCCGTCCCCGCCCCGTCCCCGCCCCCGTCCCGCCCCTCTGCGCCCGCCCCGGCCTCCTCCTCCGCGTCACCGGCTCCCCGAGGTGACCACAACATGGCTGCGGCGCCTGGGCTGCTCGTCTGGCTGCTCGTGCTCCGGCTGCCCTGGCGGGTGCCGGGCCAGCTGGACCCCAGCACTGGCCGGCGGTTCTCGGAGCACAAACTCTGCGCGGACGACGAATGCAGCAGTGAGTGCGCTGGAGGGGCGGCTGGCCTCGGGGCGGCTGGCCTTGGGGTCTCCGCCGGCCCCGGGGGTCTCCGCGGCGGCGCCGCCTGGGCTGTGCGGGGACGGGAGTTCCGCAGCCCCTGGCCGGCCCGGGGGTCGCAGGCGGGATGGGCTGAACGCGGGGGTGGGCGCGCTCCGGGTCCCTGTGTCTGCCTTCTCCCGCTCTGCCTGCGCCCGGCCCCTCGGGCCTGACCATGGGGGCTGCACCTCCCACTTGTTGCCAGCGTTTTATTTTTCCTCTGCTGAGGCGGGGGGTTGCTTGCGGTGGTCCCCGGCTTCCCCAATAGTGGCTCACAGCGTCCCCTTCCCACCCCCCCAATCCGCCTGGGCTCGGAGGGTAGATGTGGTTGCGCGCCGCGCGTCTGGGCTCCCCACGCCGCAACCAAAGCTTTCCTGCCCGCGCTGCGGGGACCTCGGTGGGTGCATCACCCCGGCAGATGCGCTAAGGGCTCGGTGGGCGTTTTCCCAGTGGCAGGTTGATGGTGGGGTTTGTTTGGAAAGGCTCCCTGGCGCTGCTCCTTTGCCCTTCTGCTTTATTGGGATTTGGGCTTGTACCGCCTTTTGAACAGGAATTGGGAGTTTAGGTTTGGGACGAGTCTGGAGTCCAAGCACTCATTGTATTCCGAGGTCTCTGCCCCGACTTTGATCAATCCTGTCGTTTCTGTGCTTGGAAGCCGCCTTGCAGACTGCTAGGCAGGACTGCAGGAAGACCAAAATCTTTCGCTCTGCAGAGACCGAGGATCTGCACCGGCCACCTGGGACCGGCAGCCTCCTCTTCTGTGCGCAGGAAGCGGAATTGCTCTCCAGTCTGGGATTGGAGGTGGGCGGTGGAGAGGGCACAGATCTTCAGGCTCAGATGAAGAAGGTTATTACAGGAATGACAGTAAATACTCCAAGGGTCTCATAAGCCAAGCTTGGTTTAGCCTTAGCCGCTTGCGTGTTGAAACCTCTTCCCTCTATGTTCGCCGGACCAGGATCATTTTAGGGCCTCCCAGACCGTCTCAACCTTGTAACTTACTGATAGCCACTGCAGAAACGGTTTTTCATACACTGTTAAGCAATGCCTATAGAAACGTATTCATTTTAAGAAGGCCAAGAACTCTATGGTTTAGCTATTTATATTCAAATTGATGTTATCAAAACCGAATTTCATAATATGAACTGTTTGTATCTCTACAACACTAATCAAGAAAAGAGATCTCTAATGAGTGTGAAGCCATTCCTAGAGATAACCCTGTGGTTGATGTAAATAAACACTACAAAAGCGGTACAACTGCCATGATTTTTCCCTTTAGTTTTCTTGGGTCAAAGCCACGCTGTTACCCATTTGCCGTTGGCAATGGCAAGATAGTTGGTATTCTTTGCTTGCAAGCATTGCCCTGCCTGGGTTCCTCAAAACAGGTTACCTGGAGAATCATCACATCACTGATGCTTCTTCAGTACTGAGGCATGATGTTAGAAGAGCTCACGGTTGTAACATAACTTGAGAAATGGTACGTGTTCAGAGGAAACCAAATACAATAGGCATCAACAGGAGCAAGGTCTAGATGGGTCTGTGTTGTGTTGTAGAAAGTGTTTAGTAATGTGAGTATGTACGGTGCCCTTGTGTGGTTTTCAAATAGCTGTTCCACAGGGTGCATTTTGTTGGCATCTCAAATATTATTATAAATCCTCTATGATCTATTGTAAGGGGGAGCAAAAGAAACATTGCCATTTTCAATTCTGATCTTATTCCCAACCTTAAATTGTCCATCATCTTAAACCTGGCCTCACACTCAATTATATCTGAGCTACAAAGCTGACATGTTGGAAAGTAATCAGAGTTTAGCTTCAAAAAACAAGTAGCCCCTTCCAAATCTATATGCGTGTATAGCCATTTAAAGGCACGTTTTTAATGTATTTTATTGCAAATTGGCTTTTGGAAAAAATCTTATTTCTATTCGTCCTTCTTTGTCTCTGCTATTTAGATGTATTTATTGTCCATTTCATCTTACATGGGAAACTGTGTATGTGGTCAACAAAAATAAAAGTACTGCTTCAGCCAGTTTCTAGATCAAGCGTGATTGAATTACTGACCTATTCTCATAGTTTTGCTTAGTCCCAGCCAAATGAGATGTCGACTTTTGATTTTGTTTATAGAAAAATATACATAAGGGTATTCTTTCCTTTGTTTTGAAACTTAATTTTGGATACAGTCAACATTATTTACTTTCAGAAAATATTGCCTTGTGATGTAATTGAATCTATAGTAGGGTGTGATAGATATCTTTTCCCATTAATTTATCCAGACACTGTACTAAGGGAACAACTTGGCTGCAAATGAAATTGACAGTGTTTACTGCTACATAGTACTGGTTACAGTCACTTGAAGATAGACCCTTTTAGTGGTTAGTTCAAGTTAATTGACCTCTTGGGGGTTCCTGGGTACTCTAGTTCCCTATTACCCGTTCATGTAGCCATGCTTAAGTTAATCATCATCTGGGCTTGAATTTACCCATTTGCAAAAGGAAGCTTTTTATGAATATGAAACAGAAAAGATTGAGGACTAGAAGGTTAGAGAGGGAATCGAGAGTTTCACTTGGGTGAGAAAAGCCATGTGTGGTAGTTGGCACATTGCTTTTTGTTTCTCAGTATTATCCATAGAGAAAAATAGAGAAGGTTTTCCTTTCCCTTGTCTGCTTGCAGAAGGTATGATTTATAGCAGTAAAGCTCAAAGGATTTGAGATACTTTGAGCATATGAAAGAAATTCCAGAGAGTACTGGAAAAACTTGGTTGTTGTTTATAGTGGGATTCTTATATTTCCTGATAAATCAATATGCACTGTGAACACTGAATCCTGATATCTGGCTATTTTTTTTCTCTCTCTTTATATACAGTGTTAATGTACCGCGGTGAGGCTCTTGAAGATTTCACAGGCCCGGATTGTCGTTTTGTGAATTTTAAAAAAGGTGATCCTGTATATGTTTACTATAAACTGGCAAGAGGATGGCCTGAAGTTTGGGCTGGAAGTGTAAGTAAAATATCGACATACTTTATTTGCTTAATTTTTATTGGCTTCTTTAGCACTGTAGAGTTAAATGACTGCATTTTCTTGGGACCTTTGATGGAGTTAACTTGTCCTCTCTGCCTGACTGTGAAAAAAGATGGCCCTGTGTCCCCAGCAGGCCTTGGGTCTGCACAGAGTAGGGGCTCAGCAGAGCCTTCTGAAATAGAACTGATTCTGGCAAGTTCCCCTCAGGGTCAACCTCTAGGATGCTGCATACGTATTAGAGGTTGAAATGGTAAGAGCTGAAAAATACTTCATTGCTTTAAAAAGGAAGTATTCATAGGAATTAGACTTACTCCTGTAAACTATATGTGAGAGAGTGTTTCAGGCATGTAAGCTTAAAGTTGATTTTATGTGTATTTCTTTGTTTATATTATTATTTATGAAAAAGTGGCAGTCTTGGGAACAGTTCCCTAATCATCTGTGCTATTATAAGTCTGTAAAAAAGCAAAATGTT
Source organism: Homo sapiens (assembly GCF_000001405.40). Taxonomy (NCBI): domain Eukaryota; kingdom Metazoa; phylum Chordata; class Mammalia; order Primates; family Hominidae; genus Homo; species Homo sapiens. Next base: position 222,621,786 of record NC_000001.11, read on the forward strand.
GTTTCTCGTGTGCTTTCTTGTTTGTTTGTTTTTTTTTTTTTGAGGCGGAGTCTTGCTCTGTCGCCCAGGCTGGAGTGCCGTGGCGCGATCTCGGCTCACTGCAAGCTCCGCCTCCCGGGTTCACGCCATTCTCCTGCCTCAGCCTCCCGAGTAGCTGGGGCTGCAGGTGCCTGCCACCACACGGCTAATTTTTTGTATTTTTTTAGTAGAGACGGGGTTTCACTGTGTTAGCTAGGTCTCGATCTCCTGACCTTGTGATCCACCCACCTTGACCTCCCAAAGTGCTGGGATTACAGGCGTGAGCCACCGCAACCAGCCTCTTGTTTGTATTTTTGTTTGCAGCCTTGGGGTCATCCTTGTCCTGCTTTTCAGACACTTGTGTCTGGAGGTTACCCCAGGGGATTGATTCCCAGCTGATTTTATGGGTACCCTGCTATCAGACCTGGCAATCAATGACTGCATCATGCTTTGGTATTTTTAATGAGGAGATTCACTGGGAGTGACCTGATTGAGAGGCCTGTCTTATGAGTTATTGTCCTTTCCTTTTTAGAAAGCGTGATATGTGGACTGTGTCTTTACTTCAAGTAGTAAGGGTCCTCGATATCTTTAGGATTGTCCCAACTTAGAGAAATACCCATCCCGACTATGAAAGTTTTCACTGTCAGTAAAACACCAAACAAACAAAGAGAAAATAAGGCTTGAGAAATCCCCTTGGGGAAAATAGACTGATTTTGTTGGCATTCCAGGTTCCTAGGGAGTAATCTTGGGAAACAACAACTGGTCAGGTTCAGCTCTCCTATTTAGAGAGCATCCCAAGTGACTTGCTCCATACCAAAACAAATCTATTCTATTTCCTTCAAGTCTACCTAATGAGATTTGTTGATAATCTTTACTCTTGGAAATGTTTTTCCATGTACCTAGGCTGCGTTTTTTCATAGAAAAGTTAAGTTTTTTTTTCCACTCCTCATCTTTGAGCATTTGGATGAATGAACTTGACTTAACATTTTCCTCCCACTGCAGTTTTGCTCATTCACGTCTTCATCTCTGGATGTCCTGTCAGTCTTTCTGGGTCACACCTCTCATCCTGCCTTCTTAAGGAACGCTGCCTTCAGCACCCAGCCAGAAGGGATCTTTGCTGCCTGATGATTGTTTAGGTGGCACTTTGTTTGCACTGTTCATGTGGCATTTGCTTTACTGCTTTGTATGGCAGTTAATTTGTGTACTGTCTTAGCTCACGTAAAGTGAAAGACTCTTTAATGGAAAGGCTCATGCCTTATCTGTCTTCTTTTTCAGTATTTCCTGACGAGGCAGTGGCATTTATTTATATTTGTCCTGATATTATCTTATGCAGAATTTGTTCTCTTAAGGCGATACTCTACTTTCCCTCCTACCCCCCGCCCAAATGAAATCAACAGTACCTTGGCAGAAATGATGTATGAAAGCAAAATTAGACATAAAGATTTTTTCTTGTCATGTGAGCCTATGTTTTTTTTTTTGTTTTTTTTTTGGTCAAATCATAAGAAATGAGATGCCACCTGTGGTCCCAACTGACAAAGATTAAGGAAGGTAAATGTATTGTATTTCCCTTTCCCTATATACCTCTACCTCTGATTTGTTTCCTTTTTCCAGGTTCTCCCTTAAAATAGTCTCCCCTCTAATTTGATGAACCTTATTCTTAGGAAATTAAAAACTCTGTCTTCAGCTTTCAAAATGATTCTCATTTGTTTCTTAGTTTTCATTCTGCAGTCTTTTTTGGTTTCTTAGCATTTTAGACTTGATCTGCCAATAACACAGAGTTTAATTGCCCTTATCTAATCTCCATGGCAGTATTTTACTACTAATACTGGCTTTCAGATAGTTTTCAGATCAAGAGCACTCATGAATGGAGATGTTTTATGAATTAGTGATAAGATGGCCTTTTTTTCTTTTTGTGCATTTGATTTACATGCCAGCCTCCTCCTTTAATGATTGGGAGATCTACCTCTCCTTTCAGACAGTAGCTAGTAAAAGACTGTGTGTTTCTCAAGAGGGCACATTTTACTAGTGCTGAAAATGAATGGAATTATTTTCTGTAGAGATTTTGGTTTGCATGAAATGAAAGCTTGGTGGGCAGATTAGTGTGTATTACACTGTAATTTTGTTTTGTCTCCAGTTACCTGTAATATCGTTTTGGAAAATGGCAGTATAGCACATCATATGTGCAAATACAGTTCATCCTTGGGCAACACAGGTTTGAACTGTGTGGGTCCACTTATAATGCAGATTTCTTTCAATAAATATATTGTAAAATTTTGTGGAGGTTTGCATTAATTTGTTAAAAACTCTCAGACCGCATAGCCTAGAAATACTGAAAAAATTAAGAAAAAGGTATGTTATTGACATGTAAACCATATGTAGATCCTAGTGTATTTTATTCTTTACTACCATAAAACATACACAAATCTGTATAAAAAGTTACAGTTTATCAAAACGTACACACACAAACTCAGATCTTACATGGCACCTTTTGCAGTCGAGAGAAATATAAACAAACGTAAAGATAAAATATTAAATCATAATTGCATAAATTAATTGTGCTACCTACTGTACTATAATAGTTCGTAGCCACCTCCTCTTGCTATTCTAGTGAGCTCAAGTATTGTGAGTATCCACTTAAAATGCCATGCGACGCTAATCATTTCCACGTGAGCAGTTCATCTCTCCAGTAAATTGTACAGTGAGTAAAAAGTGATCTCTTGTGGTTCTCATGTATTTTTTGTGTTTAGTGCAATACTGTAAACCTTGAATAACACTCTGGGACCCATACAAAGTGTCACTAGTGATGTTGGAAGTGGTCTCAAATAGCGGAGAAAAGTAATGACATTACAAGAAAAAGTTGATTGCTTGATATGTGCTGTAGATTGAGGTTTGCAGCTCTATCGTTCATATTTCTCATACAGAATTTGATTGATATGTGTCCCTTTTGCCCATTCTTTTGTGTAGGTTGGACGCACTTTTGGATATTTTCCAAAAGATTTAATCCAGGTAGTTCATGAATATACCAAAGAAGAGCTACAAGTTCCAACAGATGTAAGTTGTGGATTTCTGTCTTGTTCTCAGTTATAAGTTGGCTTATAAGTGACTACCTAGAAAAAAAGAAAAATTTCAAAAGAATTTAAATGAGATTTTATCATAATCTGATAGTTATCTAATATATGGAAATAGATGTTCTTATATAAGGCTATGTACTCTTTTTTTTTTTTGAGTCGGAGTCTCGCTCTGTCACCCAGGCTGGAGTGGAGTGGCGTGATCTCGGCTCACTGCACGCTCTGCTTCCTGGGTTCACGCCATTCTCCTGCCTCAGCCTCCCAAGTAGCTGGGACTATAGGCGCCCACCACCACGCCTGGCTAATTTTTTGTATTTTTAGTAGAGATGGGGTTTCATTGTGTTAGGATGGTCTCGATCTCCTGACCTCATGATCCGCCCGCCTCAGCCTCCCAAAGTGCTGGGATTACATGCGTGAGCCACTGCGCCCGGCCAAGGCCGTGTACTCTTATACAAGGCTTTTCTTTGCTGCTTTATATGTGAAAAATTAAGAGTTCAGTAGTTTTATATTTACTTATTAATGTTAGAAGGCAAAAAATTTCATTTCACAAGCAAAAGGAGAAATTTGAAAACTACTTATTGGATAGCTGTTAGACATTTTAAGGATATAGAAATCAGGTTAAATTAATTAAGCTCTAATTTTATACTGAGCCAGAAATGCAAACTTACAAAGGTTTTCTTATTATTGACTCTGTAGTGATTTAAGCGATTATAGTTATAGATTTGGAAAAGGGAACCAGAGAGTTTCAGGTGAGGTCCAGTCTCATATCTGTAAGGCGCTAACTACACATTCTGTAGAGCATTTATCTATAGTGCACAATGGCTTCGTGACTAGAAGGATTTTGTGTTCTAGAATCTGCATTCCATCTGATTATTATTTTTTTGAGACAGAGTCTCTCTCTGCCGCCCAGGCTGGAGTGCAGTGGTGCGATACCAGCTCACTGCAGCCTCCGCCTCCCAGGTTCAAGCAATTCTCCTGCCTCAGCCTCTGGAGTAGCTGGGATTACAGGCGCCTGCCACCACACCCAGCCAATTTTTTTGTGTTTTTAGTAGGAACGAGGTTTCACCGTGTTGGCCAGGCTGGTCTCAAACTCCTGACCTCAAGTGATCCATCTGCCTTGGCCTTCCAAAGTGCTAGGATTACAGGCTGCCTTTCATATATATATATAAAAAACACCATGCCCAGCCCCCCATCTGATTGTTTTGTGAGTTTTAGAATTTATAGTAATTGATGTCTGCTTTCATTCAAAAGTCTTTGAGTAGCTCTTTGGAGTTGCTGCAGAGCGTGCAAGCTGCTGGGCTAGGGCAGTTCTTAGAAGAGATTGGCAGAGTGAAGTCACAGAGCTATTGCTATGCTTAAAATTTCTCGACGCTCTCAGGGGTTATATAGTCAATCGTATTGCCTGTTTGGCTTCACTCCTGATGAAGAGACTGCCCGGGATTTGAGTGTGAGACAGCAATTCATTGGTCACAGAGACCTGACCTGTATACTAATTGTAGTTCCCACTGCATGATTCCCTTAATATTAAAAAAATTGGCTCAGAAGTGTGCATGATGGAAAGAGGGAAGTCATTCATCTCCAGTACACAGGACAGTTCTCACCAGAAGATTGTGAATGTTTAGTTAGGGGAAGAAAGTTATCTTTGTTGGTTTTTTAACTTTTCCATCATTTTATGGCTCCTTGTATGTCAATTTGCTTACTGGTGGAGGAAGGGAAAAATACAGATTTACTTGACAGTCCTGAAAGCAGATCTTAGTGACTGGCTAGAATCCTTATTTGGAGTTAGGTACCTACCTTACTGAATCTTGTTTTCAAGTTGTTCTTGTGGCAGTATGAAAATGGGGAGCCTCCTTTACACCATTCTTTGTTCTCTTACATTTTTATATCTCATGCACCTGTATCTCAGTAAGTTCCTTCTGAAGCTGATTTCTTTCCCAGTCCAAGGAAAATATGAGCCCCAAATCCATGTAGACTGAGAGCCTGACAGCCAGGTGATTCTGCCTGTTTCTGACTGGGTGAGCAGAGAAGTATGACATAGAGGGCACAATGTAGAGAAGCTGATGGTCTTTCAGCTCCTCCTGGATGGGTTATAAGGTGAATTCCCAGAACATCAGGCATAGATGATGGGAGTTGGGGAACCCAATAAATGACACCTTACTTTTCCCCACCTGTGCTCAAAACAAAATTGAGAGACCCAGGAGTTGGGCAAATAGGAGATCAAAATGACCCCATTATTTACTGATAAAGCTGTTTGGAGTATGCAGAAATAATGGGCTTTCTAACATTGCGGTCTAAACTAAGATGGACTTATCCAGTCACAGACAGAGCTATCCAATAGGGGTCTCCCCAGGTGGGACTGTCCCTGTAAAACGGACAGCATGGAGGAACAGAATATGTGTTTCCTCTCCAGCAGGTCCCAAACAGAAAACAGGATTGGGACTGAGCAAACTCACCAGCCACATGAATCATTCTTCCCCTGGGGAAGAGAGAATGAAGGGAAGCCAGGAGTATTACTCAGATGGGAAAGTGGGTTCCAGCCTCCTATCCACCCACTGCCCAAGAACAGTCAGTGCCCAGTGTTGACGCAAAAGCTCCTCTAGAGCCAAACGTGAATTCGAGATTATCTCAATCATTAACGTGGATAAGACTTTGCTCTGGTGACACTTGGCTATTGACAGACTAATGTTTTTCTTTTTCTTACAGGAGACGGATTTTGTTTGTTTTGATGGAGGAAGAGATGATTTTCATAATTATAATGTAGAAGAACTTTTAGGGTTTTTGGAACTGTACAATTCTGCAGCTACAGATTCTGAGAAAGCTGTAGAAAAAACTTTACAGGATATGGAAAAAAACCCTGAATTATCTAAGGAAAGGGAACCTGAACCTGAACCAGTAGAAGCCAACTCAGAGGAAAGTGATAGTGTATTCTCAGAAAACACTGAGGATCTTCAGGAACAGTTTACAACTCAGAAGCACCACTCCCATGCAAACAGCCAAGCAAATCATGCTCAGGGAGAGCAGGCTTCATTTGAATCTTTTGAAGAAATGCTGCAAGATAAACTAAAAGTGCCAGAAAGTGAAAACAACAAAACCAGCAATAGTTCTCAGGTCTCAAATGAACAGGATAAGATTGATGCCTATAAACTTTTGAAAAAAGAAATGACTCTAGACTTGAAAACCAAATTTGGCTCAACAGCTGATGCACTTGTATCTGATGATGAGACAACCAGACTCGTTACTTCATTAGAAGATGATTTTGATGAGGAATTGGATACTGAGTATTATGCAGTTGGAAAGGAAGATGAGGAGAACCAAGAAGACTTTGATGAGTTGCCATTACTTACCTTTACAGATGGGGAAGATATGAAAACTCCAGCAAAGTCTGGCGTTGAGAAATATCCAACAGATAAAGAGCAGAATTCAAATGAAGAGGACAAGGTTCAGCTAACTGTGCCCCCTGGCATCAAAAATGATGATAAAAATATACTAACAACCTGGGGGGACACTATCTTCTCTATTGTCACAGGAGGTGAAGAAACAAGAGATACGATGGATTTAGAGAGCTCTAGTTCAGAGGAAGAAAAAGAAGATGATGATGATGCATTAGTCCCAGATAGCAAACAGGGGAAACCACAGTCAGCAACAGATTATAGTGACCCTGACAATGTAGATGATGGTCTTTTTATTGTAGACATTCCTAAAACAAATAATGACAAAGAAGTAAACGCAGAACATCACATTAAAGGAAAAGGGAGGGGAGTTCAGGAATCCAAGAGGGGCCTGGTACAAGATAAGACAGAATTAGAGGATGAAAATCAAGAAGGCATGACTGTGCACAGTTCTGTTCACAGCAATAACCTCAACTCTATGCCAGCTGCTGAAAAGGGTAAAGACACATTAAAATCAGCTTATGATGATACAGAAAATGACCTAAAAGGAGCAGCTATTCATATCTCAAAAGGAATGCTCCACGAAGAAAAGCCTGGAGAGCAGATTTTGGAAGGTGGCTCAGAGAGTGAATCTGCACAGAAAGCTGCAGGGAATCAAATGAATGACAGAAAGATTCAACAGGAATCCCTGGGTAGTGCACCACTCATGGGAGATGACCACCCTAACGCATCCAGAGACAGTGTGGAGGGAGACGCTTTGGTAAATGGGGCCAAACTGCACACGCTTTCAGTGGAGCATCAACGTGAGGAATTGAAAGAGGAATTAGTTCTTAAAACTCAAAACCAACCTAGATTCTCCTCTCCAGATGAGATTGATTTGCCCAGAGAACTGGAAGACGAGGTTCCCATTCTGGGAAGAAATCTTCCCTGGCAACAAGAAAGAGATGTGGCTGCCACAGCCAGTAAGCAAATGAGTGAGAAGATAAGGCTCTCTGAGGGAGAAGCCAAAGAGGACTCCTTGGATGAAGAGTTTTTTCATCACAAGGCAATGCAGGGCACAGAGGTAGGACAGACAGACCAAACTGACAGCACAGGAGGACCAGCTTTCCTTTCTAAAGTAGAAGAGGATGATTATCCCTCTGAAGAACTACTAGAGGATGAAAACGCTATAAATGCAAAACGGTCTAAAGAAAAAAACCCTGGGAATCAGGGCAGGCAGTTTGATGTTAATCTGCAAGTCCCTGACAGAGCAGTTTTAGGGACCATTCATCCAGATCCAGAAATTGAAGAAAGCAAGCAAGAAACTAGTATGATTTTGGATAGCGAAAAAACAAGTGAGACTGCTGCCAAAGGGGTCAACACAGGAGGCAGGGAACCAAATACAATGGTGGAAAAAGAACGCCCTCTGGCAGATAAGAAAGCACAGAGACCATTTGAACGAAGTGACTTTTCTGACAGCATAAAAATTCAGACTCCAGAATTAGGTGAAGTGTTTCAGAATAAAGATTCTGATTATCTGAAGAACGACAACCCTGAGGAACATCTGAAGACCTCAGGGCTTGCAGGGGAGCCTGAGGGAGAACTCTCAAAAGAGGACCATGAGAACACAGAGAAGTACATGGGCACAGAAAGCCAGGGGTCTGCTGCTGCAGAACCTGAAGATGACTCGTTCCACTGGACTCCACATACAAGTGTAGAGCCAGGGCATAGTGACAAGAGGGAGGACTTACTTATCATAAGCAGCTTCTTTAAAGAACAACAGTCTTTGCAGCGGTTCCAGAAGTACTTTAATGTCCATGAGCTGGAAGCCTTGCTACAAGAAATGTCATCAAAACTGAAGTCAGCGCAGCAGGAGAGCCTGCCCTATAATATGGAAAAAGTCCTAGATAAGGTCTTCCGTGCTTCTGAGTCACAAATTCTGAGCATAGCAGAAAAAATGCTTGATACTCGTGTGGCTGAAAATAGAGATCTGGGAATGAACGAAAATAACATATTTGAAGAGGCTGCAGTGCTTGATGACATTCAAGACCTCATCTATTTTGTCAGGTACAAGCACTCCACAGCAGAGGAGACAGCCACACTGGTGATGGCACCACCTCTAGAGGAAGGCTTGGGTGGAGCAATGGAAGGTGAGATGCCTATGGCCTTGTAGAACAGGGCTGGAGAAGCAGGTGGGTGGGTCGCTGAGGTGCCTCCTATCTTGTGAAGCTCTGTTCAGTTTCCAATGTGCCTAAAGGAGAGGGACAACACAGGGAGGTCCACATGTTCCTTCCTGCCATCTTTCTTTTAGGCTGGAGCATGGAGAAGAATTTCTTGCCGTTTCCCTTAGAATAGTTGAGACTGGTTAGCATTTTCAAAAGGAAACTTTGTAAAAAGCTAAAGAGAAAGATATAAACCAGAAAGTAATATACAAAATACAAATGTCATGTAAAATTATGAAAGGGTTTTATTGAACACAATTTTTCAGTCGTCAGATAACTGCTCTGTAACCATGGATTGACTGGTATAACTTTTAGATCAATGCCTTGGCTAAATTCCTACGTTCTCCCCAATTTTATCTTTTGTGGATGGCTTGTTCTTCCTGTTTCTTGGGAGCACTTACTCCAGTTAAACCCTCCTGGGCCGTAAGGTTCTTGCATGCAGATTAATCAAGATTGGGACAGGGATGCCTTCGAATGCAGTGCTTGATGCGTGGAAGCCATTCAGTTGAATTAACCCCGAGCCAATATCCTGACATAAGCATTCTGATTCCTAGTTCCTTGTTCTATTCTCTGCATCCAGGCTTTTCTCTTTCTTTTCTTTTCTTTTCTTTCCCTTTGCCCACCTGCCCTTCCTTCCTTCCTTCCTCTTTCTTTTTTTCTTTTCTTTTTTTTTTTCTTAAGACAGGCTCTCACCCTGTCACCCAGGCTGGAGTACAGTGGCATGATCATAACTCATTGCAGCCTCCAACTCCTAGGCCCAAGCGAACCTCCCATCTCAGCCTCCTAAGTGGCTAGGACTACAGGCATGCATCACTGTGCCCAAATAATTTTTATTTATTGTAGAGACAGGGTCTTGGTATGTTGCCCAGGTTGATCTTGAACTCTTGGCCTCAAGTGACCCTCCTACTTTGGCCTCCCAAAGTACTGGGATTACAGGTGTGAGCTACCGCACCTGGTATATCCAGGCTTTTCAGACAGATGTATCTGAATTGAGAGTACCAAGGGGACAGGAAGCCACAGGAAAACGTATTACTCCAGAGTGCTAATTTTTCCTAAGAAATGGGGGAGGAGAACTTTTTTGCATTTAATTAAAACATATATTTTGGATAAGAAGGCAATATTCAGATGAATTTTCAGGGTAAAATATGAGGCTACAAGGAAATTCACCTTTGCTGTGGATCACATTGGACTGTCCCCTAAGCCTCTTAGGAGAGGAGATGGCTTCACTTTGTTTGACTCTTAGAGGTACTTTGAAAGTATTCGAAAGACATCTCAGCAAGCTGCCTTGGCGTGGAATGTCCCTGTCTGTACTAGTTCTGTGAGAAAGGCATGCTAGGGTATGCAAGAGTTCATGTTACTTCTCTGCAGAATAGATGTTTCACATTTCTGCTCTTGAGTGGAATTCTCATTTGCACATTTATTTGTGTGGGTGTAGGCTGATTTGCCAAGGAAAGATGTTACTGAAGTCCCTACCATAAATGTATTTATTTATGAAATACTCCTCTGTAGATTTTATTATGTAGATTAGTCATCCTTTAAATGGAATAAAAGAAACTGAAACTCTTATTTCCCTGCCCAGTTGTGCTCCATGGGATGCCCATGCATGGAGGTCAATGTTGAGGTGCCCTGGTGTGGTCAGTGGGATTAGCCTAACAGGTAGTGTCATCAAGCTGTGCTAGCCCAGTGTATTCTTCTCACCCTAGAGATGCAACCACTGCATGAAGATAATTTCTCACGAGAGAAGACAGCAGAACTTAATGTGCAGGTTCCTGAAGAACCCACCCACTTGGACCAACGTGTGATTGGGGACACTCATGCCTCAGAAGTGTCACAGAAGCCAAATACTGAGAAAGACCTGGACCCAGGTAAAGCCTGCTAATTTTTTTCTACAAAGTGGAGAAATCATAAAGAAGGCCTTCTAGGAGATTCATTGTCAAAGGCAGGAGCTAGAGACTTGTTAAATTCAAAGGAAAAAAGGATCCCAGAGCTAATTGAGAGAAAAGCAGGCGTCAAGACAGATGGAGATCAAAAATAGGAAAGACACCAGAGACTATAACTAACCTACAAACCAATGTTTGGCTGTCACTATCTTGTGTAAATTATTTCAATCTAAAATATTATTCTTAAAAGGCCTTATGCTCTAAAACAGTAGTTTTCAACCAGCCCAGCAGCATCAGAAACTCTGGGGGTGGAACCGGCAATCTGTGTTTAACAAGCCCTCCAGGAAAGACTGACCTGATGCAAATTACAGTTGGAGAACCACTGCTCTAAAACTCACAAATTCTGTTTTTCCTCTACTTTACCCCTCTCTTTCCAAATAAAATACAATGCAATGCAGTTCTTTTTTTTGATTTGCTATCTGGACATGGTAAGTAAAACTTCTTAAAATACAGTGAAGGGGTCCAAGTATGTTTATAGCATAAGCTCATAGGAGACAGTACAGAACACTGTAGTGTGTAATAGTCCAGGATAGACCGACACAAAGAGTATTTCACCACAGTGCACAGTAAACATCCAGTGAGAGATGAGAACGTTTACTTTCCAGGCACAGTGCCTAATATTTAGTGGATACTCAATAAGTATTTTTTAAAGAGAATTCTTATTCTAAAGCACAAAATGTCTATCTTTCCTCCCAATTCCAGGGCCAGTTACAACAGAAGACACTCCTATGGATGCTATTGATGCAAACAAGCAACCAGAGACAGCCGCCGAAGAGCCGGCAAGTGTCACACCTTTGGAAAACGCAATCCTTCTAATATATTCATTCATGTTTTATTTAACTAAGTCGGTAAGTTTAACATAGTTTTTTTTTAACTAAAATGTTGATTATTACAGTTTTTAAGTTGATTTTGAGCATGAGGTGAAGAACTTAAAATGTCTTTATGAACCTGACTCCTGATCCTTTGAAGAGAGACCCTGAAATGAGCCACAGGTGTGTGGCTTTAATGGGCTCTTAGTTCAGCACATGAGGAGGCTTTGCTGCATGCTGGAGCTGGGCACAAGCACACCTGTCAAACGTGGTTCTTCCTTTCAGGGACCTTTCAGTTTAGCCAGGAGAGAAAGACAGTCACTTGAAATGTAACATGATAATGGGCAGGAAGAGAAGTATTTACCTGATGGTAGAACAATCTGTGGCATAAATTGGTTCATCGTGGAGGGAGAGTGATAGGAAAGGCCAGAAATTCGCTGAGATATGCTTTAAGCAGATTCGAAAGAGATGGGAGCTTGACTTGGAGTTGTCAAATAGAAGGGCTAGGGGAAGGATGTGGGCAGGGGGGCGGGCAGCATGCAGTCAGGCAGAAGAAATAACACATTCAGAGAAATGGAGGCATGAAGAAAAGGTTATTTGGGGAAGCCAGGGAAGCGTGGGTAGTTGGTGTTTTTTCTTTTTCTTTTTTTTTTAAATTGAGACAGGGTCTTGCTCTGTTGCCCAGGCAGGAGTGCATTGGCGTGATCTCAGCTCACTGCAACCTCTGCCTCCTGGGCTCAGGCGATCCTCCTGCTTCAGTCTCCTGAGTAGCTGGGATCACAAGTGTGCACCACCATGCCTGGCTATTTTTTGTAGAGGTGGGGTTTTGTGATGTTGCCCAGGTTGGTCTCGAACTCCTGAGCCCATGGGAGCTGCCCACCTTGGCCTCCCAAAGTGCTGGGATTACAGGCGTGAGCCACCATTCCCGGCCAGTTGGTGTTGTTAAAGTGTGGAGTTAAAATTAGCTGGGCAGGGTGGTGCACACCTGTAATCCCATCTACTTGGGAGGCTGAGGCAGGAGAATAGCTTGAGCCCGGGAGGCAGAGGTTGCAATTAGCTGAGATCGTGCCACTGCATTCCAGCCTGAGCGACAGAGCAAGACCCTGCCTCAGAAAAAATAAAAATAAAAAAGTATGGAGTTAGGAGGGAGAAGGTCTGTTGGAGGGACTCAGGGAAAGTCAGAAAGGAAATTGTACACCATAGTGAGTGGTCAGACCATTGTTGGCAGAGATCCTTGGAAGATTTTAAGCAGGAAAGGGATTGTCAGGTCTGTTTCTTAGAAAGAGTCACTTATGGCAGAATATTTATTCAGATCTTTCTAAAGGGAGCCATGCTCCAAATGAGACATTTAATGTCTAGAAGCTTATCTAGGCTTTTTAGGACTTAGCTCCCCCTTGTGGTACTCGGTGGAATTGGACTTTTTTTCTTGGTAAATTAGAGGACTAAGCAAGCTCTTGAAGTTGGAGGCCAGGTTGCCCTTAGGGCTACAGAGAAAGTATGCTTCTCACCAAAGCCATTTCCTTTAGGTTCTGTTATTTCAAGACTCGAATAGGAAAGAGCGTTCTTGTTGTTTTTCTGTTAAAATCCATGGGTTTCAAGCCAAGATGATTTTATTTCAAATCCCAAAGCTATCGATTAGAAGTTTAGGGCAAATTACTAAACTTTGAACCTCAACTTTCTCATCTGAAAAATTTAGATAATACATACTCCAATTGTTGGTAAGAATTAAATGACATGATAATGTAAAATGTCTGGTGTAGCAACTGGCATTTTGTAAGATCTCATCCCTCACCTAATTCTCATTTGGATGGTCAGAGGGCATATAAAGACATTGAATACCTGAGGGTTTCAGGAGAAAGACCACCAGGATGGAAAACAAGTAGGAAAACCAAACCATTTTTCAGTATTATTCATGTTTGTTCTGGTGATAGCCACCTGGGTGAAGGTGTGTATTATCTTTGCAGTTGGAATAATGAAGTTTTCAGGGATTAAGACAGTCTCAGAATTCAGAATTTGGTTTTCAGAGTGAAATTATCACTTGAAAAATTTAACAGCCCCAGTTGTAGAAGGAATTCTTTATTCATTGTATTTCTAGATACGCACAGAGCCCTCTTCTAGGCCTGGGTTGGGGCATATAGGAGTGGTGTAGGATACGATCTGTGATCAGGGGATAACAGGGAATGACAGACATGAATGGCAAGATATAAGGGCGCAGTGTTATAAGATGCCGACTTGAGAGGGATTGTCAAAAGAGCATTTTGATGGCTAAATATGTACCAGAAATTGTGCTAGGAATACAAGATTCCAAGAGGTATAAAGTGTAATTCTGACTTTTGAAAGTCTTCAAAAAAAGTTTACCAAATACATGTGAAAATTGGAGAAAGTGGAGAATATAGGAAATAGTTTATGCAAAGTATCAAGTAGTTCATATAGATAATTGTTTCATAGGGTTTTGGAGTAATGGGGTGCTGACTTTATTGGGAAAACTATACCAGAGGTCAGACTCGTAGATCAATAATTGATGAATAGTTAGTGGAATCTTAGGGTTGGAAGAGACCTTAGAAGCTACTAGTCCAACTTCTCAGTAGTCACAGCAATTCCCTGTACTCTAACCCTGCCATTTTGGGACCTGTGCGTCACCGGTTCCTAGTGTAAGCCGCCTACCTTGCAAGGCTATACATTCCTTTGTTGCCTATTTCATTCTTATACTGACTCCAAATTTTCCTCCAGATGATTTCCTCTATAGAATCTAGTTTTCTTTTTACATAGTAATCCTTTAAATATTTGAAGTTATACTTTAATTTATTTTAGCATTTTATCCTGGAAAATTTCAAATATACAAAAGCAGAGAATCCGTGGGACCATCACCCAATAATTCCCAAAAGTGACTGTACCATTTTATACTTCCATCAGCAGTTAATGAAACTTCCATTTGACCACACCTTCCCTAACACTTGGTATTATCAGTCTTAAATTTTAGCCATTGTAGTGGGTATGCCTTTCTGGTTTTAATTGTAATTCCTGATGATTAATGATATTGAGCACTTTTTCACTGCTTATTGGCCATAGTTTTTTGTGTGTCAGTTCACTCTGACTAGCTGGAATTTAAATGTCTTGCAGCCCTGTGACAACTCTGGGAATTGTTTAGCTTACAGTTGTTCTTTTTTCCTTTAGTTATTCTTTGCCCATCCTCAAGGAATCTTACCCTACACAGGAGCTGTTTAGAATTCAGGCTGAGGCTGAAGGAGAGACCTCCTTGCATATTTCTGGAACTCTACTTGTTCCTAGTGTCCATCTTTTTTTTTTTTTTTTTTTTTTTTGAGATAGAGTCTTGCTCTGTTGCCCAGGCTAGAGTGCTGCGGTGCCATCTTGGCTCATTGCAACCTCCACCTCCCGGGTTCAAGCGATTCTCCTGCCTTAGCCTCCCAAGTAGCTGGGATTACAGGCACCCGCCACCACACCCGGCTAATTTTTGTATTTTTCAGTAGAGACAGGGTTTCATCATCTTGGCCAGGCTGGTCTCGAACTCCTGACCTCGTGATCCACCGGCCTCGGCCTTCCAAAGTGCTGGGATTACAGGTGTGAGCCACTGTGCCCAGCCCATAGTATCCATCTTTCTGGTACCTTTTCCTGCATATTTCAGATGCCTCAGTCTCCCCGAGCTTTAATCTCTGCCTCCTCTGCAAGATTGGTGTACTCTGCTTGGGTTCCCTATCCCTGCACTGAAGTCAAGAAAGTACCGCCAGGTAGAAAGCTGGGAGGTTGTAGAGCTCACCTATTTGTTTCTTTTCTCTCAGGGGTCACAATTGTGTGCTGCCTGTTGTTCTCTATATGAAAAACAGTTTTTAAATATCTTTTGTTTAGTTTGCTTGTTGCTTTCAGTGGGAGGGTGAGTCTCATACCAGTTACTGTCTATGGAGTTCTTTCTGTTATTATTGCAGTGCATTCATTGAAGAA
This sequence comes from Homo sapiens, assembly GCF_000001405.40. Classification (NCBI taxonomy): domain Eukaryota; kingdom Metazoa; phylum Chordata; class Mammalia; order Primates; family Hominidae; genus Homo; species Homo sapiens. Next base: position 222,637,168 of record NC_000001.11, read on the forward strand.
ACAGTTTTGTTTGGCTTCTAAGGTATATGATGGTCTAGATTTTGCTGACTACATCCCCCTGGTGTATTTTAACATTTTTCTCTGGTTCTTTATATTTCCTGGGAATTGATAGTTGCATCAGTAGTCAAATTCAGATTCAATTTTGTTTGTCAAGAATACTTAATAGGAGATGTTATGTACTTCCATCAGGAGGCATTTAACATCTGGGTGTCCCTCTTTTTTTAAAATTCTCTTTATATTGTTCCTCCTTCATTTAAAGGCTGGGGTATTTCTACAAAGAGAAACTTATGATCAAGTATTCTTTACACTGAGATTTGGCTTGTATAGTTAAGGCAGGGTAAATATTTGATTCTTTTTGTTTATTTAAACAGTTTTCAAAATAACGAGTTAGACAACTCATTCGTGGCATTATCAAATGATGCCCAAAGGGTTTTGTTTTTTTCTGACTCTTTCTAATAATCATTATGCTGTCATGGATTTAAAAATATTTGGTGTGTTTCTATCCAATCAAGAATAATTTTTTTTTTTTTTTTTTTTGGTTAAGATAGGGTCTCACCCTGTTTCCCAGGCTGGAGTGCAGTGGTGTGATCATGGCTCACTGCAGCCTCGACCTCTCTGGGCTCAGGTGATCCTCCTACCTCAGCCTCCTGAGTAGCTGGGACTACAGGTGTGTGCTACCATTTTTTATATTTTTTGTAGAGACGGGGTTTTGCCATGTTTCCCAGTCTGGTCTCAAAATCCTGGGCTCAAGTAATTTGCCTGCCTCAGCCTCCCTAAGTGTTGGGATTACAGACATGAGCCACCATGCCTGGCCAGTTATTCTTATTGATGATCAATTTACAATTATAATTGGAGATTTCAGTATCCCTTCTCAATAACTGATAGAATAGGAAGTCAATAAGGATCTAGAAGTTATGAACATCATCATTAACCAACTTGACATTATTGATGTTTATGGAACATTCCACCCAAGAAGAGCAGAATACATATTATATACTTTTTAGTGCACATGAAGCGTTTACCAAAATAAACTATATTATCAGCCATAAAACAAGTCTAATGAATATAAAATGATTCAAGTAGTACAAAGTCTGTTCTCTTCACAATATAATTAAGTTAGAAATGAATAATGGAAATATCTGGAAAATCCCCAAATATTTGGAAACTAGGTGACACACTTCTTTCTGAACATCTTATGAGTTTAAAAGGAAAAGGAGAAATTAGTATTTTGAGATGAATGAAAATGAAAACAGGCCAGGCGCAGTGGCATCCCAGCACTTTGGAAGGCTGAGGCAGGAGGATCACTTGAGCCCAGAACTTCAAGACCAGCCTAAACATGGTGAAATCCTGTTTCTACAAAACACACACACACACACACACACAGCTGGGCATGGTGGCACGTGTCTGTAGTCCCAGCTACTCAGGAGGCTGAAGTGGGAAGGTTGCTTGAGCCCAGGAGGTCGAGGCTGCAGTGAGCAGAGATTGTACCACTGCACTCCAGCCTGGGTGACAGAATGAGACCTTGTCTCAAGAAAAGAAAAAAAAATAAAGACAAGAAAATGAAAACAAATATATCAAGTGTGTACAATGTCGCCAAAGAACGAGTGGGAAATGTATAGCACTACCTATATTAGAAAAAAAAGGAAAGGTCTCAAATAAGTGACTTTATTTTCCACCATAAGAGACTAGAAAAAGAAAAGCAAATTAATCCTCAAGTAAACAGGAGAAAAGAAATAATGAAGATAAGAGCATAATTCAGTGAAATAGAAAACAAAAGGAAAAGAGAGAAAATCAATGTAACCAAAACCTGGTTCTTTGAGATTAATAAAACTGATTAACCTATAGCCAAAGTGAACAGGGAAAGAAGAGAGGGAATACAGATCACCAATAGCAGCAATCAGAGAGACATCACCACATATTCTTCAGATGTTAATTATAATAAGGGAATATTATGAGCAATTTATGTCAACTAATTTGACAATTTAGATGAAGAAATTCTATCTAAGACACAGACTGCAAAAGCTCATTCAGGAAGAAACAGATAACCTTATGACTATTAAGTAAATTGGATTTACAGCTAAAAACCTTTCCACAAAGAAAACCCAGATGGCTTCACTGCTGAATTCTATTAAACTTAAGAGGAAGAAATACTACAAATTCTACACAAACTTGTCTATTAAACTGAAGAGGAGAAAATACTTCCCAGCTCATTGTATGAAGCTGATGTTACCAGGATATCAAAACAAGGCAAAGACAAAGACAAGTAAGAAAGAAAACCACAGACCAGTATCTCTCATAAACATTGGTACAAAAATTCTAAACAAAAATTTTAGCAAATCAAATCCAGCAATATATAAAAAGGAAAATACTCTATGACCAAATAGGGTTAACATCAAGAATACAAAGTTTGTTTAACATTTGAAAATCAGTGTAATTAACCATAATGACAAACTTTAAAAAGACAATCCATATGTTCAGTTCAACAAACACAGAAAACCACTTTGAAAAAAATCTAAAATTGATTACTATGTAATTTAAAAAACAATATATCAACAAACTAGGAATGGAAGGGAACTTAAATCACTTTTATGAAAGACTTAAACATCATACTTAATAGTGAATGATTGAATGTTTTTCCCCCAAGATCCAGAAGTGAAACAAGAATGTCTACTCTCATTACATCTGTTCAGTGTTATAAGGCAATAGCCAGTGCACTAAGGCAAGAAAAAGAAATAAAATGCATCCAGATTGGGAAATAAGTAAAATTGTCTTTTTTTGCAGACAACATGCATAAAATCTGGTGGGATGTAGAAAAAAATCTAGTTTAGTAAGGTTGCTAGATAAAGATTTACATCTAAAAGCAATTGTATTTATATATCGTAGCAATGAACAATTGGAAATTGAAGTTAAATTCCATGTACAATAGTATCAAAAATATGGAGTACTTATGGATAAATGTGGCAAAAAGTGTGTAAGACATATGCATTAAAAACTATAAAATATTGCTGATAGAAATTAAAGAAGACCTAAATAGATGGAGAGATAGACCTTGTTTATGAGTCAGAAGACTATATTGTTAAGCTCCCCAATTTGATCACTTGCATTAACATAGCCCCAATTAAAATCTCAGAAGGATTTTTTTTTAAATGACAAGCTGATTCTACAATTCATATGGAAAATGCAGAGGACCTAGAATAGCCCAAGCATCATGTAATTTCAAGACTTACTATAAAGCTCTAGTAAGTAAGACAGCAGATGAATAGACCATTGGAACAAAATAGAAAATCTGGAAATATACATGTATGACAGTGGACTTCTGACAAAGGTGGAAAGACAATTAAATGTACAAAGGAAAGTCTTTTCAACAAATGGTACCAAAACTATTAGATATTTATATGCAAAAAATTGATCCATACCTCACATGATGTACATAAATTAACTCAAAGCAGATAATAGACTTAAATGTAAACCCTAAAACCATAAAACTTCTAGGAAAAATTAAGAGAAAAATTTTGTTGAACTTGGATTGGCAAAGATTTCTTACAGTTGACATCAAAAGTATGATTCATAAAGGAGAAATTTGATTATTTGGATTTAATCAAAATAAAAACATCTCTTCAAAACACACTGTTATACAAACTACAGACTGGGAAAGAGTCACTGCAAAGCATCTATCTGATAAAATATTTGTATTCAGAATACATAAAGAACTCTCAAAATTCATCTAAAAAAATGTAATGCAGTAAAATTACACTTTACCAAGGAAGATATACCAATTGCAAGTAAGCACATTTAAAAATGTTCACCATAATTATCAGGGAAATGCCAATTTAAAGCAGAATGAGTTACCACTACACACTTACTATAATGGCTAAAATTTCAAAAACTGATTTTACCATGTGTTGGAGAAGATGTGGAGGAAATGGAAGTATCATACACTGCTGATGGGGATGTGAAGTGGTACAGCTATCTTGAAAAACAGCTTGTCAGTTTCTTAAGAAGGTAAACCTACACTGGTCATATGATCCAGCCATTCTTCTCCTAAACATTTACCTGAGACACATTTACCCAAGTGAAAATAAATTATACATGCATAGAAAGACTTGTAGGTCAATGTTTTTGACAGTTTATTTTTTCTGCCCAGCTGGCACATTTACTGGCATTAAATATAAGACCCTTCCCTTCCCTGGCACCAGGAAGCCATGCCCAAGGGGTATCCCTCTGCCCCATTTCTGCAACAGATTCTTCAGGTCTTAGCAGTAGCCTGAGCTGCCCCCAGGGCTCTGGGCTGCTGAATCGTCTGGCTCATCATTTCCATGACAGCATGGTGTGCTCCTGGAGAGCTGGTGGATTTTCTCTATCTGCTTGGTTAGGAAGTCTGTCTTCCTCTTCAAGAAGTCCTTGGCATCCTCGGCTATCTTATCTACATAGTACCCAGTTCCTACATCAATGAGCACATGTTCCACATCATGCAGCTTCTCAGGGACATATATTAAACTCGTCAGTGGGAGGAGTAATTCTCTTCCCTCATTGTTCTCGCTCAGCATGTTCAGACAGTCCTTGGCTTCTACATACTTGGTCTGTACCACTTTGAGCTGGGCAATGGAGGTGGACAAGAACTCCATTTCCTGGTCCAGCTGGTTCTTGAGCATTTCTAGCTGCGGCAGATTCATCTCTGTGATAGTCTTGGAAGTTTTATTTATAAAAGCCTAAAACTGGAAAAAATCAAATATCTATCTATAGATGACAGATAAACAGATTATGGCATACCCATACAATGAAATGCTACTCAGCAATTAAAAAAAGAACCATTATAGATATGTGCAGCAATGTGGGTGAATTTCAAATTATGCTGAATGAGAGAAGCCAGAGAAAATATAATCGTGCATTATTACATACATATAAAACTTTAGGAAATGCAAACTAATGTATTATGACAGACATTCTGCTTCAGGGGCAGGGAGGGATGAAAAGGGGCAGATTACCAAGGGAATAAGGAGACTTTGGGAGGTTCACTATGTTGGTTGTGATGATGGTTTCACAGGCGTATTCATATGCAAAACTGATCAAACTGTGCACTTTAAATACATATAACTTATTGAATGTCATATTTCCCTCAAAGCTGTAAAGAAAAAAAATCCTAACTTTCTTAGATAAAAGTAGTAGTCTCTACTTTTCTCTACCTTTTAAAAAAAATGTATTCTGACAGCATACCCTAGCAGTATATAAAATTATTTTCTTTTATAGCTTCACAGTATACTTTGTTGTATTTAATATGTCTTTCATTCATGGCCATTTTGGTTGTTTCTAGTCTTTTGTTATAAGTAATGCTGGAATAATATAGTTTTGTGCATATATTTTTTCAGCATTTGTTGTTATATCCCCAGTATCTTTGAGATAGATCTTTAGAAGTAGGATTGTTGAGTCAGTAGGTAAATACACAAGTTATTTCAGGAGACGTTGCCAAATCATAGGGGTTGTATGATTTTATATAAAGATCAGCATAGCATGAGAGTGCCTGCTTCCTCCACATTCTCTCACCTACAGAGTGTGTTGTCAAATGTTTGGATCTTGCCAAGATAAGTGAGAAATCATATTTCATTGTAGGTTCATTTTGTATTTCTTGTATCATGAGTGAGGCAGAGCATGTTTCCATATGTTTTTAAATTATTTGCATTTCTTTTCCTGGGATCTGTTCATTACCTCAGCCCATTTTTCTATAGGTTTGCTAGCGGCTATCTTCTTATTTGTAAAGCACTTTATATTTTAGGAATATTAATCCTTCATAATATGTTACAAATATTTTTTCTTAGGTTACCATTGCCAAAGTTTGATTATTTTGCAATTTTTTTGGATGGGGTTGGGCAAGTTTTTTTGGTTTTCCAGTAATCAAATTTACGAATATTTTCCTTTGTTGCTTTTGGATTTTGATACATAATTAGGAAGGTCTTGCCCACTCACATAATACATAGAGACAGTCACTCAATTTTTTCAACTTGTTTGTTTTCATTTTTTACATTCAGGTTTCTGATTAACTTGGAATTTATGAACAATGAGAAAAAGATCCAGTTTTATCATTTTCCATATTGTTATCTAGATATGTAATACCACTTATTAAAAAGTCTGTTAACCAGCTGCCTTGCTGTATCGCAAATTTCCAGTGCAGTTGGGTCTATTTCTGGATTTTTTATTCTGCCCCGTGGTCGGTCTGCATCCTTGGGCCAGTACCATACTGTTATTACAGATCCTGCCCTCCTCTTGTACCACACCCTTCACTGCTCTTCTTTCTCAGGGTTTTCCTGCTTGTTCTTGCTTGATTGTTCCTCTGAGTTGACTTTATATTCAACTCGAAGAGAGACCTTTAAAGGTCTAAAAATGGTATTTTTTATCTACAGATACCATTTTTTCCCCACAGATTAAATGTCCCCGGTTTCTTCAACTTTTGGAACGTGATTTCCATACTATTCATTATCCTTGTCCTTTTCCACAAGTCATATAACCTTAAGATGTGGCCGGACACTTGTAGTCCCAGCTTCTTAGATGGCTTGAGCCCCGGAGTTCGAGTCCAGCCTGGGCAACATAGGGAGACTCCCTCCCCTTCCCCGCAGCCACCATCTAAAAAAAAAAGTGGGACCCATAACTCAACCCATGTGCATGGGGGTGACACGATGACATGACTCCTGGGTAAGACTTTTTAATAGAGTGTCGGCAAGAATGTGAGACAGCGAGCGCAATGGAGGTCTGGAGGCGGAACAGTAAGCAGAGGACTGAGTGGGCAAGGAAGAAAGGCCGCGCACTGCAGTGGCGCCCCATCTGAGCGGTGGTCCTTCCACGCTGTGACAGGAAGGGCCAGCTCCGGGCCGGCACGAGAGACCTGCTTTTCTCCTTTTCCCCAGCTGCCGCCCACAATCCTCCTCCAGGTAAATCCCTGGCCTCATTACTCTGGGGCTCTTTAAGTCGCCGGTTCCTGGCGAAAGCGCCAGTCACTTCCGCCTCTTTTTACTGGGATTCTTCCGCTCTAGCCCTATTCGCTCTTCTCTCCCGTCCCCTCGATAGTTGGTTCCGTCCGCTCTGGCCCCGCCCTCGCCGGCCGGCTCCTTTGGTGCCTTGAGGTGCGCCAGGGGCAGTGGCTGATGACGTGTTTTATAGGCGGCATAAAGCGAAAGTGCAGGCAGCTGTGGAAGGCGAAGTTCAATCCCAGAGTCCGCCCCCTGAATTGGGGCCTTTCCGGAGGAGGAAGCTCTGAAAAACAGGGGGCCCAGTGCCATTCCGCAGGGAATTGTCGCTTGCGTTCAGCTGTTCTACACAATGGACTCAGTACCTGCCACTGTGCCTTCTATCGCCGCTACCCCGGGGGACCCGGAACTTGTGGGACCCTTGTCTGTGCTCTACGCAGCCTTCATAGCCAAGCTGCTGGAGGTGACAGTCCCGATTCCCGGGGAGGGACCCAAGCTGTCACAGGCGGGTGGATGAGTTCTAAGCAGAGTGGGTGCACTGATTGTCTGTGCAAAGGAGAAATGGAGTGTGTCAGATCCGAGGAAAGCAAGACGTTTCTATGCTGTTTAGGGAGGCAGGTGGGAGTGTGTTTGAGAAGGTTTCGTCACTCTTTTTTTTTTTTTTATTGAGTACTTACGAAGTGACAGCACTTTATGTTCTGGTGTGAAGTCATGATCAAAACACAGAGAACCTACAGGTCTTTTCTGCATAACCCCCGGCTCTGTTGTGGGATGGGACCAGTGTGATAGTGTACTTGTAAAGGGCTGTGGAAACAGCATAGAGCAGACAGGTGTTTAATGCACTGTTTTCAAGGAAACATTTAGAATTAAGGCACTAAATTCAAAGCGGTTTATCTAGATCAGTTATCAGGAGCTATCCGAACTTAGTCAGCATTTGTTCTTTGTTTATGTAAGTCGATTTAAGATTTTAAATCTTAGAGGAATAAAACGTTATTTGTGATATTCATTATCATCATATTGGTTTTATTTGCAGCCATAAAAAGTTAGTTACTTGTATATAAAAGGTTTTTTGTCTTATGTGGTTTTTTAAGCAATAAAAACCAATTTATTCAAGACAAAAGTATGATGCAGAGAGATTCCAGCCATGTTTTAGATAACATATTGTATCAGGGCCTATTGAAACTAGAAATATATGCCCAACCTAAAGACATTTAGAGTCATAGTACTTCAAAACACCACAGGCCAAACAATAAGTATGAGACTCCCAGTATCCTGTTTTTCTTAAAGCAGTGAGAGCTACTGAAGATTTTTGAGGGGATAGGTATCTGATAGAGTTGGTTTAGAATTTCTGTGAATGAGTCTTTGTGACTGCTTTATGGTAAGCTTCTTTAAGGTTTCTCATTATTTCTAACATTATTTCTAACATTCAGCTAGTTGCTACATTGCCTGATGATGTTCAGCCTGGGCCTGATTTTTATGGACTGCCATGGAAACCTGTATTTATCACTGCCTTCTTGGGAATTGCTTCGTTTGCCATTTTCTTATGGAGAACTGTCCTTGTTGTGAGTAAATTAATGCATACTTTAACTCATAAATTCAAGTATGGTTTTATAATCACAGTCCTTTTGTTTCTTTTTCAGTTTCTAATATGAACAGAAATTAATGCTTTTAATTCAAGCTAACCTTGTAAAATAATTTAGTATAATTTTTGTGTTGGTAAATTCTTAAGTGAATAAGACAACATGTATAATCTCAGTGGGAAAACTTCAGTTTATATGTCTCATATCAAAGTCTAAATTTTAAGAATTAGGTGGGTCTGTATTTCAACTCACAAAGGATGAAAAGAAAGAATTAGATAGGTCATATGTACACTGTTAGTAGAACTAGGAATTCTTAGAGCCATCCTGAAAAATAGTTTCATGATGTGTATGATAAGCCTTAAAAATGGTTATATCCTTTTATATTGTATTAATGTCATGTCTAGTAATCGATCCTAAAGAAATAACCAGTCAGCCGGCACAGTGGCTCACACCTGTAATCCCAGCACTTTGAGAGTCCGAGGCAGGCGGATCACTTGAGGCCAGGAGTTCGAGACCAGCTTAGCCAACATGATGAAACCCCATCTCTTCTAAAAATACGAAAATTAGCCAGGTGTTGTGGCACATGCCTGTAATCCCAGCTACTCGGGATGCTGAGGCAGAGAATCGCTTGAACCTGGGAGGCGGAGGCTGCAGTGAGCTGAGATGTGCCACTGCACTCCAGCCTGGGTGACAGAGTGAGACTCCATCTCAAAAAAAAAAAAAAAGAAAGAAAGAAATAACCAATCATGCATTAAATATCTTACATGGCCGGGCGTGGTGGCTCACACCTGTAATACCAGCACTTTGGGAGGCGGAGGCGGGTGGATCACATAAGGCCAGGAGTTTGAGACCAGCCTGACCAACAAGACAAAACCCCATCTCTACTAAAAATACAAAACTTAGCCGGGGGTGGTGGCAGGAGCCTGTAATCCCAGCTACTTGGGAGGCTGAGGCAGGAGAATCGCTTGAACTGGGGAAGCAGATCATGCCACTGCACTCCAGCCTAGGCGACAAAGTGAGACTCTGTCTCAAAAAAAAGTTTTAAATATCTTACATGAGAGCATTCAGTAGAACAGTATTTATTAGAGTGAAAACTTTGACACAACCTACTGTGATTCACAGTGGGAAAATTGTTAAATTATTGTATGTTCATATAATGGGATATTAGGCTGCTTTATATAATTCAAAGACATAGGAGCACAACAAATACTCACAATTTAACATGAAGTAGAAAAAAAGTAGAAACCAAGACTTTAAGGTATAGATAAACTGTATATTACATAAACATACACACAGAAAATAAATGCTGCAAGGAAATACAATAAAATGATAAAAATTCTTATATCTAGGAGATGAGGTAAGTTTTCAGTTTTTAAAAAATGTGTATTTTCCAGATTTTCTGATTTCATCATGTACTATTTTACTCAGAAAATATCTTTTTATTTCGAAATGCAAATTATATCATGTGTAAAGACACACCGTTAATTTTTTTATCTTCTGTGCAGAATTTGCCTTTCAGACTTAAACATGTTTGTATAAGTGTGTATACTCATACTTGTACATCCTTATGATTATACTATATAGCATTCAGCTGCATAGTTATTTAACATAATTGGGAGAAGATTATTTGTGTAAATGAGCTTTGCAGATGAAAAGCTTTGTATTGAAACTTCACAGTTAAAATGGCCAAAATTATTGGATGCAAATCTTTCTAAAACTGAGTACTCTTTTTCTGATTTCATAATTATATCACATATATCATCATTAATAAATTTTCTCTCACAATTGATTGTAAAATTACTTAAAAAGAAGGGTCTTTTTTCCTGTGAGGCCTTCTCTAACCTCCTGGTGCTTTTCTTCAGATAAAAAGGGAGAATCAAAGGGTAAATGGAAGGGGAAAAGTTGAAAACATTTTACATTTCCCACTCTTGTTTCTCCTATTTGTTAATAAAAAAATTCTAACGCCTTTTTCGTTTTTCAGAAAGTTATATAGGCTCTGTGTCCTAACTGCTGTTCCTCAGCCTCAGCACTTGACTTTTGGAACCTTGGTCTCTGCTTGCCTGTTAGTTTGGGTGAAATGGAGCAGAGGAATTAGCAAGGCCATGACATTAGAGAGATAGTAATTTCTTTCCATGTTGGAATTTTCTGAATGCATATTCCTATAACAATGGTATTATAAGTGAGATTTAGATACTGGAATTATTATGTATACAGTATATTAATTATTGTATACAGTAATACAGTATATTATGTAAACAGTATATTTACTGAGCTTATGGATGATTTGTGGACTGGTGTTAGTATCTCATCAACATAACATTTGAAAGGGAAAATATGTTCTGGGTTGCAAAGAAATTTAGTAATATTCTTTTTACAATATTAGTTACTGCTTAGATTTTCTTGTCCTATAATTTAGTGCTGTCTTTGGGGGATGATTTGGGTGCCCTTTCAGGAAGATGATAGTTGTCATTTCTCTTGTTGCTTATGCATTTTCCTCTAGTAGTCTTCTCTTCCCTGTCAGGTTTATGAGCACTGTTTTTAGTGGTCTAGGAAAATCACATAATCTAGCTTAGTATTTATAGCATTATTTTTAAATTCAGCCAGTAGTCAACTTTGAGTAGGATTTCTGAGATGTTTTCTGGAGAGCAAAAGAGGTGTGTATCTTAGTACGAAGATCATACCTTTAATTATGTTTCCTCAGAGTCTTTTTGAGTAGTCGTTGTTTTTAGATTTCTTTCTGGCTATTTGGAGTTGTCAAATAAGTGACTTTGAGTAAATAAAACGTTAATATATTTATTACAAAAATATTAGCCATTTCTGTTATTCAAGTTAAGTGCTCATTTCGTAAGACTGGTGCTCATTTAGATATATAAACATATCTTTAGCTGTGCAAAGTAAGATATTTACCTCAGTGCTTTATCTGTCAGACCACAACATATCACTACTGGTTAAATTTGAAATGCTTTTTAACCTTTTTAAGTTTTTTCATCTTGAGGATTCATTATGCTAAACCAAAGTTTTATTAAATTCTCATTTGGTTACAATTCTGACAGTTGTATTAGAAACTATATACATCTATTAATAAAATGTTTGACATCAAATTTAATTTTATTTCTCTTTTCTAGGTGAAGGATAGAGTATATCAAGGTAAATCTTTAGGCTTTTTTGTTATTTGTACTAGTCCCTCTGTATTGGTGTTTGATATGGATTTTATATATAAGTAGTTTTAGTAACTTCTGATGTCTGACTGACTTATAGCTTCTGAAAACTTTACTGTTCCTAGGTTGCCAGGTTGTATGATAGAGTAAATGGTGATGCTACCAACTGAGATGGGAGATGAGGAGGAACGAATTGTGGGAGTAGGGAGAAGATCATTAATTTGGGGCAGATTGACCTTAAATGTTGATGTAGTACCAATTTATTACATGTGACCAGTGTCCCTGTGCTAATGATTTAGTCAGTACATTAAATATTTATTTAAGTAGATAATTTGAGAACTAGAAATATAAATCAGCACGCCTGCATTTTCTGTTTCTCTTTGCAAATGACATATTTGAAGTGATGCCATTTTCTGAGAAGAAAGATGCTTCATGCAGGGAGGAATATTGAGCTATAACATTTTACTGTATTTCCCATCTTGGAAATAAATTAAACTCTCATTGAAATAAAGGTTCTTATTATATTTTTCTTAAATTCTAACCGTATTTTTACATCCTTATTCTTGTTAGCAGATTGCTTTTTGTATTAATCTGTTCTCACACTGCTATAAAGAAATACCCAAGGCCTGGTGTGGTGGCTCATGCCTGTAATCCCAACACTTTGGGAGGCCAAAGCGGAGGATTGCTTGAGCTCAGGAGTTCGAGACCAGCCTGGGCAACATGGAGAAACCCCATCTCTATAAAAAAAATATAAAAGTTAGCTGGGTGTGGTGGCACACACCTGTAGTCCCAGCTACTCAGGAGGCTGAGGCAGGAGGATTGCTTGAGCTTGGGAGGCGGACTTTGCAGTGAGCTGAGATTGCACCACTAAACTCCAGCCTGGACAACAGAGCAAGACCCTGTCTCAAAAAAAGAAATACCTGATACTGGGTAATTTATAAGAAGTTTAATTAGCTCATGTTTCTGCAGGCTATAGGAAGTATAGCGGCATCTGCTTCTGAGGAGGCCTCAGGGAGCTTTTACTCACAGCAGAAGGCAAAGCGAGAGCAGGCCATCTTACATGGTGGGAGCAGGAGCAAGAGAGAGTGAGCGGGGAGGTGCTGCACACTTTTAAAACCAGATTCCACAAGAACTCAGTCACCATCACAGAATAGCACCACAGGGATGGTGATAAACCACTCATGAGAAATCTACCCTTATGATCCAATCACCTTCCACCAGGCCCCACCTGAACACTGGGTACTATAATTTGTTATGAGATTTGATGGAGACACAGAACCAAACCATATCACTTTTTAAAACCATAATAGTTATGCTGAGAAGTTATTTTTTGTCATAGTGCAAGATAACATGTCTTTGCTGCTGATACATTGGGTAATTCAATTTCATTTAGTGATCATAATAACCTTATTATTTTTTTCTTTTTTCAGTCACGGAACAGCAAATTTCTGAGAAGTTGAAGACTATCATGAAAGAAAATACAGAACTTGTACAAAAATTGTCAAATTATGAACAGAAGGTATGATTATTCTTTGTTTTTTTTTTTTTTCATGGTCCCAGCTTGAATTATTTGTCACCTATCTTATAGTTCAGTTACTATGGTATTTTTAAATAGTATTTATTATTACATTAATTCCTATAAACCATCCAGATCTTAAGCAGTCATATGTGTAAAGTACTGTTTTCTTCTGTAAGAGGTCAGTCACTTGAAAATAAGTTCTGGTAGCACTATACTTTATATTTCTGGATTCTGAATGCTTTATTTTATATAGATCAAGGAATCAAAGAAACATGTTCAGGAAACCAGGAAACAAAATATGATTCTCTCTGATGAAGCAATTAAATATAAGGTAAAAACTTCTTTTGGGGATTACATTTTAAAACAAAAGTAAAAGTAATGAGTATAACTAACCTTAATATCTTTTTTGTAGGATAAAATCAAGACACTTGAAAAAAATCAGGAAATTCTGGATGACACAGCTAAAAATCTTCGTGTTATGCTAGAATCTGAGAGAGAACAGAATGTCAAGAATCAGGACTTGGTAAGAGTTTTGCTGCTAAGTATTACTAATAATTTGGGTTTTGAACTCTTTTGTAGATTGAGTTGAACTCTTTATTTTCCATGCTGTTATGTGAAGTAAGAGTGCGAGTCAGGGAAGTTGAACCTACTTCTGTCCATTTTTGTGGAATTTTAAGTACTTACACAAGAAATTATTCTTACAGGCCTAGGAAGTATTTTGGTTCTCAACCCTAGGTAATTGTCATATTGCTTGGCTCTGCCCTCCGAAACATGTGGAACAACTAAGAAACCCAGTTGAACAGTCCTTGTGTTTTGTTTTGTTTTGCAAAGTTTTTTTTTTTTTTTGCTATAAACATTTTATTTTATTAATAGAATAGTTTTAGAATGACCTAAAAGTTGCAAAGATAGTAGAGAGGGTTCCATAAATCCCACACCCTATTAATCTTGATGACCTCGTTGAGGTAGTATTGCCAGGTTTCTTCACTGTAAAATTACTTTTTTTTTTTTTAAACTTTTTGCATTATTGTACTCTTTGGAAGGAAGTTACTATCGCAGCCCACAGTTAAAAAGTGAAGGGTTATGCTCCATCCTCTTGAGGAGCCAGAATCTTCATAAATTATCTAGAATTCTATATGGGTGATCTGTCTATTCTCACTCCAATCCTACCATTTTTAATTTAGGCAAGAGCAATTGGTGTTTGACAAAACAATTGTCAAATTGTACTAAATTAAAGTACCTTGGGGATTATTTTTTTCTCTTGCCACAAGAAAAAAAAAAGTCACATTGATTTGAACTGGTTTACTTAAAAGTTTTTTCAGTTTCTTTTCTTTCACCTTTTAGTCTGGTCATCTACCACATTTTATTCTAACCAGGAAGGTTGTGTATGCTGTGAAATATTTATGCCTTTGATTATTTTCCCTTACCTCTTTAAGTTCTTGATTTTTCCCGAGGGCAAAACTGAAACACCTGCTTTTACCTGAAACATAGGGGATGGCTCTGGGACATACTTTGTTGATGTTTCTTCTTCTTAGTATGTATCCCAGTGTTTCTACTAAAATCCTAATATGCATTTTGTGTTCTGTTTTTACATGGCAGATATCAGAAAACAAGAAATCTATAGAGAAGTTAAAGGATGTTATTTCAATGAATGCCTCAGAATTTTCAGAGGTAAAGCTGACTGTAATTCCTGCAGGATATTAATACTATATCATAGTTTGATTGCAGAGCAAAAATTTGATATATGCTAAAATGTGCAAAAAATGAAAACTACATGATGTTGGGTTGGAAAAGTAACTTTTTCTGGTTTTCTTTGGAATTAATTCACTAATAGGAGTGTTTTGCATTAGGTTCAGATTGCACTTAATGAAGCTAAGCTTAGTGAAGAGAAGGTGAAGTCTGAATGCCATCGGGTTCAAGAAGAAAATGCTAGGCTTAAGAAGAAAAAAGAGCAGGTAAAGGAAAGTGCGTGTCCCAGGTCATGTAAAATAGAGAACTCAGTATCATACCTCATGAATGCCTTTACTCAGATCTATTTTTAGGGTAATATATGTGCAGGATTCTGTTCTTAGATATGCAAAGTTTAAACTATGCTTCCAAAATTGAGTGTAGGTATACATTCTCTATCTGTTCTGGATTTTCTGTTCTGTACAATTTATTTTGGCTATCAGAGTGTGTAGTCTTGTTTTGTCAGACACCAATTGCTATTAACTTGAGTAGCCTCGAGTGGGTAGTAGATTGGCTTTTTAGACCCAAGAGTTAGATATTTTATAACCCTCCTTTGAGTAGTTACTGCTTCACTAGCCAAGGGAAGGTTACATGATCAGGAGTGTGGACTTGGGAGATAGTAGGATGAGCCCTTCTGTTCCTTCTGGAAGTGAATTATTTGAATTGGCTACAATTTTCTGAAGGATGCAATAAACAAGATCAATTTCCTTGATAGCTCTGATGTTCTCACTACAGCTCTGAGGGTTGGGGCCACTGTCTCCTCCCACTTAACCAAGGTCTTAGCCCATAGTGATAGGCCAAGGAGAGGCATGGTTCCTTATTTACCTGTCTCATTCATGTGGTCCTAATGTCTCCAGTGCAAAAGCCCTAACCTGTGGGAATCATGTGTTTTAACTTTGCAGTTGCAGCAGGAAATCGAAGACTGGAGTAAATTACATGCTGAGCTCAGTGAGCAAATCAAATCATTTGAGAAGTCTCAGAAAGATTTGGAAGTAGCTCTTACTCACAAGGATGATAATATTAATGTAAGTGCGTTCATGAATACAAGCTTAATTCTTGTGAATTATCAAATCTGTTGAATTAAATGGAAAGACTCTTAATGCCCTTTTACTTCTTTTCTAGGCTTTGACTAACTGCATTACACAGTTGAATCTGTTAGAGTGTGAATCTGAATCTGAGGGTCAAAATAAAGGTGGAAATGATTCAGATGAATTAGCAAATGGAGAAGTGGGAGGTAAGATCAGCCTCAAGGAGGATGGACCCCTTTTGCCTTCCTGTCTTTAAGTGCACCAGTGCTACTTTTCAGCTGGCTGCATTTCCTCTTAAGCTTTCGAGGTGTAAATACATTGGATTTGAATGTGTGTCTGTTTGCATTGGGCAGAGGTGGATTGCTAGGGTGAGGTGTAGCAGTAAGCATGCAGTGAACACTGACTTTGTTTTCACATTGAGACTAGAAGGGTGCACGGGAGCTGCACTGGTCATGTCTTACACCTCTAAGTATTGGACACATACAGTAGTAGAAACTTGTTTTTCAATTTCATGGAGATAACATTTTAAAACTTGTCATCTCAGTAGCTGTGTGGTTTTAAGGCCCACAACTGGTTTTAAGAGTACTGAGGTGGTTGGAGGCATAAACTGACTAAGGCCATGAAAGAAAACCACAACTGGTTTTGAGAGTACTGAGGTGGTTGGATCCATAAACTAAGGCCATGAGAGTGGAGGCTATAGTGTTGCAGTGTTTACTGATGAGGAAAATGTTTCTAGATGCCCTCTCTCAAGTTGGATATTGCTTGTGTAGTGGGTGTTTTAAACCACACCTGGTAGTAGATTCTGGAGGAGAATAGGAGGGAATCTTTCTGAATAAGACACTAAGCCCAGATGGAAGAAAGAGCTTTATCTCACATGTTTCTTCTTGCTCAATAATGGCATGTATAACATGTTTATTGTACAAATGGGAATTCACTTTTTCAGTCTTAAGTTTGCAGTTCTCTTAAAAGTCAGTCTAATCCTTTTCTGTTTTTGTTTGTTCTTTAAATGTTTGAACATGACAATTGTTTAGTTTTGGGTAAATCAAGAAAATATAGATTTAAAAAGCAAGGGAAGAAAAAGCAATGAAAGAAAGCCTTTTGTTTTTTAGGTGACCGGAATGAGAAGATGAAAAATCAAATTAAGCAGATGATGGATGTCTCTCGGGTATAATCGTTTTTAGAGTCCCATAATTGCCTGTGAATACTTTTACTATGCCTCACTTTTATGAATACTTGTCTCTTCTGCAATTTTTAGACACAGACTGCAATATCGGTAGTTGAAGAGGATCTAAAGCTTTTACAGCTTAAGCTAAGAGCCTCCGTGTCCACTAAATGTAACCTGGAAGGTAGGTTGCTTCTTGAGAAGAAATTGCTATATATTGGAAAGATACAAAATTGCATTAGAAAGATAAAGAGCGGCTTCCTGCTTTCATACTTCTCATTTCTCTCAGCACCAGCCCCCAACCAAGTTCTCAAGTTCTTGTGCACACATATGGAACTCAAATGTTTTATCCTTTACAGACCAGGTAAAGAAATTGGAAGATGACCGCAACTCACTACAAGCTGCCAAAGCTGGACTGGAAGATGAATGCAAAACCTTGAGGCAGAAAGTGGAGATTCTGAATGAGCTCTATCAGCAGAAGGAGATGGCTTTGCAAAAGTAAGATTATCATCATTTACTGTTAACTGTATTGTCATGTCAGTAAATAAATGTGTACTAATATAGATAATGTTATCGTTTTTCAGGATTGTACTCTTTTGCATCTGTAATTAGTATAAATTTGTCTTTCTTTCTTTCTGCTTTGTTTCTCATAAGCTGCATTTTTCTTTCCTTTCTAACCAGTAGTCAAAAACTGTTGCCTGTAACTCACTTAAGGGGGAGCAGTGTACTGGTACTGACGGTCGCTGCTGTGGGAGTGCTTCTCTTTTGAAGATCTGGCCATGCCTTGTCTGTGGCTCCGCCACTTGTTTCACTTTCCTTTCTTTGTGGTCAATTATGTAATTTCCTTTAAACAGTCTGAGGGATTTGTATGACGTGTTTTAGTAGAATAAAAACTTCAAAAAAGGAAAATTTACTTATTGAAGGTACATTTAGTTTTGGACTTCACAGAGTAAAATATTCAAACTAAACATAATTGTGGCAAAGATATTAGGAGTTTTGAATGTAGAACTATTTGGTGTGTATATTTAGATAATAATCCTCTGAAATACATATCTCAAATTTCGAGCGAGGTACCTTTTGAGAGGTATATTTTTATAGTTCAAGTTTTTTGTCCACAAAAACATCTGAATTCTCTAAAAATAGGTTATCTGTGGCAGTTGCTATTTGTGTTTGCTCTTATGTTTTACTCTTTGGTGTATATGGCAGTGTGTGAGGAGGCCTCTCTTGCTAAGCAAATTTAACTTTTTTAAATGCTTAGACTGCTACTGCTGTATGCCATTAAATATTGAAACCATACCATTAACTTTTTCTCTAATTCTTTGCTCACCAGGCAGCCAGTTTAGATTTTCCAGGTTTTGTTCAGGCCAGCTCTAAATAAATGCCTGTCCTGCTTCAGAGAGACATTCCTCATTTCATTACTTTTTAAAAAAGAGCACTTCTCTGCCTCCAATAGTAATGTGAATTACGTAAATGGCAACTGTTTTTCTTCGTGATACAGTTAACCCATTGATGTGGCAGTGTTTTATTCAACTTCCCCAAAATTCATTCAGTCTCCATGTGTGGTTTGTACTCTACTGTCCACCCCTAAAGTCACTGTGTTAATTCAGGCCCTTGTCATCTTTTATGCCAGTCCCCTAGCTAATCACGTATCTCCAGACTTTCTTTCCCTTTTTTTTTTTTTTTTTTTTTTTTGAGACAGAGTCTCACTCTGCCGCCCAGGCTGGAGTGCAGTGGCGTGGTCTCAGCTTACTGCAAGCTCCGCCTCCCAGGTTCATGCCATTCTCCTGCCTCAGTCTCCCGAGTAGCTGGGACTACAGGCGCCCGCCACCATGCCCGGCTAATTTTTTTTGTATTTTTAGTAGAGATGGGGTTTCACCTGTGTTAGCCAGGATGGTCTCAATCTCCTGACCTCGTGATCCACCCGCCTCGGCCTCCCAAAGTGCTGGGATTACAGGTGTGAGCCACCGCGCCCGGCCAAAGAATATACTTTAATGCAGGTTCAGTGAGTTTACTTTTGTATGAAAATGTCTTTAGTTTGACTCCATTTTAAAAGGATCTTTCTGCTGGTTCTGGAATTTCGATAGTTGTTTAGTATCAGCACTTTAAAGATAACCAGTTATCCTCTAGTTTTAAAGTTTCTTTGAGGAATCTATTATCATTCTTATTTTCTCTTTTCTCTTTTTTCAAATGTTTTATGCCTGCCCTAGCTGCCTTTCGTCATTTTCTTTTTGGTTTTTCAGCAGTTTTCTTGGGAGGTGCCTACATGTAGGGTTTTGTCATCACCCTTCCACCCTACCCTCCTGCTTTTTCTTTTGCATTTATACTGCTTGAGGTTATAAACATCTCTTGAGTTTGGAGCCTCTTTTTTCACATATTAATTCTATCTTATTCTCACTTGTCCTGAGAATCCAATTCAACATACTAGGATCTCCCACCCCTACCCCTCGCCCAATGCCTCCTACATTCTGAATATGCTTCATTCTGGATGTTTTCTTCTGACCTATCTTCCAATGTGCTAAAAATCTCACCTCAGTTGTCTAATCTGCTAAAATCATTGAGTTCTTTTTGGTTTCACTATTTTTCACTTTTATAGTTTCTAATCCTCTGCTGAAATGTGTAATCTTGACTTGTACTTCCTTCAATTTGTAAGGCACAATTGCTTTAAAATCTATGTGGTAATCCTATTATGTGGATCCCTTATGAGTGTGTTTCTCTGGTCTTCTAGATTGTGATTACATTGTCTTGTCTTGTGGAATGTCTGGTTGGTTTTGATGGAGTGGTGAACATTGTTTTTGAAAATTGTAGGGGAAATTTGAGGTCTAAGATGATGTTATCATCCTACATAAAAGATATGAGATTACCTCTAGCAGGTGGTCATTACTTTATTCCAGTTAGCAATTAAAATCATTCAAAAATGGCTTAGTTCCTTTAAAGGACATTGTATTTATTGCCTGTTCAATACTCCAAGTGTGCAGCTCTTTTCTGGTCTCAACCCAAAGCCTAGGGCTTTTACTAGGGGTCCTTCTCATTGGCAGCCCTGAACTCCCTCCGCTTCTTGTTTCTCTCAACCCAGGGATCTGTTGAAAGTTCTTTTCAACCTTCTTACATATCTGCATTGTCTTCAATGCATGGATGAACCTGGGGGGAAATGGCTTAAAATGCCGGGCTTACTTATAATTCT
The DNA here is from genome assembly GCF_000001405.40 of Homo sapiens. Lineage (NCBI taxonomy): Eukaryota > Metazoa > Chordata > Mammalia > Primates > Hominidae > Homo > Homo sapiens. The sequence continues at coordinate 222,657,477 of NC_000001.11, forward strand.
GTGTTTTTTCCTACTGGATTTTCTTCACTGCCTTATTAGCTTTCTGATGCCTTCGAGCACATTCTTTCTATTTTTGTCCATATGTTCTTATTTTCAGTGTTTGCAGACTAACTCATCCATTATTGGAAACAAAATTCTCTTGAATCCTTCTTCAAGACTTGTTTTTTCCACATCCCTTCCTAAGCCAGAGTCAGAGAGGGATTGTTCTGTTCTTATATGCACCTTTTACACATTCAGCTGTGAGCTCCATTAGTGCAGAGGTGGTACTTACCATAGCCATACCTTTATCTTAGTCTCTTACAAGGTAATTAGTATAACCACTCATAAAATATTTGCTGAAGTATTTATTGAATGAGCAGTTGTAAAAGAATACATAAACTTTTTTCTCTTTGGTGTTAATAACCCTTTTTACTATAGCTCCTCTATTTTTGTTTCCAATTTATAGAAAATTTGCAAGTATCTTTTGCATCAGAACTATGAGTAAAGAAGTACAAGGGTAACTACAAGTAGCACTTTTAAACCATTAAATGTTGCTGCCTTTACAATCTGTGTTATAGTTGGCTAACCTCTTGAGCTTGAAGGTTATCAGGTTAAAACCAATTTCCAGTACATAGCACCCTGATTACAGGACAGTTTGGATTCTTTTTCTGTTCAACAGACATTGCCAGTACTCGGATTTGTCTCGCTGCTTTATCATGATTCCATTGAAATAGGTAGGGGAGCTCCATATCTGAAGTGTGAAAATGTTCTGGGGTTAATTGTACAGTTAAGGACATGTTCTAAAAAGCTCTTTCATTGGCTGTCTTTATCATGGTACCAGCCTTGGATTGAGAAACAGCCCATAAGAAAATTAATTAGTGGTCTTTCCATGGTTAGAAATAAGAGAATTATCTCCTGCATCATCCTAATAAGCTTAACTGTGTTAGGTTGATCAGTCCTGGCTTTCTACATTGAAGAAAAGTGAGCATCATTTCAACCCAACAGTCTTTGACACATAGTGTTTTTTCACATTTGTTTCATTTACTAGTGAGGAGAGAATTATGAGACGTTAGAAAATGCAGGTGATGTATCAACAGGCCACAGTTGGATTTTTATCCTAAAGGACAGTTTTATTTCCTTCCTGTGACTTTGTATAATCTATGCATTTTTAAGAATAGGATAGGAAGTGAGATTTTATTGGAGTATTCAGACAGAATGCCAGGAGGAAAAGAGAAACACTTTCATTGACAACCAGTTTTATCTTAGGAAACTGAGTCAAGAAGAGTATGAACGGCAAGAAAGAGAGCACAGGCTGTCAGCTGCAGATGAAAAGGCAGTTTCGGCTGCAGAGGAAGTAAAAACTTACAAGTAAGTTCACCTCCTAAAGAGGGTATCAGTGGCTAATGAAACTAGTGTTGGCTTTTTTTATTAGCACAAAAGCATAAATAAGTGGTTAGAGGACATGAATACATCAATTCACACAAAAGAAAAACTAAATTTTAAGTTAACAAATGGAAAAATATTAACAAATACCCAGTGCTGGCAAAACTGTAAGGGAACTTGATTCGTGCAAACAGTTCTGGGGGTTGGAGGGGGTGGGAGCAGTTTGTTATATGATGTATCAAAAGCCATTAAAGTGATTTTGCCATTTGATAGACCCAGTAGTCCTAACTTTGGGAAAATTTTTATGATGTAATTAAAGGATGAAAAAAGGTTTATAGTGGAAGATATTAATAATAGGATTATTTGAGAACATATTTAGGAACAGTTAAAGGAATTGTAATATATCAACTCAATCTCCAGCTGTTAAAGGAAATTATGTATCATTAGTTTTCATCATATTGTACTTTTGTTATAACCAACCATGTAAAATATGCTTTATATTTCTGGATAAGCTCTATTAGGGTACAGTTGTTAGGGTAACGGTTAACATAGTCAGATTGTTTGGGTTTTTATTCAGTTGTGCTTTAAATGATAAAGCCAAGTGTAATTCTTAGGCGGAGAATTGAAGAAATGGAGGATGAATTACAGAAGACAGAGCGGTCATTTAAAAACCAGGTAATAATTCTAGTGCCCTACTATATAGTGCCCGGAATTCTTTGATAACTAATAGAGGCTATTATAATGAATCTGTATGCATATTTTGTGATGTATTATCTTTTTCAGATCGCTACCCATGAGAAGAAAGCTCATGAAAACTGGGTAAGATTTCTTTTTTTCTTTCCCTTATTTTGTGCATAGTCTCCCACAACTGAATTTGGATATTTTTCTTCAATAGCTCAAAGCTCGTGCTGCAGAAAGAGCTATAGCTGAAGAGAAAAGGGAAGCTGCCAATTTGAGACACAAGTATGTGGATTTTGATGGCTATATTTTCAGCGCGTGTTCTCTTAAGGAATTGGTTTCTATTTCATATTTAACTCTTTCTTAAATATTCTTTCTCTATATTCAAGATTATTAGAATTAACACAAAAGATGGCAATGCTGCAAGAAGAACCTGTGATTGTAAAACCAATGCCAGGAAAACCAAATACACAAAACCCTCCACGGAGAGGTAAGGGAGCTACCTTGTAAAGGGCAACAATCTGTTTTTTGATGTAAAATGTATATAAGTGACTTTTTGTTTCTGTGTGTAATGGTTATGGTACCCTAGGAATAATCCCAAGAACTGAATAAAGAAAAAAAGGCTGTCTTAAAATGCTAACAAGATGCTGTCATCTTTAGGTCCTCTGAGCCAGAATGGCTCTTTTGGCCCATCCCCTGTGAGTGGTGGAGAATGCTCCCCTCCATTGACAGTGGAGCCACCCGTGAGACCTCTCTCTGCTACTCTCAATCGAAGAGATATGCCTAGAAGTGAATTTGGTGAGCATTCACATGTTTCCTTGCAATACTCTTTTGGGTGGCTTTTTCCCTTTTATTTGAGAATTCTAATGCAAACACTTTAGAATTCGGGTCTGTCCAGTATAGAAAAGAAAATTTCTTAATTTGTCTTGGTGGATTCAACTGCAAGTATTCAACTGCAAGATTTGCTTTAGAACAGAAGGCATTTATTATTTTCCTTTATTGTTTTGTTTCTCTTTAATTTTTTACTCTGAAGTGTAAGCCCTTATCTTTCAATTAAAGTTCTGTGGGATTCCTCTCCCAAATACAGCTGACCCTTGAACAACACAAGTTTGGTCTGTGCAGGTCCACTTCTATGCAGATTTTTTTCAAAAAATATTTTGGGAAATTTTTTGGAGCTTTGCAATAATTTGAAAGAACTTGCAGATGAACCACATAGCCTAGAAATATAAAAAAATTAAGAAAAATTTATGTATGTCGTGAATGCATAAAATATATGTAGATACTAGTTTGTGTTATAAACTATTGGAAAATATACAAAGATCTATTTTAAAAAGTTAAAATTTATCAAAACTTGCACAAGCACAGATGTACATGACACCATTCACAATTGGGAAAAAGTAAACACATGTAAAGATGCAGTTTTAAATCATAAATGCATAAGATTAGCTGTAGTACATACTGTAGTACTACAATAATTTCATAACCACCTCCTGTTGCTATTGCAGTGAGCTCAAGTGTTGTGAGTATCCGCTTAAAACACCGTGTGATGTTAATCTGCATGTGGGCAGTTCATCTCTCCAGTAAATTGTGTATCACAGTAAACATAATCTCTCATGGTTCTTGTGTATTTTTCATGTTTAGTGCAATAACATAAACCTTGAATAACACCATGGGACCCATATAAAATGCCACTAGTGATGCTGGAAGTATTCTCAAGAAGCAAAGTCATGACACTACTAGAAAAAGTTGAATTGCTTTGATATATACCATAGTTTGGAGTGTGCAGCAGCAGTCATTTCAGTCAGACGATTCATCTTGTAAACAGACCATGTACACGTACAGTACAAATACAATACAGTGTTATAAATACATTTCCTCTTCCTTATGATTTCAATAACATTTTCTTTAGCTTACTTTATTAAAGAATACAGTATACAATATATATACAGAATATGTGTTAACTGTTTATGTTATTGGTAAGGCTTCTGGTCAATAGTAGGCTATTTACTAGTAGGTAGGTTTTGGGGAGTCAAAAGTTACACGTGGATTTTTGACTGCGCAGGGGATCAGCACACCTAACCCCTGCATTGTTCGAGTCAACTGTATTATAAAAGTAGCCTTAATAACTTTATCGTTTATGCGGCATACATGTTTCCACTTGTCATTACTATATAGTATGAAACGCTGTTGAGTCTATTTTGAATCCTAAATATGTCTATAATACTCAGTAAGATACGGAAGTCAGATTACATATACACTGAACAAAAATCACCATGTAGAATACTGTACATGTAAGTCTGTAGCTTGAAGTATAGAACCAGAGCCATTAATGTGCAGGGTTTATTGTTCTTTCAGTGCAAGGCAGTTCTTATTTTAATTCTTTAAGTCCGTGCATAAATTGTAAGTGATTTCCCTTCATAAATATTGGGAGACCCATTTTTAATGTTGCTTTCCAGATAAGACTTGAACCCTGATCTGTCCACAATTTATTATTTCTTCCAAAAAATACATATAAGGACTCTGTTATTTCTTTCTCAAGGATCAGTGGACGGGCCTCTACCTCATCCTCGATGGTCAGCTGAGGCATCTGGGAAACCCTCTCCTTCTGGTAAGGGAGCAAGAGTGTTCAAAGAGTCTAAAACCATGCAGGAAGTGGGGAGAGGATTTTTTTTTTAATCCTCCTCACAGAGTACACAAGTCAGAATAAGTCTACATCAGTTCTCTGGTCTTTAACAGATCCAGGATCTGGTACAGCTACCATGATGAACAGCAGCTCAAGAGGCTCTTCCCCTACCAGGGTACTCGATGAAGGCAAGGTAAATGCACCCATTTTGAATAATTAGTTATTTCAGGAACATTTAGCTCTTCCTACAACTCTCTCTTTGCCTCATCTCCTATTTGTGTGTTCTATCTGTACTATCTCATTTATTTTTTAAAAAAGCAAACTGTTCTCCAAGAGCCTGAAGTCCCCTCAGTTCCCAGCATTACATCTTTGGCTGAGCGTCCAGTAGCAGTAAGTACTTAGAAGTGTGGACTGAACTGGGCTATAAGTTGCATGGCAATATTGATCTTACTTTTATCCTTGACTTGGGAGTGTTGCTGAAATCTGACGGATTCATTGGCCTTTTCTCCTCTCTCCTGTTTGGTTAGACATTTAACCTGTGTAGAGCATCTGCTGTAACTGTAATTAACTTAAACAAAAGTGAAAAGTCCCCACTCTTGTGTGTCTCAGTGTTTAATGCTCTTAGGCAAAGTAAATTCATTGTAAATTGTGTAATTCATTATTATGTCTTCATTTGGAAGTGTGCTATTTAAGAATACCTACAGTTGTATACTAGGCAAACCCTATTTTGAATGATCTGAAATTACAGATTGATAACAGAAGAATGTTTGCTGGAAGTGAAATACTGAATAGTGGAAGTCTATAATTACCCGTTGAGCCAGTTCCCAGCAGTGTCCTTAAACAGTGTCCACATAAGTGTATTCTCTTGTAACTTGTATAGCTGTTATGGCTGGTAAGTCCTCTGATCATACCTCACTGTGATTCTCGACATTGAAATTAAAATAATTTTAATGATTGAGAGTTTCCAACCCACTTTCCCATAGGAAGTGATTAATCAGTATCTCATAGTAGACAGTATTACTAGTGAATGAAGATGAATAGAGCTGTGCCTGTATAATTTGTGTACATAACATTGTTTCTCTTGGAAAATACTTCCAAGTTCCAGCACAGGACTCCAGGAATACACATTTCTTGAGAAATGTTTTTATCCAAGAGCAGCTTGGATAAGACCCGAGACCCCTTTGAAGTAGGAGACTTCGAAGAGTGTAGAGACTACTTTGTTAGAAAGGAGAAGCAGAGGTGGAAAGAACGTGGCCTTGGAGTCAAACCTGGCATGGAATTCCAGCCAGCCTCTTACATGCTGTGTGACCATCAGCAAATCTAATACTCTCTGCGCCTGTGTTCCTGCATATTTAGAACAAGATGGTCCTATTACAGATTTAGAGATGTCAGAATTTGTGTTAATATATGTAGGGCCTACAGAAGGTACTCTGAATAATCGCTGTTACATGGTAGAGAATGGATTTTTCATTCCCTTTCATTCTCTGCATTCTTAATATGGAAATTACTCTGATAGGAGGGATGTGCAGAGGGAGTGACTGCCTTAGAAATAGATGTATGAATGGCGTAACTTCTATCATTAGTCAGGAATGACCTCCATTTATAACCTGTGCGTTCCCTTCCATTTGCAGATGTAAGCAATAATATGATACAGCAAGTGTTCACTCCTGTGGCATACTTTTAACCTTTCTAAGCTTGTCAGTGGGAACAAATGAGAGGGGTAGAGTTTTTTGCACTAATTCTGCTCTTTGGACAAGTGCCTGACATCTGCTTCATTGGGTTTTAGTTTTTACTGGTGTTGGTGCTTTTGTCTGTCATACCATAGTATTTCAAAACTTCAATTGTTTCTACTCTGCAGGTTAATATGGCTCCAAAAGGGCCCCCTCCTTTCCCAGGAGTCCCTCTCATGAGCACCCCCATGGGAGGCCCTGTACCACCACCCATTCGATATGGACCACCACCTCAGCTCTGCGGACCTTTTGGGCCTCGGCCACTTCCTCCACCCTTTGGTAAGATGATCTGAACAGTAGTAATTGACTTGTAAAGCACATTCATCTTCTCCATCTATCCCTTGCTAAAACAACTGCAATTGCGGGGCTTTGCAATGCAGCAGTGAAGCTGATTGAGTACACCGTAACTTTTCCCCAAGTTTCTTCAGACACAAAGGGTGCTACATAATCTCCTGTGATTAGATGGGCAATAGTTGTCTCTAATAGAACAAGGAAAGGGGCTATTTATAAAAAGCCAGAAATATTCATCACATTGAACATCTGTGGCTGTGTACTAGGCTCTGCAATGGATAGCAAGGTAGATAAAATACATCCCCTAACTAAGATGTCCTGTAGGTCACAAATATACACATTCTACAACATAAAGCTTCTAATCACCCATAATGGAAGCATAAGCAGTAGGTCACAGAATATTAAGGAAAGACAAAACCCTCAACCCTCACCTTGGGAATACAAAGAAGGGAGATATGAAAGAGAAGGTAGAATTTAACAGCTATCTAATGAATGCTGCTGAATTTAATTAGATGGAGCTGGAAAGCCTTTTCCAGCAGGGCAAGCACCTTAATTTTTATGGCATTTATTAGGTACATCTTGAGCTACTGCATAAATTTTTAACTGATACACAGTAGTTAATGGAATTTATCAAAATTTTTATTGCAATGAAGCCATATTTAGTCTGTCTTCTTGGTATGGTATATAGTACTTCCAAGTACAAATCTATCTCTCTTTTTCAGATAAAGATGGCAGGCCAGGCACAGTGGCTCACGCCTGTAATCCCAGCACTTTATGAATCCCAGCATTCATTAGACGAGGCTGAGGCAGGTGGATCCCTTGAGCCTAGGAGTTTGAGACCAGCCTGGGCAACATGGTGAAACCCCCATCTCTACAAAAAATCCAAAAATTAGCTGGGAGTGGTGGCGTGCACCTGTAGTCCCAGCTACTGGGGAGTCTGAGGTGGGAGGATTGATTGAGTCCGGGAGATTGAGGCTGCAGTGAGCCATGATCACTCATTACACTCCAGCCCATGTGACAGGCAAGACCCTGCCGCCAAAAAAAAAAAAAAAAAAAAAAAAGGATGACAGACTATATTAACATACCTGGCATTATCTTAATTTAAATACGTTCCTAGGAATTTACTGGAAATAATTTTTGTTTTCCAGGCCCTGGTATGCGTCCACCACTAGGCTTAAGAGAATTTGCACCAGGCGTTCCACCAGGAAGACGGGACCTGCCTCTCCACCCTCGGGGATTTTTACCTGGACACGCACCATTTAGACCTTTAGGTTCACTTGGCCCAAGAGAGTACTTTATTCCTGGTACCCGATTACCACCCCCAACCCATGGTCCCCAGGAATACCCACCACCACCTGCTGTAAGAGACTTACTGCCGTCAGGCTCTAGAGATGAGCCTCCACCTGCCTCTCAGAGCACTAGCCAGGACTGTTCACAGGCTTTAAAACAGAGCCCATAAAACTATGACCTCTGAGGTTTCATTGGAAAGAAAGTGTACTGTGCATTATCCATTACAGTAAAGGATTTCATTGGCTTCAAAATCCAAAAGTTTATTTTAAAAGGTTTGTTGTTAGAACTAAGCTGCCTTGGCAGTGTGCATTTTTGAGCCAAACAATTCAAAAATGTCATTTCTTCCCTAAATAAAAATCACCTTTTAAGCTAGAGCGTCCTTACAACTTTGAAATGTGCAATAAAGAATACCTGTGTTTTAGCTAATGTAGCATATGTAATTGCAAAATGATTTAGAATGTCATGAAAAATATGAACATTTCCTGTGGAAATGCTTTAAGAACATGTATTTCCATTATCCTATTTTTAGTGTACACCAGCTGAATACGGAGCAATGGTGTTTATAAGCGTTTTTTTAAACTATCTGGTCACAAAGACTGTTACGCTAAAAATGTTTACTAAAAGATCACTAAACTATCTCCCCTCTTGCTGAAGTTCTTTGTAGTAATAGCTCATAAAAATTTGTTTATTAATATTTCCCAAGTGTCTGTTGACTCATTGGACTGTTATGAGGCTTGTGCCATTTGGGGAACATGTAAACTCAGGCTCCCAGAACTGAAGATGGTGGCTGGTGGCACACTTCCGGCTGCTCCTCCGTCACCTGTGAACTCTACAAGTGACGTCTTTTTATTTCAAAGAAGTTTATTTCCCACTTGTATAGCATTCACATGCTTTCTTTACGATCCTCATTGTCTATTTGAGAATGGTTTTCTGAGAGTGAGTTTACATTAGTAGCAAGAGTTGTTTGACCTGATGTTCCATTGTTTTTACCATTCCTGTAGAAAAAGGGTGCACAACAGAAAAATGAAAATGATGTGTCATGGCCATAAAAGTATAGAAATCTTTAAAAATTTTAAAATGTACAGTCCCTTATCTATCTTTCCCATTCCTTGCCACTGATTTTTGAGGAATATAATAAAAAGATTGGAAGAGTATAATGCCATGAGAAAGAATGATTTAGGACTGTGAGGGTTATAACATGCCCTAGGTCAGCAACCAAGGGTTGAAATCAGTTCTGTTTTAGGGGGAAATGGGGGCGACAGATATTATTCCAAAATTAATATTAATTAATATTTAAACGTTGGTGTTTTTATTTAAAAATCAGTAACTAACCATCTGGAATTGCACCATACTTAAAGTCTTATCCATTACTACACTGTCTTTAAAACAATGTTTCTTTAAATACTCTACAACGTTTCTAAGAACGAACTTCAGACATTTTAATTACAGTAATAATAGCACTCCTTTTAAGGAGTTTCAGATCCACACTAAAACTAAAATCATAAAAGGCTGATACTTTTGTTTGCTGCTAGGCTATATTCTTCCATTCTTTGAAGTCCTATGATGTAATATTTTTGAAACCTAGTGTATGTCTTGTCACTGTTGTGATATTTAATCGATTAAGAATACCTTGTAAAAAGGAGCAAAAGCTTCAATGTGAAACAATTTTCTCTCTTTATACTAAACAACTGAAGATAGATAGTTTAGAAAGATAAGGACCTTTGAAAGAAGACAACTCTGTCAAAGTTCATAAGGAATATAAAAATTCTTCAGGAAAAGAGAATTCAATCTATATGTCCTCCCGTTTAATATCAAGAATAGAAGAAATTAAGAGGAAAACTCCACAGAAGAGCATAGGCCACTTTTAGCCATGTAAAAATAAGATTAAGTCACAAATACAACTTTTGAATTTACCTGTCAATATCTCTTTAGGACACAAAACAATGCTGAAGTTAATATAATTTCTAATTTTAAATGTCATTTAAGTGTAGATTATGCCATCTAGGAAGGTAAGTAGGAAAGGTAAATTAAATCTATTTTTAAAATTCAAAATATTAGAGTATTTTTCCCCTCTAAAGCCTTTTTTGGTGATTATTCTGTATCTGACATAATTGAGAAACTGGTAAGCTGTAAAGATTCCAGTGTAGCTTCTCTGAGAAGTTGTGAGCCAGTCCATAACTGCTTCCTCACATCCATCTGATTGCACCATTTCTGCAGCAAACCCCAAAGCAGGGTGCCAATATGCAGATGGCATAGGGAGTATCATCCCTCAGCCAAATCACTTTTCCATCTCTAAAGTTTCATCTATTTTGGAAGTCATCTCCAACTAATTGTGTCTGGATTTAGTTGCTAAAATTGTCTTATTTATGAAGCAGCAATATTCAGCCTGAAAGCATTTCTGCCATAGTTGTTGTAGTTATATCGCCAATGGCTGATTTTTTTCATTGGAAAGTAAATTTAAGTAATTCGTGGGATGTGGTATATTCTGTGTCAACTTCAAGATAATCACTCATTTTCTCGTTATATTCAGGTCTGAATTAAAGTTAAGTTAATCACACAGTGTTCAATTTAAGCTTCTTTAATGTTGATGAAAGGTATTTGTAGTTCATATAAACTATACTTATGTGAAGGATAGCAGATGCTTCATATAAATTATCATTTTGATATACATATCTTATGGTTTATGAGAAAAGAGAAAAAATAATACATCGGTTTTGCTACACTTTAATGGGTTTTTTTTTTAAGGGATTTTTTTTCAGGTCTTGTCAGCAACATCAAACAAAAGGTACTGAGTACTCCACAGGGTACAGAGTGCTGCCAAGCACCTTAGAAAAATTACATGACACGGAGAAAATGCGCCTCTTGCTCCTTGAAGAGCTTACAGTCTAGGGATTTGACAACTCACAGTCTTAGGAACTGGGCAAAGTAAGGCAAATTCTTCATCCCCTAGAGCTATTGTGGACTGAATCATTTTAGAATTTGGAATTAATCCAATCAAGATGAGAGACAAGACTAAATTTGGCTGAGAATTCATTCAGGCTCGCATAGTTTTTATTAACATCCGTCTAGTAAACAGAATGGACCTAACAGACAACTGAAAGTAAAGACTAGATCTCTTGAAGTGCAAGGGCTACAACAACTTAGTTGTGGTTACTTATTTTAAAAAGCAAACATACTGAATGGTATGACTAGGGTGATTACACTAGTTTAAAAATAGGCCAGGTACTGACACTGCATTCCCCTCATGCATTGCTCATTTAAAATAGTGAATATTAAAATATGTGGGCTTTACATCTAACCCACAGAAAGCCCACCGCAAATGTTCTGTGTATCAAATATCCACCTCATGTGTACTATGAAAGTTTTATTTATGCCCCATTAAGTCAAAAGTAAATTATAGTAAGCTAATGACCTGCATATTTTCATATGGATGAATGTCAGTATATCTAAATAGGAAATAAATGGCGATCCTATCTACCTATATAAAAAAAATAGAATATCTTTCCAGATTTTGCATACTCCTCACTGTAAGAAGAGGTATGCAGGTTTTAAGGTTTCACAATCAGTTGTCAGAAAAACAGCAGTTATGCCTGCAGTATCTCGTTAGCATCTGACTCAATTATTTTTAGATTACATTGTTTAGAAGACATTGTAAACCCATCTAAAACTTTGTAATTATTTTGAGATGGTTCCAATGTTAACCCTAGAATCATCATCAGAAAGAGTAACAATGTGATGTAGAAGAACAGCTAATCGACATGACTAAAAATATGCTCATTTTCAGAAAAACAATCTGGTCATCTGGAAACAATCACAGCTACAACCTAGGGAACACTCCCATGTGGGATACTGATCTGGCCAAGGCACACTTTCTAAGCAGGAAAACTATCAGATCAGGGTGAATTTAGGCCACTTCAGAGGTGCTGCCTATAAACATCCAGACAGACCTTCTTAGGCAGCAGAACTGGTCCCATTCCTCTCAAAGCAGTTTGACACTACCCTACCCACATCAACCCAAAGCTTGACGTTAAGTCAAAAGAGCATATTGGAGCAAAAGTGAACAGATGTGTAAACTCTAGCACATTCTTATTGCTGTATTAAGTCTGAAGATGAGCACATCCTACCCACAACAGTATTGTTCCAGGAAGCAGGGTAGGAGTAGTGGTAAATTAGAAAATAGACTATTAATTGCACAATTAATAGAAAAGTAAAAACATGTTTCAAAATCTACAATAAACCTGTATCCCAAGGAGTCCTATACGTCAGTGTGATGTGCTGGACTCTGAATTCTGTGGTACAGCTTTGCATTGGACTCCGTCCGGCCTACTGGTCTGGGTACGGCTTGCTTCCTGCCTGTTGAAGGGTGAATATGCTACACAGAGCTATGATGGTTTCTACTGAGTGGTAAAATTCACAGAAGTTCCAGGTTCATCATGTCAGGATCATTCCTTGTGCAAAGTTTGATGTAGATGAAGATAAAGTGGTTTCTTGGTCAATAATTGCAATTTCTTTCTTTTAAAGTCAGTGGGTTTCTTGTATCTGTAATCACAACAGAAAGACCATTGTTTAAAATACATTGATAACTGAACTCTTCAAGGTTAAATACTGGATATGGGGGATTCAGAAGAAAGATATACTAGTCACCATCAAATTAGTACTAATTCTATATGCACATCACTTACAGTTCTATTACAATTGGCCCAGGTTTAATTTCATCCATCTCCATGAAAGCAAAACACTTGGTGCTGGTAAACCTTTTTTTAGGCTTGTAGTGTTTGAATTCAAAGAAGATAGCTGCACCTAAGGAATTAAAACAAGCCACATAAACCACAGATAGCACATTTCTTGTGTGTCAATTAATTTTCTTTGATCACCAGAAGCATATGAACAGCTACAGCTGGCATAATTTGACAAAACAACTTGTGCCAGTCTCAATGATTTGACAGTAACTTACTATGGTTGTCACCCCGAACTCTTCTGTATCTGAGTAGAGTGACATTTCTCCTTATCATCCAATTCTACAAACTATAGCAAAACTTCTTGAGCTAGACTGCCTCAAGAATGTATAACAGTTATGTACACAGGTAGAATCATAAGCTGCTATAAAATATGAAATGCCACAGAAGAACAGAGAAGATACTTCAATACACATAGAGACTCATTAGGTAGAAAATGCATTTAAAAGAGTTCCTAAAAAAATTTAAGCTCGAATTGTTTCCCTTACCCCAAAACAAAAACTCAAAAATTCAATCTTGGGGGTATTTTGGAATTCAAACAACATAAATCACATGCTGGCTCAGCTGGAAAATGTTATCTGTTTCCTTAACACCTTTTTCAGTATTCAAAGCACTGCTGTGATGTTTTTCCTGGAATTGCATGTTTGTGTCAAGACAGTGCTGTAGAAGACAAAGGTTCAAAGAGCAAATCTATTTATTCTGCCACTCTCCTCCAATGAGCAAGTGATAATGAGAAATTTAGACAGTTCTGGCCGGGTGCGGTGGCTCATGCCTGTAATCCCAGCACTTTGGGAGGCAGAGATGGGCAGATCACTTGAGCCCAGGAGTTTGAGACCAGCCTGGGCAACAAGGGGGTGGTAAGACCCCACCTCTACAAAAAAAATTTTAAAAATAGCCAGGCTCGGTGGCACGTGCCTGTACTCCCAGCTACTCGGGAGGCTGAGTTGGTAGGACTGCCTGAGCCCAGGGAGATTGAGGCTGCAGTGAGCCATGATCATGCCACTGTGCCCCAGCCTGTGTGACAAAGTGAGACTCTGTCTCAAAAAAAGAAAAAAATAAGAAATTTAGACGGTCCTATGTCCCCAAAGTCCAACAGATAAACTCTTCCCCCAATCCTGCAGAAAAAAGCTAAAAATGGAGAAATAAGTTGCCTCATCAATGTGGCCAACAAAAATGAATTTCTAAAGAAGGCATGGAAAGTGAAGGAAGTCAGTGTCTCACTCTTCACCAGCTACTTCTAAATACTGCCTTAACCAGAGCAGTCCAGGAGCTTGGCTTGCAAAGACAACATACATTTAATACTGCCGCTGATGACAAAACTCACAAGTCACTAGAAGTTTAGCAATGTTCAGAAATGTGTGTACAGCATTGGCACTTGGGTCCAAATGGACCACATCACATGGCAAGGGAGGAAAAAAAAACCAATTGCTCAGGAGACAATGGGATGTGGGTGAGGGAGAGATGGGCATATTTGGCCATCCACTCCCAACACGCTCGAAAGGATTACAATAGTTAGGTTACTGGTAACATCTCTTCCCTAGGTGTGTGACCTTGTCATTTCCACAAATGGTGGCTTCTCTTCTCCCTCCCACAGCACTCAGAGGCATTTTGTCATTAGAAAACCAAAGATTTTAAAGACAGCAGAGTCTTTTCTGCTAGGAAACCCATCTCCTCCTCATGATCGTGTCTTGAGGTCTGAATAAATGTGAATGATAAAGTCACGTTTCAAAACAATACTAAAGTTCAAATATGTTACCATCATTTTGAGGAAGTTAAACAAATTATTAATCTGTATCACCTGTAAATAATATATTTCCTGCATCCTTCATCATGCTTTTTATAAGAAAGAACAAAATGTGAAACAGGAATATCCTGGGAAGATTAAGTTAAAATGTTTGTAAACATGAAAGTATGGTCATTAACACTAATATCAGTTAAAACTACAGTAACAGTAAACAGTAAGTTTGAAGCTGGAAAAAATTAATAGAGTCAAATTTTGAATCTAGTTCTACTTTTATTATCTAGTGAGTCGAGCCATTAAGAAAGAACACAGTGTAATAAAATAGAAAAGTTAGCCCATGAAACACTCCACCTTCTCCCGTCCACATCACAAACATTTCCTAAGGCAATGGAGTTAAAGAAATGAAACAAATCAATAGTTTTGTTCAGAAGACATACTTTGTAACTGAAATTTCTTCAACGTTATTTATTAAGCACCTCCTACATACATAGTCTTCTAACACAGTGACTCTGGAGCTTTGGTGTATGTCAGAATCACCTAGAGGGCTTCCTAAAACAGACTGCTAGGCCCATCCCCATGGTTTCGGATTCAGGATGTCTGGGGTGGCCACCTAAGAAGGCTCCAGGTGCTGCTCCTGTTCCAGGAATCATACTCTGAGAACCACTGTTCTAACAGAAGCACTGAAAGGTCTTTTAGTGGGGGAACAGAGGAGGCAGCAGCACCAGACTTGAGAAGTGAAATATCGAATATTTCAGACGCCGAGGCAATCACTTCAAAAGGGACTTGAATATCCTACAGAGCTTGAACATTTCAGAAACTGCAACTGAACCCTCAGGTGATAAAGGGATTCTGAAGTCACCTTTTTGGAGAACACTCAAATTTCCACTGGGCGAAAAGCATGGGGAAGTATTTAATACTAAGAATCATACTTGGAAATGTAGCCTCACTATTTCAAAAATTTGCTTTTGTCCTTTCCTATTTCCTAACAATTAACTGCAAGTTAAGTTATCGTTCTACCAAACTAGAAATACTGGGAGAAAACCCTGGTTCTTAATTTGAAGATGAAAACTGAATCATCAGGGAACCTTCACGCACTCCTGCTTCTCCCAGCCCTTTAGTGTGTGAAAAACTTTGTTTTGTTGGTAAAGACAATAAAATTTTATTATCAAAGATTGTTTTACTATATAACAGTGCTATTAGACAAGTAGATAACACAATTCCTAATTTCTACATTTTAAAAATATGTATATTTATTCAAATCAATAAACACTATGTTACATTTACTTCTGCCAGATACTAACTATGCTAGGTCCACCATATGTACAAACACAAATAAGATGAGAATTCTGTCCATAAGAAGCCAAGTATTATTTAGGATTACAAACCTTTGGTTAATTTTTCAACATGCTTCTGGAGCTCAATGTCCACATTAAAATGAACATATGTATCTTCTTTTCTTGAAGCCACAGGAGTATCTTGCACAGGAGTTAAGTCTATGCCATTCAGATCTAAAGAGAAAAGAAGTTTCTCTTTAGGAACATTCAAATATACAGACTTAAAAACTGCAGGCCAGGCACGGTGGCTCACGCCTGTAATCCTAGCACTTTGGGAGGCCGAGGCGGGCAGATGACAAGGTCAGGAGATCAAGAACATCCTGGCTAACATGGTGAAACCCCGTCTCTACTAAAAATACAAAAAAAATTAGCCGGGTGTGGTGGCGGGCGCCTATAGTCCCAGCTACTCGGGAGGCTCAGGCAGGAGAATGGCGTGAACCCAGGAGGCGGAGCTTGCAGTGAGCCGAGATCGCACCACTGCACTCCAGCCTGGGCAAAAGAGCTAGACTCTGTCTCAAAAAAACAAAAACCTGCAAACTAGGTAGGGCACGGTGGCTCACACCTGTAACCCCAGAACTTTGGGAGGCTGAGGCGGGTGGATCACTTAAGGTCAGGAGTTCAAGACTAGCCTGACCAACATGGGGAAACCCCATCTCTACTAAAAATACAAAAAAAATTAGCCAGGCGTGGTGGTGCACACCTGTAATCCCAGCTACTTGGGAGGCTGAGGCAGGAGAATCTCTTGAATCCGGGAGGCAGAGGTTGCAGTGAGCCAAGATCGCGCCACTGCACTCCAGCCTGGGCAGTAAGAGTGAAACTCTGTGTCAAAAAAACAAAAAACAAACAAAAAAACCCTGTCAACTACAGGGCGTATATTTCATAAGGATGCTTGCAGAAAGGTAAGAGGAAATTCTTGGGCTAACAGAAATTCCCATTTGGTGTGAGCAGGTACCTGAAGAGTTGCAGGTGACCACAGAGGCATGTGGAGGGGGCTGAGTGAGGGGATGGGAGATTTCGCGGTGGGAAGGAGGAAACCTGTCTCAATCAGGTACAAAAGAAAGCTTGTAGAACACAAAATTTCATCTTTATAGGGAAGAAGTGAAAAGAACTTTTTGTTTTCCTTAGGAGATAGGCCACTATATTTTTGTCTGCAATAAAAACTTAGAATGTAAATAATATGCCTCAATGGGACCTTACCCCTAATTTCCAAACTTGATCAAGTGTATGGTTTGGAAAGACCTTTAAATCTAACATTATCAGAATCCCCCTGCTGTATTCAAGTCAAAGGACCAAAAATGGACATGAAAATTGCCAATGAAACCCTTCCATCAATGAATACGTTTTTACAAATATTATCTAAATTCTCATTATATTTGTTGTAACAACCTGTTTTATACCAACTAGAAAGAACACTAAGTTATTGTGTATGGTTTTAATTTCCTGGACCCAGGAATCTTCCAGTTTAATCAAATTCAACATGGACTCATTTAATGACTACTCAAGTGTTTATGTATTATTCAACAGATTTGTCTTAGAGAACTTAAAACAATATAGTACATTGATTGTTTCAGTTCTTAAAGATATTTACAAAAACATGTTTTAGTTCAACATGTATGCAAAGGTAACTTAACAGTTACTACACTATCATTAAACATCTTTTTGTTTTGGTGTACATTCCTGCATGAGTTACGCAGTTCTGTAAATGACCTATCAAACTATAATGTAGAGTATATATACTTTCCAGTAGGCCATATATTTGATACCTGATAACATCAGAAGTTAAAGTTTCACAGCATTAATGCTGTGGATCACGGTCTCCAAATAATCCCTCTCTGTGGCAGAATTCCTTTTTATTTTAATTGGTACTAATGAACTTTTGAATCTGAATTTATTTCTATGACTGACAAAAGTTCTCTTCATTTGATTTCAGCCCCTATCTGTTTCTCTGACTTGCCTCAAATTACAGATTAAAGTAAACCACTTGGATTAGCTGTGCAGTTGTTTCTGGATAGGAGTATGACAACTTCATTCTCAATCACCCAATAATTATTTTTAAAAGACTGTTAACTACTTCATAAATAAAGTACTGTATAAAATGTTTGGCAACAATAAAAGAATTCAACCAATGTGGTTTCCCTTTGAAAGACTGAAAATGTTGTTTTTAAGGAATAAATGAACTGCCACACTGGATAGGAGAAAAAAACCAAATCCTAAGAATAATCATGCTTCCTAACCACAGTAACATAGTTAAGGATAAGAAATACTTCACTTGTTGAATGCTCCATAGGATTACATTCAGAGCATGCATACTATGGATCTATCCTTGCTTCCTGTCCTCACTGATGATTCACTTAAGGCCTGATTCTCATCCACCTTTGTAGGACTCTCCAATGTAGACCTCTCTCTTGGACAGGAAGGAGAAGGCCTAATGCAGGAGGAATCGGGAAACAGAACACTGGGCTTTGCAAACAAACCTACACATCTTTGGAAGGTGAGGGACATTCTGTTAACCTGTATCCTAAAGGATGTATCTGCTGTTAAAGATGTGTAGCCAGCACCCCAGATGGGATGTTAAGAATAAAAAGATACACACAAAGAAAAACTCAAAAGCAAAACAATGTAAGTTATAAATAAGAAAATAAGTAAATCTCTCAGAAGTGTTCTGTGAAGAAGTGATGACCTCTTCCAGGGACTTTGCCTCATGATAGAATGAACTAAAATGAGTTGTCACATACATAAGACTCCCCGCCCCACCACCAAAATAAAACTGTCCCAAATGAGAAGCAACATTATAAAATTCACCTGAGAAAAAAAAAGTAAACAGAGTCACTTACCCTTTACACTAACTGTAATATAGGGATCGATGCACTGCCCAGCATCTTTCAAACCAATTTTCTCAATTCTGATAGTGAGTAATGTCATTCCTGGTTCCGATGGCAACCTTGGTAATAAAGTACCTGGCAACAGAGAAAAAGCAATAAAAGCTCCATATCATTTCACAGTAAACATTTTAATGAACACAGAGAAGATACAGCCTTGCTTGTAACTGACTTAGTAACTAGCCAGGCATTATTTTGGTTCCCGAAACTCCCAAACGCTTGGCATTATTTTTCCAAATGTTTAATTATATGTAAGAGAAATCTGCACTTCCATGTCTCATAGTCACCACTAAAGCAGAAATTATTCAAGTCTGGCAGAAATTTAAGTCACTCCAGGAAGCCCAATTATAAATTACCACATAATTAATAATAAACTCACATACATACACTTTGTATATGCTCATTTATATAATATACTTCTCATCTCAATATGAAGTGGTAGAAGAAAAAACTTTAAAAATATTTGTTATATTATCCTAACATTTGAGAAATATAATACCAGAGTTGATCAACAAATGCTTTACTTTTTTTTTGACACAGTGTCTCACTCTGTCACCCAGGCTGGAGTGCAGTGGCACAATCACAGCTCACTGCAGCCTCGACCTCCCAGGTTCAAGCGATCCTCCCACCTCAGCCTCCCGAGTACCAGGGACTACAGGCATTTGCCACTAGTTACTATTGATATAGGAAATAATTTACAACTTAATAATTGTGTATTTAATGGAATAATTTTACAGTCTAATTTCCCATTCTTTTCCTTATGAACACTGAAGCAAAAAAACCACAAAAAAAAACAAACAAAAAAAAACCCATCCGTTGAAATTGCAATGAAGTTTAGATCAATTTTAGAAAGAACCACATCTTTAGAAATTGCTTCTTCCAATCCATCAACTGATATCTCTCAACTTTTTAAAGACTTCTTAATTTTCTCAATAGAATTTTTTTCTTTTCTTCACAAAAGTCTTATACTTCTTTTGTTGGGTTTATTATAAGATACTTGATATTTTCTGATACTATTATAGACGTTATAATATTTCATTTTCTGAGCACTTATTGCTTATTTAAAGAGAGAGGATCGATTTTTTAATAATACCTCTGCTGGCAGGAAGAACTGATTTTTATGTACAGATTTTATACTCAGGAACCCTACTCTCTTATTAATACTAATGACTTATCCATAGGTTCTCTTTCATGTTCTAAATACATATTCATAACATCTGCAAATAAAGGGACAGGTTTCCCCCCCTCTAATTTTTATATTTTATTTCTTTTTCTTATACTAGTACACTGGCCAGAACTTCTAAAGCACTGTTGAGGAAAATAGTTAACAGGAGGCACCCTTGTTTTGTTCCTGATCTGAAAAGGAAAGCTTTCCATTTTATCATTAAATATGACTGAGGCGCTAAATGTCATTACAGCTACCTTTTATCAGATTAAGAATGTTCTGTTCTTGGTCTGCTAAGAAAGTTTTAAAATCATGAAAGAAATTAGAATGTAATTGAAAAATTTTTCTGCATCTCTTGAGATCATGGGATTCTTCTCCTTAATCTGCTAATGTGAATTACCTTGATATATGTATCTTGCTGATTTAACAATATATTCTGAAAAAAAAAATCACTCAATAGTTCATGGAGATTTTCCTAATTATTTTCTGTAATAGTCCATGTATTGGCTATTTATTCAGCCAATCTTCGTATGGCAGTTAGGTTGTTTCTAATATATTACTATTACCAAAAACACCTCAATAGAGAACCTGGTGTATATGTAAGTATTTAAAAAAAAATTTTTTACACATTATTGGAGGTGTATCTTCAGAGTAAATTCCTAGGAACAGGATTGCTAAACTAAGAAAAATTGTATATTTTTGTTGTTGCTGAGCTATTGCTGAACTCTCCTTTAAAGGGACTATTACCACTTTCTATTCCCACCAGTGATAAATGAGCCCATTTCCCTGTTGTCTCAGCAACAGGGAACTGCCATATAAGGCATCTGCATGTCTTTTATCATATGTAAAGTTGAGTATCTTCTAATACATTTAAGAGCTATTTGTATATCTTGGGGTGTGTGTGTGTGTGTGTGTGTGTGTGTGTGTGTGTACTATCTGTTCATGTCTTTTGCCCAATTTTCTAATGTGTTTGGGGTCTTTGTTGTCACAACTTAAAATTTTCTTTATATATTAAGAATATTAGTCGTTTGTCATTTTGATTTTGATTATGGTGTTTTCTGACAGACAAAAGAGACAAGTTCTTTTTATGATAGACTATTTTCTCCCAAGTAAACATTAAAAATTCTTCTACCTTTAGGTGAATCAGTTTCATAACCTGTAATTGTCTAGATCTTTTAGTTGAAATAATGAGGCTGACATTTCTTTCTTCCTTACCAACAAACTTTTTTTTTGCCTGAGAATATAATAAGGTTTAATCTAACTACTAAATATATTTCTAACAATGTAATATGGAGGCAGTGATTCCAAGCTGGAAAGATACTTAATTTATTCAGTTCTTCCCTAATTCAAGGTAGAACATAAAACATTTCATCTCCACCATGAAGGTTCAGTAGTTTTATCTTTACTAAGGAACAGCTGAAGCTATGTGATTAAGACGACAGGTAATAGAGAAAGGTGTATTTCTCAGTGGTTTCTAATGTGCTCTCTCCCTGCCTAGTCAACTCCTACACTCCCTTTGAGTCTCAGTTCTGGCTAGATTACCTTTGCTAAACTCTGTCAGTCCTTTTTTCGTTCACTCATAATATACTGTGTCCACCTCTAACCATGATGATGTACTTTTTTTGGCTCTGTCTTACATGGTGAGCATCCTGAAAGACGGGATGAGTAACTGTTCATTTTTGTATTGTTTTCACTAGTAATAAAGAGATCTTTGTTTTAGAACTCTTTTATCATTTGTTGAATGATAAATGAATTTTACAGTTCTAGAGGTTATTATGCTCTATAAACATGTGGCCTGAAAACATATATCAATGTACTGCCTTATATAATATGCACGAAAGAAGATAAAATACTAGGATAATACCACACCATTCCAGGGTTAGATGAAAAAGTTAACATATTTGTGTATCAAAGATAAAAACATACAATAATTAAAAATCAAGGCAATGTATTAAAAGCAAGATTTCTAAAAGAAGAATGAACACATTCAACTGTATAGAGTAATATGAGAATAAGTAACTACATTTATAAAACTTGAAGACTGTAACTGAAGTAAGAAAAGAAATCATACATGAGCCATGAAAAACTGCGTGTTTCCAGCTAGATCATTTGCTGTTAGATCTAAAGTGAGGATCAGAAATAATAAATGTTCTTCCATATGGAAAAGCTGCATAAATAATAAACAGCCAACTTTTACAGAACATGTCAGGGTGTGCCAGGCACTGTTCTAATCCTTTACATGTACTAACTCATTTAATCCTCCCAACAACCCTATAACACAGGTGCTATAGCACCCTATAACAAGGTGTCCCATTTTTTCAGAAGTGAAAACTAAGACAGAAAAGTTAAGTAATCTGCCCACAATCATATAGCAGTTTGGCACGGGATTCCATGCTTGTAACCACCACACCTCATTTGGCCATTTCTTCATTGTCCATAGAGCCTACACAGGAGCTGTGAAATGACCTCCCCATCTCAAGGTCCTTCACATAATCACATCTGCAAAGTCTCTGTTGCCGTGTAATGTAAGAAACATATGCACAGATTCTGAGGATTGGGATGTGGACATCTTTGGGAAGGGATGCATTATTTCTGCCTCACACTTCTAAATATGAAAAGCTCTGTATGGCTACAACTGTCTAAATCAAGATTTCTCAACCTGGGTTCTGTGGAATCCCAGGGTGTCCCTGAACTCGCTAGGAGCTCCACGCAAAAGAGTGATTTCTATCAATGCACTGCCTTTAAATATGCACTAAAGACAATAAAATACGAGGATAATACTACACCATCTGCAGCCCCTGCAATGGGCTTTGTACACTGAGCAATGCAGGTTCACAGTGATGGAAAGAGACTATGCAGCCCCTATAGCAATTTTATTATAGGTCTTTGAGCCTCATATGGCAGTAAGCAGTTAAGATTATGTTCACTTGACTTGGTCCATTTAGTATTTTTTTTTTCAGGAGACAGGGGAAGCCACTGGTAGCTGATGAGCTCTATACAGCAGTCTGACGTCAGCCTCTTCAGCTTTACCTGCCCCAACCTTCCCTTATGCACCAACAGCTGAAGCAAACATGCTCTACTTGTAGCAAAGAAAACTGGAGGAAATTTTTCAATTCAATGTGATTTCTAAAGAAGAGGTATGAGCTAGGAGAGGAAGGTTCTAAGCCTAAGCATAGAGACAATTCTCCCTAAGTAAAAACAATGAATTTCAAGCTTCTGAATCATTTCACTGCACTAGTGCACTGGGAAAAACAAAAAAGTCCATTTAATGATGAGACCTACTTATTAATATGGTTGTACCTGGATGGATAATTTCCAAGTTGCCTCATCTGTGAAAAACACTTTATCAATGCAGCAATGGATCCAACAAAATCGAGAAATCGCAACTACAAGTCACAACCATTGATAAGTAAAGACACCGATTATTTTGATATCCTAATGGCCATTTAAAATAGAGTAAAGCTTTTTTTTTTTCTAAAGTAATGTTCACTTAAAAAAGGCTCAAAAAGGAAATTACTTAGTAGCAGAGCTTAATGCCCAGAGGAAGAAAAGTCACACAGTGGGCAAGGATCTCATAATGCCTGCATGTGAAATTACAAGACGTTTTTAGCACAAGATATAGTATAAGAAATTTAAAAGGCTCTATTCCCAAACCGCGCAATAAGTGGACACAAGAGATGACTTTTCATATCCTGAAGAGGTTTTGTGATAAACTATAAAAAAAAAGCTTCTCTATTGAGTCTAAAAATTTTACCAATAAATGACATGCTATAGCATTTGTAAGGTCTATAAAGAATGGTGTACTCAAGAAAACTGTTTCTGCTGTGAAGTCCCCAAACAAGCAAAGGCCAAGCTGGATTTCACGCCCTGTCCTCACGTGTACCTCTGAGGAACTGCCCTGGGCTGTACACTGTGGTGTCAAACAGAAAACGCTGACACTGTCAACTCATGGCTTTCTTCACTGAAGTGCTGCTATCAAAATTCTCACAAATAAAATGAAAACTGGTTCTAGGTATCAGAGAAATGGCTAAGTTTATTCAACAAAGACCAGTTCACTCAAGAATGTTTTGAAAATTGGCCGGGCATGGTGGCTTACACCTGTAATCCCAGCACTTTGGGAGGCCAAGGTGGGTGGATTACCTGAGGTCAGGAGTTTGAGATCAGCCTGGCCAACATGGTGAAACTCTGCCTGCACTAAAAATACAAAAATGAGCCGGTGTGGTAGTGCATGACTGTAATCGAAGCTACTTGGGAGGCTGACGCAGGAGAATTGCTTGAACCAGGGAGGCAGAGGTTGCAGTGAGCTGAAATTGTACCACTGCACTCCAGCCTGGGCGACAGAGCGAGACTGTCTCAAAAAAAAGAAAAATAAAAGAACGTTTTGAAAACTGTACAAGTGTCTAACCTAGCAACAGGGCAGGCTCTCAGAAGAGTGTGTTATAGCCACTGCCACCATGGGGAGGGGATGTGGACTGTGCAAGCAAGTCCTCTGTCCATGCTGGCCATGTGAATCCCCAGATGACCACCAAGGTGTCCAGCAATCAGTACCACTCTCCCTCCTACAGCTGGTACAGAGAAAAGCGGAGGAACATCTGAGGCCCCTCACTTACAACTTCTCTGTTCCAAGAGGAAGCTGATAAAAATGGAGATCCCAGCAAGGAGTAGGATCTTCTCACATTGACTAGTTCTGTGTGTGGCCAAAGGCACTCTGGACAATGGAGATTACGGAGAACCAGACTATGAATGGATGAGGAGTCTGGGGTTACATGGAAGGGACTTGAAGTCAGTGAAATCCTTTAAGACCCTGTCTTCACACAGAGAAGAGGAAGGCTGCCATTTCCTTTTTTGTCTTATTATTTCTGCTTTTAAAAAAATTGCTACTGTTTACATCATATACCACCACCAAAGGAAAATTTTTCTTTTGGTCCAGAAGGGCAAATGGCATGATGGTCTTTGTTCTAAAATAGTAGTATATCACCACCTAGACCAGAACGTTAAAGAGGCAATGCCTTCTCAGAAAATTACTAAGGATTGTATCTTCTGAAAACATCGTGATTTGAATTTGCTTATTAAGTTTATTTGATTTTTATATGATATTTTATAGATGCTTGTCACAGGCACTGGTACTTCAATGAGAGGTCAGTCCTTATGTTGCCTTGGTGCTTTGAAAATTAAATGTCATGAACAAAGAGTACATAATTTTTTATCCACACTTTTAGGACAGAATTCAATCAGGTGTCTAAAATGCAAACTCAACATTATCATAATATATACATATGATAATATATATACCCATGATAATATATGCATTGCTAGTTTCCACCATTTTTAACTTATCATACTTGTAATTAAATTTGCATATCTGGTACATATCTGATTTTCTCAGTCATCCAAATTTTTTTTGAGTATATATTTCTTTGTGCTGCCAAAACATAATAAAAATATACATACTTGATAATGCTTTGCATTATTTTGAGATAATTTTTAACACAGTTTAAGGTAAAGATACTGCTCAAACTGGCTACAATATTTGGTAGATGGAAGATAACACATGAAATGTGTCTTGAAAATCTGGCAATAGAAAATCTTTGCAATTTGCATTGCACATAGATAACAGGTCATAGTGATACCATTTATTTGTTTGAATTGCTGAGTTACATTTAGAGATAGAAATCGTTGTAAAATATTAAAATACATATGCAATTTATTTTAGCTAGCAATTGATAAGCAGTTGAGGAACATGGGTTCCTCAAGCTTTTAAGAGAAAGGCTTTGAAATTATAAGTTTGTTCATTTTGAAATTATCTTAAAAGTTTGACAAAATCTTAGGGGCCATTATCATTGAAATAATATCGTATGTAGGTCTGTTGAATTAAAACTATACCTGATTAAAGTTGTTTGTAAACACAACCATACACTTCAGATGATATTAACTGCTTGGCCCCTAAACATGTTCTGGATTTCCACAAAAAAGGAAAGCCCTGATAGTCACAGGAAAGCAATGAACATTTGCTGCAGTTTTTGACTTTCTTACATGTGTGTTAGCAAGAAAAGAAACTGCTTCATTTCAGCGGAAAATAAAATCCATGCTTTCTTATCTTTCAAGTTCAACTCAGAATTGAATAGTTATGCAGCAGAAAACAAATACAGGTTTGACATTAAATAGGTAAATTTCATTCTTTATTTTGAGTTTCAAAAATAATGTTTTATGCATACATAAGCCTACGTAAGAGATGAAGAACCAGTACCTATGTATAATAATTCTGAAACTGCTAGGACTATTTGAGCTTGGATCATGTTACTTAGTAAGAAAATCTTTTTAAAAGTCTTGTGTAAAGTTGTGTCTTGGCTATTTTTAAAGTTATATTGCTTTGGTTTATCATTTTATAGCTTTACTATTCAAGACTATCAGTAAATTTTTAGGTTATAAATAATAGGCTATAAGCTTATACTTTCTATTTAAATGAAATCTACCAAGACTATCTTTAGAAAAGTTAACTCCCATTTTGGCTAAGCCAATTATATAACATAAATATGTTTGTCTTAAAAAATTTAAATATTTTGAAAAGGAAGGAAGGAGATTAATATCAAGAAAGGTAAGTAAGCTTGACTACCTTTTTTTTATTTTCATGAAAGGCTGGCTAAAAAGTTTTTAATTTTAAATTTTAAATCAGAAAAAAACTATTCTTGGTCATTCCGTATCTACATACCATACATCATACCCTCACACCTCATTATCTTAACAGTGGTAGTGGTTAGTATATGAGTTGGTCAAAACTCATTAAAGGTACATATTAAAAAGAATGAATTTCTTTTTTTTTTTTGAGACGGAGTCTGGCTGTTGTTAGCCTGGGTTGGAGTACAATGGCACAACCTTAGCTCACGGCACCTCCGCCTCCCAGGTTCCAGCAATTCTCCTGCCTCAGCTTCCCAAGTAGCTGAGATTACAGGTGCCCACCACCACGCCTGGCTAATTTTTGTATTTTTAGTAGAGACGGGGTTTCACCATGTTGGCCAGGCTGGTCTCGAACTCCTGACCTCAGGTGATTCACCTGCCTCGGCCTCCCAAAGTCTTGGAATTACAGGCATGAGCCACTGTGCCCAGCCAAGTGAATTTCACATATGTAAATATCCTAGTAAAACTGATTTTAAATTTTGGGTTCCCTTTGGGTAACAAGAAAGTTTTTCTTGCTCTATAATTAAAAGTTAAGTATCATCTTGCTATTTCAATGACATTTTCAATGAATATAATTTTACAAGTTATTTTTTAATAACACAGGCCCTGAACAATATGATCCCAAACCAAATATAGCTAATTAAACCATACATACTCTTTCTTTTAGGGGGGAAAAAAATTCAGGGACTAGAAAGGTTCAGTAAGGCATCTGTATCTCTGAAATGAAATATCACAATGCTATATCAGAATACAAATTCAGTTTGGGCTTTATCTTACATAGCAAATGGATTTAATTTATGGTAGAAGTTCCTTTTCAACTTAGCAACCTGAACCCCATAAAGACCTTAATCTGCCCACTTCATGATTTACATCATCTGCTTCTTGTTTGCTACAGAAGTACAGTAAGCAGGAAAACAACCAAATCAGATAGAAATTTATAGAACTGGAAGCTATACCAATTACAGTATGTGGTTTGAAACGGCAATAAAAATTATCGAGTCAGTGAAACAGCAAAATATCTCACCATCTTGGCAACCTTGAAATACCCTATAAAAGCAAGAAAAATATAGCTCTATCTTCATAAAGCAAAGTAAATTGGAAATAATGCCCTTGTACCAAAGAAACATTATTAACAATAAGAGCTACCATTGATAGTGCCTGCAATGTTTCCAATAACCCTGCAGTATAGGTACTGTTATCCCCATGTAGAGAGGATGACAAGCGTAACAGCCACCACTAATATTCAGCATATGAAAAATACAATGCTAAATGGTTTATACTTAGTATCTTGTTAATCTTCACAGTAACCTTATGAGTTAGGCACTATCATTATCCCATTTTATAAAGAAACAGAAGTTCAGATTGGTTTAGGACACAGGTGCAAAGTCACTCAACTAGTAATTGGCAGAGCCCAGACTCAAAAGCCCAGTTATCTGTTGGTCCAAGCCTATATTGTTCCTACTCCAAATGACTACTGTTCAAGGAGTATTCAAAATACTGGAATATTAATTATGAAGAAAGCTATCTGAACAGCACACAGATTGTATTTAACTATAATGGAAAGCTTCTAGAATCTCTTCTAAAATGCATCACAATATTATAGCAGATTGCTATACTTCCTAAAGTAAACTAGTTTATTAGAAATAAAAACTGTACTTTATAAGAACAGAACAGAGTAAAGCAGTAATTGGGAGAGGCAAGAAATTTACCCAGGGTGCTTGCCAAGGTTATTTACAGGGAGGGAAGATACTCATGGAGAGCTTCCAGAAATAAAAAAGTTTCCGTATATTCTTTGCTTCCCTAAAACAAGATGGGGAAGAAAGGGCAATTGTTCAATATCCACTCCCATGGGTCCACTTTTAACCACCACAATTTGATTAATTAAAGAAGTACTTATGGCCGGGCGCAATGGCTCATGCCTGTAAACCCAGCACTATGAGAGGCTGAGGCAGGTGGATCACCTGAGGTCAGGAGTTCGAGACCAGCCTGGCCAACATGGCGAAACCCTGTCTCTACTAACAATACAAAAATTAGCCGGGTGTGGTGGCATGCACCTAGAATCCCAGCTACTTGGGAGGCTGAGATGCGAGAATTGCTTGAAACCTGGGAGGCGGAGTTTGCAGTGAGCCGAGATGGTGCCACTGCACTCCAGCTTGGGTGACAGAACGAGACTCTGTCTCAAAACAAAACAAAACAAAACAAAAGAAGTACTTATGACAGTCTACAGAAAAGAATTAACATAGCAGGCCTAAGACTGTTATTCTTAGAAAACCTCCTTGCCAGGTCAGCCCATGGCTGGCATCTGGGATCTTGGATTTGGGGAGGGTTCCCACCATTCCCTGATAAGAATGGTCACTGTGCCTAAACTGTGTGAACAATATGGTTTGTGCTAAACATCTTGTTTCTTCTGTAGTCTGGAATTGTGGTCTGTGCCAGGCAGAAGGTACCCACATAATCAGTCCCCAATAAAAGCTTTGGGCACTGACTCTAAAGAGCTTCTCTAGTAGACAACATTGTGCATTTCACATGTTGTCACAACTTGTTGAATGGGAAATTAAGCACATCTTATGTGACTCTACTGGAAGGGGATTCTTGAAAGCTTGCATCTGGTTTCCTCCAGACTTTGCACATATGCCTTTTCTGTTTGCTGATTTTGTTCTTGTGTTCTCTTGTAATGAATCCTAGCTATGAATACAACTACATAGTGAGCCTTGTGAGTTGTCCTAGTGAATCACTGAACATGGGAATGGTCCTGAGGACCCCTGACACAGATAGTAAGATAACTTCACACCATACTTATGAAATAGCTACTGCCAATAAAATTTGCCTAAGATTGGCATGAGCTTTAGAGTGGTTGTACTGCCCCACTAGCAAATACCAAAGAAAGTTTCAAACACCCTGACTCTGGTTGCAGTTAAATAATGTTTATTTTTAATAAGTGATACCTACCGGGAACTCTAGCAGGAAAAGAATCAGGAGACCCTGCTCCAGCACCACCCTCTTCTTCATCTTCTTCAAATTCCAAATTCTCTTCTTCACCAGGTGCCAAAATTCTTCTACACAAAAAAAGGGCAGAAAAAACAACAAACTGCAAAACTAAATATACTAGTGAAGCCTCACAGACACTCGTTTCCCAGGCAAGATGCTGATATAAAAAAATGCTGATAGGCCGGGTGTGGTGGCTCATGCTTGTAATCCTAGCACTTTTGGAGGCCGAGGCGGGCAGACTGCCTGAGCTCAGGAGTTCGAGACCAGCCTGGGCAATACGGTGAAATCCCGTCTCTACTAAAATACAAAAAAATTAGCTGGGCGTGGCATCGTGCACATGTAATCCCAGTTACTTGGGAGGCTGAGGCAGGAGAATTGCTTGAACCCAGGAGGCGGAGGTTGCAGTGAGCCGAGATAGCGCCACTGCATGCCAGCCTGGGTGACAAAGCAAGACTCCATCTCAAAAAAATAATAATACTGAAATAAAATAAAATGCTGATATACTGTTATCATTGTTGATGTCAATGATATCAATAATACCAAAGTTGATATTTAAGAAAACCCAGAACTATCTGAAAGAGAGGTATAAAATAAAATAAGAAAACAAATATAAATGTTTCTTTTACCTTAATGGGACAGGCTGAACATCAAATGGGAATTCTTTATTATATGTAAGAATATTCTTTAGGACTAGAATAAGAAGATAAAGAAACATGAATTCTTCCATGAAGCAAAATCAAAAATTATATCTTAAATGATTAATTTTTAATCAATTTTATTGTGCATATTAATATATATAAATTCCCAGCCTTACCACCATTTGAGAGCTACACAGTACATTTGTCCACTGAAGTCTTAGCAAAATTAAAATATCCATGATATACTCTAGGTACCAGTATCTTCAGAGTAATGTCAGATCTCCAAGAAGAGTAAGTTCCAGAGTCTCAGAGCCCTCATGAAAACTGAGTCCTATCTACAAGTTCCTAGGTGAGACATGGGGTACCAGAAAAAGAGAATGCCTCCTCCCTATAGTACTTTAATTAAAAGATTTGAGCCTGGGCAACACAGGGAGACTCCTATCTCTACAAAATAAAAATAAAAATTAGCCAGGCATGGTGGCGCAGGTCTGTGGTCCCAGCTACTCAGGAGGCTGAGGTAGGAGAATCACCTGAGCCTGGGAGGTCAAGGCTGCAGTGAGCCATGATCACGCCATTGCAAGAATGATACTCTGTTTCAAAAAAAGTTGTATAAAAGATGCCCAGTTAGAGATACATGAGTACATTTTATTCTCTGTCCTGAGATTTCCTCTCAATGCCATCAAACTGGTAGTTTGTAGCAGCAAGGTTATAATTCTCATATTTCTTTTATGATAAAATTTATTATACTGAGTCCTGGCATTCTGAGTCTTAAAAAATTATTATAATCAGTCATGCACCACATAATAATGTTTCAGTCAGCGACAGACCACATACATGACAGTGGTCCCATAAGATTACAATGGAACTGAAAAATTCCAACTGCCTAGTATAAACTGTACTTTTTATAGTATATTGTTTACATAGAACTTACTGTACTTACTACATTTTTTGTCATTATTTTAGAGTGTACTTCTTCTACTTACTAAAAAAAAGTTAATTTTTTTTTTTTTTGAGACAGAGTCTCGCTCCGTTGCCCAGGCTAGAGTGCAATGGCATGATCTCAGCTCACTGCAACCTCTGCCTCTCAGGTTCAAGCAATTCTCCTGCCTCAGCTTCCCGAGTAGCTAGGATTACAGGCATGAGCCAACAAACCTGGCTAATTTTTGTATTTTTATAGAGACGGAGTTTTGCCATGTTGGCCAGGCTGGTCTCGAACTCCTGACCTCAGGTGATTGCCTGCCTCAGCCTCCCCCCAGAAAAAGTTAATTATAAAACAGCCTCAGGCAGGTCCTTCAGGAGGTATCAGAAGAAGGCATTGTTATCATAGGAGATGACAGCTCCATGTGTGTTACTGCCCTGGAAGACCTTCCAGTGGGACAAGATGTGGAGGTGGAAGACAGTGATATTGATGATCCTGACCCCGTGTAGGCCTAAGCTAATGTGTGTGTGTGTGTGTTTCTTAGTTGTTAAAAAAAAGTTTAAAGAGTAAAAACAAAAATTAAAATAGAAAACACTTATAGAATAAGGACATAAAGAAAAAATATTATTGTGGCTGGCGCATTGGTTCACACCTGTAATCCCAGCACTTTGGGAGGCTGAGGCAGATGGATCCCTGGCAGACAGGAGTTTGAGACCAGCCTGGCCAACACAGTGAAACCCCATCTCTACTAAAAATACAAAAAAATTAGCCAGGCCTGGTGGCACACGCCTGTAATTCCAGCTACTCCAGAGGCTGAGTCATGAGAATTGCTTGAACCCAGGAGATGGAGGTTGCAGCGAGCGGAGATCATGCCACTGCACTCCAGCCTGGTCAACAGAGCCAGACTGTCTCAAAAGCTGTCTCAAGAAAAAAGAAAATATGTATGTGTGTGTGTGTATATATATATATATATATATATATATATATATATATATACACACATACACACACACACATATATATACATATATATGTATATATATGTATATATATATACACACACACACACATATATATACACACACACACACGTATATATATTTGTACAGCTGTACAAAGTGTTTGTATTTTAAGCTAAATGATATTACAAAAGAGTCAAAAGTTTTAAAAAGTTAAAGTTAATAAAGTTTATATACAGTAAACTAAGGTTAATTTATTATTAAAGACAGGATAATTTTTACAATAAATTTAGTTTAGCCTAATTGTACAGTGTTTATAAAGTCTACGGTAGTGTACAATAATGTCCTAGGCCTTCATATCCACTTATCACTCACTCACTGACTCACCCAGAGCAACTTTCAGTCCTGCAAGCTCCATTCATAGTAAGTACCCTATAAAGGCATACCATTTTATTATCTTTTATATGTACTTTTACTATCCTTTTTCTACTATGTTCAGATAGGTTACATACATAAAAACTTACCACTGTGTTACAATTGCCTACAGTATTCAGTACAGTAACAGGTTGTAGAGGTTTGTAGCCTAGGAGCAATAGGCTATACCATATAGGCTATACCATCTAGGTTTGTGTAAGTGCACTCTATGATGCTCACACAACAAAATCACCTAAGGATGTATTTCCTTGAGTGCATCCCTGTCATTAAGTGACAAATGATTGTATATATACACATGTACTTCCATATTTATATACACACATTCACAAAGAGGGATTTATCCTGAAGAGAAGACTTCAAACAATATGGGACCACCTCCTGTGTTCTGGCTGTGACCAATCTGTATTTCAATGATTACATTCTGGCATGTAAACTTAAAGAGAGGCATCTTACAATTCTAGCTACCTCTGAAGGGTATGTATGTAATTCAGTTTCATTTCTGGCCTTATGGGTGCCCAGTAACTACTCGTGATTACATTAAAGTGAATTCATGGCATAAACTGGAAGACCTAAAAGGCTTCCATGATTTTGTACTCAGTTTACTCAATCTTTAATTTTGGAGTCCTGCAGTTTAGAGCTAAAATGGGTGTGGCATATTGGCATCCCAAAGGAGGAAATCCAGAGACTGCATGTTGCAATTCCGTGACTTACTCCAACATTCCTTCATCTTATTCTTATATTATAATCTATACGTTTATATGTATATAATCTTATAATATATACTCTTCATACATATAATCTATACCTTCTTATATATATAATCTTATATACATAATCCACAGTATATTCATTCTTATGTATGTAATCTATACCAAACCCTCCTGTGAGAAAGAACTCTGAGGCTGGTGTCTAGATTCTCATTCATTCTCTTTCTTTCTTCTTCTCAACAAATATGGATTGAGTGCCTATAATGTTCCAATCACTGATTTAGATGCTGAAGAGAACAGTGATAAAGACAGAGAGTCTTTGCCCTCATATATGGATCTCAGACTCTCATCAGAAAAAGCAATAAGCCAACAAGTAAGAATGTAACTGTGATTAGTGTTATAAAGGACACAAACAGGATGAGTGTGTAAATGGATTAAGTAGAGAAGAGGGAAAACTTTAGCTAAGGTAGACAGGGTAAGCCTTTCAAAACCAAATTATTAGAAGACATTTGAGCCATGACCTAGGATGAGAGGAACCATATGCAGGCAGCTGTAGGGAAAGGGCTTTCCAGGGATTAGCGAACAGCCTGGAGCAACAACAAAGGCTCTGAGGCAGAAACTAGTCAGGCTTATTCAAGGAATAAATCAACTGTATAGCAGAAGTTTGATAAGCAAGGCAGAAGTGGCAGAAGATGAAAGTTAGAAGGTTTGAAATCAAATCCTAGCCCAAGAATTATGCCAAGACTTCAACATTCACATAGCCACTCTGAATCTCAGTTTCCTCAATTCTACAATGAGAACATTTCCTTCAGAGTCTGTTGTCAGAATTAAAATCACGAAATTACATAGAAAAATTTAAAGTACAAGTATAAACCTACATTATTATATAACTCATTCTCTACCACTATTTAGCCGACTAGAATCCTTGCATTTCAGATCTCACTAAAAAGCACTATTTTTAAAAAAAAAATTATAAGAACATCCTTTCTAAACTTCGTACATGATAGCTCATTGTTAGTAAATGGTTAATTCAACTCAATAAATATCAATTAATCACTAACATAATATTGTATTAGATACTAAGAATGGGAAAGGGGAACAGGTGACAAAAAAGACCATGTGTCAGTCATATCAGAAACAAAAACATATAGTAATATTTTAATAATAAAATGGGGGAAAAAATCAACCTTTACATTTGTATAAAACACCAACAAAAAAGCTGAAAACTGTATCAGTTACTAGGAGTATCTTCCCTTTGTATTGTAATAGAAGAATTAAACAGTATTTTCTTAGGTATCAATGTTTTGAAAAGGAAATGTTTGTTCTGGCATAATAACCTTTCATTATTTTGTTTTTACAAATGTAGAGTGTATCAAATATTTAATATATGTGGATAATGTTGGAAGGAAAAACAATCCTTTCTTATTTTCTGTAGGATAGGTTTCCATTTTCACCAATTATAGAATAACAGGGATTCCAATGTCCTTTAAAAACAGGATTTACCTTAAACTTTACATAGGGTTTTCCTTCCACTAGTACTACTAATTATACTTTAGGAGGATGCGGAGAAGGGGAGAGGTGAGTTTATAATTTCACAGAAGGTATTAAATGAACACAAAGTACATCATGGGTTGGGGACTCACTGGCTCATTCAGTAGACTCTACACACTGAGGACCTCTGAATGGCAGACGTGGGGATGTACCCTACTAGTAAAAACTCTGCACTCCTAGCCTGCTCTCACGGAGCACAGACCTGCCACCCTCCTGAAGCTTACACTCTAGAAATGACACACACACAAATATCAACATGTGTTCTCTTTGCCACTGACTTGTTTCATTTTTGTGGTAGGCAAAATGGGTAACTGTTCCCATCTGAAAGATTATTTTTTAATTATGAGAAGTTTCCCTGAAGACATTCAATTCTATTCAATGTAACAAAATTTGCCATGCCCATATTACATACAAAGCACTGAATCAGGCTCTGTGGGAAAAATACAAAGGTTATTCACAATCTCTTTGAGGAGTGAAATGAATACAGGGCAAACAATGAAGATGGATATAAAAAGTGTTACTATAAAAGATAGGAAGCCGAGTTTAATATGGCTAGGGGAACAGAGAAAGATGGGACATCTGAGGGACTTTGAAGGATGAATTTATGGAAGGGAATTTTACAGGGTCATGAAGAGATATGTTTGAGTAAGAAGTAGTATGTGACTGAGGATTATTATAAGCAAATTAAATGTATTTTCACCATCAGTATGAATTTCAGACATGATTTTCAAGAGATTTTTTAAAACTGAAGAATACATCAGCAAAACAACCAACCTAGTCCAACATACTGCAAGTTATAGTCATTAATTTTCCTTAGAAGTGGCTACTAAGGGCTGAAGTGAAACAGAGCAAATCATTTCAGCTTTGTTCAACTATAAAGTGAGAGAACTCAACTATATGACTCTTAAAACTCCTTTCTGTTCTAAAATGCTATGATTTTATGATTCCCTACTTAGATATTTGACTTAGATGGATAAATAGACTCTATATACATAATAATGTTAAGATGTGCAGTCTTGTCTCAATGAAAAATGAGAATATTGATTTATATTCATTTAGTTTTATATTCAACTCTTGTGCATTTGCCCATATTGCAAAGAACATTCATCTAAACCAGCAAAAAAGCTTTATTTGGCAGCATACTAACCATCAAAACATTTGAAGAAATTATTTACTTCAAAAGAGTTTTAAGGAGAAAGGAAAATGAAGACAACAAAAAAAATATTTTGCAGAGCAGCTCCAACAGCTGGACTGTAGTTTTCAATGACATGTAGTGTAAATGGGAATCAATGACTAAAGCTTTATATTCTCCAATAGATGCTGCTGCAAATGTTTACCAAAGTAATTGTGGTTTTATTAAAGTGAGTAAGACAAAATAAAGGCTAATACATATTTAGATGAGGTACAACCTCATATATTCTACAACGAAGGTAAAATCCAAAAAATAATTACTACAAATGTTACAGAAGTAACAAAAGCACCCAAAAAATCACATAGGACTAGATATTAACAGAAATAAATCAAATCATAATCTTTGTTAAATAGCCTTAACATCTACAATAGATTATTTTTCCAAAGGAGTATCACAAAAAAATATAAACTTAAACTTACTTGGTTCTAGCTTCTTCAGGTCCTCCAGTTTAAATTCTTCTTGAGACTGTGTGGACTAAATTTAAAATAAGCATATTACATCTTTTCACTACAAGGATTTCACTGCACCCTGTCTTTTAAGTGGCAAGAACCAAATATTCAAAAGGATTCTATTTCTTGCTTTCAAGGTAGAAAATGAAAAGTCCCAAACTGGTTTTTGTTTATTTTTGGAACACTCAGGCCAAAAATAACAGAAAAAATTGAAGTCATATCTTTTATTTTACAATTTACGAAATATGAACTAAAAAAGTATGAATTTAATAGATGTTGTTATAAAACACTTCTGAGACAATACTGCTTTTGACATAAATGTCTAATGTTTTATCACAATAATGCAGAATAATTTATTTTCCTTGTATTACAGAAGAGAAAAACTCCTTACCTGTAAAGCTGCACTTCGCAATTCCAAGCATGTTGCAATTTTGCCTATGGTTTTCTGCAGGGGAATAAAAAAAGCTATAAATACCAGAATTATCATAACTGTTAGTTCAAATCATCAAGTTAATTTTTATTAATAAAAGATCCATAATTCTCTTAAGTAAGTTAAATTTTATTTCTTTCTAGCATCTTTCAGACTCTAGAGAAAAGAAATAAGAGGCAAAGGGTTGGGATGAGGGAGAGAAGGTGAGTATATATTCTCCCCTGACCTAATGTGCCACAACTAATTCTAAATCAAGTTTGCTTTGATGACAGCTGTAGATATGATTTAAAGGGCTGCCTGGTATCTTCTGTTCCAAGCTTCACCTTTTCTTCTCCATAAAGCCTAAAATTCACCTTTTAAAAGGCTTAAAAATATCTGAAAGTTAGCACAATGGTATAATTAATTTAATTCTGACTTAAGTCCAACACCAACTTGTTTAATATATAGGCAACACTAAGCAAAACTGGTATTTGTGATAAACGGTAGTAAATTTTATAGTTGGATCTGTTTCATATAACATGAGCTATAAAATGGATATTAATGATAGGGCATAGATAGTGTTTGCCTTTAATAAGCTC
This sequence comes from Homo sapiens, assembly GCF_000001405.40. Classification (NCBI taxonomy): domain Eukaryota; kingdom Metazoa; phylum Chordata; class Mammalia; order Primates; family Hominidae; genus Homo; species Homo sapiens. The sequence continues at coordinate 222,694,827 of NC_000001.11, forward strand.
ATGTTGCATTAGGAGAGATAAGACACATACAGAATCACTATAAAATAAAGCAGACATTTGATTGTATGAACTTTAGCAAGGTATGCCACTATATGACCTAAAGAAACAGAACAAGATCTGTATTAGGAATCAAGCCCCAACGACCAGGAGGATTTCTAAAATTAAAGGGTTTAGAAAATTGTCATGGTTCAATTGTCTAAAGTCTCAAACTGAAAGCAGGCAGAAAAGTAAAGTTGAGAGAAGGGGGCTGTCATTCTGAGGTGGACCTTCAATAACCAGCTGAGGAATCTGTGATTACTTTAGCAGTAATTACACAGAAGGGATTTTTTTGTGTTTTGGTTTTCTCTACCTCTTTCAGATCTGCCCTTTAAGAAGACCATTGTGGCCGGGCGTGGTAGCTCACGCCTGTAATCCCAGCACTTTGGGAGTCCAAGGCAGGCAGATCACTTGAGGTTGGGGGTTCAAGACCAGCCTGGCCAACATGGCGAAACTCTGTCTCTACTAAAAATACAAAAATTAGCCAGGTATGGTTGCACATGCCTGTAGTCCCAGCTACTGGGAAGGCTGAGGCGGGAGAATCGCTTAAACCTGGGAGGCGGAGGTTGCAGTGAGCTGAAATCATGCCACTGCACTCCAGCCTGGGTAACAGAGTGAGACTCCATCTCAAAAAAAAAGAAGACTATTGTGATAAAAGTATACATAGGTTGAAGTAGGAAAGGGCAAAGACTAAAGGCAACATCAATCAGGTTATTTCAATTGTCCAGGTAAATAGTAATCAGAACAAAAATATGAATAACTAGGGTAGAAATTAAAGGGAGATTCATATAAGAAACATATATCAGGGCAGGCAGCTAATTATGCCCATCAAGGCTTTTAAGTCCTTCCAAAAGAGATACTTCTTAAGTTTTTATTAGGAATAAATCCAGATCATAAAAGTATTTATGCACAATGTCTGCAATGCCTGCACAATGAAATATTCTGGGAAGGAAAAAAGCATGTTTTTCTAAATGTATTGATAACTTGCAAAAGTTTAGTAAATTGGACTCGGTGGTTTTCTCTTTTATCAATTTTCTTTGGAAGGTGAATAAGGAGCAAATTGGAGTAACAAGTGCCATCCTGGCCCCTAGCACTTATGCAACTACCACATCTACAATAAACGGCGATACAACAACTCACAAAATAAACCACTACTGAGCAAGATACGACTCGATGCCGAAGAATAAGTGACAATATTGAACCATTTCCACAATCTCTAAAAATTAGTTTTAATCCCAACACAAGAGTTTAGAAGATGTCCAATTTTATTCTGAAAACTTACATTTAAAGATTACATTTGAAAATTACATTTATATGTGGCAACTGCAAAAGATTTCACGATATTCACAGATTTATTCACTCTCTCAAACAACTGTTGCATAGAAACCAGCAAATAGTCTTTTCTACGTAGAATCCAATATCCTCAAATTATTGTTATTCAAACACGCCACTCAATTCTAACAAAACTAGTAAATAATTCTAAACATAAATATAATAGTAATAGTAATGGCTAACAACTACTGAGCACTTACTAAGTGACAGGCTCTCCTAAGTGATTTACAAACAGTAATTCTTTTAATCCTCACTATAACTCTATGAGTTAGATAAAACCATTTTAAAAGTGTGAAAACTGAAGCACAGAGAGGTTAAGTAACTTGCCCTAGGCATCAATGCCTTCTCCCATCCAAGTATTAATCAGGACCAACCCTGCTTAGCTTCTGAGATCATACAAGATTGGGAGCATTCAGGGTGGTATGGTGGCAGACCAGCAATGCCTTCTATGCAATATAGCAATATATATAATAAAGCAATATTTTTATATCAATACCATTTAGCTATACTTTCATGTTCTTTGAAAACAGATTTTTAAAAAGAATTTTGTCTGTATTAAGTGAGATATGTCAATTACTAAGTCTTTTAAAGCATTACTTTCTTTTCCTTTCTTTACTGTAAAATCCATGTGATTTCATGCTTTTAACATTTAAGGTAAAATGTTGTAGTTTAACAACTATGAGTCCACCAATAAACTATTTTAAATTTAAACATTTCTTGAAGCAGAAGCAACAGGTGTTTTTTGTTTGTTTTTGTTTTTTTTTAATATACGGAGTCTCACTCTGTTGCCCAGGCTGGTGTGCAGTGGCACGGTCTCAGCTTACTGCAACCTCCGCCTCCCAGGCTCAAGCGATTCTCCTGCCTCAGCCTCTCGAGTAGCTGGGATTACAGGCATCCACCACCGCGCCCGGCTAATTTCTGTATTTTTATTAGAGACAGGGTTTCACCATGTTGGCCAGGCTGGTCTCGAACTCCTGACCTCAGGTGATCCACCTGCCTCGGCCTCCCAAAGTACTGGGATTACAGGCATGAGCCACTGTGCCTGGCTGCAACAGTTTTTAATACAGAAATCGACTGAACTATGGCAAAATACCTCCATAGGCATTATTCATAACTATTTTAAGGAACCACACCCAACCTCAGTATTAAAAAAGGAGTGGAACACTCATTTCAGCTATAGCATTAACTTCTAAAACATTTAGAATGTATTGATATCAAAATCAAGCGCTTGCTACTGTAATTGTTTCACTTTTCTTAGAAACAGATGACTCAGAAAAATGATTAAGAAGCACAAGTTCACATGTGTCAGAGTATATGTACTGACAATTAAGACTTGAATTATTAGCACTCAAATTAACTGCTCATATCCAATATGGTATAAATTGGAAAATGCTTTCATTTTCAAAATATTGGCTATTAATTGTCATTGCTAGGAAAATTGACAGCTCAAAAGATCAGTTAAAGGAAAAGATGGAATAGAAATGGACGATTAAAGAGCTAAGTTAATTTTGCTAAAACGTATTCAATCTATATAAGAAAAAATAGGTTTAAAAAATACATATAAAGTAGAATATTCTCACTTAATCCAGACTTAATTTTTTAGATTCAAACAGCCAGTAATCTACTGTCCAGCTGGGAGCTGGAGGTGGTGGGGGTAGAACTGAGGGGGAAGAGATGAGGGTAAGGGTGGAAAGGAGAGCATTATAAAATATAAAACAAGCATATAGTGCTGGAATTCTCATTACCACCAAATTTGACTCAAGACAGGGAAACGCTTTCTAAGCATCATGAGACAGGATATTCTATTCTGTCCAGAAACTTACTTGAGAAAATCTACTACACCAAAGTCAGGAATTCAGTGGAATGAAAGCTTTTGGCAGCTATTCATTGGTTACCAAACCCAGTTGTTATAATGACAACACTATCAGGAACTGAAATGAAAGCTAAGTGAACTAATCATAAAAGAAGACCAAATAAGTATCATGAACTTTATTTTACACCAGAAATCGCTGAGAATATTAAGAATTTAAAAAATGAAGTTTTCATACTATTTATCACCAATTAATAAAGTTTAGAGATCAGTAGTTCTGCTTTAGAGCTTGTTAGACTTAAAATAAATATCGTGAAAATGAATATAAGTTACTCTCTCAAAAATGAGAATTTATCTAAAAAACAGAATTAATCGTCTTAAATAACAATCATATGTGAATAAATATCAACAACCTAAGACAACAGAATAGCATTTATTCATCAATTTTTTTTTTTTTTTTTTTTGAGACGCAGTTTCACTCTTGTTGCCCAGGCTCGGGTGCAGTGGTGTGATTTCGGCTCACTGCAACCTCTGCCTCCCAGATTCAAGCGATTCTCCTGCCTAAACCTCCCAAGTAGCTGGGATTACAAGCATGTCTGACCACGCCCAGCTAATTTTGTATTTTTAGTAGAGACGGGGTTTCTCCGTGTTGGGCAGGCTGGTCTCGAATTCCAGACCTCAGGTGATCCGCCCGCCTCAGCCTCCCAAAGTGCTGGGATTACAGGCATGAGCCACCACGCCTGGCCCATCAAATATTTTTAAGGGCTCACTGTGCACTAGACAGTAACAAGTTTCATAAAGAAAGCACTTTAAAAATATGTTTTGTGTTTGTTTGTTTTGAGACAGAGTCTAGCTCTGTAGCCCAGGGTGGAGTACAGTGGCAGGATCTTGGTTCACTGCAAGCTCCGCCTCCCAGGTTCATGCCATTGTTCTGCCTCAGCCTCCCGAGTAGCTGGGACTACAGGTGCCCGCCACCACGCCTGGCTAATTTTTTGTATTTTCAGTAGAGACGGGGTTTCACCGTGTTAGCCAGGACAGTCTCGATCTCCTGACCTCATGATCTGCCTCACTCGGCCTCCCAAAGTGCTGCGATTACAGGTGTGAGACACCCCGTCTGGCCAAAGTATGTTTTGTTTTGTTTTTTTAATTTTCTTTCAAAGTTGTGCAAACTATTGAACGGTTGGCATAATTCTAAGATTTGCCATTGCTACAAAAACACTAAAAATAGTAAAAGCATAAAAATTCCAATTAAAAATAAAAAACATAAACAACAATTTTGCTTAGCATAATGTAAAGAACATTTTCCATTTTCCTCTTTTGAAGAAAACACAATTGAGTTTTTTCTCCTTTGGCTTGCATGCTAGGCATTTAATTAATTTTGCAGATCCAACAGTTTATATCAAAATTTCCCATAATATGTTTCAGAACACTGGACTCAATGAAATGTTCTTTGAAGGGAGACGGAGACTTCCAAAAGCAAATAAATTTTAAAATACTACATGCCCAAACTCTTTAAAATATTAAACGTACACATGTGCATACTAAAGGTCCCGAGAAGTCACAAACTCTATCTGTTCAAATAACATCTATTAATTTTTCAGAACCAATGTTCCCCAGAATACACCTGGAAGATCTGTTTTCTAATCATTTATTAACTTAGAGCCTCTGATAACTTATTCCCTATGTGACATTGAAATAAGGCCTACATGTCAGTATGGCTTTTTTTGGCCCGCTGTGAATGTTTTGCTTGCATTTTTAAAGAAAATTAAACTTTTTTTTTTTTTTTGAGACAAGTCTCGCTCTGTCGCCCAGGCTGGAGTGCAGTGGTGCGATCTCGGCTCACTGCAAGCTCCGCCTCCCGGGTTCATGCCATTCTCCTGCCTCAGCCTCCCGAGTAGCTGGGACTACAGGTGCCCGCCACCACGCTGGCTAATTTTTTGTATTTTTAGTAGAGACGGGGTTTCACCGTGAATTCGATCTCCTGACCTCGTGATCTGCCCACCTCGGCCTCCCAAAGTGCTAGGATTACAGGCGTGAGCCACCGCGTCCGGCTAAGAAAATTAAACTTTTAAAGGCATACAAATTGCCTTATATTCACAATGTAGTATACAGTGATTTGGGGTTCCTTATCCAAGTCCAAAGAATAGGCAGGCAGGCACAAGCTCTCTCTGTAGTCTCAACTGGCAGCCACAAATGCCTCCTAGGCAGGTATCATAAATAATAAATGCCTCAGAAATCAGGCCTCCAGTAAAGAAGGCAGGGCAGAACACTTCAAAGTAGAGGACATGAGAAGATTCAGGGATACTCTGAAGATCATTTAGAGTTTTCTAGTCCCTCATTTCATACATAAGAAAATTAAGGCCACAGCCAGAGCAAGAGCAAGACTCCCAGTCTTCTGACTCCAGATCTCAGCTCTCTCGTCTAGGTCATGCTGCCTCCTGGTCCTTTTGGGGTACAAGATCTGTGGGTCGGGCCGGGCGCGGTGGCTCACGCCTGTAATCCCAGCACTCTGGGAGGCCCAGATGGGCGGATCACGAGGTCAGGAGATCGAGACTATCCTGGCTAACACGTGAAACCCTGTCTCTACTAAAAATACAAAAAATTAGCTGGGCGCGGTGGCGGGCGCCTTAGTCCCAGCTACTCGGGAGGCTGAGGCAGGAGAATGGCGTGAACCCGGGAGGCGGAGCTTGCAGTGAGCCGAGATAGCGCCACTGCACTCCGGCCTGGGTGACAGAGCAAGACTCCGTCTCAAAAAAAAAAAAAAAGATCTGCGGGTCTTTGCAACCAAAGATAAGCTGAAAAAAGACAGTGGCCATGTGGCTGCTAAGGAATAGCTATAAATTTAAAACTAAATAGCTTTATCAAACACCAGCTTCAGCCTTAGAAAGTTGAAGAAAATTAAGAAAAAGTTAATTTTTTCTCATCAGTCTAATCATTATACGATAGACTCATTTCTTGATTTTTTTTGGGGGGGGGGGGACAGGGTCTCACTGTGTCGCCCAGGCTGGAGTGCAGTGGCATGATCTCAGCTCACTGCAATCTCCGCCTCCCGAGTTCAGGTGATCCTCCCACCTCAGCCTCCCAAGTAGCTGGAACTACAGGCTTACACCACCACGCCTACCTAATTTTTGTATTTTCAGTAGAGATGGGGTTTCACCATGTTGCCCAGGCCGGTCTTGAACTCCTGGGCTGAAACAATCTTCCCAACTCGACCTCCCAAAGTGCTAAGATTACAGGCATGTGGCACCATGCCCAGTGGTATTTTTCTTTAAATATAATTTTTGGTGTGTTTTAGGTCAAATCACTTTATATTTGAGGTCATTTGGCTCAGAAGTCCTATACCTCAGCAATATATGTTGGAAACAGGATGCAAGTAACTCAAACAGGTGATTAAAGATTAAACATTTTTTAATTCCTTAAGTTTTCATTCTGTTTCCATATTCATAACACATTCTGATAGCTATTAATTTATATATGTGGCTATCTGTGATTCTGTTTATCAAAATTTAGGTACTGTAACTCCCAATTCTGTGATGCCAGCTGATCATTTCCTAATCAATTCCTAGAGAAATTTCAGATTTTACAGAGGCTCCTTTCCTTAAGCAAATCAGTAATTTCCACTGTGGTCATTATTTTCCAGGGCTAAAATCCTAAGACTCCTAATATCTATTGTGTATATTAGGAGCTACTAAGAAAAAAAAATATTCTTTTTTTAAAAATTTATTTATTTTCAAGACAAGAGTCTTGCTCTGGCTGTCGCGCAGGCTGGAGTGCAGTGGTGCTATCTCAGCTCACTGCAACCTCTGCCTCCCAGGTTCAAGTGATTCTCTTGCCTCAGCCTCCCTAGTAGCTGGGATTACAGGCACACACCACTACACTCAGCTAATTTTTGTATTTTTAGTAGAGACGGGGTTTTACCATATTGGCCAGGCTGGTCTCGAACTCCTGACCTCAAGTGATCTGCCCACCTCGGCCTCCCGAAGTGCTGGGATTACAGGCGTAAGCTACCACACCCAGCCAAAAAAAAAAAAAATTCTTTTAAATTGTAGTGATTTTTGTTTTTTAAATACAAAATAAAAAAGTACATTAGATAAAGTAGATCCTAAATATTTTTAAAATGCAAATATACAAACTTGTGTAAGAAATGTGGCAACCCTAATCTTTAGGGGCTTCTTCTTCCCAAATTCCTATAAATAAGAGTCAAATGAACGTAGATGAATAGACTAAAATGGATGTTGTTAGGCTTACCATAAAAGTGTGGAAAAATCATTACCACTCCCTTTGTACATTCCCTTTGTAAAGAATAAGAGCAAATTATGTTGCCATAGTTTTCACACTGTCTTTTCTTAAGAGATGGGGAATAGACTGACACTTTTTTTTTCATTATCTACAAGATTAAACATTGACTTAACACTAGATACTCTGAGCCAAGAGATAATGGGAGTTGTTTCCTCCCATTCCTTCTAACTCTTTTAAAGCTTCAGTCGCCCATTTTTCATAATCACTAACAGTTTAGAAACTCAACTTGACACACAAAAAATTTAATTCAAGGAGAAAAGGCACGATTGAAACATTTTGCAACCTTACGCATTTATTTTGCAGATGGATTTTTATGCCAAATTCTTGACTTGAACTAATTGTTTTCAGTGGAGAGGTGTTTTGGTTTGTCTTGGTCTTTTGTTTTTTGTGTGTATTTGTTTGTTCTGAGAGAAGGTAGACAGGAGTTAGGAAAGTTCAGAATCAAGTAAGTGCTGGGGTGGAATGCAATTACCCACAATCTTTCTATTTTCCCAAGGACTCTAGACACACTCCAGTCTCTGGGTTTCCCCAGTCTTCACCAAAGTGTGGACTGGGTTCTCCCCCTCTTCAGCGAAAGCATGAATGGTCTCCACTAAAGTTAAGCAAAGTTAAGCAAAGCCTAAATGGCTGAGTACAACAATTGTATTGCTTTAAATTGATAAGTCATATGGTATCTCTAAATAATCACTTAATGTTAGGCAAAGCATAATCAATATCATTCTTTTTACTTAAGTATAACAGTTTTTTGTTTTTGTTTTGTTGTTTTTTGTTTTGCTTAATGAACTCAAAAGACAAAACACTTTTTGTTTGGAATCTGATATATCTAGAGATTATTTTATGGTACCTTTTGTTCTTCTGTGAATTCAGAATTATTGTGTTGAGCTTGGGCCTCCTTTTGTAGATGTCTTGCTAATCTGTAAGAAGAAAACATATTCTTTAGAATGGAAGAAAAGCAAACTACTGCAACAAAGTGTAACAATTTAAAGCTTTTTAACATGTGAAGTACAATTATTGTCCTGTTTTTAAAATACAAATCTACATTGAGAACCAAATTCTTCTCAAAAAAAAAAAAACTCTTTATACAATGATGATGAAAATAAGATACAATACTTTTCATACCATTTCACTGGGACAAACTTCAGCTCTAGGCAGTAAAAACAGAGCTGGAAAGAATCTCAAAGGGCATCTAATCCAACTTTCTTTAGTATGCATGACTTTCTTCTATAATAAGCCAATAAGTAGTTGTCCAGATTCTGCTTAAACACTTCCAGGGAGCACCAGTGATTATACCAACCAGAGATACTTTATCAGTCTGTCATTGATTTGGTAGTAAAATTAGTCCTAATCCAAATTACAGCAATGACAAAGTGGTAATAATCCATCCTACTATCAATATATACTTTTGAAAACATGTTTTCATGGAAAATAAAGCAAATTCTCCACCAATCAGCAACAGAAATCATTGTCCAATTATCATTATACTTAAAAATAACAGCTAGGCCTTGCATGAGTTTTTAGTGGATGGATCTATATTATTAGTCCAAGCTCAACAATAAGGACCCAAAGTTATTTCTGAGACAGCAAAAAACTTGTATAGTTTAGTTTGTAAAAGTCAACCCTCTTACAAACTAAACTATAAAACTATGGTCTCAACTATAAAAAGACCAATTTTGGACAAAGGATTTGAATAGATAGTTCTCCAAAGAAGACATAAAATGGTCAATAAGCACATGAAAAGATGATCAACATTACTAGTCATTATGAAAACACAGATCAAAATCACAATGAGCTATCACTTCATACCCACTAGAATGAGTACAATTTTTTAAAAAATGGAACTGCATCCTTATGGGGGAAAGAGAGAGAAGACAACAGGTACTGACAGGATGTGAAAAACTGGAACCCTCAGATATTGCTGGTGGGAATGTAAAATGGCACCAGCCACTGTGGAAAACAATTTGGCCATTCCTCAAAAAGTTAAATATAGACTTACTGTATGACCCAGCAATTTCAAAATCCTAGGTATATATCCAAGAGAACTGAAAAACCATATGTTTACACACAAAAAAACTGAACACAAATGTACAGCCAAAAAGTGAAAACTACCAAAATGTCCATCAACTGATGGACAAAATGTGGTATATCCATTCAATGGAAAATTATTCAGTCAAAAAGAGGAATGAAGTACTACTAACATGTGTAACACAGATGAACTTCAAAAACATTATGCTAAATGAAAAAAGCCAGATGCAAAAGATTATACGTTATATGATTCCATTTATATGAAATGTCCAGACTAGATCAATCCACAGAGACAAAAAGCAGATTAGTGGTTGCCAGGAGATGAGGGAACTGGGAGTAACTGATACCAAGTATGGGGTTTCTTTCGGGAGTGATGGGAATGTTCAGGAATTAGACAGTGGAAATGGTTGTACAACACTGTGAATACACTAAAAACCATGGAATTGTACGCTTTAAACTGGTAAGTTTCATGTGATGTGATATTTATCTCAATTTTAAAAAAATATATGAGAAAAAACTGGCATAAGAATTTGAAAATTAAACTCCCAAGCATATTATGTACTATTCTGGGTGGGCAATAGGAACAGGAATACAAAGGGTAGCAAGTGCTAGATTTTCTACCAAGCCAACTGCAGGAAATAGTTTATGTTTCCAAATAAAATGTACTAGATGGGAGTTCTATGCAATCATGTCTTTAAAGATAAGGCATAAAGTACCTTATTCTTGATGGCCTCTATCCAATTTATGAAAGGTTTGCATCCTCCTTAACATAAGGCAATAATTAGCTTCAAAAAAACTTAATATTTGCAAGATAGCTCCACTGTGTTACTTAGTCGAACTGCTTCTATTCATTTATTTCTTTTCTCCCAAAGCTGGAAGCCTCATAATATTTTCCCTAAAATGTCATTCATAGACTCACTTTTTGTGGATTCTATACAGGAGAAGGTACAAATAGAAACAATATAGCCATTGTCTTTGTTCTGTACTTGGTTTCTTTTCTAACTCTTACTGGCCTACCACCTACATGGAGTACTCCCGAGTAATCTATACACTGTATCCTTAACAACATCAACTATACATCCCTGAACTCAGGGAAGTTACAGTGTGGAATGAGTTTCTTTGAGTAATTCTACACATAATTTGCAGTGGTGGCCATCAACCTAAGCAGAATCACTGTCAGAAGGGTGTAATTCTACACTCCTGTTCAACCGCTAATTGGCAATAGGGAAAGGAAGGATGCTTGATTCAAAAGGAATCTTGCATAAAAGTTATGCAAGGCCAGGCAGAGTGGCTCACACCTGTAATCCCAGCACTTTGGGAGGCCAAGTGGGTGGATCACCTGAGGTGAGGAGTTCGAGACCAGCCTAGCCAACATGGTGAAACCCCTGTCTCTACTAAAAATATGAAAATTAGCGGGGCGTGGTGGCTGGCACCTGTAATCCCAGCTACTGTGGAGGCTGAGGCAGGAGAATCGCTTGAACCCGGGAGGCAAAGGGTGCAGTGAGCCAAGATCGCACCACTGCACTCCAGCCTGAGTAACAAGACCAAAACTCCATCAAAAAAAAATGCACAAAAGAATCAGAGGAAATATTTGCAAATCATATATCTGATAAAAGACTGTATCCAGAATATATAAAGATCACTTAGAATTCAATAGATAAAAGACAGGAAACTCAATTTTAAAATGCGTAAAAGATTTGAAAAGATAGTTAAAAAAATTTACAGAAGGAAAGGAAGCATACAAAAAGACACTCAACTTTATTAGTCACTAAAGAAATGCAGATTAAAACCACAGTGAGGTATGTATTATACACCCGCTAGAATGGCTATAATCCAAAAGACAATAACAAATGCTGGTGATATGAAGAGACTGGAACCCTCCTGCACTGCTGGTACAAATATAAAATGATACACCCAGTTTGGAGAATTATTTGGCAGTTTCTTTATAAAGTTACACATAAATTTATCATATGACCCAGTAATTCCACTCCTAGGCATCTACCCAAGAAAAATGAAAATATATGTCCATGCAAAGACTTGCATTTGAATGTTCAGGGCAGTATTACTAGTAACAGTCCAAAAGTAGAAACAATCCAAATGTCCACCAACTAGTGAAAGGATACACCAAATATGGTATATCCATAAAAGGTAGTATTACACACCAATTTAAAAAAAAAAAGCAATGACACATGCTACAACATAGATGAAACTTAAAAACATTAATTACGCTAAATGAAAGAAGTCAGATGCAAAAGATCACACCCGGCATGTGGTGGCTCATGCCTGTAATCCCAGCACATTGGGAGGCCGAGGCAGGTGGATCACTTGAGGTGAGGAGTTCGAGACCAGCCTGGCCAACATGGTGAAACCCTGTCTCTACAAAAAAATACAAAAATTAGCCAGGCGTGGTGATGCGCACCTGTAATCCCAGCTACTCAGGAGGCTGAGGCACGAAAATCATGGAGGTTGCAGTGAGCCTAGATCACCCCCCTGCACTCCGCCCAGGGTAACAGAGTGGGACTGCGCCTCAAAAAAAAAAAAAAAAAAAAAAGATCACATACTGCATGATTCAAATTTCGTGAAATGTCTGGAAAAGACAGATCTATAGAGACAAAATGTAGATCAGTGGTAGTCTGTTGCTAGAGTGGGAATATGATATGGAGTGACTGCAAATGAACACTAGGTGTCTTGTGGGGGTGATGGAAATTTTCTAAAATCTGTAACGATGGTTGCACATCTTGGTAAATTTCACTAAAAAATCATTAAATTGTACATGTAAAATAGATGAATTTCATGTATATAAATTATACCTCAATAAAGTTGTCTGTAAAATAACTTTTTTTTTGAGACAGGAGGAAAAAAAAACAACTTGGGCAGGCTGGAGTGCAGTGGCATGATCTTGGCTCACTGCAACCTCTGTCTCCGGGGCTCAAGCAATCCTCCCACCTCAGCCTCCTGAGTAGCTGAGACCACAGGCGTGTACCACCACACAAGGCTAATTTTTGTGTGTTTTGTAGAGACTGGGTTTTGCCATGTTGCCAAGGCTGGTCTTGAACTCCTGAGCTCAAGCATTCTACCCATCTAAGGCCTCCCAAAGTGCTGGGATTACAGGCGTGAGCCACCGCACCCAGCCATAAAAAGAACTTTTTAAGCCGACATGAAAAATTAATTTTCTATATCCACAAATGAGTATACCATTTTAAGACAAAGTGACACCTGATTGTGTCCACTGAGAGAAATCTACACGTTCTGAATATTAGATGAGCAAATAAATGTTGACATTCTATTAGGAAAAGTGAAATAAACCTGTCAAATATTCTTCTCTAGAGACTCATCTCACCCTACAAAGGTACCTACAAGTAAAACGGGACTATTCTCAAGGGAGAGTTTTAAACATACCTTAAGCACATACACAAGTAACTCCTGGAAACCCCACAGCATTCTGTGACATAGAAATTCGTGCTTCTCAAACCATCTGTAGCAAAGGATCACTTTTTCCCTAAATTTGTTCTAGACTAATACTTTTGTGAAATACAATTTCAAAAATATCATGAGGATGTCAAATTGCTATAAAGTTTCCACATGCTCTCAATTTCTTTCCTTATCTTACTGCACAGCAGTAACAGTTTACAGACCATCACCAATCTGTGGACCACACTTTAAGTAGCAGAGACATAAAGCACAGCAAAAATGACAAGTGGGGCCGGGCCTGGTGGCTCATGCCTGTAATCCCAGGACTTTGGGAGGCCAAGGCAGGCAGATCACTTGAGGTCAGGAGTTCGAGACCAGCCTGGCCAACATGGTGAAACCCCGTCTCTACTAAAAATAAAAAAAAATTAGCCAGGTGTGGTGGCACGCGCCTGTAGTCCCAGCTACTCAGGAGGCTGAGGCAGGAGAATCACTTGAACCTGGGAAGTGGAGGTTGCAGTGAGCCGAAATCGCACCACTGCACTCCAGCCTGGGCGACAGAGTGAGAATCCATCTCAAAAAAAAATGACAAGTGGCCATTATCCAGTCTTCAGACTCATTGATTCACTTAGCAGATATTTATTGGTTTTTTTAAGACGAGTCTCACTCCGTCACCCAGGCTGGAGTGCAGTGGCACGATCTCCCCTCACTGCAACCTCCACTTCCCAGGTTCGAGCGATTCTTGTGCCTCAGCCTCCCGAGCAGCTGGGACTACAGGCACACGCCACCACGCCCGGCTAATGTTTTTGTATTTTTAGTAGAGAGGGGGTTTCGTCATGTTGGCCGGGATGGTCTTGAACTCCTGACCTCAAGTGATCTGCCCGCCTCAGCTTCCCAGTGCTAGGATGACAGCCGTGAGCCACCACACCCAACCAGTTAGCAGATATTTATTGAGTATCCATGTGCTAGATAAATATCTCAGGATTGATCCTGTGAAATGTCTGATTCTGAGCAACAGTTTCTGTGCCACTCTACCATAAGTTAGGGGCCACATATCCCCAGATAGCTAAATGCAGTTATTTTTAATTGATCATCTAATACTTCGGATGCCTATTTTAGTCTTGACAGAATTCATTTAAATCTTCCAATAGTATTTTGGCATCAACTCCTTAATGCTCCCATAGCATACTCCTAAATTCATCCATTCAATAGAATAATTACATAATATCTAAACAAACAATGACGTGTGGATAGCCTAGTACTACTCTGGACACTAAGTATACAGTAGAGAACAAAACAGACACCGCCCCAACACCCTGCAACATAAGCCCATACTTTACCCTCAAAGAGCTTACATTACAGTGGGGAAAGACAGTAAACAAAACAAAACAAATACAGAAAATGTATTTTCAACTGTAGCCGGGCACGGTGGCTCATGCCTGTAATCTCAACACTCTGGGAGGCTGAGGTGGGTGGATCACGAGGTCAAGAGTTCAAGACCAGCCTGGCCAAGATGGTGAAACCTGGTCTCTACTAAAAATACAAAAATTAGTTGGACGTGGTAGTGCGCGCCTGTAATCTCAGCTACTCAGGAGGCTGAGGCAGGAGAATTGCTTGAACCCGGGAGGCACAGGTTGCAGTGAGCCGAGATCGCGCCACTGCACTCCAGCCTGGGTGACAGAGCAAGACTCTGTCTCAGAAAAAACAAAACAAACAAAAAAAGAAAATATATTTTTGATTGTGGTAAGTACCATGGAAAAAAATGAAAAAAATGAAGCAGGATGGGGAGCAGGAGGTGTGAAACTGAGATAGAGGCAGTGGGGTTGGACAAGAGACTTTGCAATTTTAAACAGGGTGGCCAGAGACAGCCTCACTGAGGATATTTGAACAAAGACCTGAAGGAGGTGACAAAGTGACCCAAACAGATAATGGGGGGAAAAGTGCCCCAGAAAAAAAATACGAGAGCCCTAAGGCAGAACTATGTTCCAGGAAATAGCAAGGAATGTGGGAGCACTTACTCTTTTCATACTTCCGTAATTGCAACACCCAGTTACTCTAAAATCTTCCATTGGCTTCTCAGTGCTTTGAGGGCAGAAATCAAATTTTATTCATCTTTGTATCCCTAACCCTTAGTTGTTGAGTCATGAAATTGTTTAAGCTACAGTATTATTACATTATGAGAATACAGATATGCACTATCTCTCCCCCTACATCCCTCGCATAAAGCAGCTCCTGTGTGTTGTATGGCGATAAGATTGCTGCCTACCCAATTAGAAATCCCAACGATCCTAGACTCTTCCTCCTTCTACACCCTCGACATCCAGTCAGTAACTAAATCCTGTCAATTCTTGTTTACATCATTATAGTGGCCCCCAATTGGTCTATTTTGCTGCAGCCTTTCCTCCCAGATATTTCAAATGAAAAAGATAATTTGCATTCATTTCTGGATATATTAGGTAATTTTAAACTCTTGACCTCATTTTATATGTAGCCTACATGTTTACAGAATTTAAGCCAATCATTACATGTTTTCACTGAAATTTGACCCTGGCAGTTTTTATAATTTGAGGACTACTAGAATCATGAAGTTCAATGGTTAGTACTGAGGTCCAACAATGGATCTGCACATGCCTATCACCCTCACCTTCATGTTCCTAGAAATTCAAACTAAACAGCTTGCATATTCAATTTTCCTTTGTAATTTCAATTGGACATGGTATTCTTCACTTTCCATTGTGAAGTCGGCTGCCCAGTGTCAACAGCTGCTAGGTCTCACCACCTCACAAGTAAGAGATGGCTTTCTATTTCAAACTATGCAATATTAGTTAATATACAGAATGGGTATACATAGGTGCTTACTAATTGGCTACAGTATGGAAGGGTGTGTTCTCCAGTAATAAAGAAAATCTTATCATTTGTCTAATTCACTTACAGAATTACTCTCTCAGTACATCTTAAGCACTCTGTAGTAGAGACAGGATTTGGATTTTCTTTTTTAAATCCCAGATTTCAGTGGTATCAGCTTGTGACCTGAGTAATCTGTTTAACCTGAGCTTCAGTTTTCCTCATTTCGTAAAATGAGAATAATTATATTCTCACTGGGTTATTGCAAGAGCAAATGAAATCATGTGAAAGTGCAAAACAAATGCTAGTAGTTGTTACACATCGCAAAATGGCTCAGAGCACGGGTTTTTGTCAGAGCTTTTTGAAGCTACAGGCGATTCAAAGTCAGTACCTACACATTTAAATTATCTTAATAGATAAAAACAAATAACTATTGCGGGGAGACGATAAGAGTTTAGATCTTCCAAGTACCAAGCGTATATTCTTGCCAGAAATCGTTGTGTGTCGGGGGCGGATGGGGGGTGGGGGAGGCCGGGGGTATTCTACTCATACGTGGTTTCATACTCAGTGAAATCTCAAACAATAACTTGCTTTAAACAGAGAATAATTAATGGCGAGTTTGCAAACAATAGCATTTTGGCAGACAGTTCTTAAGTTCAGTAAAATGTGCAAAAACCTAAGCAAGGTTTTATGTGTATATAAATCTTGTCTTTTATTTTTTAAGACAACCCTGAAGTTTTCTGTGGAAACCAGAAAGGGCAAGAAATTGGTCTTAGGTTGCTCAAGGAAACTGGTACTCACTTGTACCCTGCGGCTATACATTATATACAGGAAAAGGAGGAGGGATCCAAGGAGGGCGTGGAGCTCCTGTGCGTGGTCCATTAATTCACATTTTGCTCTCTTCGGTTCACATCCTGCGCGGACTCCACCCAAGGCAACCGAGCGAGGGGGTGGGTGGGACTCACAGCCTACCAAATAACAGTCCCAGAAACCGAAACGAAATCGAGGTGGAATTCTGAAAACACGGCTCACCAGAAAGAGGGGTGGAGAAGGAGCGCGAGAGGAGACCCTTCTTTTGGCAGAAGAGGTATCCCTGGCCCTCGTTGCTTCCTGGGCTCCCCCCCATCCCCTCAATCGCAAACAGTTCCCTCCTTTCCTACGCATGGAAGAAGGAAGACACACACAGAGCAAGGCCACTCATCCTTGGAACGTGGGCGGAGAACACACAAGTATTCCTCAGAGAATTTCAAAAGGAAATCGAGGAAAAGCAACCTGGGAGAGGAGGAGGAAAGGAAACTGACTGCCAAGTGGGGGACCCGCGAGACGGTGGAAAGGAACTAAGCAGATAGCCTGCTGGGGCCTGCGCCCCAGGAAAGAAGGGCTACCTGTTGAATGGAACTGTCCCTGCGGAGGCGGAGAGGGAAGAAGGCGAGTCACCCCAGAGAGCGGAGCCGTTGTCCCTAGAGCAGCCTCGCTGGGGCTGGTGGCGAGGGATCTCAGCCCCAGTGCCTGCGGAGCCCCACCCTGAGAAGCCTTGGCTGCAGATACGGTGATGAGAGACACCGACAGAAACAAGGGAGAGGCGCACGACTGGAGCCGGTCTGGCCTGCTCCCGCGGTTAGTCACTCACATCTGATACTCGTCTATCGCCTCCACCAGCTGGCCCCAAGAGTCGAAGTCGGCGCCTCTCCTAAAACTGGCGCCCCAGCGCTGCAGCAGACTCCGGGTCACCTCCGACATGGCCGGTCCCCACCCCGTCCCCTCCCGCCCCTACCCCAGCAAGGCCGGGTTCTAGGGCGCCATCCTCCCCCGGCCTGGCCCCGACATTAACAGGGCCAGGAGGAACCGCTACGGCCACCACCGCCACCCGCCGAGGAGCCGCCCAAGCCCATTTGCCGCCACAGCCAAACTTTGCGGCTCCAAAGCGACCGCCCCGCCGAGACCCCGCCCCCGAGGCCCCGCCCCGGGTTAGGTTGAGGCCGCCCCACTGCGCCGAGGGCCGCCATCGCTATTGCGGCATTCTCCCTCGGCTCCGGAGGTAGGGGCAACTCTTCTCTTCCTGTCTGGGAAAAAGACCATAGCTCAAAAGGAAGGCCGAGGGAGAAGTTAGAAAGGGATGATGAACGAAGCGTTTTGAGGGGACTGCAACGCCGCGGCAATACCCGCCCCTGAGCTGCGCGCACTACCGCCTCGGTAGCTATCATGGCCGCCGGGTCACGTGACTCCGGCTTGGCGCCGTCCTGGTTTTCCGTCACCCTGGTTCTGTAGTCTCGGTTCTCCGACTCCCTCTTTTTCTCGCTTGTGGACTCCGATATATTGCCCTTCTTCCCTTAGAAGAACTGCTGAACCGACTCTGAGAAATTTGGTAAGTATGTCAGAGGATGGGTGTTTCTCAGTAATATCCCCCGCTACTTCCCCGGAGTCTCAAGCAATAGGATCACCCCCTTTTACATTAGTCTCCATAGACCCCTGGACAGTGGACCAAAAGTCTCCTTCTAGTGCCTTGAAACAAACGACAGAAAGAAAATCCATATTGGTCACCACAAATCAGTGGCATTAACAGCTAGATCCGCTGAATCCCCTTGCCCCGCATCTCCATTGGTCATTGGAGAGCTTATAATACAAGCTAAACTGGGGTTCGTTCGGCCGTTGTCTGGCCACCTCTCCCGGGTTGACAGTATCGGCTTTCCACAAAAATGCCTGTTTGGAAAGAGGGGAACTCAAGTGTTGGCGCGTGCGCACGGTCGCCGCCCGCTGCCTCGAACGGGACTGGGCACGGGAGGAAGAGGCTGGGTGGTAAACAGGAAGTGGGCGCTCAGAGCTCGGGGGCGGCGCTCAGGTAGGTTCCTCTGGGGACTCGGGGCTTCCGGGGTGGGGGTCCCTTGTTAGGAGCGGGAGTCCTCTTGTGGAAGTGTGTTAGCTTACAGCTTCGATCCGAATGTTGTATTGGTGGCTCTAAAGGCACCCTTGTCCCTGCGGGTGGGTGTGTCGTTCTTCTATCCCACCCTAGGAACTCCCGAAAACTGAAGACCGCCGGGTCGCAGAAGGGGAGAAGATGGGGCAGGGGCAGAAACCCTCTTCTTTCCTGAAGTAAAGATTCGCAAAACTTCAGACATTTTCATCCAGGAAGTAGGAGGCCGCATTAAAAGAAGTATTTGTGGAAGATTTCGCAGCCTCAAGTGCTGAGTGTGATATTATTTGTAGGCACATAGATGCTGTATTAGGCTATCGGAATTTATATGGAAGATGTGTAGAAGATGATATTTTCTGAAATAACTCGTTAAATGTTTTGAGTCCTAAATAAACCTGCTCAGTTTTTCGTTGGGTACACACTGTATTCTCTATTCATTAAGTATGTGGTGCTCCTCAAAACCAGCTTTGTCATGAATAAATAGCATAAAGGAAGCACTTAATGTAGGCATTTCATACACTGTACAGCCACCATTATTTTCTAATACTAGGAAAAGTCGATTGTCAGAATTTTTTAGTGCCTTCAAATTAAATGAACCTTATCAGAATTTTTTCTCAGTTACTTCCTGGAATCTAATTGCCATGTTTAGGTCTTCGCCTGGGCTTTCTCCTTATTATCTGCTGCACTACCTACCCAAGGACATTTAGACAAGACATGCTGCTTTTTTTTTTTTTTTTTTTTGAGACGGAGTCTCCCTCTGTCGCCCAGGCTGGAGTGCAGTGGTGCCATCTCGGCTCACTGCAAGCTCCGCCTCCTGGGTTCTCCTGCCTCAGCCTCCCAAGTAGCTGGGACTACAGGCGACCGCCACCATGCCCGGCTAATTTTTTTTTTGTACTTTTAGTAGAGTCACCGTGTTAGCCAGGATGGTCTCGATCTCCTGACCTTGTGATCTGCCCGCCTCGGCCTCCCAAAGTGCTGGGATTACAGGCGTGAGCCACCGCGCGTTTTTTTTTTTTTAAGTAGAAGGCATGGAACTTAATTTTTTTTTTAAGTTGGCATCTCACTTAGGTGGTGTTCCAAGTTTTTGTTTTTTGTTTTTTTTTTCCTTTTTCCTTTTTTGAGATAGGATCTTGCCCTGTCGCCCAGGCTGGAGTGCCATGGGGAGATCAGGGCTCACTGCAGCCTACGTCTCCTGGACTCAGGGGATCCTCCCTCCTCAGTCTTCCCAGTAGCTAGAACCACAGGCGTGGCTACCATCCCCGGCTGATTTTTGTAGAGACCGGGTCTCACCATGTTGCCCAAGCTAGTCTCAAATTCCTGAGCTCAAGCGATCCACCCACCTCGGCCTTCCAAACTGCTGAGATTACAGGCATGAGCCACCATGCCCAGCCCAATGTTTTCATTTTATAATAGAATTTATTGATCAAGTATTGTATTACATTTTTATTTTAAAAATATTCTTTAGGTATTTTTTGGAAAGTACATTTTATTGTAGAACACATGCTATAACCAATCCACTGTTGTCAGCAATATGTCGGAAATACAGCAGTTAACTTAAAACGTATTACAAGTAGCCTTAGCGATATAATCAGGGTTACCATTTGAACCCGTTTTGGAAATTACGTTCATCTGGTCCTGTGCCCTTTTTACTTGCAGTTGTCCAACCAAAATCTAGTACTTTGCTATTCAAAAGTGTCTGGGGACCAGCAGCATCAGCATCTCAGGTCCTGCCCCAGGCTATTGAATTAGAGCCTGCATTGGACAAAACCACCCACCCCCAGGTGATTTTTATGTATATTACAGTTTAAACATTACTGCTCCTATATATGTATGTTAACATTGAAGTTATTGTGGGCAGATTTTCAAATGCTCTTCTGCTTTTTTTTATAGGCCTGATCTGAACATAGACCACCATAAATAGACAAAACATAACCTGAGGCCGGGCGCGGTGGCTCACGCCTGTAATCCCAACACTTTGGGAGGCCAAGGCGGGTGGATCACTTGAGGTCAAGAGTTTGAGACCAGCCTGGCCAACATGGTGAAACCCCGTCTCTACTAAAAAAATAACAAAATTTAGCCAGGCTAATTTTCGAATTAAATTTTTATACTATTGAAATAAATTGTTATGCTATTTACCTTGTTTATTAAATATTTTATATTTAATTTTTGTATATTTTTTACTTTTTTGTCTATAGAAAACATCTGGAGAAAATGACCCATTGGTTTCATAGGAACCCATTAAAAGCCACAGCTCCTGTGTCTTTTAATTACTATGGTGTAGTCACTGGCCCTTCTGCTTCAAAAATATGCAAGTAAGTTTATTGATTGAACCACTCTTAGATGCAAGGTACTTTTTTTGGTTCCATGGCAATACAGAAATATGTAACACACTGTTTCTAAGTTTGTTATAAATTTATAAATGACATTTAAGAGTTAAATCATAGATTATTTAAATTTGGCAGTCTTCTACGCCTGGATCCTTAATTTTAGATCAGTAAATGAGTCCCAGAGAGGCTAAAGCAATCACAGTAAAACAGTTAATCTGTATATTACAACAGTACAAGGGACTCTACAAAGTAGTGTATGGACATTTTTATTTTTTATTTTTATTTTTATTTTTATTTTTTGAGATGGAGTTTCACTCTTGTCGCCCAGGCTGGAGTGCAATGGCTTGATCTCGGCTTACTGCAACCTCCGCCTCCTGGGTTCAAGCAATTCTTTTGCCTCAGCCTCCCGAGTAGCTGGGATTACAGGCACCTGCCACCACGCCCTGGTCATTTTTGTATTTTTAGTAGAGACGGGTTTTCACCATGTTGGCCAGGCAGGTCTCAAACTCCTGACCTCAAGTGATCCACCTACCTTGGCCTCCCAAAGTGCTGGGATTACAGGCGTGAGCCACCATGCCCAGCTCTATAGGGACATTTTAAATTGGCCACATATTAAACTTCTTGACTTCAGAATAAGGAGAGATCCCTGTGACCTGAAATGGCCTTCAAAGTGTTCACACAGGAAAAAGTACTTGAGATAGGCCTTGAATGAATTGTATGGCTTAGATCAGGGGTTGGCGAACTGTGTCATATGGATTTGGACCATTGCTTGTTTTTATAAATAAAGTTTTATTGGAACACAGCCAGCCCCACATTTATTGACATACTGTGTATGGCTGCCTCTGGCTGCTTTCCTCTACAACACCAGAATTGAATAGTCCCGGTGGATACCTTATTACCAGAAAAGCCTGAGATGTTTACTATTTGGCACTTTCCAAAAAAATATTTGAGTATTCTTGATTTAGATTGTCAGAGGGGAAAGGAGAATGTTATTTCTGTCAGGAAAACCTTTGTGCTAGTGATAGTGAGTAGAGCAGTTTGGCTGAAACAAAAGAGATAAATGCAAAAGATGTTTTGAAGGAGGAGTCAATGGACCTGATTGACTAATTTGCCTTGGGAGGCTGAAAAGGATTCAGTCTATATGAGATACAGAATCTAGATGATTAAGACATTGGTGGTACCAATAAAGGAAAATCTGAAGAGTTGCCGCTTTTATGGGAAGAAGCGATG
Organism: Homo sapiens; assembly: GCF_000001405.40. Classification (NCBI taxonomy): domain Eukaryota; kingdom Metazoa; phylum Chordata; class Mammalia; order Primates; family Hominidae; genus Homo; species Homo sapiens. The sequence goes on from NC_000001.11 coordinate 222,717,046, forward strand.
ACAACAAAAGATAGGATAATTGGCTTATTAATCTAAACCAATGGTCATCAAACTTTTTAAAAGCTACATAGTATTTATTTTAGGCTTTGTGGTCACATACAGTCACTGTTGCATATTATTCTTCGTTCATTTTTACAACCCTTTTAAAAATATGAAAACCATTCTTAGTTTGAGGGCTGAATGAAAATAAGCTGCGGGGTATACAAAAACCGGTTATAGTTTGTAGTTTGTCAAGCTCTGATCTAGACTCCTGGAGGCAAGTCCCGACTTAGCTGTTTTATCTATACCATTGGGCAAGTCCCTTAACTTCTTTGGGCCTAATTCCTAATCTATAAAATGAACAGCCTAAATTAAATATATCTGAGGTACATTTTTCTCAAATTCTGTAATTTAAGATGAATATAACTTTACAAGTTGAGCTGTAGGTGATGATCAAGCATCAGTATGGAAATAGCTAGCCAACTATTTGAGTGCAGAATAGGCTTTAAGGATTCAAATTTCTGCCTAGTCCAGGAATTGAATCACTTTCCAGCTTCTAGAGAAATATCTCAAACAATGATTAATTCATAAGATAGCCAGTCACATTTTCAGTCAGCTGTTTGTAATTGGCAATACATACATACTTTCTTGGAATAAGCCTCCTTAGAGTTAGTACTAATCAATAAGACTCAAGGGATATACCATTCAGGATTAAGTCTGTGCTCTCTTCTAAACATCACTGCTACCTTATAGTCTAAATCTCAAAAGAAAATATTTGAAAAGTTATTCTTTTTCCACTCAACAAGTAATTTTGAATATGTGCTTTATCCTAGGCACCTACCAAATTCTGGATATACAGCCTCTACTCTCTTGGTGCTTACCATTTAAATTTAGTCTTTCTTTAATGGTTTACACATATTTCAAGGGTCTTTGGTCATACCCATGTATTGTAATTTCGGAAGCCTCACTAAGCTAATTGCCTTCTGGATTCGATTTGGAACTGGAATAGAACCAAGTGAAAGCTAATGATGGAGATCTAGGAATTGATATAGTTGAAGCTATACTAATAGGTGAGATCTCAAAAGAGAGAAAACCAGAAAGCCAAAGACTGAACATTTCTGGAGTTGGGAATGAAAAGGAGACACAGAAAAAAATATAAAAGGAACTTAAAAGAGACAAGGGGAGCACCTGGAAAATTTAGTGTTATTGGAATCAAAGGAGAAAATAATTTCAAGAAGGAAAAGGTGGATCTATAACATTTATTGCTATAGAGAAGTAAAGGAGAATGTAGATTAGGGAGCAGTTTTAAAACAACTGATGGCCACGTTTTACATATTCTTGATGTATATGTTGAATTACATGTCAAGGATATGTAATGTAATTTCATTTTTTAAATATTTTTATGCAGTATATTTTCACATTTTTGTGTTTTATGTCAGATTTAGAAACTTCAAGGAGATATTAAAATGATACACAGATAAATTTTCATTTTTCAAGAAACTTATTGTGAACTGCTTAGTTTTTTATTCTTCTTTCCCCACATCTTAAGTGCATGCATTTGTTTGATTGTTTTTAATTAAAACTTGACATATATTTTTATTATGTAATTGAATTCATTATTTGCCCCTTTAATTGGTCTGAGTTTATTTTACTACAACTTTTAAAACAGTTATTAGAAATTTTTTCTCTAGATTTAGTCCTGATTAAATTCATTTGTTAATCCCTTAGAGGAGGTAGGCATGTGCATGCGTGTGTGTGTTTTAAAGCTTTTACATTGAAACCTGGTGCGTGTGTGTATGTGTGTGTGTTTTAAAGCTTTTACATTGAAACCTGGAAGCCACTTTTATGTAGATTGATTGCAGTACAGCTAACTTTACTGTCTTTTTGTATCTCTTATAAGTGACTTGAGGTCATCCAGGGCACGACTCCTTGAACTGTTCACTGATTTGAGCTGTAATCCAGAAATGATGAAGAATGCAGCAGATTCATATTTCTCACTTTTACAAGGTTAGTTATTTATATGAACTTGAGGTTTTTTAAAAAACTGTCTAAAAGTTTACATTTAATTCTTTGACTTTTCAAATTTGATTAGTTTACTCTTCCAGACTGTATTCTTTGGAAAAGAGCAAGAAGTTTCATTCAGACACCTGGAAAAGTAATCTGAAAATTTTTCCAAACAGAACACTCAATATTTCTTCTAATTCTTCTAAAACTAAAATGTCTTGTACTTTTCTATAGGTTTCATAAATTCTTTGGATGAATCTACCCAAGAAAGCAAGTTACGATATATTCAAAATTTCAAGTGGACTGATACATTGCAAGGACAGGTTCCAAGGTAAGCAACACTAAAGTAATACTAAATTGGAGCCAGTTTTTGTAACTATGTAGCCAGTGGTTAACTCATAGCCTTTGTATTTGGAGAAGAAAAATACAGGTCTGCTCAGCGTTTTCTCTTACCAGGAAATTAATTAAAAGCATTTTACCTCAATCCTAGTACATAATAAAAATATAATTTGTTTCTCCCAACCAAATCTATTTTTGAGGTAATCAATACAGATGTTAACTACAGTTGAACAGCCTTGACCTTTAATAACACACAAAGGATGATTTGAGGATTTAGAACCCAAACTGACATTCCGTATGTGCCTACATTCAAGCTGAGCAGAATTTAAGTTTTTCCCTTACTTTTCTTTTGCTGATGGATACTTCATGTCTTCCATTAGTCTTTGTCTCATTCTTTCTCTCCAACTCCATACTCTTGATTCACAGTATATTTTCTTCATTATCTCTCTTCCCTATTTCTACTCTTTTTAAAAACTTCTCTTCAGAGCTTTCTTATCACTCACTTGAAACTATTTGTAATAGATCTAATTATAACGAAACAGATCACAATGGTGTTAATTTTTTACTTACCTACTGTTTTTCAACACCATTTTGTTGTTGAAATGCCCGTATATTTTAATCCCAATTTGCTTTAGAATTACTATTTTATAAAAACAGAAAGGAAGGAGTGGAGGTTGCTGAAAGACCAGAGCAGACTGTACATTACAACGAAAAGAGTATGAACATTGGGTTTGTACATATTTAGATGCAAGTCCAGGTTTTCTACTGCATGAACATCTGCTTCTTCAACTATATCTTGGGGCTACAGATAGAGTACTTTGTGAGAAGCAAAATAAGAAAATTTTTGTGAAGTGACTGACAACAGTACTAGGCTTATAAGACATTCATTAAATGTTCATTTCCTTTCTTCCTTCCTTGGCAATATTTTATGTCGAATTCATAATATTCTGGGATACTCAGATTTTCTAAGACCTTGTTTTCTGTTTTTTAATGTGACCCATTTGTTTTTAATCCAAAATTAAGCAATTTTTTTAATTAAAAAGACTTTTTTAAAGAATCAAACCTCTGTCATTATTTTGACAGATTCTATAATGTGTGCATTTCATAAATTTGGCATTTTTCCGACCATGCAACATTTTGATTCTGTGTAATAGTGAGCTAAAGCCGGGCACAGTGGCTCACGCCTGTAATCCCAACACTTTGGGAGACCGAGGCAGGCAGATCACTTGAGTTCAGGAGTTTGAGACCAGCCTGGCCAACGTGGTAAAACACTGTCTCTACTAAAAAATACAAAAATTAGCTACGTGTGGTGGAAGGTACCTATAATCCCAGCTACTTGGGAGGCTGAGACAGGAGAATCGCTTGAACCCAGGAAGCCAAGGTTGCAGTGAGCTGAGATGAAGCCACTGCACTCCAGCCTGGGCGACACACCGAGAGTCCATCTCAAAAAAATAAAAAAATTTAAAAGTGAGCTACTATTTAACCTTTTTTCAGCAGTTTTATGAGATAGTGAAGAATTATGTGATGAAGACTTTAATACTAAATATTCAGCACAAGTGAGACTTCTAAGTTACTTTATTCTTGATTGCTGCTTACTCAGTGGAAATCGTGTTGTGAGTTTATCTGTTCTGAAAAATATTTTTTCCATTATAGTTACTATGACTACTACTTTTATGTGGTGTCATAGAAATGGAGTGTTTGGAAACAAGGCATGTTAAATGAAGGATTATAAAGGAAAAGAGTTACTCATGAGACTTCACTAAATTAGCCAAACTGTTATATTATTTAAAAGTTATAAATTAGACATGTCCACTAGATCTCCAGATGTAATTCATTTGATAGTTTCAGTGCAGAAAATAATAAGCTATTAAACTATGTATTAAATTTTTTTCAGGAGGATAAAACTGTTTTGAGAAGTTTGTTCATAACTGTCATTTTTGGATGTTATAATCTATACTAAAGACAGTTTAGAAATTATTTTTTAATTACTACATATTTTATAACACTTTTTTTTTTTTTTTTCATTTAAAAAGTTGCCATATCTCCATTTATCTTAAGACAGGGGCAACAAGTAACTAAAAAATAAAAAGTAGAATGATAATTCTGGTTTCTTCTTTTTGGGTAGCTTTTCTGTTTCTTAGTATTACGTGTGTAAAATAAGGATATTCTGCTTTCTTCATCAGTTGAGATAAATGAGATCATGTGTAAAAAATTTTCAGGTTCTTCTAAGAACAATAGTGAATATATATTGTTATGAATATCTTATTTGCTTGATATGCTTTTGCCATCTTTATTTCATACTTCATAATAGAATCTGAAGGAAACAAGGTATAAAATATACTTGTGTTCAGGACCTTTTTCTGGAATACTGATTGGCTAGGCATTCAGAATCTTATACAGTTTGCCTTCAGCTTGCTTTTTGCCCTTCTTTTCCTTGATTTCTTTTTTACATACCTTCTGCTCCAGTCAAGCTCATTGGGTCACTTCTACCAGAAAATTTTTTATACTCCTCTTGGGCTTTGATGGCATTGTTTCCTCACCTGGGATGTCCTTTTGCTTCCCTTCTAGTCATCTTTCCAGGGACAGTTCAGATTTTATATATACCATTAAACCTTCTTAATTATTCTAGCCTGAAACAATCTCTCCTCTGAATTTGATTTTTCTAAAATGTTGTATAAGAGCCACACCTTTGAGAATCGACTGAGTACTTGTTAAAAATACGATTCTAAGCCCCATCCCAGGCTTTCCGACTCTGGGATTAAGGCCCAGAAATCTGTATTTTAAAAGCTGCTCTATGTGCAGTAAACTTTGGGAGCTCCTATTCCCATGCTTATTATTAAGTACATAGTACCTTCTGGACCATTATACTTAGCCATTTGTAGTTAATTACCTGTACATCTTATCTCCCCATCTATATTAAACACAACCATTTTCCTCATACATACCAGTTAGCATATACTTCTTTGTAATTTTGAGTCGGATATCCAGTAGGCTTCATGGTGTGATGTCTGGATAATTGACAGAACTTAATGATCATGTTTATAATTCCAGTGCCCAGCAGGATGCTGTTTTTGAATTAATTTCCATGGGATTTAATGTAGCTTTATGGTATACCAAATATGCTTCAAGACTGGCTGGAAAAGAAAAGTAAGTTAATAGGAGAGGATTGTGTACATCTGTGTTATTTTTCAAGTATGTGGCGCTTCATTATTTTAAAAATCTATTTTAAAAAGTACCACTTTGGATGTTTGAAGGATTGCCTTGTAATGTTAGTATTTTGAGTGTCAGAATTATGGCACCTAGCGTTAAGAGGTAAAATAAATTTTAATAGTCTTGTCATATGGAAGGTCTTGCTAAGTAAGACCCCAAATCAAGAACCCATAAAGTAAAAGCATGACTATTTAACTACATCAAAGGACCGTAAACAAAGTTAAAAAACAAATGACAAGATTGGTCAAAAACATTGCAATTCATATGATAAATTGTTTGTTTTTATAACGTATACTCTTATAAATCAGCAAAGGAAAGACCGTCAAATCAATTGAAAAGCAAAGGACATGAACAGGCAATTCACAGAAAACAAGTACAGAAGGCTAGCAGTATGTGAAAAGATGTTTTGCAGGATTAAATAATTATAAAAGGTGATACAATTTTTATAATAGCTATAGTGGATACAGCAATAGGAAACTGTCAATTTATGGTTCATCCATACGTGGGAATAATATGCAACCACTTGAAAATGATGTCAAATTGTATGTGCTGATGTAAAATTATCTCTAAAGTAAATTAGGTGATTAAAATAAGAGCAGAGTAATGATTATAGCTACCATTGTGTATCTATGTGTTTCTTAAGCATGTATATGCATTAAGTGTGTAATATTTTGTCTTGTTTATATACAAATGTCTGTAAGGAAAAATAAGGCTTTGTCTGGATTTTATTTTGTTTTGTTTTTTGTAAAGTTGAGTTCTCACTATGTTTCCTGGGCTGGTCTTGAACTCCTGGCTTCAGGTGATTCTCCTGCCTTGGCTTCCCAAAGTACTGGGATTACAGGCATGATCCACCATGCCTGGCTGCAGATTTTACACCTAGTTAGGGTCTCTTTTTTTTCATTTGTAGTATCTTCTTTTTGGAGACATATTGACATGCTTTTGCCATCTTAATGTTACCTTTATGTCATATACTTGTTTTCAAGACCTTTTTGTGGGATACTGATTGGCTTAGCATTCAAAATCCTTTACAGTTTTTACTAATTTCCTATAAACGTACATTTCATATGCATTTGCTCCTTTTCTAGGTGTCAAAATTAAATTTTTTTGGTGGCGGGGGGATGGAGTGCCGCTCTGTCGCCAGGCCAGGCTGGAGTGCAGTGGCATGATCTCGGCTCGCTGCAACTGCCACCTCCTGGGTTCAAGTGATTTTCGTGCCTCAGCCTCCCGAGTAGCTGGGATTACAGGTGCCTGCCACCATACCCAGCTAATTAGGGTTTTGCCCTGCTGGCCAGGATGGTCTCAAACTTCTGGCCTCAAGCAACCTGCCCGTCTCGGCCTCCCAAAGTGCTAGGATTACAGGCCTGGCCTCAAAATTAGATTTATTTTTAAAAGGAAGAAAATTAGCAGTGAGAAACATAAATGACTACTTTGGATGTATAATAATGTATTGGTTGTTGTGTTTTAATACCAGAAATGGAATTCATCCTCTAACTAATGTAACCCCTATCTTTAAGTATAACAGAAGATGAAGCAAAAGAAGTTCATCGAAGCCTAAAGATTGCAGCTGGGATTTTTAAACATTTAAAGGTAAAACAAACAAACAAAAACCATTATTTGTTCTTAATGCTTTAATTCTTGAATAATTTTTCTTTTGGGAGGATATGGGGAAAGAATTGTTTCATTATATTAAAAAAGGTACTATGTGTTCTGTTTTCCTTATGTTAAGTATGTTATTGATGAGTGCAGCCAGTTACTAAATATTAAATGTCTCCATTTTTGTTTTAAAATCACCAGTGACTTTTACAATTAGAAAACTTAAGTTTTAGTGCTCTGCTTATTTTTCTGTGTCTTTGAAAAGACAGGAGAAAAGAAAGTAGAAGTATTGATGGTTCTTACCTACCTCATTGCTCTCCACAGAAGTTACCAGGAGCAGTCCTGATTCTGCAAAACTGAACTTCTGAGTGTATGCTCTGTATCTCACTAAAAACTTTAGAGTGACAATCAGTGCACTCTAATTGTATTAAATTGCCAGGAGATGTGATGGGAATTAGGAGAAAGAATATTGTGTCTTTTAAACAATGTCCCCCTACGTCATTCTAATTAAATCACTTTATTGAAGGCCTCCTAGAGGCCAGTGTTGATTTTTTTCATATTAAAATATAAGATGCTTTTATAGTGATTAGAAAGCTCTGATCCTGAATTAGATGTAGAATTGTAGTGGGGTTTTTTTTCTTTGAGACAGAGTCTTGCACTGTCGCCCGGGCTGGAGTGCAGTGATGCGATCTTGGCTCACTGCAACCTCTGCCTCCCGGTTCAAGTGATTCTCCTGCCTCAGCCTCCCGAGTAGCTGGGATTATAGGTGCCTGCCACCACGCCCAGCTAATTTTTTGTATTTTTAGTAGAGACGGGATTTCACCATGTTTGCCAGGCTGGTCTCAAACTCCTGACCTCGTGATTCACCTGCCTCGGCCTCCCAAAGTGCTGGGATTACAGGTGTGAGCCACTGCACCCAGCCTCTTTATATCTTTAATTATTAATGTGAATGAACAGGCTATCCCGCAAAAGGAATTTTGGTTACTATTTCAGTTAACATTTTTCAAGATGATAGTGTGACTTGCGTATCTCAGCAGTCTATCATGACTTAAATTTTGCTCTTGAATTTCTTGTTCTTATAAAAGCTGAGTTTTAGTATACAGGAACTTTTATTTATAAGCTTACTGTTGTTAGTTTTTATAGTTTTTGTTTATACTCTGAATTTCTGCTAAGCCTCCCAGTTGAATGTCTCATAACTTTCATTTTCTTCATCTCTAACAACTGGATTAAAATAAAATTTGGCTGCTTTGTTTTTTGTCTTTTTTGTTGTTGTTCTCAGGAAAGTCATCTCCCAAAACTCATTACACCTGCGGAAAAAGGAAGAGATTTAGAGTCACGACTCATAGAAGCATACGTTATTCAATGTCAGGCTGAAGCTCAAGAAGGTATCCTAAATATTGTAAGATTTTTTTAAATGAAAGTCTATATTGTCATTGAATTCCTCTTTAAAAATCAGAAGTTGGGCACTGTGGCTTATGCATGTAGTCCCAGCACTTTGGGAGGTCTAGGTGGGCAGCTCACTTGAGCCCAGGAGTTCAAGAACAGCCTGGGCAACGTGGCAAAACCCCAGCTCTACAGAAAATACAAAAATTAGCTGGGCATGGTGGCACATTCCTGTAGTCCCAGCTTCCCACAAGGCTGAGATGGGAAGGATCGCTGGAGCCTGGGAGGTCAAAGCTGTAGTAAGGCAAGACCGTGCCACTGCACTTCACCCTGAGCAACAGTGTGAGACCCTGTCTCAAAACCATTAATTAATTAAAATAAAAATCAGAATTAGCCAGAATCAGGCTTTAGATTTTGAGAAATTTTAGAATGAGGAATAAGTTTACCTTTAGCATTTGCCTTCACTCTTAGTTAGCAGGAAAGGCCTTACAGTTTAATGGCTCTTTTTAAGAGGATTTTTATTTCATGTTATTTCTGATAGTACAACATTAATTCTTTAATTCATCTTTTCTCTCTACTGTGCTCATTCTTTTTTCTCTTTCACTCGTTGGCTTACCTTAATGTCTTCACCTTTCAATGGCAAGTAATAATGACACTCAACGTGAAACAATTAAGAAACTTTGTAGGCTTTCGTTTTTCTTTATTTCAAACTCTAGTCTTCCTCTGAAAATGGCTGGGCTGGTGGCTTATGCCTGTAATCCCAGCAATTTGGGAGGCCGAGGCAGGAGAATTGCTTGAGCCCAGGAGTTTGAGACCAGCCTGGGCAGTATGGCAAGACCTCCATCTCTACAAAAAGTTATTTAAAAAATTAGCCAGTTGGCTGGGTGTGGTGGTGGCTCACGCCTGTAATCTCAGCACTTTGGGTGGCCGAGGCAGGCAGATCACCTGAGGTTGGGAGTTCGAGACCAGCCTGACCAACATGGAGAAACCCCATCTCCACTAAAACATACAAAATTAGCTGGGCATGGTGGCGTATGCCTGCAATCCCAGCTACTCAGGAGGCTGAGGCAGGAGAATCGCTTGAACCTGGGAGGCGGAGGTTGTGGTGAGCCGAGATCGTGCCATTGCACTCTAGCGTGGTCAACAAGAGTAAAACTCCATCTCAAAAAAAAAAAAAAGAAATTAGCCAGGTGCCATGGCATGCATGTGTAGTCTCAGCCACTCAGGAGACTGAGGCAGCAGGATCACTTGAGCCTGAGAGTTTGAGGCTGCAGTAAGCCATGATCAAGCCACTGCACTCCATCCTGGGTGACAGCAAGACCCTGTCTCAGAAAAAAAGAATTTGCTGTTAGGTCATGCTGTTTTGTAATAGTGATTCTCTATGATTAGCTGGTAATTTGCTGATGATTTATTTAAAGAAATGGCATTGGAACCAACAAACTCAGTGTTTTTTTGTTAATGTTTGCATTTTCTATAAGTTTGCACGTTAAAACGTTTAACAAACTGTATTAAAATCCCAGAGAGATTATCAGACTGTCTTTTGCTATTATAATTGAATTTAGGATGAATAAAGTGAGCTTAATTATAGATTCACTTTATTGTGTTTGGTTACAGTAACAATTGCTCGAGCAATTGAACTAAAACATGCTCCTGGACTAATTGCTGCACTGGCGTATGAAACAGCCAATTTCTATCAAAAAGCTGGTAAGCTTCTAATTCTGTCGTTACATTTTTAGTCTTTAGATTTTCAGATTTATTTGATCTTGAATAGGGAACAAAACAAAAGGGTTCTCAGATTCTGTCATTATTTGCAAAACTGGAGTAATATTTTATTTATTGCATTTAAAATAGAGCTGTTCATGTTTAGTATGCTGCATAACTTCTAATGGAGGGGAAAACCAGTGATGTCTCATAAAATTATACAGCTTTTTTGCTTAAAATTTTTTTTTAGTGTTTATAACAACCTTATAGTTACTATGCTTTAGACAAGAATCCAAAATCCAGAGAGTTAACATGACCCATAATTCAACTGCTAGAAAGTGGGAGATTGGGCGTAGAACACAGCTCCTGTGATAAGCCTATTACTCTTCATTTACTTATTTAGGAAACATGCATGTGTTTTTATTTATGGGATAGTTACTGTTTTTGTTGCTAAGGAGAGGTAAATAGAAAAGATCTGCAGTTTAGGGAAGAAGACAAACATGTAACCCCGTTATTATATCCTGAAGTAAGACATCACAGCGGCGAATTAGGAACCTTAACAAGCTGGGCATGCTAAAGAAGGACTCTAGAAGAAGATGCTTTAGCCTTATTGTGAAGTGTAAATAAAAGTCTTATGTTCCCTAGGAAGCTTTAGAGTTTGGGTGTAGAATTCTATAGTAAGTACAGACATAAGAAAGAACTTAGCACATTCTGGAAACTTCAGACAGTGACCTGAAACACAGGATGAGTGGTAGGAGAAGAGTTTGAAAAAGTATGCATGCTTGGAATCAAACACTGGTTTGTAAGCCATTCTGTAGATACTTGGGAATGTATCTACATTAAAAGCCTGACTTGATTGGATTTGAATTTAAGAAAGGTCCCTATAGTTGCAGTATTAGAGATAGGCTTGCTACATGAAGGAGTAATAGGCTAACTTAACTTAGCACTTAAGAAATTCTTAAAGTTTATGAAGGAAATGATGAAAGCTTTGGCAAATACAGCAACGTAGCAAATAGGAAAAAATAGATTTGAGAGATGTTTGGTAGAAGGATATGTGAGTGAATGTGTGTGTGTTTCACATAAAATTCAGTGATGGGGGTAGAGAGGAGAGTATCCTATTTCTGATTTGAGTGACTAGACTACTATTTGTTTTGCTATATTATATAAGTTTTTTAAATTAGCTAATATAACGGTATAAACAGTATTCACCTTGAAGTTCTTGGTCACAATCTGTTTTTATCATTATCTTTAACTTAAAGTTGTATTAACCATCAAATCAAAGAGCTGCCATAGTATTTAACCAATCTTATGTAACTTAAAGTATAGATTTGGTAAAATCAAGTAAAGGTGTTTTTAAAAAAAAATTAAATTCTTGAGTTTTAGACTTGAATGGCATTCTTTCTGCTTTTATCATCAGAACACATGAACTAAAAGTCTTCTAGTGAATCAGGGCGAAATTATATTTTGCTTTTTAAAATGTAACTTTAGATCATACTTTATCCAGTTTGGAGCCTGCATATTCTGCCAAATGGAGAAAATATCTTCACTTGAAGATGTGTTTCTACACAGCTTATGTAAGTATTCACAACGCTAAAAACAATGTAAATTATTGTTTCTCCAGCCCTTGGAGTGCCAGGTCTCTCATCTCACCAGAGTCTTTCATTAGCATTTTACAAATAATGGACAGCTAACTCTCAGTAAATGTTCACTGAGAGTCAGTGCAACCATTGTGAACTAAAGTGGGTGGAAAGAGATGATGTAGGATTGTAGAAGTGGATTATAGCAATAGAATTATTGTTTGATTGAAAACCCACTTGCAGCATACTTAATGAAATTCTTTCAATTGTTTCATCCTGTGCATTGAGAAACATATTTACTAATTCTAATATTAAGGCATATCACACAATATATCACCTAGCTTAGTGAAGAACCATCAATAAACATCATTTTGGAAGTTACGTATCAGTCTGTTATACCCACCAAACTTAATTGTTTTGTTAATTAGAATATCATATGAGAGATCATCAGAAACCTTTTTCAGGTCTGAGTAGATAATATTTCTTATACCTCCTTCTTCCTATGCATTAGCACAATAATTTCCTCCTTTATCTACTATTTCCTAATTTTAAATACAGATTTCAGCAAATAACTTTTTCTCAGTACATGGTTAGAAGGCTGTTTGGGCTCAAGACTTGACATATTTCCACCTTTTCTATGAACAAAGGTTGGGGAAGAGCTAAAATGTAAGGGATTGCATTGATACTTCAGTGTATGAAGGTACTAATTTATCTGATAGATACATAAAACAATAGGGGAAAGCATCTTGAAGGGAGAGAATGAATAAAAAATTTGTTTATTTCATCAGGCTTACTGTTACCATGGTGAGACTTTATTGGCTAGTGATAAATGCGGTGAAGCAATCAGGTCTCTCCAAGAAGCAGAAAAATGTAAGTTTTCCTGCCAGAATATTAACTCCCCTTTAAAAAACAAATGACTTTATCATAAAAGGGAATATATGCTTAAAGAGATTTTGGCTGAGTTCATGAAAGGGAAATGGGAATGGGTGACATAATTGGAGAAAAGAAAAAAATGTTTCAGAAACCTAGAACCTGTAGAAAATACACACCTTCTACTTACAGTATTATTATTGGTATTGCTATTATATTAGGTAAAGAGCAGTAAATGTCTTATCACCTCCAGTTTAAAGCCTTGTAGGGATAAATAGGCAGTGTTAATTATAATCAAAAGACTTTAAATCTCTTTCACATGCAGTGTATGCAAAGGCAGAAGCACTGTGTAAAGAATATGGAGAAACCAAAGGACCTGGACCAACAGTCAAACCTTCAGGACATCTGTTCTTTAGGAAACTTGGAAACCTTGTGAAGAACACCCTAGAAAAATGTCAGAGAGAAAATGGATTTATGTGAGTACAGTTTAATATTACTTTAGTAATAATATTATGTTGATTTATGATTATATTAAAATATTAATATTTTAGTAATATCATTTCTGTTAGTCTCTATTCCCAAAAGTTTTATGTTGAATAGCACTCACTCATGGGCTAGGCGTGGTGGCTCACAACTGTAATCCCAGCACTCTGGGAGGTCAAGGAGGGTGAATCCCTTAAGCCCAGGAGTTTGAGACCAGCCTGGGCAACATGGCAAAAACCTGTCTCTACAGAAAATACAAATAAATTAGCTGGGCATGGTGGCACACGCCTGTAAATCCAAGCTACTCAGGATGAGGTGGGAGAATCATCTGAAGCTGGGAAGTCAAGGCTGCACTGAGCCATGATTAAGTCACTGCACTCCCGCCTGGGCAAGAGTGAGACACTGTCTCAAATATATATAGTATTTATGTTTCACGTTAATTTTCTCTTTAAATTCGTGATAAATTTCAGTTGTGTAGGGCCTTTTATTCTACTTAGGATGATAATATATAAAAGCAGACTTTAAAATTAAAACATGAGTTATTAACGTAGAGTTAACTTCATTAGGACACTCACAGTGTCCTCATTTTCTCTTAACTCTGTTTCCCTGCCATTCTTCCTCCATATGTTTTAAATACATCTTCTCAACCTCCTTTGCATATTCGTCTCACTCTGGTTTCAGCTACCTATAAAGAAGGAAAATAAATTTTCTCTCCAGTTTTTCTTGCTTTTTTTCAAGAGGTTTTCCATTATTAAATCACTGCTGTTCAAATTGTAGATCACCTTCTGTGTAGGTGGGTAGACTCAATCTCCTTCCTGCTTTTATGTCCTTACATTCTTCCCCTTATATTCTTCATCTAGTCATAATGAGCTTTTCACTTCCTTAAGCATGCCTAGTTCACCTTTAATCACTTCCTTCGGAAAGAGTCACTGAACTTAATTCTGGGTTAATTCCCCTTGTCTGCATTCTCATGGCACTCTACATCCATGGTAGCTCCAATTACATTGCATTGTAATTGACAAAAGTTTCTTGACTTTTTCACTTTCCTACATAAGGCAGAAAAACCTCTTATCCATCATTAAATTGTCATTGTCCCAAACAGGACCTTGAACATATTAGGCACTCAAATAACGAACAAATGAATGAATTGCTATTTAAATTATTTTTTGCAGTTACTTTCAAAAAATTCCAACAGAAGCCCCACAGCTGGAACTCAAAGCAAATTATGGTCTCGTAGAGCCTATACCTTTCGAATTTCCTCCTACAAGTGTTCAGTGGACACCAGAAACATTGGCTGCATTTGATCTCACCAAAAGACCCAAGGATGACAGTGTATGAGATTGTTTTTTTTTTTCCCTCTCATTCACAAAAGTTTAAAAGAAAATTCAGAGTTAGCATTTTGATATTTTTCTCTAAATAGATACATATCTTTGTCTAAATGTTAAGTTAGCTAGTTATATAGTGCTTAATGTAATCTGTGGTAGAACATTCTCAGAGATAAGACCTCTAGGCCTTAAATGTCTTCTGATTTTCTACATAATGACATTCTTTTCAACACATTATCTTGCCTCTTTACAACTTGTCAGTGCCTCCTTTAAGAAGAATGTGGGAGAAAAGATCATCCATGTTTATACTGCTATAGCAATACTCTGTTTTTGTTTTAGCAAATTGCAGAGCATTTGCAGATTTGGCCTAATTTCAGTATTCTGTGAATCCAGGTGTAAAATAAGAGTGCTTTTATTTATTGGTATCTAAGTACATCTTGGTGTTCTAAATCAAATAGTAAATTAAGTGGAAATTTTGAGGTCTAACTACCAAAAGACTAGGGATCTGTGACAAATGAATAAGAATTATTTTACAGCCATTGCTCCTTTCTTGAGATTGAGTTGTGTTTATATAATTTCCTTTCCATATTAAAATTTATTCCTTAAAATAACTATCTTTATATTCTGTTCAGCTATAAAATAATGCCCTAAGAGATAGCCTATTGCTGTCATAAGTTATGTCTAAGCTTTAGGGTTCTTTTCTTAATTATTATTATTATTATACTTTAAGTTTTAGGGTACATGTGCACAATGTGCAGGTTAGTTACATATGTATACATGTGCCATGCTGGTGTGCTGCACCCATTAACTTGTCATTTAGCATTAGGTATATCTCCTAAAGCTATCATGTATAGATAGATCACTTAGAAAAAAGTATGGAGTAGGAGTACCATTAGCTTGGTTTTTGCCTACCAAACTAGGTTTTCATCTCTACTGAAATGTTGTTTTCTGATTATATCTTAAAATGAATTGGTCTGTAGTTTCTGGAAATAGCTTTGTCAGTATCCATGTTATGTAATTTAATATAGCATCTTTTAAAAGTCTGAAGTGGAAAAGATTTAGTGTTTGTTTTCTCAATCTTAGTTTATGTACTTAAACTGTGGTTTTTTTCTCCCTAGACTAAACCCAAACCAGAAGAAGAAGTGAAACCTGTGAAAGAACCAGACATCAAACCTCAAAAGGACACTGGGTGCTACATCTCCTAAAATACAACTTGCACTTAGAATTTCTCTAGCAGTAAATAAGATAAACCACAGAATTTCAGTTCTTATTTCTCAAAATGATTTCTCTGAAGCTTGTAGAATAACTATTATATTCAGAGGGTTATCTGCCTTCAGCTTACTTGTTCTTAATTTTTAATACAGCGGAGATGTTTCTTGCTTTGTTTTCAGACTCTCCTTTTTAATCAGGACAACATTTGAAAGATTTTATTGTGCCTCTAAAGGGTATATTTGGGGGTTGGGTCTTTTTGTTAAACTCTGGATAGTAATAAGTTTCAGGTCAGTATAGGCCCGAATCATGTGGTTTCAGGTATGTTTTTCTTTTTTCTTTTTCTTTTTTTTTTTTCTTTTTTTTTTTTTTTTTTTTTGAGGTGGAGTCTCCCTCTGTTGCCCAGGCTGGAGTGCAGTGGCATGATCTCGGCTCACTGCAACCCTCCACCTCCTGAATTAAAGTGATTCTCCTGCCTCAGCCTCCCGAGTAGCTGGGATTACAGGCACGCACCACTACACCCAGATAATTTTTGTATTTTTAGTAGAGACGTGATTTCACCATGTTGGCCAGGCTGGTCTCGAACTCCTGACCTCAGCTGATCTGCCCGCCTTGGCCTCCCAAAGTGCTGGGATTACAGGCGTGATCCACTGCACCTGGCCTCAGGTATGTTTTTCTATCTACACACAAAAAGTTTATTTTCCTTCCTCTTATTTGATATCAGAAGAATGACAGGAATCAGTTTTTAACAGAGATAGTTTTTCCGTTTCTCCATTGTGTTAATCAGAGCGCAGACTTACATTCTCAGTCATTTATCTTTTCTGGTGGAGAATAAAAAGTCACTTATAGTTAAAGATCAGAAAATTATCACACCAAATCCATTACATATGTTAGAATCAATAATTTACTCAAAAATCAGCTTTTATAGGTATGTTGGCACCTTATCCAAGAACTTATCCCTGTTCCAGTACCCCTGTGCTTCATTCAGTATCAGTAACCCTGCAATGATTTTTACAAATATCTTTTTCTAGTGGGTTTTTTACTTAGAGGAAAGAACTTTGTAATAGCTCTTAATGTTTATATATAAGAGAAGACAGAATGGAAAATGTTTTTTGAAGTCAAATATTGCATGATGTAAAGAAAAAACTTTAAACTTAAATGAGTAGGTTGTCCTGAATTACACTGGTAACTCTCTACTTCTTTATTAAAGAAGTTATAGTAAGATGCCTTTGTTACCTGATTTCAGTGTACATTGTTTTTATGTGGTTTTCTGATAATGTCCTGTCAGAATTGTATTGGTTTAGGCCAAAGGCCATAGCAAAAACATAGAGAACAAATATGATCTTAAAAATAGATTGTAACATTTTAAACAATTAGTTTAGTAATTTGGGAAATAGTGGATGCATAATACTTTAACAGAAGTCACACATCTGTAGGTTTATCTTTTGATTATTCTCCTGAGGCATTAGATAGTTTTTCTATTATAAGTGACAGATTGACTCACTTAATATAAATAAGTAGCATACACTAAAAGCTTACTATGTGCCAGATACTGTGCTGGACACTTACATAGATAAGCCATTGAATCCACACAGCAGCCCTGTAAGAAATAAGTAAAATCTGCATAAAGTGTTGAAATAGGAATATACATTTCATTATGAAAAATGAATAGATTATGCCTATCTGAATCAATATTGCATTCAAATAAGTGATTACTTAAATCATATATCATAGTTTACACTCCTTAAAAAAAGGTACATAAATTCAGTGAGGTTTTTTTCTTAACATACAGAAGTACTAAATACTGCTTGCAGTATAATATTGATATTGGAAGCTGCAGTTTCCAGAATAAGTGGAGTAATAACTAAACAGACATTTAATTTTATTTCAATATCTATGGAAAAAACACTTATTAAATCTCCCTGTATTTTATGTTGTCTTTATTACAGAATCACTTGTCTGTTTGTTGTGTGCCACTTACTGACAAAACTTTAAACAGTACTTGATGCCAGCTCTCTACTCTGTGGCTGTGGGACCTGTTTCTTTTAGGTACTTGTGCTTATTAATCTACTTACTAAATTTTCACATTGACATTTTTGGGGATGATACTACCATATACGAAATGGAAAATGTAATATGCTCAGTGCTTCTGTAAAATGCAGCAATACTGGTATTACTTTACATCAGTAGGCATCTTTGACATGAGCATATAAATATTTTGTTGACTCAGCAAAGGTGACACTTTGTGACTAAAGTATCCCATTATATATAATGTTTTTTGAAATGTTGGAAATTTTGGGGAATTATCAAATGTATAGAAGTTGCATGAAGGTTATAGAGAGGTGTAACTGTTTGTTAACTATTACATGGATTTCATACTAGGCAGTGACAACTAACATGTTACTTCAACTAAAAGTGTATAATGGGTTGTCTTTTTATTTATGAAAATAAAAGTAATTTTACTTACAATTTCATTGAGATCTTTTGTTTTTCGACAAATATTTTTATACTTACTAAGCCAGTAGCAGTTAAAACAGTGCAAAATTATTCTTCACAGTAATGTTTTAAAATGACAGATAACCAGGCATGGTGGCTTACGCCTATAATCCTAGCATTTTAGGAGGCTTGGGCAGGAAGATTGCTTGAGCCCAGGAGTTGAGACCAGCCTGGACAACGTGGTGAAACCCTGTCTCTGTAAAAAATAAAAAATTAGCTGGGTATGGTGGCACGTGCAGTGAACCACAGTCATGCCACTGCACTCCAGCCTGGGCGACACAGTGAGGCCCTGTCTCAAAAAAAATAAAATGACAAACATTTGCATCAATTGTTTTATGCTTCATGGGTTCATTAAATATTCAACGCTCCTTGTTCAGTTTCTACTTATGTTTATTGGCACCTATCACTTCTTAATCTCAAAGGATTTTGATTGGCCTGTTTATGTCTCGTGCTTAGTAATAGCCAACATGATACAGTATTTGTACTATGGTACGCTAAGCTAAAGAGTGTATCATTATCGCTGTACAATAATCTGTAGAAAACTCTATTCCTTGCAAACTTGAGGCAGCACTTTTAGCGTTGTATAAATGCATGCAGAAATAATACCATATTCAGAATTCTTTCAGAATTAGAGTACTCATGCTTTAGAAAATACTGGGTTTCTTATCTCTTAATGTGTGTAAAATAAACTTGGAATGTCACTTTGGGTTACCATAAGTTTGTATCTAAAGATTTTATTTGACATTTGAATAATTTGCTTAAAATTTAAATATTTAAGAATGTTATAGTAATAAAGGGATCAAAATAGTTAATCTGGAAGGGGAGTTGACAAATTATAAAACAGAAAACTATATTTGATTGTGCATATCCAAAAAGCCAGAGCTATCACTTCAGCAATTTAATGTATCTAATGCCTGTGATTTGCTTGAGGTCGGTAGAAGCTTATATAGTCACTTTCAGAGCACTCCCCTGAGAAAATGTCAAGACTTGAATTTGCTTCTCTAATGCAGAGCTTCTCAAGTAGTTTGTCTCAAGCTATTGATCGAAGCCTTCTGGGTGTCTAGCTGGGCAGCACTTAAGGTGGCTGGAGCTCCCAGGCTGGTCGCCTCCAGAATTCCAAACAACTAATTTTCTCTATCTGCCATGATGTAAAAAATGCTGTGAAACACCACAGTGGGACAGGCATGGACAGGCATGCAGGCAGTGGGGTGCATGTATGTGGTTTAATACTGAAAATAAGGATACAAAAATCCTGCCAGGTGATGCTCCTGTAATTCTCAAGGAGCGGCAGTGATTTGTTATTTCACATTTTTCCTCACTCTATCCTTGCCCCTGACACACACACTGCAAGTCACTGATTGGAGCAGGCCAGTTCCTTCAGGTGAAGGGGCCTAGAGAAATGTCGGTGAATACCCAGTGAATACCACGCTGTGAAACTCTGCATCTGAGGCACGCAGTGGGGCTTTGGTTCTCTCCTCTCACCAGGGGTTTGACCTTTCAACCACCTCAGAAAAAAGGAAAGGTGGAAGCAGGAAGGGGGACCAGCAGCTCCAGGCAAGCAATGCTAATTAGCTCCAGCGTAATGACCCAACATCAGTTCTTAGCTGAATTTTAACAGTCCATTTGAAAACATTTTCTAGATAAATGAAAATGGAAAGAGCTCTAGAAAATGTTTAAGTGTTACATACTTAAAATAGTATATTTACTTATTGAAGTTAAATGCCAAGATGTAGAACTAGTGTGTTATTTTCTTGGTACAGATTACAATGCTGTGTTTCAGTGAAGGAGCTAATTGAAATGATTAGTAGATAGATGTAATCAGAAAAATATTAAATGAAGATAGTAATTTCTAAAGCAGGAAATAAAGACAGTTACAAGTCTGTTCTTATTTTTCCAATCTGTTATATAACTCCTCCCACCCATTAACCTTAACTAAATGTATGATTCATTTGTTAAACAAATACTGAGTTCCAGCTACGTGTAAGGCATCATAGGGGCAGAAGATACAGCAGTGAACATAACAGGTAAAACCCTCCCCCTCTGCCAAGGGGCAGGACAGGGAGGAAAGGGAAGACAGAGACAGGTGGAATATGGAGTGTTCAGTGTTGGTAAGTGCTAAGGAGAAAAAATGAAACAGGAGGTAAGATGCAGAGGGTGGTGGTGAAGGCAATGGGAGGTTGCCTTGAAAGCGGAGCTCAGTGTAGTCTCCATTTGAGTTAAAGACTGGAAATGAGCAAGGAAACAGTCTAAGGAAAGAAAGACTAATAGAGCAGCCAGCAGAGAGCTCTCTGCAGAGAGAGAGGGCGGACCTGTGTGGTCAGGGAATTGCAGGAAGAAGGCCCGTGGGGTTAGAGTGATGTCAGTGGTGGGAGAGTAGTACAAGATGGCGTCAGAAAGCTCGTAGGGGTTAGGTATACAGCCTTGTAGGCCATTATGAGGAGTTTGGCTTTTACTCTAGGTGAGACGGGAACCCACTGGAGAGTTTTAAGCAAAGACATGACATGGTCTCACTTAGGATTTAACAATTCTGGCTCCTTTTCGAGCGTAGACTGGAGGGGGCCAATTAGGAGGCTGCTGCAATAATCTAGGTGAGAGACGACGGCAAGGGTGAGAGATGATAGACCAGGGTGGTAGCAGTGGAGTAATGAAAAGTATGATTCCAGAAATATCCAAGACAATTTCCTGGCAGATTTGATGTGAGGTGTGATTAAAGAAGAACCAAGAATGACTTTAGTGTTGTTGGCCTGAGCAACTGGAAGAACAGAGTTGCCATTTATTGAGATGAGAAGGCTGCCAGAAGAGTAGAGGTAAATGTGTGAGTATGTGTGTGTTGGGGGGATGGAGGGAGAGTTGCACTGAAAGCATGAGCAAAGATTTAGACAAATTAGGATTGAGATGTCCATTAGACAACTAAGAAGAGATGTCAAGCAGGTAGTTGGATCTGTGAGACTCAGGGAAAAAGTCTGACCTGGAGAATATAAATGTTACAATCATCTGTGTGTGGATAGTATTGAAAGCCACAGGGCCAAAGGAGATCATCAAGAAAGCAGATAGGAAAGAGAAGAGGTCCAATCACTGAGCCCTGGGGTAATACAATATTTAAAAGGTCAGAGAGATTATATGGCCTGTTAATTACATTATATACTTAGGAACTATCCTTCATAGTCTGTATTTGGGGTTTTTAAGAAACAAAAGGTAGAGGTGCTCCCAAGAATTAAACTGAGCCGGGCGCAGTGGCTCATGCCTGTAATCCCAGCACTTTGGGAGGCTGAGGCAGGAGGATCGCTTGAGTCCAGAAGTTCAAGACCAGCCTGGGCAATATAGGGAGACTCCGTCTCTACAAAAACTGCAAAAAAAAAAAAAAAAAGGCTGGGCGTGTGGCACGTGCCTGTGGGAGGTCGAGGTTGCACCACTGCACCACTCCAGCCTGGGCAAAAGCAAGACCGTGTCTCAAAAAAAAGAAAAAAAAAATTAAACCAAAGCCAAAAGAAGATCACTTACAAAATACCGACATCTAGGTGTGAAGCTGGCAATGTTCCCAAGGTTTTTGTAAATAAGTTGATTCCAAACTGTTCACTATTGAGACCCCTCTGTGTGACATGTACCGATTACAAAGATGAATTTTGCATAGCATATTCTAAAATGCCCATTAGGTGGCAGAAAAACATTCAGTAAACCAACTGTGAGCTAGCTAGTGCTCACTCTTGTGCTCATTCACGGTCTCTCTCTCCACTCCCCTCCAACCTCCCAAAGAGCCCTCTGAACTTAAAGATGTATATGGCTATTAATGCACAACACCATAATCATAAAGAACGAAGACTGGTATTTTCTTCAGAGAGCCAACAGATATCATCAGTCTGTAAGATAATAGAGGCAAGCCAGGTGTACAGGGGATGAGGGTGTGCGTATGTTTCATTTGGTTTGGAAATGTATGAATTTGGACAGTCTTAAGAGGAGTAAATTGACTATAATGAGACTATTAGGCCTTATTTTTAAACTTTTGATATTTAAGCTTTTTAGCTTGGGGCAGTGTGAAGAAGTGTTTAGAAAGTAGAAAGCAAGAAAGCCTCTTGGAAAAAAAATAGACAAGATGTCTTACAACTAGCCTGATGTTTAAGCTTTCTGCAATACACCAAATCCCTAAATCACAAGTCTCTGTTTCAGTTTCAAAGTTTCTTCTTTTCTCACTCTCTTTAGGGCACTGGTCCCCAAACTTGCCTGAACATTGGGATGACCTGGGCAGCTTCAAAATATACTAGTGCCTGAGTTCTACCCACAGAGATTGTGATTTAAGTGGTCTTAGGTGTGGCCTGTCTTTGAAATTATTTAAAAGACCCCCAGATGATTCTCATAACAAAATAATTTTGAGAGCCACTGGGCTTAGCTAATATTGGATGTATAAATATAGACCTTCCCACAACTCAAACATGTTCCACCCTGTAAGACACGCAAGAGAACACTTCCACGTCAGCATATCCAAGTGCACTGTATGGCCTCAGCCTACAGAACCCTTAACTCTTAAATTTATCATCTATTGAACAATTTCTAACATCAAAATTTGTACTACTTTCAACACCAAACATCACTAATTAATGAAAGAAAAATACAGAGGAATTATGTAAGTTTCTTTTTGAAAATGTTTTATTTTGCTTGTTGTTGCAGAATGTGTTTTGTTTCCTATGGCACTGATAGTATTTATTTGTGCAATAGTATTATGCTTAACATATTGTTGGTCTTACATACCAAATTAAAATGGGTATTTTTTGCTGCTATTTAGCATCAGAAACTAAATGATAATACCTCTTCCTACTTCTTACTGAGGCTTTTCTGTGATACACCATTACTAAGTCAGGGGAAACCATGTGTACCATTCAGAGGTCCCCAAACAGGGCAGATACCACATCACCTTGCTGTGGATGACAAATGTAACCTTTGGCAGATCTTTTGCAACTCTGACCTTTGACAAAGGCATTAAACTCAGCACTGTAGCAATAAGATTTGGTGATTTATTTTTATATATATAAGCATATGCATATATGAATATATATGTGTGTATATTCAATCATGTTTGCATTGCCCATAAAATATTTTTAAAATTCGATCTTCTAGTCTTCATTTTAATGGATGACTGACAGTCCATTTGCATTTATTATGATTATTGACTTAACTTGGAATTAATGCTAATATTTTGTTTAGTGTTTCTTTTGATCATGATTTTTCCTTACTGTTTCCTCTCTCTTGCCTTCTTTCACAGTGTTTCTGTTCTTTTTTATTTTCTTCTGCTGGTTTTGAAGCTATACATTCTAATTCCATTATTTGTCTAGTTACCTTTCAATTGTTAATATGCATACTTCACAACGTATCTTATCCAGCCTATCCCAAAACAATACTTAGAATTCTGTCAGCTCATATTTTTTGTTATTATCTAATACTTAATACTGTTTTGTCTTTATACTGTCCCCACCAAAATAGTGTTTTTGGTTTTTGTTTTGTTTTGTTTCTTGAGACAGAGTCTCGCTCTGTCACCCAGGCTGGAGTGCAGTGGCACGATCTCAGCTCACTGCAAGCTCGGCCTCCCGGGTTCATGCCATTCTCCCGCCTCAGCCTCCCGAGTAGCTGGGACTACAGGCGCCCACCACTATGCCCAGCTAATTTTTTGTATATTTAGTAGGGACGGGGTTTCACCGTGTTAGCCAGGATGGTCTTGATCTCCTGACCTCGCGATCTGCCCGTCTCAGTCTCCCAAAGTGCAGGGATTACAGGTGTGAGCCACCGCGCCCGGGTTTGTTATCCTGTTTACTAATGTTTTTACTTATATTTATTGCATCTTACTTTTTGTTTTCTTTTTTTTTTTTTTTTTTTTTGAGACAGTCTTAATCTGTCACCCAGGCTGGAGGGCAGTGGTGCAATCTCAACTCACTGCAACCTCCACCTCCTGGGTTCAAGCGATCCTCCCACCTCAGACTCCTGAGTAGCTGCGACTACAGGCACATGCCACCAAGTCCGGCTAATTTTTTTGTATTTTTTTTAGTATAGACGGGTTTTCGCCATGTTGGCCAGGATGATATTGAACTCCTGGCCTCAAGTGATCCACCAGCCTTGCCCTCCCAAAGTGCTGGGATTATAGGCATGAGCCACCATGCCTGGGACATCTTACTTTTTCTTACCTCTGGGTTTAGTTTTCTTCTTCTTGACATAGAATTTCCTATTATTAATCTTTCAATAAAGATGCAGGAATGGTTAATGCTCAGTTTTTGTAGGTCTGAATATATCATTACATTACTCCCACTTATTGTTTAGCTGGATATTGAATTCTCTATTTTTTTTTTTTTGAGATGGCATCTTCTCTGTCGCCCAGGCTAGAGTGCAGTGGCACAATCGCTGCTCATTGCAACCTCACCTCAAACTCCCAGACTCAAGCAAGTCTGTCAGCTCAGTCTCCCAAGTAGCTGGAACAACAGGCATGCACCACCTTGCTCAACTCTCTCTTTTCCTTCCTTCCTTCCTTCCTTCCCTCCCTCCCTCCCTCCCTCCTTTCTTTCTTTCTTTTTCTTTCTTCCTTTCTTTCTTTTTCTTTCTTTCTTTCTCTCTTTCTTTCTTCTTTCTTTCTTTTTTCTTTCTTTCTTTTTTCCTTCCTTCCTTCCTTTCTTCTTTCTTTCTTTCTTCCTTCCTTCCCTCCCTCCCTCCCTCCCTCTCTCTCTCTCTCTCTCTCTCTCTTTCTTTCTTTCTTTCTTTCTTTCCTTCCTTCTTTCTTTCTTTCTTTTCTTCTTTCATAGAGACAAGGTCTCACAGTGTTCCCCAGGCTGGTTTAAAACTCATGGCCTCAAGTCAGCCTCTCACCTCAACCTCTGTAACTGCTAGGATTATAGGTGTGAGCCACAGCGCCCGGCCTGTATTCACTTCTGAAACTACTATTAGACGTACTGAACTTTCTCATCTATCCTTTATATCACCTAACTTTTCTTTCATATTAAATATATATCTCTTTTTTTCTCACCCCACACTCCAACATAAATTATACTGTATTGTCTGTTGCTTGAACTATTTCGTAATAATTAAACTTTGATGTTGAGAAATTACAACTTTATTGTACACTTCATTGCAACTTGAAATTCATGGTCTTAAAGTGAGATTTGAATTTCTATTGACCGCCTTTTAAAAAGTAATACCAAACCATAAAGTTAAAATTGATGTACATTGAGTCATATCTAAAACCACACATAAACATAAATTGTATTTCCTATTTTAATTTCAGGGGAACTACTGTTTGGGAAAGCTATTATTAGGTAAATGTTTTAAAAATTACTGTTTCTCATTTTCAGTCATAACCTAATGATCCCAGCAAGATAATGTCCTGTCTTCTAAGATGTGCATCAAGCCTGGTACATACTGAAAATCCTATAAGGTCCTGGATAATTTTTGTTTGATTATTCATTGAAGAAACATTTATTTTCCAATTGTGTGAAGTTTTTGACTGTTAATAAAAGAATCTGTCAACCATCAAAAGAAAAAAAATTATACTATATTGTGAGAGCTTTTCTCAGATTTCTTCGTATGCTTAATCAATATCCAACCTACGACTATGCGACGATATTTTTTTTTTCTGCAATTTGTTCTTTTCCAAGTCAGTCTTCTTTCGGGATATTGTATTTTGCTTCTTTTATCTTTTTGAATATATTAGTTTGGGGCAAAAGTAATTGCGGTTTTTCCATGACTTTTAATGGCAAAAAATGGAATTCCTTTTGCACCAACCTAATGTTAAGCACACTAATTTTAATGTTTCCTGTTGTCCTATCATTCCTAATTCTCAGGTGAGGACTCTCCCAGTTTTCTCATCAGCTGAACCTTCCTCCAGATGCCTAATTTCTTCATGTAGTTTGTAAGTTTTTACAATAAGCACATCCTCAGCAGGCATTTGTTGGCTTTGTTTTTGTTTTTGTTTTTGTTTTTTGAGACAGTGTCTCACTCTGCCGCCCAGGCTGGAGTGCAATGGCATGATCTCGGCTCACTGCAACCTCCACCTCCTGGGATCAAACAATTCTAGTGCCTCAGCTTCCCAAGTAGCTGGGATTATAGGCTCTTGCCACCATGCCTGGCTAATTTTTGTGTTTTGTTTTTTTTTTTGTGGAGACAGGGTTTCACCATGTTGGCCAGGCTGGTCTGGAACTCCTGACCTCATGCGATCCACCCGCCTTGCCCTCCCAAAGTTCTGGGATTACAGGCGTGAGCCACCACACCCGGCCATGAATTGTTTTTAGTGGAGATTCAGTATACCCTGTCTTGTTGAATTATTCCTCCAAGGTGACTTTGTACTTGGCGTCTGACAGAGTTCAGTGGATTACACTGCCTTTATTTCACTCAGCTTCATCTTAGGTTTTCACAGCATATGAGGACTATGAATTTGGGCCACACACCAGCATGTGGTACTGGCGGGGGTTTCCAATATTTTTTAGGTGACTATTTCTACCCTTGTTGCTAGGAGATAGCAAATTACTTTGCTACTTTTGCAAGCTGGGGGTAGATTTTCCTGTCCATATTTTATAGATAAGATAGTATTTTATTACCTTAGTTTTATGCAGGTGGCTTCATTTCAGCTCTCCACACTCATGGGATCTGAGATTTGGACTCTCTTCTCTCTATTGGTAATAAAACTCCAGCTCCAAGGCCTATATCTGGTTCTGAACCCCCCAGCAACCATCTCGGCTTCAGCTCATACTTATAGTTTTGTTCTTTCTCTTATTCTGACATCTAGGCTGGCTGACTTGCTTTCAACCCCCTGCCCCTCTCTCTCTCATCTCTATCCCTAGGTCTCTCTCTTTTTTCTGCTTCCTTAGTGTACTTATGATTTAATGTTTTCATTTAATTTCATCCAGCATTTCTGTGTGTCTGGAATAGGAAGAATTATTCTACATCATTCAGCCATATTGGTTGATATAATTTTAAAGTATCTTAAATCTTAATTAAAACAATATGAGGCCAGGCATGGTGGCTCACGCCTGTAATCCCAGCACTTTGGGAGGCCGAGGCGGGTGGATCACCTGAGATCAGGAGTTCGAGATCAGCCTGGCCAACATGGTGAAACCCCGTCTCTAGTAAAAATACAAAAAGTTAGCCGGGGGTGGTGGTGGGTGCCTGTAGTCCCAGCTATTCAGGAGGCTGAGGCAGGAGAATCGCTTGAATCTGGGAGACAGAGGTTGCAGTGAGCCGAGATTGTGCCATTGCACTTCAGCCTGGGCAACAAGAGTGAAACTCCATCTCAAAAAAAAAAAAAAAAAGGCAAAAATACATGTGTACGTATCCTTACAACATTGGAATACTGCCTGACATATACACTGCTAAGTAAATTATAGGTACTTAATAATAGCCAGCTTTTATTAAACACCATTTGCTAAGAATTGTTCTAACTTCTTTATGTGTCTTTACTCATTTACTCTTCATTACAATTTTATAAGGTTGGCACTATATCATTTCATACTATTATTTTATAAATGAGAAAACCAAGACACTGGGATATTAAATAATAGGATTTTAAATCCAGGAAGTCTATCTCCAAAGCTTTCCAGCTTTATTAAGATATACCTTAAATACAATAAAATGAACTAATTTTAAGTGTAGAATTTGATTCATTTTGACAAATTATACAGTCAAGTAACCGACATTATGATCATGATATCTATTAGAACACTTCCGTCACCCCAAAAAGCTCCCTTTGTCACTTTATAGTTAATCTTAACCCCTACCCACTCTCCTCTAGCAAACAGTGATCTGTTTTCTACTATAATTTTGCCTTTTCTAAATTTCTACATAAATGGAATTATATACGATGCAGTGTCTGGCTTCTTTTGCTTAGCATAATACATTTGAGAGTCACAGTGTTACAAATATTCATTGTTTATTACTTTTAATTGCTGAGGAGTATTCTATTAAATATATGGACCACATTTTGTTTATCCATCGTCAGTGGATGGACATTGAGTTGACTCCAGTTTGGAGTGTTCACAAATAAAACTGCTACGAATATTCCCATACAAATCTTTAGGGAGACATACGCTTTCATTTCTCTTGGATAAACATCTAGGTGTGAAATTACAAGATTTTATGTTTAACTTTTAAGAGACCAGGCATAGTGGCTCACATCTGTAATCTCAGCACTTTGGGAGGCCAAGGTGGGAGGATCTTTTGAGCTCAGGAGTTCAAGACCAGCCTAGGTAACATAGTGAGACCCCATCTCTATAAAAAAAAATTTTTTTTAATTAGCCAGGCTTGGTGGCACGCACCTGTGGTGCCAGCTACTCAGGTGGTTGAGGCGGGAAGATTGCTTAAGCCTGGGAGGTAAGGGCTGCAGTGAGCCATGATTGCACCACTGCACTCCAGCCTGGGTGACAGAGAAAGACTCTGTCTCTGCAGCCCCCCAAAAAAATTTTAGGCTGCGCACAGTGGCTCATGCCTATAATCCCAGCACTTTGGAAGGCCAAGGTGGGTGGATTACTCGACATCAGGAGTTTGAGACCAGCCTGACCAACATGGTGAAACCCTGTCTCTACTAAAAATACAAAAAATTATCCAGGCGGTGCCTGTAATCCCAGCTACTCAGGAGGCAGAGGCAAGAGAATCACTTGAACCCAGGAGGCAGAGGTTGCGGTGAGCCGAGATCACGCCATTGCACTCCAGCCTGGGCAACAAGAGCAAAAAAGTCTGTTTCAAAAAAAAGAAAGAAAATTAGCCATTACAGTGGGTATGTTATGATATCTCATTATGATTTTAATTTGCATTTCCCAAATGACTAATGACATTCGTCATCTGTATATCTTTGGTAAAATCTCTACTCAAATATTTTGCCCATATTTTAATTGAGTTATTTGCCTTTTACCTGTTGAATTGTAATCGCTCTTTACATGTTCTGAAAATAAGTCCTTTACCAAATATATACTTTGCACATGTTTTCTCCTGTCTGTGTGAAGTCTGTACTCTTAACCATTTCCTTCATTGCTTCTCAATATTTATTGAAATAATTGAGAAACGTCTGCAGGATAGTGACCCCTTCCTACTAGCAATTGTGTGTTTTAACGTTAACAAAAGGTAAGAAAACCCTGTTGACACTTTTGTTTGAAGACTGTAAGTTCACGTTTTCGCTATTTATCAAATCTCTTCCATTTTGGTACAGAATAGAACAGTCCTTTTTTGGATTTGAGGAATCGATGAGGTCACAGGTGTGATTACCTCTGAGTTCTCTGTCTTTACTATCCATTGAAAATAACTAGATAACTCTCAGCTCTGGGTAACTTGCCCTAAGGTGCCCTGTTTTTAATTTTCTAGTTGTTTTGTTTCATTATGGAGATTGACGGTTTCCAGCAGTTAGACCTAGAGAAGAGTGTACCTTCCAAAAAGACTACTCCTAAAAGGATTATCCATTTTGTTGACGGAGACATCATGGAAGAATATAGCACAGAGGAGGAGGAGGAAGAGGAAAAGGAGGAGCAGAGCACAAATTCAACACTTGACCCTGTAAGCTTAGTATATCAATATTAGGGAACATGGTGGGGGAGGCGGTGAATGAACAAGAGATTGAGCCAGACAAGGTTTATAGAAAGAATAGCTTTAAGCTAAGTCCTTGGTCTCCTTTTTTGCTTTCTAAATCCATGCATAGGCAACTTACAATTTTAATCATCTTGGTCTCTTCATCTGTGAGAGAGAAAATGGAACATATTATATAGAGCATTTTGAAATCTCTACATTAAAACAAATCTGCAGTCACCATTCCTCTTATTAACTACTCTATCTCAATTTCTCCTTTTTTCAGTCTAAACTTTCCTGGGGGCCCTACCTACGATTTTGGGCAGGACGAATAGCAAGCACCTCATTTTCTAGTAAGTACTGCTAAGGTTATTTTTTTCTATCCTAAACAAATATATATATCGATAGGCCCTCAGAGTATGTGGGACTTCCAATTGTGTAAGCCACTCCATCGCATCCTGAATAAGTGAGATCTGGGCTAAGCTTTCATTCCCAAAGGCACAGAACTTCGCATCCTCAGGCAGACCCTTCATCTTTTACCAACTCTCATCAGGAAATTCTTATCTCGGCCCAAATTTTATCTACTTCTAAAGTTCCTACTTATCTTTCTTAACCATACAAAACTGCTATAGATGCCTCTTTCATAGGACAGAGGGCAATATTTGAGGGCAATAATCAGTCCTCCCTGAGTTGACTCTTCTTCTGAATAAACTTCCAAGTTAAAAAAACAATGATTGTTGTATGACACAGTTCTAAGTTTCTAACTTCCCTCATCATAACTGCTTTATTATAAACATGAACTTTATCGATCCCTCCTGGGGGCATAATGAATGGGCTAAGTGAATACTTATAACAACTAAAATACTAAATCTTATTTTGCTTGACTTTCATCAATTTTTTTAAGACATAGTTGACAACATCTAATTACTCATTTCCTTCTAACTTGCACATCTTGTGAATATGATAGGAAGGCAAACTAAGAGTCTGAGAAAATAGAAATTGTATTAATAGCTCTTAGAAATTGATCTTCATTCATTCATTTAAAAAACATTAGTAAGTGTCTACTATATGCTCAGCACTGTGCTGGACCCTGGGACACAAAGATGAATGACAAGTCTCTGCTTTCAAGGGACTCAATATTCAGTGAGTCATATAGACCAGCAAACATGCTCGTAATTATAATTTGTTGTCACAGTTGCCAGGGTAGAAAGTGTATAGGGGCTCTGACCTGGAAGACTCGGGCATGCTGACATGTGGGGGAGACCCCTTAAGAGAGCTATGAAAGTGTGGCTGGCTAAGGCTAGCTTGAGGACCATGAAAGTGACCAGGGAATCTTTAGATTACAGTAAAAAGTAAAGATGGGGTGATTTAGGCAGATGGTATGAACCTTCAAGAAATAAGTGCTTTTACACAAGTGCAGAGGGTTAGTGATTTGGAAGTTACGTTGAAAATCCCGTGAATACCAACCCTACCCTGACCACAATAAGTTAACAGAAAAAAAAATGCTGTCTTCCAGAAAGCTCTCTACACTTCGGTTAAGGCAAAAGGGTTTGAAAAGATATGTTTTAGAGGGAGGGAATTGGAGAAGATTAGGTCAGGTAAAAGAAGCAAAACTCAATATGGGATTGAGAGTATGGAGAAGAAGAATGATTTGCATGTTGGGTTTTGATTTGAGATTGCAGGGATAGGATGTATGGTGAGCCTAGCTTCCTTGTGAGTGCCAAACAGAACTGCAGTGGTAAAATGCTCCTGACTGGGGCTTCAAGATTGTAGTGGAGGCATAAAGATGCTAGCAGTCAGTGCTGTGGTCTGTCTACACAGAGATTTTGTTTGAATGGAGTTGGAACTCAGACGACACAGGTAATTAATTTTTTCAATTTAAAATTCTAGTAGGTCATAAACAGGAAAGCTTCCTAAGATTTATTTTAATATTTTTTTAAAAAGTTATCTTCTACACATGTACTAGGCAGTGCAGCAAATAAACAGGACAAAGAGATAGCATATTAATGAAAAGATAAGACATATTTAAAAACAGCATCATTTTGATGCCCTATATGAGCAATATCCCAAGAGGTAGAATGAGTCAGAGGAATCAGAAAGTCCTATAATTCAGGGGTAAGAGAAGGCTGTCGGAAATCCTCTAATTGTAAAGGAAAACTTTTCTAGGAGACTTCTTTAGGAAACCACTCATTATTCATGCTATGCCTTTATCCCTGACTCTAACAATCCCAGTGCTGAGCCTGCAGGCCACCTTGCTACTGAAGGCAGAAAAGGAAGGCCTTAAACAACTTCTGAGAAGTCTGTCTGGATGCATGGAAGAATTCCTGATGTGGGTCTTGGTAACACTGGATTGAGTTTGGGTTTAATTTGAAATATACTTGGAGCAGATGTTTAGCCGGTATGCATGGGGATAATGAACAATACCTGTTCTGATTGCTCAGGACCCATGCTATACCTGTTGTTAAAGTATATTGAAAATCTCTCCTGATATATACATCTGGAAAAAATAGTTTATATATAATCCCATATAAAGATAGAAGATTTGACAAATTTCCTTTGAATCCTAGAATTTTTGAGAGGCCAAGGCAATTGAAATGTTTTGTCAGCCTTGAAGTTAAGTATAGTAATAGACCACTATTACTATACTATCAGAATAGTTTAAACTCTGGGCATCTCAACTGATGCGAAGCTTTAGTTAGTAATTCAGTTTACGCAAGTGCTCGTTCTTTCTTTTAGCATGTGAATTCCTTGGTGGAAGATTTGCTGTCTTCTTTGGTCTTACTCAACCCAAATATCAGTATGTGTTAAACGAGTTCTATAGGATACAAAACAAGGTATGTGACACTCTGATGGAAACAAGGGGCCTGAGATGGGAATATTGGTTGCTCCAAATTTAGGCCAGTATAGAGAAGTATTTTTCCCACCTGGTCATATGTACTATAATTTCACCAAGCTCCCATAGTCAGACTGACTTATTTTTCTAGTTCTGTTCACCCAGGGACACTTCTTCACATTTGCCTCACTCCTGCGAAGTTAGGATGTCATGAGCTGTGTTGTAGAAGAAGGTAGTTGGGTGAGAAGGCTCAGATTGCTTAAAGTAGAAGCTTCTTACATGGGCATTATATACAAGAGGGGGAGTTCAGAGGTCTTTGTTTGTACAGTTAAACATTTCCTTATTTCTCTCCAAAACAGAAAAGTGACAACAAAAGTGAAAGGAGAGGATCAAAGGCCCAGGCAGCTGAGGTTCCTAATGAAAAGTGTCACTTGGAGGCTGGGGTCCAAGAGTATGGAACCATACAACAGGATGTGACAGAGGCCATTCCTCAGTGAAGCACCTCATCCAGGGAGGGTCTGGTGGCAGATCCTAGCTCATGATGGCAGCAAAGACTGCAGTTTCCCTGGATCTGTTCCTTGGCCATTGATTACCATGGCAACAACACCAGAGGTAGCACTTCTGAGCCAGATCTGATCCTAATCTCTGTGTGACTTAGTCTCAAGCATCCAGGAATTACAAGCAATAATGAGAGTAATTTTGGACACTTTCTCAGAATAATTTCTATATTCAAGCCACCCCACCTCAACTCCACCCCTGTGATACAAGTCCCATGAGTACTGACATTTGCACAGTAGCATAAATGCCTTAAGGAACTTTGGGACTGGGAGTTTTTGGCTGAAATCCTCTGTCATGGGACGAGGGTACAGTAAAGAAGCTCTATTCCTCAGAAGAAAATTTGGGCACCGCAAAGTCTAAATAAATCCCCTTTCAGGATTTGATATAGTGTGTACTTCCAACAACCATCCTGGCGTAGTTGGGGATTGTTTTACAATAAGTAAACATTGCTAATAACTGTGTTACAAGATCATTATCAAGATCTTTAAGAATTAGGTACATCCCTCCAAATTAAAACAATTGATAAATAATATAAGCTCTAGAAAAAAATATTAATGGATTATTTTCTTATTTATTTGTCAAGAAATTTTCAAAACCTGGAAAGATCGAACATGGAAATCATTGTTAGATAACACAGGGTGTGCTGGCCAAAGTAACTGTGATACATTAATAGCAAAAAACAAACCAAAAAAAAAAAAAATGAAAAACACAGGGCCTGCAGTAGTAAGACATGAGTTCCAGTTTCACTTCTCCCATTTACTAGTTGTGTGATTTGAGATGTCTAGATTTCTGAGCTCCAGTCTACTTTGTAAAATATGGGTGACTTGACTTTGCTTGTTATTGTTATACAGAATTATGAGAAATAATAATTTATTGTTGTTTTAAGCTTTGGAGTGGTTTGTTATGCAGCCATATATAACTGAAATTATAGCTCTAAGAGAAGAGGAAGTTGGAATTAATTTAATATGAAATCAAAGACAGAAGTAGGCCTGGAGCATAAGGAGTTGTGAGTTGAATATAGTAGGATAGGATAGATTATGCTGCACAGACACCTCCAAAATCTCAGTGTCCTAAAACAAGAAAGTTTATTTCTTTCTCTTGAGAAGTCCACTGTCAGTTTAGGTGGCTTCCCAGACAGGTGTTCTCCGTGTGATAGCTCAGTGTTGCATGCTTCTTTGATCTTATGTTTTCTCCATACTGTGATGTGCTCTCGGGGTTGCTGGAAAAGGAACAGCATGGAGAGTTAAGCAGTGGCAATCAATATCTCCACTAAAAATGAATCATGTCACCTCTGTGTATGTTTCGTTCACCAAAGAAAATCACATGGCTATAATTAATTTTATGGGTGTCTGAGCCTCCTAAGATAGCTGAGAAAAGGAAACACTTTCTTCTAATGGCATAGGAGATAAATGGTAGGCTCAAGGATCAATATGATATTGATTTAATCTCAGCTCTCCTGCCTCTTTGTAACCCAGTAGCTCTGTGCAAATTACTCAACTTCTCAATGTTCTCATCTATAAAACAGGTTTGAGACAGGAAGCAAATATAATTTGAACCAGCTTTATGCAACAAAAAAGAATTTTGTGGAAAGTACACTGAGTTATCAAATGGACACCAAAGGGAGATTAGTCTCAATAGGATCTAAACAGTGTGACAAGCAAGCACCCAACAGGTACTGTCTGTCCATCTCTCATCTTTCTTGCCCATGAGGAAGATGCCCACTCTATAGCTCTTGATAATTCTTCTGTTCAAGTGACTGATATACTAGTCTTTCGTCCCCATTTCAAAGCATAGTGTGGATAGAATCTGTTTTGCTCCTTTTTGTCAAGTATCACTCTCTAATTCAATTAATTGTGGCCAGGGAGATGGAGCCTTGTAGTAGCAACATGGTTATGGGACCTATTTCTGGGTTAAGATGGTTCTCAGGAAAAGGAAATTGCAGTGAGCTAGGTAGGTATCCCATGACTGTTTCATGTTAAAATTGAGGAAAAGCACGTAAAGCTGTGGCTCTAATAAGGTGCTTAAGTCATAGTATCAATTACAATTATTAATATTTATGATGGTTAATTCTATGTGTCAACTTGACTGGGCCACAGGATGCCCAAATTAAACATTACTTCTGGGTGTATCTGTGAGGATATTTCTGGATGACATTAGCATTTGAATTGTTGGACTCAGTAAATGGATTGCCTTCCCAATGTGGATGAGCACCATCCAATCCACTGAGGGCTTGAATGAAACAAAAGGCCAAGGAGGGAAGAATTTGCTCCTTTTTTCTGCCTTATTGCTTGAGCTTGGATATCTCATCTCATTTCATCTTCTCCTGCCCATGGACTGGGATTTACTACCTTGGCTTCTCTCATTCTTAGGTCTTTGAACTCAAACTGATTTACATCACTGGCTTTCCTGGGTCTCCAGTTGGTGAATGGCAG
This sequence comes from Homo sapiens, assembly GCF_000001405.40. Taxonomy (NCBI): domain Eukaryota; kingdom Metazoa; phylum Chordata; class Mammalia; order Primates; family Hominidae; genus Homo; species Homo sapiens. The sequence goes on from NC_000001.11 coordinate 222,752,552, forward strand.
ATTGTGGGACTTCTCAACCACCATAATCACAATAAATTCAGTTCCTCATAATAAATCTCATTGTATCTATCTATCCAATTATCTGTCTATCTACCTATGTCTCTATAAATCTATGCTATTGGTTCTGCTTCACTGGAGAACCCTGACTATTATAATATTGAATGAGAATCCCGGTTTCATGGATTCTGAACGGCTTGTCCCCACTGAAGAGTCAGTCTTAGGTCTTCATCTGACATGTTCTGTTAGTCCAGTTTCAAGGTGAAGTAAATCTGAAGGTTTTATCATATTGCAGAAGTGACCAGGTCTATCAGTTAAGCATTGGTTACTTCAGTCTTAGGTGTCTGATCATACTAACAATCTATACCTGATTTACTTACTATTTTGCTTCAGAATAGCCCTAGGAATGGACTGTTTTTGACTTTTCCATTTTCTAAAAAATTATTCACCTCTTGAATATCCACTTATTGATGATTCTAAGGAACTAGGTGGGCTTTTCCCTTTCAGACACCCCTCTCTCTCACAAGAGAAAGAGGGCTGCTCTCCTTTCTCTTTCTTTTGCCCATTAAACCTCTGCTCCTAAACTCAAAAAAAAAAAAAAAAAAAAAAGAACTAGGCAAAACAAAGTGTGATATTTGAATTGAAGAAGTGGATTTTTATCTAGCAAATGTTATACTCTCAATTTAATTTTCTTTTTCACTAAAAGAAAAGATTCTCTTATGGTCAGTGACCATATGCAAATCAATTGAATCTTGAGCAAAATATAATAAAGAAGACAAATGGAACCCAATACCCAGATCTTATCAGGCTATTCCTGCAGGATAAGTCCACAGTTTCTTTAATATTAAAATTAATTCATTTATTTAATATTAATTGGACATCTACTATGTGCCAGTTTGTTTGTTTGTTTGTTTGTTTGTTTTAGGTACTATTAACAAAGAAGACAGAAATCTCTACTTTCCTGTTAGCCTTGAATTCCCAATAGCTAAATGATTAGGACATTCAGTCTTTGTATGGTCAGCCTCTCAGATGGTCCTCAACGATCTCCACCTCCTGCTATTCATACCTTGTGTAGTTCCTTCTCACACTGTACCAGGGTGATTTATGTAACCAAGAGAATATGGCAGAATTAATGATATGCCACTCCAGAGATTGTTATAAAAGATACTTTGGCTTCTGTCTTGATCTTTCTCACTACTTTTCTCTTGGATCATTCATTCTGAAGGAAGCCATCTGCCATGTTATGAGGACACTCAGCCAGTGCAGCAGACTGAATATGTTCCCCCACAAATTCATATGTTGAAACCCTAATCCCATTGTGATGATTTTGGAGGTGGGGCTTTTGGGAGGTAATTAGGTCATGAAGGTGCAGCCCCCATGAATGAGATTAGTACCCTCTCAGAATGGCCTGGTGCAGTGGCTCATGCCTGTAATCTCAGCACTTTGGGAGGGCGAGGTGGGCAGATCATGAGGTCAGGAGATTGAGACCATCCTGGCTAATACGGTGAAACCCCGTCTCTACTAAAAATACAAAAAATTAGCTGGGCATGGTGGCGGGTGCCTGTAGTCCCAGCTACTCGGGAGGCTGAGGCAGGAGAATGGCGTGAACCCAGGAGGCTGAGCTTGCAGTAAGCCAAGATCACACCACTGCACTCCAGCCTGGGCGACAGAGCAAGACTGTCTCAAAAAAAAAAAAAAAAAAAAAAAAAGAAATGGCCAGAGAGCTAACTGGCTCTCTTTCAGCATGTAAGGATACGATGAGAAGTCAGCAGTCTGCATCCCAGAAGTGTGCCCTCACCAGAACCTGACGATGCTGACGTCCTCATCTCAGATTTCCAGTCTCCAGAGCCGTGACAAATAAATTTCTGTTGTTTACAAACTACCTAGTCTACAGTATTCTGTTATGGCAGCCTGAACTGATTAAGACTTGGAGAGCTCATTGTGCTAAGAAACTTTCATCTCCAGCGAACAACCTTTGAGGAACTTGAGGCCTGCCTACAACCACGTGAGTGTGCTTGGAAGACCGCCTTCCTCCAGCCTGCAGAGGATTGCAGCTCCAGGCAACAGCTTGCGTGCAACCTCATGAGAGATGCCGAGCCAGAACCTCCCAGCTAAGCCACTCCTGGATTCCTGACTCATTGAGAATATGAGATAAATGTTTATTGTTTTAAGCTACTAAATGTTATGGTAATTTCTTATAGTGGAATGGATAACTACTTCATTTTTTATTCCTAAATATTCCTAAGGACTTCTGAGGATAAACTCATCCAAGAACTATAATGCACCCAGAAGGAGTACAGGAATTTTACCTTACTCCCTCAAGGCTAGATGGAACTCACTGAGCTGTATCAGATAAGCTTCCTGCCTTACTGCGCTGTGTGGGGGCCTAACTAGGCAACCATTGCCTGCAAGTTGAATCTGGCTGTTTTATTTGCCATCACTGCCAATTCCCATATTTGCCACCTGCTGAGTCACCCAAAGGGATTTTCATTGTACCAGGAAAAACACTTCTACGAAATATTAGTCATGAGCATCCCAAAGTGAAAAAGTTTAGGTACCCAGAAAGTACAGCTTTTTAGCGATAAAATATTTTACTCAGATATCCATAACCATTTTCCTCAAAGCACAATCATAATGTCAAGTTGACTCAGTAGGAAGGTATATAGTTCATTCTCGCACTGCTATTAAGAAATACCTGAGATTGGGTAATTTATAAAGAAAAGAGGTTTAATTGGCTCATGGTTCCATAGGCTGTACAGAAAGCATGGCAGCATCTGCTTGGCGTCAATCATGGTGGAAGGCAAAAGGGAAGCTGGCACTTCACATGGCAGGAGCAGGAGGAAGAGAGAGGGGGAAGGTGCTACACACTTTTAAACAACCAGATCCCATAAGAACTCTGTCATGAAAACAGCACTACCGGGATGGTGCTAAACCACCAGAAACCTCCTGCATGATCCAATCACCTCCCACCAGGCCACATCTCCAACATTGGGGATTACAACTGAACATGAGATTTGGGTGCGGACAACCATACCAGAAGGGGTTCCACCATTGGCCATACTCTATAATCAGAACCAATGCTCTTCACCTACAATCCGGACACTGGTATAGCACTTGTCAGGGGTCCAGACTCTCCCTCTTTTATAGTAGGTTTCCTCTTGAGCCTTTATTATCTTTCCATGCTGTCTGGCCTTGGTCAGTGTCATCCCAGCCCATCTTAACTCATTTTTCTCTCCTTGAACCTGAGAGAAGATGTTGCAGTCCTAGTCCTTTTCCTCCCAGGAGGCATTTCTGCCCTTTGCAAATTCATGGATGCTAAACAAAATGTGGAGAAAACATATTGCCCTGCTCTATCTGGCAGCTTCCAAGATTCAATGATATATTGGGAAAGGAGTAACTCACTTCCCCTTCCAGCAACATGTAAGCCCTAGACTCCTGCCAGGCCAAAAATATCCCCGATTAAACAAATTATGTAGCAGAAAGTCTTTGAATTAATAAACCAAATTTGAATAATTATCTGGTTCTTGATGTTTTTAGTTATTTATTATGACCATACTTCATTGTGCGTAATGCAGGTAAATGAAAGTTAATTTTATTATTTCTCTTTCTAATGATGGATTCATATAAACCTTTACCTTCAGAGTGGAAATTCAGGGAGTCTCAAGTGATCAAAGAAGCTCTTTAGCAAATGCACACAGACAATCTTACCCCCCTTTATCTTCATACATACAAAATTCAAATGTCTTTCCCTGACTGGGCAGTCCTGCCAAGAATTGTTTGGGTCTTTTTCATCTTTGTTGGTGAGGTGGTCCTTCAATTATCTGTAAATGTTTCTATCCTCTGCCAAATTACACCACTTCCAAATGCAAGATATAATTATTTCCTCTACCTACAGCAAAATGAAGCCAAGTACACCTTGAATCATTTTCATTCTCAGGTATCTTATATAGGTTTGCCAAGAGCCGGGAAACACAATGGTCAGCTTTTTAGGCAAAAGTGTTGAAAGCTCTTTAGGGAAAATCTTCTCTGTAAGTTTTCATTTAAGTTGGGAACCAGAGGGGAGTGTCATGGTTCTATCAATCTGAGTTTAATTTGGGTGGGAAGTATTTTTACTGGGAAAAAGAAAATGAAGGGCCCCCAACAAATTACTCAAAAGGAAGTGGATATTATTTTCCTGGAACATTTACTTAATCTGTCATCTTCAAGCCTGCCCTCAGGCTTGACTGGCTGTATAAATCAGGACAAAGTGGCAGAAACAAAATTCTCTTCAGAATTGAGTGAATTTCTGTAGAAAACGTGTCCCAAGGTAAGCATTTTATGATGGTCTTTGGTGTCTTGGGGAAAAAATTTGTTTCAGTGACAGAGCAAGATGACCCCAAGAGTAAGATGACCCCAAGAGCAAGACAGCTCCCAAGAATGTGGTGATGGTGGGAAAACCTACTTCTTTCTCTTCAAATTGTAAGAAGGTAGTTCTTGAAACTTTGTATATAAAATTATTAATGCCAATTTTAAGGAACTGATCAAAATATCAACTTTTGCCTCATTGGCTGATGTGATGGCTAGTTTCATATGTCAACTTGGCTAGGCTCTAGTATCCAGTTACTTAATGAAATATTAAGCTAGGTGTTGCTATAGAGGTATTTCATAGTTAACATCTACAATCAGTTGACTTTAAGTAAAGGAGACGATGCTAGATAATATGGGTGGGGCCCCATCCAGGTAGTTGAAGTCCTTTAAGAGCAAAACCCTGAAGAGAAAGAAATTCTGCCTCAAGACTATATCATCAGCCGGGCATGATAGTTCATGCCTGTAATCTCAGTACTTTGGGAAGTCAAGGCAGGAGGATTGGTTGAGCCCAGGAGTTCGAGACTAGCCTGTGCAACACAGCAAGACCCCATCTCTACAGTCAGAAATTAGCCTGGCGTGGTAGCATGAATCTGTTAGTCCCAGCTACTCGGGAGGCTGAGGCGGGAGGATTATTGGAGCCCAAGAGATTCAGGCTGCAGTGAACCATGGTGGTGCCACTGCGTTTCAGCCAGGGTGATAGAACAAAACCCTGTCTCAACAAAAACAAAAACAAACCAAAAAGAACCCCTACAGCTTCAAGTTTTACATGAGTTTCCAGCCCGCTGGCGTGCCCTACAGATTTCAGACTTGCCAGCCCCCATAAGGATGTAAGCCAATCCCTTGAAATAAATCTCCTTGATTCTGTTTCTCTAGAGAACTCTGACTGATAAAGCTGTTACCCAACATGCATTTAGGAAGTTACGACTACCATATTTAGTTAACTATCACGTGGGCCAGTTGGCCAATATTACCATCATGCGGTGTGCAGGACAGCTGTCTTCTCTGCTTCATCTTAGTTCACACAGTCCAGATTTAAACATGCTTACACTCTCACATTCTTGCACAAAAACCTTTCAAATGACGTTTAACATCTTAATATTTACAAAGAAGTACCTGGGCCTGTGTTCACTCTTTCTACAGATTAATGGCAATCACGTAGAACTGCGTAACTGAGAACTAAAACCTTTCCATCCAGCTGGCTGTGGGACAGCGAGTGGATAAAAGACAGGCCCAGCAGTTCCCACAAGAGGCAGAACGTGAATGCCTGGAATCTGAGAAGGGAACTTGGAGATTAAAGGAAAAGCATAGTGAGTATTCAAGAGCCAGGAAGCCTAGATTTTAACTCCAGGGTCTCTAGTCATTAGCTGGGGGGCCATACTCAGGCCAAGTTTCAGACTTGTCCTCAAAATGAGGATAATAAAAGCCAGCATCCCTACAAAAGGTGAGAATTAATTGAGATCCTGTATGTGAAAGCATTAATCAAAGCTCTATACCAATGGCACATCAGTGTTACCTTATCTCCTTTGGTCTCTTCAACCCCTATCAATAATATCCAGAAATAGAAAACTGGACAATGAGAACATGTGCTAAAGACTATTTCTATGCCCTTCTCTGCATTAATTCCCATAGGAGGTGTGATTTTATGGAAAACAAAATATGTTATATTCACTCCCTCCACCCCATGTTTATACAGTTATAATGGTTCAATTTAGTCCCTATCTATGGAGAAACATGTCATTGTGTGGGAAACATATATAATAATATACTCTTCACCATATAATAAGCTCTTCACCAACTTTCGGGGTTTGAGAGAGCTTCTTGTCTGGGGTGGAAGTGAGGGAAGAGGGCAGGATGGGGCAAATGGAGTCTTAAACCCTTCAGCTGATAGTAGTTTAGGAAAGAGACACCGATCATCATCTTCATAGCAATTAGAAACCTAGAGAGGTGGGAAGAACTCTGGATAATAAGTCATGAAAATTAGATTCTAGTCCTGACTCTGCTACTAAAAAGTTACACGACGTTAGAAAAATTTACTATCCATGGGTCTGGTTTTCTAATTTATGAAATGAGGCAGTTTGGACTAAATTAGCTTTACCTAAAGTATGTTCCTCTGAATATTAATAATTTTTTTGTTTTGTTTTGTTTTGTTTTTTTGAGACAGGGCCTCGCTTTGTTGCCCAGGCTGGAGGGCAGTGGCACAAAAATGGCTCACTGCAGCCTCAAGCTCCTAGGCTTAAGCCATCCTCCCACCTCAGCTTCCCAAGTAGTTGGGACTACAGGTGCATGCCACCATGCCCCTCTAATTTTTTTTTTGAGACAAGATTTTGCCATGTTGCCCAGGCTGGTCTTGAACTCCTGGGCTCAAGTGATCCACCTGACTTGGCCTCCCAAAGTGCTGGGATTACAGGCATGAGCCACTGCAGCAGCCAAATAAGTTTTATATTAAAAAGGAGGATCTGAGAAACTTAATTTTTTGGAGGAATTTGGTTAAACAAAACAAAACAAAAAAGTATCATTGCCACAGAGTTTTTCAGGGTATTAATAAACTAATGTGCCTCATTAAGCTCCAAAAGACAGATAGTCGCAGCCACTTGGGAGGCCGAGGTGGGAAAATCACTTGAGCCCTGGAGTTCCAGGCTTCCGTGAGCCATGTTCCTGCCACTGCACTCCAGCCTGGGTGGCAAAGGGAAGCCCTGTCTCAAAAAACAAAACAAAACAAAAATACACAGTATACAATATTTCCCAATGTATGTGGTCATAAAATCACTTGTGCAAGGAGGATTTCCAGAAGTAGCAGTCTGAGGAACTTACTTTGAGAAACATTAACCTAGAAAATCTATAAAGTGCCTTTTAATTCTAATGTTCTTATTCTATAAAGCTGGGATGGTGCCAAGAAAGTGGACATTTGCCAGTTGTATGAATGACGTGCTAGAGTAGAAAATAGTTTTTATTTTACCAGCATCTCCTTTAAACTTTCTCCTCTTTTAATGGCGTCACTATTCTTGCTGTCAGCCAAGCTGGAAACTTCAGTACTTTAGGGGCCACTTTGACTCTTGGCCATCAATCTGTCCATTGCTAAATCCTGACAATTCATCCTTTATGGTGTCTCTGAAACTCATTTCTATGTCACTAATCCTGTTTCCGGGCTTTACTGATGGACCTGTGTTTTGATTGTTGTTTTGCTGGTGGAAACACTGAAAATTTCTCTAGCAAAGACAGGAAAAGTCTCCTTCTCTCTGCCGGTCTATTCTTTACCTTCACACCAGAGGTTTTTCTTGCAAACCATGAATCTAATCAGATTACTCCTCTTCTCAAATATTTTCAAACGTCCTACAGTGTCACAGAATAAAATTTTAAATTCTTCAAAGTCAGTCAATGTCCAGGCCTAACTTTCCTTTCTTATCTCTATAAGCCAAGCTCCCTGCTCCTTAAAGATATCTTATTTCATGCTTTTTCATCTCTTTTCACATAATTTTCTGTCCTTGAGATTCCTCCCCCTTATCTTTTATTAAAACACTTGTCTCCAATAAAACATTTGTATCACTCAAGACCCAGCTCTAATGCGACCTCTTCTTTGAAACCTTCCCTTGCACCCTTATTTAGATGTGAGCTCTCCCCTCTCTGTACTTGGCTAGTACCTATCTCATCTAATGTGCCCCCTCCTGGTATTATGATGATCTATAAAGTCATGCTAATCATTCTTCAGATAATAAATTTATTGAACACAGGGGTATAGGGAATGACTGGACTAGGCACAAAAACTGCAGCCAGTTCAATCATCTCTGATCTCATTCATTCAGTCATTCAACAACTATTTATTATGTGCTAGGTACTGGGGAACATAAACATGGTTAAGACCTTACCATCAATCCCTTGGTTGCCCTAGTCCGGTTCCTAGTCCTCTCCTTCAGGAGAGGCCCCATTGCAGGTCCATCCCAAATCACTCACATCTTCTTGAGCCAGTTCACAGTTCACAGTTACTCTGTTCAAACAGTAACGGCACAAGCCCCAAATGCCACTGTTGAATGTCCTTTTTGTCCAGGTGGTAAGTGTTCTCTCATTTGAGATCCTTAATGTTTCTTAAAAACTCAACATTAAAAGACACCTGTCCTTTGATCAAATCTCCAAAGCCTCATTTTCAGATTCATCCTATTAAGGCTCTGGAACAAGCCTGCACCAAACCCTCCACAAACCCTGATGCACTTACTTGAGTATTATTTACTGTAACCTTCATGAATGTGCAATAAACACACAGAAGTTCCCAAGGCTGAAGGCTGGAAAGACATGGCAGGATGATAAATAAGCTTTGATGATGATTTCAATGGATGGTAATTTCTTGCTTCCACAGAGACTCCACAAACACAGCTGTCAGAAGTGCATTGTGTAAATCAGATGCTAATTAAATTAAATTCCCACTGGAATTAAGGCAGCAAAGTATTTTGTCTTGTTTTCTTGCAAACTAGGCCTCTCAATCAAGACAGCTGGAGCACTGGCATTTCAGGTACGTGGAGGCAACAGCTGCAATGAAGCAAAGCAACTGCTTTCATGATTAAATTGCCATCAGTAGAAGGAAAAGAGATGCCATTTTTGACATTAGTAATGTTAAAAATTCAAACAATCCAGCAGAAGCAGAGCTGGACTAGGAAAGAAGAGGTCTGGGTTCTGATGTAAGTTTTGGGGAAATCATTTTATGACTCTAAGCTTCAGTTCCCAGCTTCTTCTCCCCTCCTTCCTTCCTTTTCTCCTTCTTTTGTTTCTTCTGCTAAATATTTATTGAATGCCAACTACTGCCAGGCAATGTACTGGGTCCTGAAGACCCAAATACATAGGACATTTTTTGTCCTCTCGATGTTCCTGGTCTTTTTGAAGAACCAGGGGCTGGGACTCTATGGTCTTGGCACCTTCTGGGAGTTCTATCATTCTAAATATAAACTTTTTTAAAACCAGCATTTAGGTGATATTGACTTCACACCACTTCTCTGCTGAGGGATACAGAAGATACATCCCTGACCCTGCCTTTAGTTTTTAGTCTAGTGAGAAACCAAAGCACACATGACTGGAAAGACATTTGATATTCCACAGCCAGAAATAAGCGGGTGTAAGAAAATATTGCCTAAATTATGTAGAGAAGGACTGAAGCAGAAGTTTGAGTAAAGAAGTCATTCAATGAATGCTTTTTAATCATTCATTCAATACTTCATGAAACATTTACTAAATACTTACTATGTGCCAGGTTCTGTGCTGTGTGCTGGGGATACCAAGGAGGCAGTCTCTGCCATCAAGGAGCCTCCAGCTAATTGGGCAGGCAAATATCTACAATGTTAATTATGGTAAAATATGGTTACAGCAATGTTAGAATCATTAGCAATCATTACAATAGGACGCATGGCATGGGAAGAGGTTTACTTGAAAAACAAACTCAAAGCACTACTGAAAGTATTCTATCTCAGACTGGATTAAGAAATTGTGGCACATACACACCATGGAATACTATGCAGCCATAAAAAAGGATGAATTCATGTCCTTTGTAGGGACATGGATGAAGCTCGAAACCATCATTCTGAGCGAACTATTGCAAGGACAGAAAACCAAACACCACATGTTCTCACTCATAGGTGGGAATTAAACAAGAACACTTGGACACAGGGTGGGGAACATCACACACCGGGGCTTGTTGTGGGGTGGGGGGGAGGGGGGAGGGATAGCATTAGGAGATATACCTAATGTAAATGACCAATTAACGGGTGCAGCACACCAACATGGAACATGTATACATATGTAACAAACCTGCACATTGTGCACATGTACCCTAGAACTTAAAGTGTAATAATAAAAAATTAAAAAAGTATTCTATCTCATCTGTTCTTTCAGTTGTCTCTAGAGTTCGTATTCCACAAATCACTCCTATTTATTTATTTATTTATTTATTTATTGAGATGGAGTCTCATTCTGCCACTCAGGCTGGAGCGCAGTGGTACAATCTCAGCTCACTGCAACCTCCGCTTCCTGGGTTCAAGCAATTCTTCTGCCTCAGCCTCTTGAGTAGCTGGGATTATAGGCACGTGCCACCATGCCCAGCTAATTTGTGTATTTTAGTAGAGATGGGGTTTCACCATGTTGGCCAGGCTGGTCTGGAGCTCCTGAACTCAAGTGATCTGCCCGCCTCACCCTATCAAAGTGCTGGGATTACAGGCGTGAGCCACCACACCTGACCCCATTAATATCTTAAGACTTAAAATCCTAGAGAAAGTAACTGTGTGTTGTGTATTTGTTTTGTGCAAGGTAGATCCCAGTATAGGGTAGCAATATCTCTCACAAATACAATCTGATGCTAATGATTATTTACTCAAGAATACATGATGTTATAATAATTAAAATGGAAGACAAACTGGTATATTCATAAAATGGAATACAACCCAACAATAAAAAGGAATGAGCTACGAATATGTATACATGCAACAAGACTAAATCTCAAAAACTAGAATAGGCAAAACTAATCTATGATTGAAAAAAATTAAAACAGTGATTTCTTGTGGGAAGTAGGGGAGGGGATTGATTGGGTAGTGGCATGAAGGAACTCTCTGGGGTCACGGTAATGTTCTATCTTGTTAGCAGTTTATATTACAAAGATCTGTACATTGGGTCACACAATGCATACTTAAGATTTGTGCATTTTGTTTAATACAAATTTTACCCCAAATGAAATTTGTAAGAAGTATTAAACTCCAGTTAATAATCTGTGTGCTGTCATCCTGACACTAAAGCCTGGCAGAGACACAACAAAAAAAGAGAATTTTAGACCAATTTCCCTGATGAACATCGATGCGAAAATCCTCAATAAAATACTGGGAAACCAAATCCAGCAGCACATCAAAAAGCTTATCCACCATGATCAAGTGGGCTTCATCCCTGGGATGCAAGGCTGGTTCAACATATGCACATCAATAAACCTAATCCATCACATAAACAGAAGCAAAGACAAAAACCACAAGATTATCTCAATAGATGCAGAAAAGGCCTTTGACAAAATTCAACAGCACTTCATGCTAAAAACTCTGAATAAACTAGGTATTGATGGAACGTATCTCAAAATAATAAGAGCTATCTATGACAAACCCACAGCCAAAATCATACTGAATGGGCAAAAACTGGAAGCATTCCCTTTGAAAACTGGCACAAGACAAGGTTGCCCTCTCTCACCACTGCTATTCAACATAGTATTGGAAGTTCTGGCCAGGGCAATCAGGCAAGAGAAAGAAATAAAGAGTATTCATTTAGGAAAAGAGGCAGTCAAATTGTCTCTGTTTGCGGATGACATGATTGCATATTTAGAAAACCCCATCATCTCAGCCCCAAATCTCCTTAAGCTGATAAGCAACTTCAGCAAAGCCTCAGGATACAAAATCAATGTGTAAAAATCGCAAGCATTCCTATACACCAATAACAGACAAACAGAGAGTCAAATCATGATTGAACTCCCATTCACAATTGCTTCAATGAGAATAAAATATCTAGGAATCCAACTTACAAGGGATGTGAAGGACTTCTTCAAGGAGAACAACAAACCACTGCTCAACAAAATAAAAGAGGACACAAACAAATGGAAGAACATTCCATGCTCATGAATAGGAAGAATCAATATTGTGAAAATGGCCATACTGCCCCAGGTAATTTATAGATTCAATGCCATCCCCAAGAAGCTACCAATGACTTTCTTCACAGAATTGGAAAAAACTACTTTAAAGTTCATATGGAACCAAAAAAAAAAACCTGCATTGCCAAGACAATACTAAGCAAAAAGAACAAAGCTGGAGGCATCACACTACCTGATTTCAAACTATACTACAAGGCTACAGTAACCAAAACAGCATGGTACTGGTACCAAAACAGAGAGATAGACCAATGGAACAGACCACGGGCCTCAGAAATAACACCACACATCTACAATCATCTGATCTTTGACAAACCTGACAAAAACAAGAAATGGGGAAACGACTCCCTATTTAATAAATGGTGCTGGGAAAACTGGCTAGCCATATGTAGAAAGCTGAAACTGGATCCCTTCCTTACATCTTATACAAAAATTAATTTAAGATGAGTTAAAGACTTAAATGTTCGACCCAAAACCATAAAAACCCTAGAAGAAAACCTAGGCAATACCATTCAGGACATAGGCATGGGCAAGGACTTCCTGACTAAAACACCAAAAGCAATGGCAACAAAAGCCAAAATAGACAAATGGGATCTAATTAAACTAAAGAGCTTCTGCACAGCAAAAGAAACTACCATCAGAGTGAACAGGCAACCTACAAAATGGGAGAAAATTTTTGCAATCCACCCTCTGACAAAGGGCTAATATCCAGAATCTACAAAGAACTCAAACAAATTTACAAGAAGAAAAACAAACACCCCATCAAAAAGTGGGCAAAAGATATGAACAGACACGTCTCAAAAGAAGACACTTATGCAGCCAACAGACACATGAAAAAATGCTGATCATCACTGGTCATCAGAGAAATGCAAATCAAAACCACAATGAGATACCATCTCCCACCAGTTAGAATGGTGATCATTAAAAAGTCAGGAAACAACAGATGCTGGAGAGGATGTGGAGAAATAGGAATGCTTTTACACTGTTGGTGGGAGTGTAAATTAGTTCAACCATTGTGGAAGACAGTGTGGTGATTCCTCAAGGATCTAGAACTAGAAATACCATTTGACCCAGCCATCCCATTACTGGGTATATATCCAAAGGATTAGAAAACATGCTACTATAAAGACACATGCACACATATGTTTAATGCAGCACTATTCACAATAGCAAAGACTTAGAACCAACCCAAATGTCCATCATTGATAGACTGGATTAAGAAAATGTGGCACATATACACCATGGAATACTATGCAGCCATAAAAAGGATGAGTTACTGTCCTTTGCAGGGACATGGATGAAGCTGGAAACCATCATTCTGATCAAACTATCACAAGGACAGAAAACAAAACACCACATGTTCTCACTCGTAGTTGGGAATTGAACAATGAGAATACTTGGACACAGGGTGGAGAATATCACAGGAGGGAGGCATAGAATTAGGAGAAATACCTAATGTAAATGACGAGTTAATGGGTGCAGCAAACCTACATGACACATGTATACCTATGTAACAAACCTGCATGTTGTACACATATACCCTAGAACTTAAAGTATAATAATAATAATACAAAAATCTGTATGCTCAGGTATTTAGAAGGAAATATACTGATGTCTGAAATTTACTTTCAAATGGATCAAAAATAAGATGGATTCATGGATGGATAGGAGGATGAATAGATGGATAGATATATCATAAAGCAAGTATAGTATAAAAAAAATTTTTTTGAGACAGAGTCTTGCTCTGTTGCCCAGGCTGGAGTGCAGTGGTGTGATCTCAACTGACAGTAAAATATTAATGATAGAATCAAGATGCTATGAATATAAGGGTATTCACTATCATAGTCTTTGAACTTGGCTGTATTTCTTTATAAAATTTGGGGGCGGAAAGGATACATGATGGTCCCAAATTGCTGATACCTGTTGGGTGCTCTCTTACAGAAACTGTGCATCTTTCTAAGTCCTAGTGTAAGATAGAGCACCTGGGATCCTGTGTGGTAGCAGTTCCTAATCATAGGTGCATATAAGAATCTCTAGCTGAATATGGTGGCTCACGCCTGTAATCCCAGCACTTTGGGAGGCTGAGGCGGGAGGATCACTTGAGCCCAGGAGTTTGCAACCAGCTGGGGCAACATAGTGAGACCTCGTCTCTACAAAAAAAAAAAAATTTTTTTTAATTAGTGCCCAGTTACTTGAAAGTGGGTGCGGGCTGAGGTGGGAGGATCACTTGATCCCAGGAAGTGGAGGCTACAGTGAGCTGTGATTGCACCACTGCACTCCAGCATTCCAGCCTGAGCAAGAGAACAGAGACCTTGTCGAAAAAAAAAAAAAAAAAATCTCCTCCAACTCACATATCACAGAGACACCCTTGGGGATCTTGATTTCAAGAGGCTTGGAATGGGAACCTGGATATTTGTGTCTATAAAAGCACTCCTAGTAAGTTTTATATGAACCCCTGGTGTGATCTCCTACCACAAGGAATGAATTTCTATGCCTACCAAATAGGCTCTAGAATAAAAATAAAAATAAACCCTACAACAATGGGATTGTTAAGCACCCTCTGGGATCCCTCCTTGGTTTGTAAACAAAATGATCTAAGTGATGGTGCGACAGCCTCCTCCAGCAGGGCCATCACAGCAGCTTGGGCACATCATTTATACCCAGCAAGCGAAAGGGCGTTAAAAGCACGACCACATTGTGGTGTACCTTTCATCTCAGGAGCTCTAATACCAGAGGAAAGACAGTACCTAGGTTGGGGATGAAAAGAGGGTAGGAGAACTTGGGTAGGAAGTGGTTAACCAGGCTCCAGGTTTTTGGCAGCTTATTTCTACTCCCTGGTTTCTAAATGGAAGTAGGATTTGCTCAACTCCCCCTTCTTGCCTTTCATTTCTCCTTTCCCCTGCCCTCTTCTCACATCTCCTGACACCTTTACCACTTTAAAATGCAAATACGAGGACAATACATATGTGGCTATGTCTGTATCTGCTTTCTGCCCCTTTCTCTCCCACTAAGGCTCTGGAAGGCCATTCTGTTCTGTACATTTGTAGTATCCATAACACCTAGCATAGGACCTATGCGTATGGAAGGCACAACAATGAATTTAATTAAAAAGATAAGGTCAAGATTAGAGGTGAAAGGTGGGTGGTGTCTATTTTTCACCTAATCTAAAGAGCAAATGAAAATTTTGACATTTCTCCATGGCCCTGAATGTACTACTGTAAGTCAATTCTGTGTCATCAGTAGCTATATTTTCCTATGTCACATATTTTTGAAGGCATAACAATTCAGAAGTTATCCAGTAGTGACATTTAGTGAGCTGACTTTAATTACTATGTGAAGTTGGCAGTTTTTTATACAGGCTTTCCTAGTTTCCAACAGAGCTGAAAAAAAGCATTGTTCCGAGTTGATATTTCTGGAGGAAGAAATTTAAAATTGCCCCTATTACTCCAAAGGAAAAAACAACGCACTAATCTGTATAGGAAACCTAATGGAGCAAGCCATTTTCAATGGTTAGACCATTACTGCTCTCCCCAGTCCACTTAAAAAGTATGTTATAATGTTTGTCTTTGCCTAGGACTCAACCTACAAAAATATTACACTCCATTTCACTGGAAGCTGCTGTAGACTGACTCCTGTGGTGAACATCTGGAAATGTGCCCCAGAGTAGGGGAAAAAAGAAAAAGAAAAAGAAAATCTTTCATTTGCCACTGTAGAAACAAAGATTAAAAAGCTTAGACTGGGGAGCCATAAATTAGAGAATAAACAATAAGGTAGTGTATAAAAGGACAAAAAAGTAGATTTTAAAAAAGGTGAGCAACTTCCAAGAAACAGCCAAATAAATGGTTTCCAAATTAGTAGATACAACTACTAACTCAGCATTTCCTATAGTGTGATCCTTAGAATACCAGTCCCACAAAATGCGCCATTAAAACACACACACACACACAGATACACACACACACACACACACACACACACACACACACACACACCCCACCACCACCACCAGGTCAAATAAAATTGGGAAATGCTACATATCACAATCCCTTCTTGCAGATTTACAATATGTTTTTTACCTCTGAGATGTCCTGCAGTAGAGAATCCTATTTCACTTTGCTTAACTCAGAGTGTCTTAAACTTTGACCACCAATTAACAGCTATTCATATCCCACAGAACTAGTGTTCTAAGGCAGTGGTTCTTGAACTCTTTGGTCTCAGGACTGCTGTATTAGCTTGGGTCCAAAAAGGAGAGAGAAACCATATGGTAATTTGAACAGGGAATGTTTACTATAAAGAATTATTACTATAACATGGGATTGGCTAGTAAGAAGTACAGAGAACTCTAAAGAATATAAAAATAGCAGATAGAAGCAGCATTCACTAATTTCCCTAGGACTGACATAGAGTATACAAAGGAAGAGCCCTCATAATTCAGGGCTTAGATCCAAACCTTATTGGAGAAGGCAAGGCCCTGGCTCACTGAGTGGCAGAGAAATCACTATGGTTAATGTTGGTGGAACTTGCTGGAAACTTGCTCTCTGAAATTGCTGGAGAATTGCCCTTTAGGGTGCTGGGAAAAGCTGTTCATGGAGAGGTGTCTCAGTGGAGGCATTCTGTTACAAAACCACCCGGAGGAAGGGATGTTGGGGACATTGCTGTCTGCTGGGTGCACATCAGAGGCCTGGTGCTGGAGAAGCTGCCTGTGCTGCAGGAGCAAGGTGGTAGTGAAGCCATGTGTATGCTGCAGGAGCCTCTGGAGAGATCATGTCAGAATCAGGAAGGAAAACATCCTCCTTCTTCAATGTCTCTCTAGCTCCCTCTACTGACAAAGGTTACTGCCAACTAACAAAAGGGTAAAAATTAAAGGGCCCAGATCCGTCTTCACAGAGCAGACAAGGAAGGGTGAATATGGAAATGAGAGGCAATTGATAATCAGCATGGTTGCAACAATTTGAAATTATATATTCATATATTACTTAGTAGCTAATGTTCATTGATCATTTTTCATGTGCCAGGCATCATGTTAACTACTTTATGTCAATTGTTTAATCCACACAAGTCTTTAAAAAGTACTATTCTACCACCATTTTACATATGACACAACCAAGGAATATAAAAATTAAACTGTCCAATGTCATAGAGCCAGCAAGTGGCAGATCTAAGATTCAAACCCAGGCATGTGAATTCAGTCTCTCTCTCTCACCTGAGATTAGGGAGCAGTTTTGCTTTGTGAAATGCTGTCTCTGCTGTGCCTACATAAAGAAAAAATTCATAAACATTTATTGAGTGTATGGTTCAGTGTTTCTCAACCTTTATATATCATTGTCCCCGAAGGAGCCTTTTCAGACATCTTTTCTGAATTGTCTCCCACTGTGAAATTTTAATGCTGTACATATACTTTATATACATATTTATGTACTGTTTGTATATCTGTACTTTATACGTAAAAAGAGCAAGACTCCTGCCCCCAACCTTGAACCAATTTTTGCTTCCTTGGGGGGAGTATCACTCCTGTTGAATATGCTTTAAAAAAAAGATAGCTATACAAGTGGCATGGATTTCATGCCATGCAGATCAGGAAAGGTATGCATGGACTAAGGAATATGAACTTGGGTGAGTCACTTCACCTCTTGGCCTCAATTTCCAGGACTAACAGGGTGTTAGTTCAAATGTCCACATGGTCCAAGTTTGTAACATAAATATGTTAATTAAGCCAGTGTAAAAATATTATGTGGGAGAGACCATGGAAAACTAGAAACACTAAATCTGGTTAGAGCCATTTGCATTAAATTTTTGAATAACACTGTGCCTGCCAAGCAAAACACTTCTATAGGCTGGGTTTGTCCCCAAAGGCTGCCAGTTTGAAATCTTTGGACTAAAGCCCCATTTTAACTCTAAGATTCTTTGTCTTTAATTAAGTAAATAAATGACTCATGGTACCTCTTTGTCACTATGAAAGTTGGAGAAGTTGTGTGGCTTCCAGGTTTTTCTCTTATGAACAGTATTGCCAAAACCATTCTTGTACATGTTTCGTGATGTTCATATGTAAGAATTTCTCTTGGATGGTGTCAGTTGGTCTTAGGAAGCCAACACTAACACAGAGTTAGAAGCCCAAGAGATTTCTTGGGGGTAACATCTGTGAAAGATAAGGGGCATAGGGAGTGGGAAGGCAGGGAGAACCTTCAGACAATGGTGCTGGTCTCACTTGTGAAAGGAGAGGAGCTAGGAAAGAGATTGAGTAGGAAGAGCCTCAGATATTTCTGCAGTGCAGTTCTAAGAAAGTCTTAGCCAGCCCAATGAGAAGCTCTAGAACAAAGATTGCCCATGGAAGAGTCCCTTTTTGGCAAAAAGTGACAGTTCTCTTGACCAGTTTTTGGCTGGGGACTGCCCAGGAAGCTCGTAGCCTCAGCTTGAAAGCTCGGGCAGGCCGGGCACGGTGGCTCACACCTGTAATCCCAGCACTTTGAGAGGCCAAGGTGGACAGATGGCTTGAGGTCAAGAGTTCGCAACCAGCCTGGCCAACATGGCAAAACCCTGTCTCTGCTAAAAACACAAAAAAATGGGCCGGGTGCAGTGGCTCACGCCAGTAATCCCAGCATTTTGGAAGGCCGAGGTGGGTGGATCTCCTGAGGTCAGGAGTTTGAGACCAGCCTGACCAACATGGTGAAACCCTGTCTCTAGTAAAAATACAAAAATTAGCCGGGCTTGGTGGCGGGCACCTGTAATCCCAGGTACTCAGGAAGCTGAGGCAGGAGAATCGCTTCAACCTGGGAGGCGGAGATTGCAGTGAGCCAAGATCATACCACTGTACTCCAGCCTGGGAGACTGAGCAAGCCTCTGTCTCAAAAAAAGAAAACCCACAAAATTTAGCCAATTTTTGTGGTGGTGGGCATGGTGGTGGGTGTAGTGGCCAGTGCCTGTAGTCCCAGCTACTCAGGAGGCTGAGGCAGGAAAATTCCTTGAACCTGGGAGGTTCAAGCTATAGAACAAAGATTGCCCATGGAAGAGTCCCTTTTTGGCAAAAAGTGACAGTTCTCTTGACCAAGATCATGTTGCAGTGAGCCAAGATCATGCCACTGACTCCAGCCTGGGTGACAAGAGTGAAACCCTGTTTCAAAAAAAGAAAAGAAAAGAACAAAAAAAAAGAAAGCCGAGGCAGAGCCTAGAGTCACCCACAGCTGAAGGCTGTCAGTTGGTTGCATTCCCCGTGGCAGCATCTCTCTTAAAAGGATTTAGGAGCAGCACATCTTTTTGGCTGCCATATGGGTATATGGCTAGGAATTGATTATGTCTTTTTGGTTCTCTTACTATTTAAAAAAACTGCATGTATTACATTGTTGAAAAATAATATAATTTTAAACAGCAACCAAGAAAACAAACATTTAAATATTTTTTACAGGAGTGCAGGAGACTGAATGTAAGGCCCTGATACCCTCCTTCTGCTCCACTCCAGCTACCAACCACCTGTCCTGAGTGGATGATCTGAGAGGGCAGCAGGCAAGTACATTTTGGAGGATATGAACAAGGCCTGGGGCTCTGCCACAGCAGGGGCATAGAAAGTCTTGAAAGAACTTTATTCCCCTCTGGATCCTACCAGATGTTGAAGATCTACAGCAAAGCTCTGGGGCAGAGATTAGAGTGTGTGAATTATGGGTTTTCTTAGAGGAAGGGGAGCCACAGCCTGTGTAAGTGTTGTGTGGGGGGCGGGGGGCGGGGGGGGGCGGTGAGCGAGGATCATCTGGTTTCCCTGGCCCCTAGGTGGGGACCATGGAGCGAACTGGAGAAGCAGGCTGGGTCCTTCCTACTCCTGAGGCTGGCAGAGCACACTCTATAGCTGAGGAGACTGGAAGTTAAAGGGTTTCTTCACAAGCAACTGACAACTTGCCAGCTGTATGTGTCTTCTTCTCTCTCTCTCTCTTTTCTTTCTTTCCTTCTTTTTTTTTTTCTTTTTTTAAATTAATTCAGAGTCTCGTTCTGTTGCCCAGGCTGGAGTGCAGTGGTGCAATCTCGGCTCACTGCAGTCTCCGCCTCCTGGGCTGAAGAGATTCTCCTGCCTCAGCCTTCTGAGTAGCTGGGATTACAGGCACACATCACCACACCTGGCTAATTTTTCTATATTAAGACGGGGGTTTCACCATGTTGGCCAGGCTGGTCTCGAACTCCTGACCTCAAGTGATCCACCTGCCTTGGCCTCTTAAAGCGCTGCGATTGCAGGCATGAGCCAGCGCACCCAGCCGTGTATGTGTCTTCTTATTGCTCACTGAATGGCTGCTGCTGAAAGCACACTAAGGAAGTAGATCTGAGTCCCAAGGGTGCATAAAGCCATGTGAAGGCAAAATTATATAACGCTGCACTCAGGAAGACTAACAGCCAGATAGAAACAACAAGCAGAATACACAGAACAGGCAACTTCTAGGAAATAGAACTTGAACAAAAAATTACAGCAAAGGACTTTCTAGAACTAAAAAGAAGAACTCTTATATTCAAAATTTAGTAGATAAATTGAAGGGAAAAGATACTCACTGTTGAAACACTAATTAGTTCCCCAAAAGCTCAAGTTGAAGCAGTATCTCAAAGCCCAGGGCAAAAAATATAGAGAAGGAAATGTGGTACAGAAAACAAAAACAGATGGATTGCCTGAGGCCGGAAGTTTGAGACCAGCCTGGCCACATGGCAAAACCCCGTCTCTACTAAAAATACACAAATTAGTTGAGCGTGGTGGCTCACAGCTGTCATCCCAGCTTCTTGGAAGGCTGTTATGAGAATTGCTTGAACCCAGGAGGCGGAGGTTGCAGTGAGCTGAGATTGTACCACTACACTCCAGCCTGTGCAACAGAACAAGACTCTGTCTCAAAAAAGTAGAAGAAAATAAAATAATAAAAATAAAAGATTGGAATGACAAATCCAAAAGATCTTACATGTGAAAAATAGTAGTGGGAAAGATGGATAAATAGGGGAACATATAGCATTTTTAGGATGGGAAAACTACCCTGTATGATACTATAATGGTAGATACATGTCACTATACACTTGTCTAAACCCAAAGAAAGTACACCAAGAGTGTGTCCTAGAATATGGACTTTGGGTGATAATGATGTGACCATGTAGTCTCATTGATTACAACAAATGCCCCACTCTGTAGGGGTGCACGATGGGGGAGGTTGTGCACCTGTTGGGGCAGGAGGTCTATGGGAAATTTTTGTACCTTACAACTCAGTTTTGCAGTGCACATAAAACCGCTCTAAAAATAAAGTCTATTAATAAAAATAGGAGTACAAAAAAGAGTGGGTAAAGGGATAGATGGGAAAAAGACAACAATTAAACAACAGAGGAAAATTTCCCTGACCTAAAGAAACACTTGAGGCTGCAAATTTCAAGAGTTCAATAAGTATTACATAGAATTTATGATAAAAAAGATGTGTACCTAGACATATACTGGTTAAATAAATGACTTACAAGACATCAAATATAAACATTATTTACAAATAAAAAGAAATTAGATTGTCATTGGATTTTCATCTGTTGCACTAGAAACTAGAAAATAATAAAATAACATCCAGTTTCCTGGGAAAAAAAGAGAACTGATACCCAGGACTACTACATAGCTAGAACTCAGTGGTTTTGCCACACCTATTGTTAAAATATTAAAATATTGACCATTTGTGATGGCTCACGCCTGTAATCCCAGCACTTTGGGAGGCCGAGGCAGGCGGATCACCTGAGGCCAGGAGTTCCAGACCAGCCTGGCCAACATGGCGAAACCCTGTCTCTACTAAAAATAAATAAATTAGCCAGGTGTGGTGGCATGCACCTGTAGTCACAGCTACTTGGGAGGCTGAGGCAGAAGAATTGCTTGAACTCAGGAGGCAGAGGTTGCAGTGAGCCAAGATCACGCCACTACACTCCAACCTGGGTGACAGAGCGAGATTCCATCTCAAAAAAAAAAAAATTAAAATATTTTCACACTGTCTATGAAATAGCTTTGTCCCTGATCATCTCCCCACCAGCCCTTTCTACTCCTACCCTGTTCTACAGGATTCAGCAACTAAGGAGTTAATGCCTGGCACACCTTTCTTATTGACTGGCCAGTCTCTGGTTTAGTATTTAAACATCATTACTGCTTCAAAGATACCACCTGACAGGGGAATGAAAGTTATTAGATAATAAACCACCCATGTATCTCATCTGAAGAAAATATTTGAGAAAGAACGCCAGCCAAATAAGAAAAAAATCAAAACAGAGATTTCAAGAGAGAAGAAGAAAAGAGATGAAAACAATGATGAGAAATGAGCCTTGCAATATGTACTAAAATTTAAATAGATAATGATAGAGTGGGATTATATAGGCAGAATTCGAATTTTTGAAATAGAAAATATTTTCTGCAAGAGAAAATTTACTACAAAGTTAAAATTACACGTACCAGATTATCTCAGCAAAACCTAGGGATAGAGGAAAGAGAAAGAAGGGAAGTAAACCAACTCTTGGGTCTCATCTTTTTTGGGGGCAGGGGAACAGATATGGACAATGGGCATAACATTCTAAGGGTTTCATATTCTTAGGGAGGGAGACCAGTGGTAAGTAGAGCACCTGGGTGGGGACAGGTGGCATCTTTTTTGATGAAATAGTCAAGAAATATATTTGATTATAAATGTCAGAGAAGAGAAGATAGCTATCAGAAATGGGAAAATATGGTAAAACTTTCCAATTAACAAGGTGAAAAGGCTGGATGTGGTGGCTCATGCCTGTAATCCCAGTACTTTGGGTGGCCAAGGCGAGCAGATTGCTTGAGCCCAGGATTTTGAGACCAGCCTGGGCAACATGGAAAAACCCAGTCTCTACAAAAAATACAAAAATTAGCCAGGCGTGGTAGTACATGCCTACAGTCCCAGCTACTCGGGAGGCTGAGGTGGGAGGATCGCTTGAGCCCAGGAGGTTGAGGCTGCGGTGAGCCATGATTGTGCCACCGCACTCCAGCCTGAATGACAGAGTGAGACCCTGTCTCCCAAAAAACCAAAACTTAAACAAAACAAAAACAAAAAAACCCCACAAGAATTATATAGGAATTTTGTTACACCACCAAAAACAATGAAAAGGGAAAAGAAAAACCACAAATCAAAGTACCTAATAAAAATAAAGATGGAAGTGATGAAAAGAAGCACATCAGTTATTTTACTATGTATGAAGAGGATACTTTTATCCATTTGAGACATAGAAACTTTTTGATACAGTAAAAACCAAAAATAAGTATATTTGATTATAAATGTCAGATATATCAACATATCACTCTTAAGGTGACAAAGATTAACAATAAAAGGATGGACAAATAACACTAGACAAAATGCAAACAAAAAGAAATCAGGAATGTCAACGAGGTGGAATGTAAGTTTAGAAGCTTGAAACAGGATAAAGGAGAATATTATATAACAATAAAAGACACAATCTACAAAGAAGATGTGTAATAATTATGTATATACTAAACAGCTTTGCATTATATATGAAGCCAAAGGTAATTAAAATATGAAACTTTGATAAAAAATATACAATTACTCTGAGAGATTTTAACTCATGTCTTTCAGATCAATAGATACAGTAGTAAAAAATGTAAGACATATAAAGACTGAATAATGCAAAAGTCCAAAGTTTTATGTCCTATAAATGGAGAACTATTTTATTGTTTGTGAAGCATTTTCCAAAGTTGGTATTACCTTGACCATAAAGGTTGTTAATAAAAATTTTAAAGTAGATATTTTTTCAGGCAAAATTCTTTAATCAAATACCAATTACATTAAATATAAATAACTAAAGGATGGTAATTGTATTTTTTTCTACTTGAAAATTAAAAAGTGTCTTTCTAAATAAATCCTGGATCAAAAAAGAACCAATAAAAAACTATGCTTTTAGTTAGGAAGACAATATAATCTTCCAAATATTAATAGGCATATACAATATATTTCAATGAGATTCACTTTTCTATTCTTTTTTCTTCAGAGATGGGGTCATGTTATGTTAACCAGGTTAGTCTTGAGCTCCTGGCCTCAAGCAATCCTCCTGCCTCAGCCTCCCAAAGTGCTAGGATTCCAGGCAAGAACCACTGCACCGGGCCACTATTATATTCTTTAATGAGATAAAATGATCTTAAAGCTTTTATAGAAGACTAAAGGTTAAAGACTTTTTAAAAATTGTGAAAAAGAAGAATACTGAGAGATACTTCCCTTTCCAGATATTAAAACGTATTTTAAGATCTAGTACTAAAATGTTATGGTAGTTGCTCATTATCATTGTGATTGACCCTCTTTATCCCTAGTAATATTTCTCACTCAGATGTCTACTTTGTCTGTATTAATATAGCCACTCTAGCTTTCTTTCGATTAGGGTTTGCATAAGATGACTTTTTTTTTCACTGTTTTACCTTTAGCTTACATGTGTCTATATTTAAAGTGGGTTTCTTGTGGACAACATATAGCTGGGTCTTACTTTTCAACCAGTCTGACAATGTTTGTTTTTCAGTTGGGGTGTATAGACCATTTACATTTAACATACTTGTTAATATGGTTGGGGTTCTATTTTTTTTTTATGTGTTTTATCTGGGTTTTTTGTTCTCTTTTTCCTCTTACCCTTCCTTCTTTTGGATTAAGTATGACTTTATCTCCTTTATTGGCCTATTAGCTATAACTCTTTGTTCTTAATGTTAATTTACTGGTTGCCTTATAGTGTGCATCTTTAACATATCACAGTCTACATTCAAGTGATATTATTCCACTTCACATGTGATATAAGAAGCTTACTTCTATCAACAATACATCAAAGAGAATAGTTTTTATGTATTATTGCCTCTAGGTCTATCTTGGTTAAAAAGTTCTTTTCAAACCCAAGCTTATACATGTATTCTCTTAAAACTGTTCTATAGTTTTTGTTTACATACAGATTTTAAGTTTTTTTGGAAATTGATTTTTGTATATGGTGTGAAACAGGGGTCTAACTTTATTTTCCTCCAGGCCAGTTGTGTCCTAACCAATATAAAATAAACCATTGTTTTCCCATTGACTTCAAATAGCACTTTTGGCATACAGTCAGATGTTGCTTAACAGTGAGGATATGTTCTGAGAAATGCATCATTAGGTGGTTTTGTCATTGTGCAAACATCACAGAGTGTACTTACACAAACCTAAATTGTATAGCCTACCACACACCTAGGGCATGGACAATAGAAAAAGTATTCTTCCATTGTCTCCTTCTTGGCCTTTGTATTAACCTTATGATATTGGTATCGTAATAGGCAAAAAGAAAAGTAGAAGAGAAAAAAATGTCCAGAAATAGATGTCAGTATATATATATGATAACTGAATATATAGTCAGGCACTATATAACTACATTTTGGTCAACAATGGACTGCATATATGACAGTGGTCCCATAAGATTATAATACTATATTTTTGCCATACCTTTCCTATGTTTATATACACAAATACTTACCACAGTGTTACAATTGCCTACAATATCAGTACAGTAACATGCTGTACAGGTTTGTAGCCTAGGAGCAATGGGCTATACCATATAGCCTAGATGTGCGGTAGGCTCTATCATCCATGTTTATGTAAGGGCACTCTATGATGTTTACTCAAAGGCAGAATCACCTAATGATGCATTTCTCAGAACGTATTCCCATTGTTAAGCAATGCATGGCTGTATGCCAAAAGTGCTATTTCAAGTTAATGGGAAAACTATGGTTTATTTTAAATTGGTTATGACACAACTGGCCTAGAGAAGAATAAAATTGGGATCCCTGCTTCACACCATATACAAAAATAAATTTCCAGAAAAACTTAAACTCTATATGTAAACAAAAACTATAGAACAATTTTAAAAGAATATATGTGTAAGCTAGGGTTTGGAGAGAGAAACCTTTTTAATCAAGACAAGAGCCTAGAGGCAATAAAATATAAAATAAATATATTCGATGATATAAAATATAAAATGTTATATGGCAAAATAAAAACAAAATCACAAGACAAAAAGATTGATAAAAAGTATGTGCCACAAAAATAACTCACACATAAAATGAATATGCATATCTGTCAGAAGGTTCCTATAAATTGACTATCAACAGAATACAGAAATAGAGACAAATAAATATAAAAAGTCAATTTATAGAAGAGAAATGCAAATGGTCAATAAACCAATGAAAATATTTTCTAATGTGGAGAAAATGCAAATTAAAGTAACAATGAGATGTCTCAACTTATCTACCAAATTAGCAGACAATAAAAACTTACTATTGATGAAAATGTGAAAAAAACCTATTCTGTGCATATATTGCCAGGGGAAATTTGGATTGTTACAGCTTTTATGGAAAGCAATCCAGATATATATTTTAAATTTTACAATTTACATACTCTGATGGAGAAATCCTTCTGGAAATCTATCTGCTATAAGTGAAATTCCAATATGTAAAAATATACATGCAAAGATGTTTACCATAGCGTTGTTTGTTGCAGCAAAAAATTAGAAACTGAGTAAATGCCTTTCAATATGGTGGAAGAAACTGTGATACAATTAAGCCATGGAATATAAGTTAATTATTGAAAAGAACGAGTTGCAGCAGGGCATGATGGCTCACTCCTGTAATCCCAGCACTTTGGGAGGCCAAGGCAGTAGGATTGCTTGAGCCCAGGAGTTTGAGACCAGCCTGGACCACATAAGGAGATCCCGTACCTACAAAAAAATTTAAAAATTAGCCAGGTGTGGTGGCTCAGGAGGCTAAGATAGGAGGATTGCTTGAGCCTAGGTGGTCAAGGCTGCAGTGAGCCGTGATTGCACCACTGCACTCCAGCCTGGGTGACAGGGAAAACCCGTCTCAAAAAAAAAAAAAAGAATGAGTTGGATGTATACCACTGAGGGAAATTCCATAATGTATCAAGAGAAAAAAAAAAGTAAAAAAAACTAGACACAAAGGAATACAGATAATATGATCCCATTTTTGTAAAATACACATGAATTAGAAAAGAAAAGCTTATTATATATAGTTTATACGTGATTGTATGAATACAAATGAAGCATGAAAGAATAGATAACAGATTGTAAATTTTGGCAGAGGAGAGGAGTAATAGGAAACAAAAGGAGACTAAAGAATTTCCCTGTTCTTTTATAATAATTATTATTATTATTATTTACCACATGATTACTGATTTTTTTTTTTAACAGAGTCTCGCTGTGTCGCCCAGGCTGGAGTGCAGTGGTGCTATCTCGGCTCACTGCAACCTCCTCCTCCCGGGTTCAAGCGATTCTTGTGCCTCAGCCTCCTGAGTAGTTGGGACTACAGGTGCATGCCACCACGCCTGGCTAATTTTTGTATTTTTAGTAGAGACAGGGTTACACCATGTTGACCAGGCTGGTCTCAAACTCCTGACCTCAAGTGATCCACCCACCTCAGACTCCCAAACTGCTGGGATTACAGGTGTGAGCCACCACGCCAGGCTATGATTTTCTATTTAGTAGGAACGATAAAAAATATACGAGGATACTAATTTAAATACTGAGATATAGTTCTAAAATAAATTATGATTTTTCTTTTTTCTTTTATTTTAAAATATTTAATTGACAAATATTGTATATACTCAAGGTGTACAATGTGATGAGGCATATGCATATACATTGTGATATGGACAATCAAATTAACCCATCTATTACCACCTATGCTATACATTGGATCCCCAGAACTTTATCATCTTAAAACTGAAAGTTTGTACTCTTTGACCATCATCTCTCCATTTTTTCCACTTCGAACTCCTAGCAACCACCATTCTACTTTCTGCCCCTGAGTTCAACTTTTTGAGATTCCACATACAAGTGAGGTCATACAGTATTTGTCTTTCTGTGTCCAGCTTATTTCACTTAGAATAATATCCTTTAGGTTTATCAATGCTGTCACAAATGACAGGATTTTTTTTTATGGCTGAATAATCTTTCATTGTATCTAACACATTTTATTTACTCATTCATCTGTCAATGGGCACTTAGGTTGTTTCCATATCTTGGCCATCGTGAATAATGCTGCAACGAATATGGGGATATAGATATCTCTTCAAGATACTGATTTCATTTCATTTGGATATATACCCAGAAGTGGGATTGCTTGATCATATGGTAGTTCTATTTTTAATTTTTTGAGGAACCTCCATACTGTTTTCCATAATAGTTGTACCAATTGGTATTTCCACCAACAGTATACAAGGTTCCCTTTTCTTCATGCCCTTGTCAACACTTGTTATCTTTTTTCTTTTTGATAATAGCCATCCTAAGAGATGTGAGGTGATATCTCATTGTGGTTTTAATTAGAATTCTCTGGTGATTAGTGATTTTGAGCACTTCTTTATATATCTGTTGGCAATCTGTGTGTCATCTTTGGAAAAATGCCTATTTAGGTCTTTTGCCCATTTTTTAATTGGGTTACTTATTTTTTTGCTATGGAGTTTGTTGTACATTTTGATATTAACCCTTTATCAGATATATAGTTTGCATATGTTTTCTCCCATTTCACAGGTTGCATTTTCATTGTGTTGATTATTTCATTTGCTGTTCAGTAGCTTTTCAGTTTGATATAGTCCCATATGTTTATTTTTGCTTTTGTCGCTAGTGCTTTTGTTGACATATCCAAAACAGTCAGAAAACAATTAACAAAATGGCAACAGTATGCCCTTACTTATTAATAATTACTCTAAATATAAATGGATTACATTTGCTAATCAAAAGACACAGAGAGGCCGAATGGATTAATAAACAAGATCCAATAATATGCTAACTACAAGAGATTCATTTTAGTCTCAAGGGCACACAGACTGAAAGTGTAGGGGTGGAAAGAGATACTCCATGCAAACGGAAACCAAAAGAGAGCAGGGGTAGCTATATTTATATTAAACAAACTAGACTTTTAGTCAAAATCTGTCACAAGAGGTCAGGTGCTGTGGCTCATGCCTTGAATGCTAGCACTTTGGGAGGCTTAGGTGAGCGGTTCACTCGAGCACATGAGTTCAAGACCAGCCTGAGCAACATGGCAAAACTCCATCTCTACAAAAAATACAAAAATTAGCCAGGCATGTTGGTGTGTGCCTGTAGTCCCAGCTACTTGAGAGGCTGAGGTGGGAGGATGGCTTAAGCCCAGGAGGCAGAGGTTGCAGTGAACCAAGATTATGCCACTGCACTCCAGCCTTGGCAACAGAGCCAGACGTTATCTTGAAAAAAACAAATAAATAAAAAATAAACAAAATCTGTCACAAAAGACAAAGAAGATCACAATATGATGATAAGAGGTCAATTCATCAGGAGGGTATAACAATTGTAAATACATATGCACCTAACATTGGAGCACCTAAATATGTAAAGCAAATATTAACAGAACTAGAAAGAGAAACAGACAGCAATGCAATAATAATAAGGGACTTCAATCACCCACATTCAACAATGGATAGATCATCTAGAGAGAAGATTAGTAATGAAATAGCAGATGTGAATAAAACTATAGACAAATCAACCTACCAAACATAGACAGAACAATCCATTCAACAGAAGCAAACACACATTCTTCTCAGGAGCACACAGTACCTACTCCAGGGTAGATCACACGTTGGGCCACAAAACCAGTCTTAAAT
The DNA here is from genome assembly GCF_000001405.40 of Homo sapiens. Lineage (NCBI taxonomy): Eukaryota > Metazoa > Chordata > Mammalia > Primates > Hominidae > Homo > Homo sapiens. The sequence goes on from NC_000001.11 coordinate 222,782,192, forward strand.
CTAAGAAGATTGAAATCATATCAAGTATCTTTTCTGATCGAAATGTTACAAAACTAAAAATTGACAATAGGAAGAATTTTAGAAAATTCACAAATACATAAAATTAAACAATACACTCCTGAACAACCAATGGATCAAAGAAGAAAACAAAAGAAACTCAAAAAGTGTCTTGAAACAAATGAAAATTGAACACAACATACCAAAACTTATGGGATGGGGCAAAAGCGGTGCTAAGAGGAAAGTCTGTGGTGATAAATGCCTACATTAAGGAAAAAGACAGACACCAAGTAAATAACCTAACTTCACACCTCAAGGAACTGGAAAAACAAACTAAGCTCAAGTCAGCAGAAGGTAGGAAATAAATATTAGAGCGGAAATAAATGAAATAGTCCGGGTGCGGTGGCTCATACCTGTAATCTCAGCACTTTGCGAGGCCGAGACAGGCGTATCACCTGAGGTCAGGAATTCAAGACCAGCATGGCCAACATGGCGAAACCCCATCTCTACTATAAATACAAAAATTAGCCAGGAGTGGTGGCATGCACCTGTAGTCCCAGCTACTTGGGAGGCTGAGGCATGAGAATTGCTTGAACCCAGGAGGCGGAGGTTGCAGTGAGCCGAGATCATACCACTGCACTTCCACCCTGGGTGATGGAGTGAGACTCCTACAAAAAAAAAAAAAAAGAAAAAGAAAGAAATAAAATAGAGATTAGAAAGACAATACAAATTATCAACGAACTAAGAGTTGGTTTTTTAAAAAGATGGAAAAAAATTTGGCAAATCTTTAGCTAGACTAACCAAGAAAAAAAAATACTGAAATAAATGTAATTATCAGTGAAAGACAAGGCATTATAACTGAAACCACAAAAATACAAAGGATCATAGGAGACTACTATGAACAATTATACACCAAAAAATTAGATAACTTAGAAGAAATGAACAAATTCCTAAAAATATGCAGTCTACCAAGACTGAATCATAAAGAAATGGAAAATCTGAACTGACCAATAATGAGTAAGGAGACTGAATCAGAAAATCTCCCAACAAGGAAAAGCCTAGGACCAGATGGTTTCATGGTGGCAATCTATCAAATTCTTAAATAATTCATGCCAATCCTTCTCACATTCTTCCAAAAAAACTGAGGAAGAGGGAACACTTTCTCATTTTTTTGAAAGAGAATAGCTTGAGTGCCTTTAAGCAGTCACAGGAGCATCCACAGATGTTTAAGTTAGATGAATGTGTGCACACATGCTTACTCTGTGTCAGGTATCACTTAGGTGAACGTTGATGGGTACAGTGATTTTGACCATTATACGGTTTTTCATTTTTTTGTTATATAACATTTATAATTATAATGAGTCATTCAAGAGAGAAATACTAAGGAACATGATGGGGAAATATATCAAAATACTGCAACATATAAAAATGATTTAATTCTACAAGGTTTTTTGAAGAAAGAGACCAAAACTCAGTCTGACTTGGATAACTTGATGATCACAGCTCTGGGAGTGATGAGCAGAGACGGTGACAATGCCCAATGGAGAGCGGAATCTTATCTATCCAAAGCACGGTGGAGACCAGCAGTAAGAGTTTCCAGTTCCCTGGAACTGGGATTGGCAAAACAAAGTGGGACAGGAGTCTCTAGCCACAGAGTTTCTTGTTTTCCTTGGGGCCCTCAGCAGTGGTGGGGTTAGTTGGAATAGGGAAGAGCTGGTGAAATCTTGGAAACCTAGTGGAGGTGGACTAAGCAATCTGGAGTCCTGCTGGAATATGCTTAGCAATTTCCCACCTAATTGTGTTGCTGAAGTACCCACAGGGTTGGCGTCAGGAAAGAATAGGGCATGAGTCTTTGATGCCATTTTGCCTTCTTAGAGGTCTCATGACTGTCTTTCCAGGGTATCAAAAATAGGAGGTTTCAGTGTCCAAATGCCCCATCCAGTGAAGGCTGTTCTTGGACAGCATTCTCCATATGTCTCCAGAAGAAAGGGAGACAAAGCAGTAAATTTTAGTGTTATTGGCTAGACGCTAATTTCCAGTGTATCTGTGGAGAATTAAATTGGACTTGGGAATCATAATTCCTTCCTCTCTCTGAAAAGTAAAGAAAGACTTTCTCTTTTGGCTGATGAGCCAACAGATCCTTTTTCATATTTTAAATCTCAGTTCTAGGATCTTTGATTGTGTGAAGAAAAAAAAAATAGAACAGAACTACTGCCTATGGTAGTATCTAACACTGACAATGCAGAGGAGAGGCTAAGAAACAAGATATAAAAGAAAAGCAGACTATCAGGATTTGTGCTCTGAACATCAAGTAGGAAATGCTATTACTGCAGACACTGATTAGCATTTGTTAAGTGCCTATCATGTGCCAGGCAGAACGCACAGTACTGAGAACTTTCTTTGTTGAATTATCAGACATTAGCTCTTTGTCCAAACCTCTGTGGAGTGAAGAACCTACAATTGTCCTATTCTTTTCCATTTCTGTGTTTTATTTCTCCATCGGAAAGATGTGTCTGAAAAGGTAGTCCTCTATTTCAGAGTTCCTCAAACTCAAGGTCAGAACCAAAACGTTTTGAAATTGATTAAATAAGTCTCAAACATCCATTTGTTTTAAAAAAAATGAAGTGGAATAAAAAAGAAAGTATCAGAAAGCAGGTAGTAAAGTAGTTCCATGAAATTCTTGTTTTGATTTTATAGCTGTGTGTGTGTACTGGGTCTCTGTGGAAATGTATTTCTTTCTCTGGGTAAAGGTTAAAAAGTTTGAAGAGCACTGACAGAACGATTTCACTGCACTGAAATGTACAATGGTTTACATCCAGTGGAAATATGGGGAGTGAATTATGTGTGATAACATCTCCTTAGAAAAACGGGTCATGCTCTGTTTCTTTAGGAATATTGCCAAACATGCTTACAGAACAAATAGATGGTAAAAGATAAGTGGACTGAGAGATTTCTGATCAGATTGAGTTTTCCTGAAAAACCACTTCCCTGAAGATTGCATATCATGTGCCACTTGTTGAAGCTCAGAGCAAACTGTTCAAGCATACAGCTTTCCTTTGCTAATTATACCTATTCTCATGTCATTTATTGCATTCACTAGTTATAAGTCATTTTCTTCTTCTCTCAAAAGAACCCCTTGCTATATTTCTTAAGTCCATATGCAATCACCTAAAAACACACTTTATAAATCTCTGGAGTGAGGAATATAGTGGGAACAGATGATACATTTGTGCTTGAATTATTTAAAGCAGCACAGATCATGAGTGCCTAAAATGAGAATTCAATTGGTAGTTTAATACCAAAATCCCAAGAAAGGTATAACGTAAACAATGATACATTCTTTGTATTTTGTGTGTGGTATTTTAAAAATGAATGCTGACTAGGTTGTTTGTGTAAATCCTTTGCCAACACAAAAAGCAACAGAATCTTGCAGAGCATGCAAAACAATTTCTTAAGTCTTTTAGCATGTGTGTTTTGATTTTGAGGAAGGAAAGAAATAGGATTTTTGCAACTTCGAAACAAATCTTCAAGATCTTATATACTCTGGGAGCTCCAAAGTGCTGAAGTAAGCCTGCCGTCAATACACTGGATTGAAAATCTTGCACTGCCATCATCTCAGAGAAACAGACAGGAAACTTGAGGTCTGAGAACTGAATTGTGCCAGATATTTGACAGTCTTTTCTTCTCTTCTTCCCCCAATTTTTTATTTTCAAAAATATCAAACCTACACAAAAGTTGAAAGAATAGCACATACAGGTATTCTAGCACACACATCTATAGAGGTGCCTTCTATTTCAGTTAACCAATTGTTAACATTTTGTCACATTTGCTTTCATATATATATGTATATATGTGTGCATGTATATAGATATATTAATAGATATATGTGTCTATGTGTGTATATATATGGGGGGGTATGTGTGTGTCAGTTGCAGATATCATGACAATTTTCCCCTAAATACTTCAGCAACTATCTCCTAAGAATAAAGGTAATCTTCCACATCACCATAATATTTAACATTGATTTAGTAATGTCTTCTCATGCAGAGCCTAATCTAAATTTCCCTATTGTTTCAGCACCTGGTATTCTTGGTCCTGGGCCAAGACTGCATTCCTCAGCTCTTCCAATTCCTAGACTGAACAATTCCCTTAAATCTGCAATATATCTTCCTTACCCTATGCAGGGGACTGTTTCCTAGCCAAGCCTGTACATTAATATTCTGCCCCCTAACCCCCCACAAGCACTGAGGGATGGAAGGAACATGACTGACATAACAGAGAGAGGCGATTGCCAGTCTGGAAGTCCTCCTGGGGAAAGCAATGTTCTTCCTTTAACCCTGAGCAGATGAGCCAGGAATCTTCAAGCTGTAGGACATTGGTTCCAAACTTGCTCCTACATAAAAGGTCTGCTGTGCTGGAGGGACATTTGCACTTAATGCCAAGGCCACCTCCACTCTACCTACCGTGGCATGCAAGGCCCTTCATGAGCTGGCTTCTGTTTATCTCTCCAACCTTATCCCCTCCTTAAAACCTACTCTCCAGCCTCCCTTAACAAATGAAGTTCTCTTTGACCTCTAGGCTGTCGCTCATGTTTCTTCTGCCCAGATGACGATTTCTACCCTTTCACTCCCAGGATTCCCCATGATGCATTCTCTGAGCACCTCTGGCCTCCGAAGCCTAAGCTGCTTCTCCCCTGGCTCCCATCACTCATCCCTTCTCCTTTCTACGCTGCCACAATCTATTGTAATTGCCCGTTTATTTGTCTGTAGCCCAGACGGTAGAAACCATGTGGGTAGAGCTATGTCTCCTCAGTCCCTGGCACAGCACCAGCCCATAGTAAGTGTTCAAGCAGTATTTATCAAATGGACATCTACATGTTGCATGAACTCCTGTTGTTGAGGAATTGGGCCCCTCGTAGTTTATGCATTCCTTGACACCCTGTTTCATGTGAGGTGCTCAGTGGCTATGTACTACATGGTGGAATATCCACCCTCCAGGAGTTATGCTCTCAATAGGGAGGCAAGTCTAAAATGCACAAAGGGCCAAATAGCAGTACAAAAAACTGGGTAAGAGATGGCCAACACACCTGCATCCACAGGTCTGACTATGCATTGGAATCATCCAAGGGGACTTGCTGAAAATACAAATTCCTGGTCTCCCTAAGAGGTTTTCATCAAGAAGGTCCAGGGATCTCTTGATGTAAGTGACTCAGGGAATTCCGATGCACGTGGACCAAGGACTAAACTTTAGGAACCATTGGCAATTAGGGGAAAGCTTCATCAGATGGAGTGGTCATAGGGCCCTTCCACCAGACCCTTCAGTGCCTCTGTATGAATGAGAAAAAGGCACCCCGTTGGAAGGATACCACCCATGGGCACATGGCCTGGTGTGTGGAGGCCAGGTGTGCTCTACTTGCCGTCCTCCTCAGGACGCCCTTGTAGAGGGCATGATGCTTTGATATTAATCATGGCTTTGTCCTGGATGCCCCTGAAACAGTATCTAAGCACTTTTTTCACATCCCTTCAAAGTCCTCCGTAGCTGCACATAAGGAGATAAACAATAGTCATTATAATGTATGTTATACATATAATATTCCACATTGGCTGGTCAAGTGAATCCCAATAAACATAGAAACCACACAAAACAAATGACTTAAACACTATTATTTGCCTTACGCCTCCCACTTCAAGGCAGCCAAACCCCGGGTGTGGCCCCACAGCTGAGGGAGGTTATTTCAGATGTGAGATCCTCCAGTGAGCTTTGTGAACAGCATATGTTTGCAGCACTTGAAAAGGAATGTCTGACTGTACTGATACGGACTCCTACAAAACCCGAAGAGTCAAACACTGGGTCACAGGGTAACCAACTAGCCATTTTCCAAACAGATGAATCCTGGTGGTGCAAATCTCCCTAAGTAATCCCTAGAGGTTCAAGCTCATCAACATTTATTGGGTACTATAATATACAAGGCACTCTGCTCAGTTCCAGTGGTGGGAGTGTGAAGATGAAGAAGGCATGATGCCTGCCCTCAAGGAGACAAAAATATAGTAAACAGAAACTCCATCTAAGTAAGATGATGTTGTAACACCTCTAAAAATGGTTCAGACACAGTGCTATTGGTGAACGGAAAAATGAAGATTTTATTCCACATAGAAGGACTGGCAAAGGCTTAATGGAGCAGGTGGAATGTTCCCAGAGTGTTGAAAACTAGATAGGGTTTTGACAAATAGATAGCACTGGAAAAAGATATTAAGGCTGCTGGAATCTTGGCTGTCAAACTAATTAGCTGTGTGACTATAGGAAAGTCACTTAACCTCTCTGAGTTTTAATTCTCTTATGACTAAAATTAGGAAAATGATGACACAAGGTGCTATCGTCTGAATGTTTCTGTCCCCTGATAAATTTGTATGTTGAAATCCCAATCCCCAAGGTGATAATATTAGGAGGTGGAGCTTTTGGGGAGGTGATGAGTCACTGGGGCAGAGCCCTCATGAATGGGATTAATGCCCTTACAACAGAGGCCCAAGGAAGCTTCCTTGCCCCTTTCATCATGACACAGTCAGGAGGTGCTGTACTATGAACCAGAAAGCAGGTCCTCACCAGACACCAAATCTACTGGCACCTTGATCTTGGACTTCTAGTCTCTGGAACTGCAAGAAATAAATTTCTGTTTATAAGCCACCTAGTTTATGGTATTTGTTATAATAGACCGAACATACTAAGACACAAGGTTGCTCTGAGTAAAAAATGAAATGACATGCATGAGAGCACTTACCGCAGTGTCCAGCACCTAACAGGTGCACCCAGTCATCTGTTCTGCTGTTCCTATGTAAGAGGAGGAAATAGGGTGAGCAGGCTGAAGACTTTGTGGGGAGAATGGGAAGAGGTCTCATTGGAGCAGAAGGTAGGGTGAATGAAGAATATGGCTGGAAAACTGATCTGGGGCCAAGTGGGAGTGGCCCAGTGCATGAGAAGCCCTTGGAGGATGTGCTGAAGGGCCTGTCCTTGATTTGTCACATAATAGTGGACACAGCTATCTGAATCCAATCAGAATACTATTAATTGTTCCTCAAATCCAGTCATAATGCAATCTGAATACTCTATAACTAAATATTAATTTGTAAAGTTTACCTCCCACAAAATTAATCTCCAGCAAAGACTAATCACAACTGTTATTTTAAGAGCAGCAACTTAATACAACTAACTATTAAATAGGTATTAAAGAACTAAAAATAACTAAGGTATCAGAAAGGAAGCAGCTTCAGGGAGAAGCTTTGTTCCCTAGAGCTTAGGAAACTAATAGAAGAATATGGACTTATTAAAACTTGGAAGTATGGAGCAGTATGGCAGTTTCTCAAAAAATATATAATAGAATTACCTAGTATGTAGCAGTTCCACTGCTAGATATATATTCCAAAGAACTGTAAGCAGAGACTCAGAGATATTTGTACACACATTGTATTCTCACACTGCTATGAAGAACTGCCTGAGACTGGGTAATTTATGAAGAAAAGAGGTTTAATTGACTCACAGTTCCGCATGGCTGGGGAGGCCTCAGGAAACTTGCAATCATGGCAGAAGGCAAAACGGAACCAAGACAGGTCTTCACATGGTGGTAGGAGAGAGAGAGAGAAGGGGGAAGTGCCATACTTTTAAACTATTTTGTGTTTTAAAATTTTTTGATTTTGTGAGAACACTATGATGAGAACAGCAAGGGGGAAATCCACACCCATGATCCAATCACCTCCCACCAGGCCCCTCTCCTGACAAGCGAAAATTTCAATTCAACATGAGATTTGGGTGGGGACACAGAGCCAAACTATGTCACCCATGTTCATAGAGGCACTATTTGCAAGAGCCAAAAGATGGAAGTAACCCAAGTGTCCATCAATGAATGCATGGATAAACGTTTTAATTACCTACAATGAAATATTGTTCAACTCCAAAAAGAGAGTAAATTCTGACACATGCTATAAGGTGGATGAAGCTTGAGGATATTATGCTAAATGAAATAAGCCAGGGACAAATAGACAAATATTGTATGACTCAACTTATGTGAGGTACTTAGAGTAGTCAAAATCATAGAAACAGAAAACAGAAATGGTGGTTGCCAGGGGCCTGTGGGAGTGATATGGTTTGGCTCTGTGTCCCCACCCAAATCTCATTTCTAACTGTAATCCCCACGTGTGGAGGAGGGACCTGGTGGGAGGTGATTGGATTATGAAGGCAGTCTCCCCCATGCTGTTCTTGTGATAGTGAGTGAGTTATCACAAGATCTGATGGTTTTATAAGTGGCAGTTTCCCCTGCTCTTTTCTCGCCTGCTGCCATGTAAGACGTGCCTCCTTCCTCCTCCACCACGATTGTAAGTTTCCTGAAGCCTCCTCCGCCATGCAGAACTGTAGGTAAATTAAACCTCTTTTCTTTATAAATTACCCAGTCTCAAGCAGTTCTTTACAGCAGTGCAAAAATGGATTAATATGGGGGGGAAGAGGAAATGGGGAGTCATTACTTGATGGGTATAGAGTTTCAGTTTTGCAAGATGAAATGAGTTCTGGGTATTGGCTGCACAATAATGTGGGTGTACTTAACACCACTGAACTGCACACTAAAAATGGTGAAGGTGGTAAGTTTCATGTTACATGTTTACCAATATTTAAACAAAGCGAAAACACTTATAAGTTTGGAAGAAGAACTTTGCAGAGCTAAAGCTCAGACCTTGGAGTGTTAGTGTCTCTGAGCTCAGAGGAAAGGCCCTGTGGGGCTGAGACCTGGACCTCTGGATATGGTGGGGATGGACTGGCTGCTACTGGTGTCTTGAAGGAGGCACGATGATCAGGCTACCCCTATAAGTGTTGGAAAAACTGCCAACTGGAACCAAGTGCTGGTACTGGGACTAAACTAATTGCTGCTGCCTGGTGAAGAAGAATTACTAGGGTGAGACTGACAGGAAGCAGAAAAAAATTCCTTCTTTCTTCTCCAGCCTCGCAGTCTCCCTCTACCAACCTCTCTTGGCAGAGTCTAGCTTGGAGCCAGCTGGCAAACAGAAAAGTGGTTTGCAAAGTCCTGATCCCAGCAGCACCAAACTGAGTATAGAAGAGGAGTTTGAAAATGAGACAATGGCTGACACAGTGGGCCACTGAACATTTAATTTATGAACAAGGAAATGGCATAATCAGAGTGTTAGAATGCTGACTCTGGTGGCAGTGTGAGAAATAATTGAAAAAGGGAGACTTACGAGACTATTAAATCTATCCAGGAAAGATGCAGTGAGAGTCCAGCCTTGGATTTGCTCCAATTCTGTTATCAAAGTTTCTGTCCTGTTCCTGAATCCTGAGTCATCTTGCCCATGTTATCCTTAGTTCTTGTACGTGGATCCCCTTCCAATTTCTGTTGCTGTGCCTTTTTAGCCTACCCAAGACTGCCCATTCACAAGTTAAGGACAGCTAAGAATTCTAGACTGGACAGCCTGCCTGGGTCCCCTAATATGACCTGCTTTAAATAGCACCATATTCCAGGAAACTCTTCAGACATCCTGCTATTCCTCTGAAATCTCTGAAGCTAACTGCTTACCTAGTCCTACTATGTGCCATACCTAAGTGTTAGGGTTTCAGAGATGAACGATATTCTATACTCAAGAGGCTGGGCATGGTGGCTCATGCCTGTAATCCTAGCACTTTGGGAGGCCAAGGCAGGAGGATCATTTGAGCTCAGGAGTTAGAGGCCAGCCTGGCCAACATAGGGAGACCTCATCTCTAAAAAAAAAGGAAAAAGTATTCTATACTCAAGGAAACTGAAGTTTAGGGAAAAAGGCATCAAATGTAAATAAATAGTTAGAATATGATGATAGAAAAGTAATTGCTAATATTTATTATAAGATAGGAATTTTTAAGTGCTTGAGATACAAACACATTTAAACCTCGTAACAAACCTAGGAGGTAGGTTCTGTTATTACTCCCATTTTATAGGTGGTGAAACTGAGACACAGAAGATTAAGTGATTTGTTCAAGGTCAGGCAGTAAGGAAGTGTTGGAACTGGCATTCAAGTCCCAGAGCAGTCAGCCTCTGCAGTTCAGGATTCAGGGACTGAGAGTAGGAAAATTTAAAAAGGTTGATGAGGTTCAAATGGAAATCAACAAGAGGGTCTGACAAATTGGATTAAGTTTTCACCTGTGGGTAGAGGGAGAAAGGGTGTGTGTGTGTGCGCGTGCGTGCGTGTGCACATATATATGCGTATGTGTTCGTATTCGTGTGTGTGTGTGTGTGTGTGTGTGTGTGTGTGTGTGTGTAGCTGCATGGCTCTCCTTAGAGATGCTTCTTTAAATCCCCCTTTTCTTGCCTACCACTGCTTATAACCCACCATTTCTGCAATGAAAGGCAGAGATGGAGGACCTGCGTACACTCTATGGTAAATTGTTGGAGTAAAACCTGTTCAGAAATCAAACCTTCCTCTTTGGCTGCCTGCCACTGTGCTGGATTCAATCATAACAAGTAGCCCAGACCCCAACCATCTTCTCTACATCAACCTCACCTTTATTCTACCACAATATTCATCTGTTATCAAATGAGATAAAGTATAAGAGAGCATTTTATAAGTTATTAAGTGTCATACAAATATTAGTTATCATTGTTACTACCACCTGCAAAACTGGTCAATTTCGATAAGTTTCCTTTTCTGCATGTCTGAGTTCTATGAAAAACTTCACTAAAAAACTCATTGAAAAATCCCCATGTTGTTTTCGGAACTGATCACTAGGTGTTGCTATTTGATAACACATTATCAACACCCTGCCCACCCCCAAATGCCTGTATTTTTTTGCAGAGGTACTGAGATTGATTTTTCTCTATTTGATTTTGATAAGAATTATCTGTTGTGTTTCACATAATTTGCAGAGAAATAATTTGAAGTCAAGTAGGAGTAATTGGCCTTATTCCTTGCTTCCCCTCTTTTTCCTCTTTCATGCCTTCGATTTTAACAACCATCTCTCTCACTGCAGTGCCTGCAATGCAGATCACTCCTCAATCCCTATTTCATCTATTCAACAAATATTTATTGAACATTATATATGTGCCAGACATTGACTAGGAGCTGAGTATACAAGAGTGAATAAAACAGCCAAAGTTTTGACCACCATGCAGCTTACTCTTACGGCTCTTTCTTGGACAACCGACCCACATTTTCAACTTTTTTTGCAATAGGAACTAAACTTGTCTTTTCGTTTCCCACATTGAAAATCTCTCAGGTAGCATCCATGTAGCTGAACTGCTTCTCAAACTCATCATATTCATCCTGAGCACCACCTTTTGACTTGAATGGAAACATGACTTGTTCTCTTAAGTCATCAAGCTCAAAAATCTCAGTTATGCTAAGTGAAATAAGCCAGGCACAGAAAGTCAAATACTGGGTGATCTCCCTTATATGTGGAATCTAAAAAAGTAAATTTCATAGAAACAGTGAGCAGAAAGATGGTTGTGGTTACCATCGGCTGGTGAGGGGGAGAAGGGTGGGAGAAGCGAAGGAATGTTGATCAAAGGGTTCAAGGTTTCAGTTTAGACTGAAGGAATACGTTTCAATGATCTATAATAATGTATTGTGTATTTCAAAACTGTTAAAATAATAGATTTTTAACATCTCACAAGAAAAAAGATAAATTGATGAAGTGATAGATATGTTAGATATGTTAATTAGCTGGATTTAACCTTTCTACAATGTGTGCATGGATCAAAACATCATGTTGTACCTCATAAATGCACATAATTATTTTTGTCAATTAAAAATAAATAAAGTTTAAAAACCCAAACTTTTTTTTTTTTTTTTTGAACTGCTTCCTCTCCTTTGCTTCCATTCCTAATCAATTGTCACATCCAAGCTTTGGAACAGGTCTTCAGTGCCCCTGGCCTGGGCCACAGTGATAGAATTTCCTGCTTCCTTTTCCTCTTACCTCCAACAAATCCTCTACATTGCTGACAGAGTAATTCTCTTGAATAGTACTTCTCACCATACAACCCCCAGCCCCTTTCTTTATTCTAAGCATTTAAACTCCTATTCTTAGCATCTAAATCTCTCCATCACCTGACTTCAACCTCCATAGTCTTCACTCTACCTCTAAATCAACAAAAAGTGGGTTAAGAAATGTTTATGTACCATGCATTGGACTAAGGCACATGGAGTAGAGATATGAACAAGACCAGATCCCTTCCCTCATGATAAGCAGAAGATTACTAAATAAGTGTTATGGATTGAATTGTGCCCATCCCCAATTCATATGTTGATACCCTACCCGCCAGTACCTTAGAATGTATTAGGAGATAGGGCCTTTAAAGAGGTAAAGGGGTTAAATGAGGTCATGAGGGTAGGACACCAATCCAGTAGGACTGGTGCTCTTGTAAAAGGAGAGAGATACACCAGGGATGCACACATACAGAGGAGAGGTGACGTAAGGACACAGAGAGAAAGAAGACAGCCATCTGCAAGTCTGGAAAGAGACCTCAGGAGAAACCAAACCTGCCAACACTTTGATCTTGGACTTCCAGTTGATGGCAGTGGCAGGCCATTTGTAGCAACCGCTGCCATCATGCCAGCTGCAGCAGGGAGGCGCAGCCAGGGCTGCACACTCCATGAAGCCAGCAGGAACTGGGGAGAAGTGGGAGCCCCACCCATTCTGAGTTGGGGCAGGAGCTCCTTGGATGCCACTGCAGCCGCCCAAGCCACAGCTGCGGACCCAGACATCCCTGTGCTCTTGGGGCCCGGGAGCAGGTGGGAGCTCCAACCTCTGATGCACAGCTTCAGCTGCCCAAACCAGGGCTGCAGATCCAGGCCTCCTGCTCCATGGAGCAGGCAGGAGCCACCTCCCCTCCTGCCCCTCCTCCACCCCCACAGCTGTAGCCGCCCAAACTGTGGCTGCAGACCCAGGCATCTCTACACTCTTAGGGGCCCTGGAAGGCCTCCTCCTACCCTCACAGGCTTGGAAGTGCCTGCTCCCACTGCCTGGCTTCTCTCTGCTGTAGGCACCTGCTTCTATCTTGAAGCAAAGTCAGGCTGAGCCCAGGCACTGTTGGAGCCCAGCCAAGTGTGCACACTCTTGGGGCAGTGCTGACATGCCAGCTTCTTGCCATCTCAGCCACTTCTGGACTTTGGGCACCAACAAGCATAGGAAGGAAGCCAAGGGTGGCTAAGGGCAGCTCTGCACTGGCCTGCAGGTGCCCCTTGGCAACTACAGCCTGGATACCATGGATGGCAGCTGAAGGCAGACAGGTTCCTGGGCAGAAGTGGGCAGGTCCCTGGTGAGGCCCCACATTCAGGCTAGGGAGGGCCTGAAGACTGTGGGCTGGACTGCTAGTCCCATGAACCAGAGTAGGAACTCCTGGTGCCTTTTCCCGGCCCACCCATGGCCACCTGTGGACCAATCGGCACACACTTCCTCCCCTCTGAGGCCCATAAAAGTCCTGGGTTCATCCAGAGCTGAGTAGACATTGGGATGAACAGCTGCAGAGAGGAGCTACCCACTTCAGGGACTCCTCTCTGCTGAGAGCTGCAGAGAAAATGGTATAACTTGTCTGCAGAGAGGAGCTTCCTACAACAGGGTCTCCTCTCTGCCAGGAGCTGAACACTCGCCAATGGGACACCATAGCTACAGAAAGGCGCTGCCTTCTGTGGGAGACCGAGCTGTTCTATCACTCAATAAAGCTCCGCTTCATCTTACCCACTCTCCACTTGTCTGCATACCTCATTCTTCCTCGTCACAGGACAAGAACTCAGGACCCATTGAATGGCGGGGCTAAAAGAGCTATAATGCAAACAGAGCTGAAACATGCCCCTTGCTTGCCATGTTGCAGGCAAAGAAAAGGAGAGATGAGCTGTGGCCCTTCGGGGATCCCAGACCTTGGAGCTCCCTGAGCCAGGGCTGTGACTCCCTCTTTAAAGCCCTGCAGTTCCTGGGATCTCCAAGCTTCCAGGTGCCACCATATTCCCCAGTGCCAGCCATGATGAGCTACTTGTGTTGCGTCTGGTTCAGCTGCAGCTTCTCAGAGAGCCAGCACCCATGCCAGCACCTGGTGCTGCCCACCCCACTGCAGCAGCCAGCATGTCTGTCTGGGCGCAGTGGCCGGACCACAGATTCATTCACACACCCCTCACCATTCCACGCCTGACTCATCCTTGACAAGCATGGGACCCAGGTCAGTAGTGTGAGACAAGTTCATCCTGCCTAGCCAAGTAGGAGAAAAGAGCCCAGCAGGCCCGAGCAAAACTTGGGCAAAGGTACCACCGGCTACAGAGATTTCCAGCCAGAAAAATGGCACCCCAAAGATCCCATAACACAGTCTTGATTTTGGATTTCCAAAACTATCAGAAAACAAATTCTGTTGTTTAAGCCACCCAGCCTGTAGGTATTTTGTTATGGTAGCCCTAGCAAACAAAGACAATAAGTAAATGCAATAAATTTTTGGAGAAATGGTGTTGGGCAGAACACTGGGACCACAGGAGGGAGGGGTCCACATATCTCTCTTTTGTATTATTATTATGCATTATTATGTGTTGTATTATTCATTGTTTTCCTAATATGCCAGTCTCCATAGCTTTGCCCTTACTGTTTTCTTCACTGGGCAAATGCAGCTCCCTATCTTCTCTCTACTATGAAAATCGGCCCGTCTTTTAAAGCCAATGCCATTACCGAGTTCTCTATAAAATCTTTCCTCTGTTCTAAATTTGATTTTATCAGTCTTTTCTCTTGGTTCCCTTACCACTTTTTTTGTGTGTGCATGCCTTTCTGATAGTCCTCATTTTCTGCAGCTTTAATTTTGATTCTTTGGTTTTTTTTGTTTGTTTTTTTGTTTGTTTGTTTTTTGAGATGGAGTTTCGCTCTTGTTGCCCAGGCTGGAGTGCAATGGTGTTATCTTGGCTCACTGCAACCTCCGCCACCCGGGTTCAAGCAATTCTCCTGTCTCAGCCTCCCAAGATTATAGGCATATGCCACCATGCCTGGCTAATTTTGTATTTTTAGTAGAGATGGTGTTTCACCATGTTGGTCAGGCTGGTCTTGAACTCCCAACCTCAGGTGATCTGCCCACCTCAGTCTCCCAAAGTGCTAGGATTACAGGCATGAGCCACTGTGTCTGTCGATATTCTTTGTATTTTTAACTCACCTATTCTCCCAATCTTAAGTGCCTCAATAGAAGGAAATGTCTGTCACTCATTTATATGTACTGAAAGTACCTATTACTGGGATTTGCACACAGTAGATGCTCAATAAATATTTATTTAATTTGAACAAGGGGAAACTCCTGCAAGAATAAAGAGAATTATACACTTTTGTTGACATTTTAAGGAGAATATATTCTTTGTTCTTTTCTAAAAAAGAAATGATGGGGTTATTTTCCATTCTCTTACAAATTATGGACTTAAAAGGGGTAACTAAAAGAAACTGACCATCCAAGTTTCTATGTCTTCAAGTGTCAGTTTATCCAAATCTAGAAGTTTGGGTTAAACAAACACATTCAGAGTTTATCTCTAGCACACTTCTCTGTGGGTATGAAAACATTTGGGATTGAAGAGTTATTGGAAATTTAACTTCTAGAGAATGAGAACAATGACCTAAAAGTTTAACTCCTTCTTTTCTTCCTGTCCCCTAAGTTATGGCCTCAGCTTCTGAAGCCCTTTCTTCTATACCCTTTGCTAAATTTTATTAAGATCTAGCATTCACCTGAAAACTTCAGGGGGCTCACAGAACAGCTTCAGAATTCCCCCACTAACTCTCAATACAAACAAGTACTCTTAACCCTAAATGCTTTCCTCTTTTTTTCTTTCAGTTAAATCTTAATTTTTAAAGTGTAATGAAAATATTCCTGACTGGGTGCAGTGGCTTATGCCTGTAATTCCAACACTTTGGGAGGCCAAGGTGGGAGGATTGCTTGAGCTCAGGAGTTCGAGCCCAGCCTGGCAAACATGGTGAAACTCTGTCTCTACTAAAAATGCAAAAACTAGCTGGTTGTGGTGGCATGTGCCTGTAGTCCCAGCTACTTCAGAGGCTGAGGGGGGAGGATCTTCTGAGCCTGGGGGGAGGAGTTTGCTGTCACCCTCCAGCCTGGGCAACAGAGTGAGACCATGTCTCAAAAAAAAAAAAAAAAAAGTCTAAAGAACTTTAGTAACTCAAACATGAGTCATGCTGGAATTAAACAGAAAAAAAACCTGTCTTGCTCTGTTGAGCTGTTAACACAATAGTCTTCATATAAACCTAAGCTAGGAAATCCTGTTCTCATTTGCTCAGTGGAATGCTATACAGAAATGAAAGAAAGTAATGTGGAATGAATGAAGCTACTCAAAAGAATACATACTCTTTCTTTATTACAAAGCTTGAGAATGAGCAAAATTAATGTCTAGTTATTGTGAGGATTAAATGAGTAGATTCATGCAAAGCCCTTGAATGAATAGACTAATTGAAGCTAATCAATAAGTGTGAGCCACTTTTGTCACCATGAGGGTTGGTCACTGAAACCCCTCTGAAATAATTGCACTTATTAAGTGGTCTTTTTTTTTTGACAGAGTCTCACTCTGTCACCCAGGCTGGAGTGCAGTGGTGCAACCTCAACTCACTGCAACCTCTGCCTCCCAGGTTTAACCAATTCTCCTGCCTCAGCCTCCCGACTACAGGTGCACGCCAACATGCCCAGCTAATTTTTGTATTTTTAGTAGAGATGAGGTTTTGCCATGTTGGCCAGGCTCATCTTGAACTCCTGACCTCAGGTGATCTGCCCGCCTCAGCCTCCCAAAGTGCAGGGATTACAGGTGTGAGCCACCACACCCGGCAACATTAAGTGGTCTTAATGAAGAATCTTAAGCTGCCCTGATGACACGGTGATGAAAGCTCCAGTAAGCTAACTTCACCCAGAAGACTGGTCACCTCCATCAGCACCTGCAGGCAGAGGTGATGCTAGCAGTAAAATGAGGCTGACTGAAGGGCAGGAAGCAGAGAAGGGTGTGGCTCAGGCGAGAGATCCAGCGAACAGTGGCTAGCAAGGTATTTCTGAGAACAGCATGGGGAGGGTGGGAGAAACAGGAAAGCAGGTGTAATAGAAGCTCCAGAGTGGGACTTTAAGGACACCCCCACACATGATAGCTTCCATCACCCTTCCTCAAGCTATCCCAAATAAGTGCACTCTATGGGCAGTACTTTTTATAATTTAAGAGAAAACCATAGGCTCGCTTTGGAAACAGCTCCAGGAGATGTTCCTTAGCCCTGTTCTTAACCAGGACCGCCCTCCTTTAATACCGGATCTGGAGCAGCCCCTGGGTCCTTGGTCCCTCATTCCCTAAGACAACAGCCCATTCATCCTGCCTTAGATGCTACAATGAGGCAGATGTGAGGGACAGGAATTCATCCCTCCTCTGGTTCCAGAGTCATGTCCCACAGTGGTAGTTTCCATTGTACTCTGTCTGGCTACATGTTGAGCCTGCAAACATGCTGTTAATGCTCTTTTTAATGTTCTGTAGTAAGAATGTATGCATGCTCAAAAATGTTGAATAACAGAAATACCACTTTTCAAAAATTGCAACATTTCTGTTTATTTCTCTCCTTTTCCATCTACTCTCCTTTTACTCAGGAATTTGTAGATTCAAAGTAACTTAACTAGTGGTTTGGGGATTTATAATAGATTTTATGAAGAAGGCTTTGAAAGTACTTTAAAAAACACTATATTCCTTATATTTCAATCTATAAATGTAAAAATGTCTCCATAAAGAGCCAAACTGCACTTAAACTGTCATTTTCAAGTTCATGGACACTCATAATCCAAAATTAATTATAATCCTCAGTAATTATAATGACACCATTAAGTTCTTCACATCTCAGGATTTGTTCTACATGAGAATGATCTTAACTCGATTATACTTCAGCAACCTGAGTTGTCATATAATTGCTCTCTGAAACTCATGAATGGTGACACCGCAGGTATTTAACAAATGCTATTGGATTTTCTTATCCTGATCATGTTTCCTTTTTCCTCACCTCTAAAAAAAATGATGTAGGAAAGGTAAAGGCATGGAAAAGGAAATATGAACTATTCATGACATTTTTCAAATGAAATGATAATTCAAATTATGTTTTGGGTAATAGAAAAATGGAGCCTTAAGCAAAAATTGTAGACTAGTTGGCATTCCTCTAGCTACAGTAAGTGAAGCCTGAATCTTTGACTCTATACATCTTCAAAGTATCCTAAGGTGAGCAGACTTTGGGTTAGTTCTCATAGTGTGGTTTTCTCAAGAAGAGTCCCACAGGCTGGGCGCGATGATTCATGCCTGTAATCCCAGCATTTTGGGAGGCCAAGGCAGGTGGATCACTTGAGGTCAGGAGTTCGAGACCAGCCTGGCCAACAAGGCAAAACCCTGTCTCTACTGAAAATACAAAAACTAGCCAGATGTGGTGGCGGGCACCTGTAATCCATCTACTCAGGAGGCTGAAGCATGAGAATCGCTTGAACCTGGGAGGTGGAGATTGCAGTGAGCTGAGATTGTACCACTGCACTCCAGCCTGGGCCACAAAATGAGACCCTGTCTCAAAAAAAAAAAAAAAAAAGAAGAGTCCCACAAACTTTGTTCCCTAATGAACTTAGCTATGAACTATATGCATGTATAAATGCAGGGTATACTTTTTCTCTAATAGATTGGGTTAACTTTGCCTATGTAATTTGTCAAAGTTTCCCAAGATAAGGGATCATGGACCTAACAGGATCATCCATGAGCATACTGAAATTGTATGTAAAATTGTGTGTGTGAGCACGTACTTTTTCCTGGGAGAATCGGTGTATATTTTGGATCATATTTTCAGAAGGGAAATCATTCTCATTAAAGAAATAAGGGCAAGAAGGACTGACTCTGGGTGAGAACCAGAAAAAAAAACAAGGAGCCCAAGAGCAAAGTCTAATGCTGGTACAAGACAGCAGGAGGGGTGGGTGGAGTGAATGGCACAGGCAGTGGTTCTGAAGCATCAAACTAGAAAATAGCTGTCCAAGAACAGAAAGTCATCCATCCCGGAATGATAGGGTTTATTTATTGTAAATACTCTGAGTTCATTTGCCAGAATTGATTTTTTTGAGGCAGGCTCACACAAATCATTCAGGTCAAAAGACTCTCCAGCCAAGCCCTAATGGACAGAGGAAAGATGTCTGACGTGAACCGTAGGTGGGTAACTACTTCAGCAAACACGAAGGAGTTTGATGAGGAGGAGGGAGTAGACTGGCTGAATTCATGTGCTTAGACCTTAATTGAGGACCAGATAAAGGGCTCATCATTTAGGTTGTTCCTTTCAGGTCTTTTCAGTTAGTTTATGATTTGGCCAGAGGTCATTCTTCTCCAAAGTAGCACATCTGTTTTTATTCATTCACTCTTAGGTAGGAATTCAGGATGTATGGTGACACTGGAGCAGTTAGTTGCAGGGACATGGAGGAGGTGGGAAGGGAGAGGAGGACACAAGGGGAAGGGCACATGGGCAGAGGGACAGCAGTTCTGCAGAGCTTCACACCTCCCGGGAGGAAGAGTGGAAGGGCCTGGGACCATAGCACTGTGCTGGTAAACTGAGGCCCTCCTGTTCCATATGTCAATCCACTATTAATGCTTCATTTCATTAATTCTTGAAGGCCTTTTTTTTAAATGAATATTTTCCAAGGAAATAAAAGAACACTCCTGGGAGGATCAATGCTTAAGACCTCTTCAGCTTCCACCTCAAATTTTAGTTAATACCATAACAAGGGGTGGGAACACAGAGGAAATATGAGAGGGCTGATGATTATGTTCCATAATTTTGCTAAGAATCCGACCTTTTTCAGCGTTCCTGTCCCAGCAGTATTTAAAATCATTACTGGCTTACATGTCAAAAGTTCAGGGATCATATTTTTGAAATAAAACTGACAAGTATAAGTATACTTACATGGATAATAGGATAGGATACCTGAGATTATAATGAGATTTAGCCAAAGGTGGCCGACTCCCATTTCACTTACGAGTTACACCCTTCCCAACCTACAATTAGATCTGCTGGCTAGATGCCACATGAAATGTAAGGCAAACTTTTCTTCCCCTTAAAAATTGTAGAAAAATTACTGGTCTAAAGTTTTGGGTAATATTACACTTTTTATTTGGACACTTTGGTTTAAAGACTTTTATTGTTTAAAACTGTATATTTTATTGTCATATGTGTTAGCTGTCAAGAAAAGGTTATTATCAACCATAACACACTTATTTGGGCAGCTAGCAATGAACTATTCAAAAAGTCCATGGTAAATGGCTTTGATGTTTTGAAGAACATGTGAATGCTGGCATTCTGGGAGTGTTTGAGGGAAGTCCAGCTTTTAAGATAAACTGATGCTTAGAAGGTGTAGAAAGAATGTTATCTACCTTTGTAAACTGAAATCTCTTTGGGACCTTAAAAAAAAAGCAAGAAAGTTATCTTTCTCTTTAGACTAGGAATACACAGGAAGAGGAAGGTGAAAAGCGAGTTGGTTGGGTAATGGACTATTTTAAGTGTTTCATGTTGATTTGGCGAAAACAATTATTTTTCTTATTTAAAAATTACATTTCACATCAAGACTGAATGATTTTAATATTTTAAACATACATTTGTTTTGTTAAGGTAACTAGAAGTGATTTTATTTTCAGGCTTATTCTTTCACCTCTGCTTCTATGAAGTGATTCATGTTACACTGGCATGTAAAGTACCCGAGCCTGCAATAGGGAGAAACTTCTCCAATGAAAAGAGGTATTTTTCTAGCTACGTATGCTGCATATTTGTCAAGGAAAAACTGTTAGTGGTTTTGCGGCTTGACATTTTCCATTTCATATATTATTTAAATAAACACATTAATTTTAGATTTGGAACTGTTTGGACAGTTAGCTTTCCTGAGTCATCTAAGACCCCTCTCTGTTCACCTTACTATCAACTATCTTTTTTTTTTTTTCTAGTCCCACTGGCAGTTCCTTAACTCTCTCCTTATAGCACCTACCTTTCTTTACCTACCGTTTTATCATTCTTCTTTCTCTGTATTTGACTTTGTTTTGGAATAGAAACAGATTAAATTTGCATTTTTCAAATTGTCCAAGTTGGAGAATGACCCTTTACATATAATACAAGTAAAGGTGAGTGAACTTCTGTGAACTTTCTTCTGTGAACTTTTGTACCATTCATGGGCCAGAGAACCAATTTTTGGTATATTACATATGGTGTGTGTGTGTGTGTGTGTGTGTGTGTGTGTGTATTTAAATATACCTTCTTAGTTTAAAAATTCAATGGTGTAAAATAAAATAATAACATTAGAGTCCAATTTGACTTCATTTATATTAAGCAAAATACACTAACACACATACACAAACTTTATTGCAGATTCTCTTGGAATCTTAGAGTCAGAAGTTAGGTCATCTGGCCCACACTCACCCACTTCTCATTAAAGCAATGGTGGAAGATCGTCATTCACTTCTGTTTGGAGATCTCAAAAAATGGACAATTCTGCCTGTTTTGAATGGCTTTTTTTCCCCCCGTTGATTCATGTGTTGATTTGTTTATCTCTTTGTCATTTATCAGACACAAACTATGTCAATCACTGGAAAGCACAGTCATCTTTTGGGGTATACTTCCTGCCCTCCAGGAATGTAAATTACTGTGGGAAGAGACAGCTATGTAAATGCGTAAATATAGCATATAATATGGTCATTAACACTGCAGAGATATGAAGCCGTGGATGAGGCCAGAGGACAAGACTCATTACCTCCTCTTGGAGGCCATTGGGAGGATTCATAGGGTCACATTTGTGATGGTCCTGAAGGTTGAGTAGGAGTATAACAGTTGAAGAGGCAGAAGGAAGACATTCCAGGTACAAAGCAAAACACATGCAAAGAAACTCAGTAAGAAGAGACTGGAAAGACAGGGTGGTTGGAGGTCTGTTTCATGGAAGCTCTAAAGAGAAAACTAGATTTTGTCAGAAGGGATGAGAAGATAGGTAATTTGGGGGAGAGGTAGCGAGGGAAAAGATACAGGATGAGTCTGGAAAGATAACTGGTGGTTCTGAGTAGGAAAACCCATATCTGTTAAGGAATTGGATTTTATCCCATAAGCAACATGAAGCCAACTAGTGCTTCCAACTGTAATAATAATAGCTATCACTTATATTGCAGTTTCAATGTGGTGGGCATTGTCCTAAGTATTTTAGATACATTAACTTAGACTTTGTACCAACCCTATGAGGTAAGAACTATTATCATCCCCATTTTAAGATGATGAAACTGAGGCACAGAGAGGTTAGGTAAGTTACTTAAGACCACACAGATAGTAGTGGACAAAACTGGGATTTGAACTAAGTAAGGGAGTTTTAGAAAAATAACTGATAGCAATGTGGAGTGTGGCTCACAGCTAGTGGCAAGAAGTCCAGTCTGGAGGCTGTTATAATAATTCAAACAGAAGAGTTTATATTGAGACAGCTGCCAGGATGGAAAAGTACATCAAAAAACATACTGTGTCAAAATTTTATCTCTTATATGCTTGCTGTGGGATGCAAAGCATTCTGAGTTCTCTCGAATGATTTCATCATAAATCAGAACTTTGATAAAGAGTGGCAATAGAAGAACTTGGCAAATATTTATTGCATGCTCATTCATGCAAGCCCCTATGCAACTCTGCTCTACTTTCAAGTATCATTTACTTCATTTTTATTACAACTAAATTTCCTAGTAGAAATATAATCTAGCATTTAAAATGTGGCATGGTATTTCCTTCATGCACAGGTATTCCCAGAGAGATGTTCTTTTATATTTTCTGACCAAACGAAAATAAGCCACTCAGTGTCTTGCTATGAATCCCTGTCAGAAAGTGGCTCATGTTTGCCAGAGTTTGGGTGGGCAGTGGGCCAATCTCAAATGACTTGAGTAAATCATTTGAACCCAAACACTCTCTTCTTCTTTTAAAATCTCCACAGACTAATGGTGGTCTGCCTAAGGACGTGGTTGTTCCTGCCTGCATTCTCCGTGTGTTCCCTCCTGACTGGCACAGACTGCCTCTGTGTGGTTGATGGGAATGAGGGGTGGAGGTTGCTGTTCACATTAAGGCCCTGACAAGGCAAGCCAAGGCAATTTTCTGAATACTTAATGGGAAAGTTGGGGTTGGGTGTTAAGTGTCCAGGAATTTGTCTGAATTTACTTTGCCAGTGAGCAGATATGACATTTGTTCACTATTTATTCAACAAATCTTTATTGATCTCTATTATATGCTAGGTTTCATGCTAATTGCTTGGAGTCGGAGACAAATAAAACATTGTTTGTGGCTTCAGGAAGTTTACCTCCTAGCTCCCCATATCAATAAAAAGAAACCACATTAGTTATCATAACACAGTGAATTCAGTATTGGGAATTGGCTAAGTGAGTGATGGACAACTGAAAAGGCAAGAGGGGTCACTGAGGTCATAGAGAGACAGAAGCTGCAGGAAGCAGCTCACATCTCTAGGGCTGGAGGAACAAAGGGAAGAGCAGGGGCTGCAGAAGTGGTGCCTGGGACTCTGAGGAGGGGCCACCTTTCAGTAGCAGGTACTCTTGGGGACCTGATGAAGTTGGTTTTGGAAGTAGGGTAAAAGCTGGAAACTGGTCCTGATAGCCATTCCCAAGGAGAAGGGCCATTCCAGGTGATGCCAATAGGAAAAAGGAAGCAGACAGGAAAGAGAATGTCCCTTCTCTGTCTGCTTTCAGTATCCTTCTTTTGCCCCCTATTGGCAAAGTCTACTGGACAGCAACTGGCAAAGAAGAAATGTCCATTGGACTGACTTGTGCAGACAGAGATGCAAGCAGCTCAAGCTTTCTAGCAGGAGGTTCAGTCTAGGCCTAAGCTGGAACTGAAACATGTTTGAACATGTTGCATTCTAGAGAACTGGATATCCAGAATTTGATTTGTGTGTTCTTGCTTCAGGGTCTTTGCCCTGTTCCTTCCTTGTTCCCTCCCCTCCCCTCCAATCCCATCTCCTCCCCTCCCCTCCCTTCCCATCCTGCCCCTTCCCTTCACTTCTCACTGAATCTAGCTCTGTACCCAGGCTGGAGTGCAATGGTGCAATCTCAGCTAACTGCAACCTCCACCTCCCGGGTTCAAGGGATTCTCATGCCTCAGCTTCCTGAGTAGCTGGGATTACAGGTGTGCAAGTCACCACACCCCGCTAATGTTTTGTGTTTTTAGTAGAGACAGGGTTTCACCATGTTGGCCAGGCTGGTCTCGAACTCCTGACCTCAGGTGATCCACCCACCTCGGCCTCCCAAAGTGCTGGGATTACAAGCGTGAGCCACCACGCCTGGTCTCTGGTTATTCTTTCTGCATGGAATACTTTTCCTCAGACATGCTTTTTTTTTCCTTCCTTCCTTCCTTCCTTCTTTCTTTCTTTCTTCCTTGCCTTTCTTTCTTCCTTTCTTCCTTTCCTTTCTTTGGAGATGGAGTCTTGCTCTGTCACCTAGGTTGGAGTGCAGTGGTGCAATCTTGGCTCACTGCAACCTCCGCCTCCCAGGTTCAAGCGATTCTCCTGCCTCAGCCTCCCGAGTAGCTGAGATTACAGGTGCGCACCACCACACCTGGCAAATGTTTGTATTTTTAGTAGAGACTGGGTTTCACCATGCTGGTGAGGCTGGTCTCAAACTCTTGACCTCAAGTGATCTGCTCACCTCGGCCTCCCAAAGTGCTGGGATTACAGGCATGAGCCACCGTGCCCAGTCACTTTTTTTTCACTTTCTTCAAGCCTCTGCTCCAATGTCACTTTTGTTTTTTTTTTTGAGATGGAGTCTTGCTCTGTCGTCCAGGCTGGAGTGCAGTGGCGCGATCTCGGCTCACTGCAAGCTCCAACTCCTGGGTTCACACCATTCTCCTGCCTCAGCCTCCCGAGTAGCTAGGACTACAGGCGCCTGCCACCACGTCTGGCTAATTTTTTTGTATTTTTAGCAGAGACGGGTTTCACCATGTTAGCCAGGATGGTCTCGATCTCCTGACCTCGTGATCCGCCCGCCTCGGCCTCCCAAAGTGCTGGGATTACAGGCTTGAGCCACCGCGCCCGGCTCCAGTGTCACTTCTTGATGACTGCAATTGCTACTCCCACCCCTGCCTTTTTATTTTGCTCTATTTTTTTCCCAAAGTATTTATCATTATGTTAATTAAGCATGCTAAATTATAATAAATAAATATTTATCATCATGCTAGATACATGAATATATTTAGTTATAACATATTTATTTATTGGTTTATTATTTTCTGTCTCCTCCAATTAGAATGTAAACTCTGCAAGAGTAGGTATATTAGCCCTAATTTTCTAGATAGCCAGAACAAACAGGAGAGAGCTATCTAGCTAGATGAGAAGGGATTTATTAGAGGAACTGGCTTACGTGATTATGAAGGCTGAGAAGGCCCATGATAGACTATCTGCCAGCTGGAAACCCAGGGATGCAGGTAGCATGGCTGGGTACAAATCTGAAACCCTCAGAACCAGTGAAGTCAATGGCCTCTCAGTCTGAGGCCAAAGGCCTGAGAACCCAGGGAACGGCTGGTGCAAGTCTCAGCGTCTAAAGGCCAGAGAACCTGGAGTTCTGATGTTCCAGGGCAGGAGAAGAAGGGTATCCCAGCTTCAGGAGAGACAGTGAATGCACCTTTGCTCTGCCTTTTTGCCTCTCTCTAGGCCCTCAGAAGATTGGACGGTGCCTGCCTATGTTGAGGGTGGATCTTCACCACTCAGTATACTAATGGAAACACCCTCACAGACACACCTAAAAGTAATGCTTTACCAGCTATCTAGGTATTTCTTAATCAAGTCGATACCTAAAATTAACCATCACAGCAGAAGTTGTTGTCTTTTGTTCACCAATGTGTCCCCAGCATCTAGAACAGTAGACACTCTCTGAATGTTTGTTAAATGACTAGATGGATGAGCCGATGCTTTGTTGAGGAAGAAGAAGAATGTTCTTTTGGGCAAGAAGCTAATAAAGCTAATAAGGATAATATGGTGTCTGTCTTCGATGTTACTGATCTCTCTCCCATGTAGAGAGGGGCTGCAGGAAGAAACTGAAGGAGGTGCTTCACAAACAGAAGTTGCGGAATTGGGTTTCAGCAGTGACCCTTTGTGTTTAGGTGAAAAAGCATGACCTGGGGTGGAGAGAGGACATTTGCAAGGACCTTCACTTTGAGGCCTCAAGGGTTGGAAGCATAGAGGACATATGTAGACAAGACTTTGAGTCAGGGCAGCAGTGATGTCTCAGAAACTATATGCAGTTTGGCTCTGCTGGAGCGAATGTTGATGTGGGTGTGTAGAGAAAAGTCAGCAATTTCTGTATGTTTATTTGTAAATGTAGTCTCAATGTTCCATTTTCCATAAATGCCACATAAATCCCTCCAACATTATTTGGGATGTACTCCTCCAATACCAAAATTCTTATTTGACTGCCATGAGAAAAAAATTGATAAAAAATAATAAAACATGACCTTAAAAATCCACAGAAAAGCACTTCAAGAGTGATTACATGAAGATATTGGTTGTTGGATAGCATTTGTCCACTCTGAGAAAGCAATGTCCTAGACTACCATACTAAATAACACCCGATCCATAAGTTATTAATCTTATAGCTATATGGAAACCAGATCAGTTTCTCTGATTCAGTCTTACACACTTACTGTTCAATTCTTTTTTTTTTTTTAAGATGGAGTCTCATTCTGTTGCCAGACTGGAGTGCAGTGGCACGATCTTGGCTCACTGCAACCTCCGACTCCCGGGTTCAAGTGATTCTCCTGCCTCAGCCCCCCGAGTAGCTGGGATTAAAGGCACACACCACCACACCCAGCTAATTTTTGTATTTTTAGTAGAGACAGGGTTTCACCAGGTTGGCCAGGATGGTCTCCATCTCCTGATCTTGTGATCTGCCCACTTTAGCCTCCCAAAGTGCTGAGATTACAGGCGTGAGCCACCACACCTGGCCCACTTTCTGTTTAATTCTTAATACTCATCCCAGACCTTTGGTCTTGCTTCTGTTTTTTATTACGAAATAATAAAAGTATACAATGCTAGATAGTTATATAGTATATTGACAGTCCAATGTTCTTTTCACACTTTTGATGGGGTTAGGGGAATTGCATTAATTATATTTAAGGAAACTTTCCTTTAGAAATATTTAAAGAAACTTACTTGTGTGTAAGCAGGGTTTGGCCAGGTTGAGCAAATAAAAATGCAGGACACCCAGTTAAATATAATTTCAGATAAGCAATGAGAAATTTCTTACCATAAGTATATCCTGTGTGATATTGGGGACACACTTATGCTACAAAATAATCTGAAATTCGAATTTAACTGAGTATCGTATATTTTAGTATATTTTATCTTGCAACTCTATGTGCAGGGCATTTTTTCTGGGCAGTGAGTATTTGCAATGCAGAGAAGGTCCCTCTCAGGACAAAAATTCAGAGGAATCAGAAATAACCTGCTGGCCAGGCGTGGTGGCTCAGGCCTATAATCCTGCTATAATGCTAGCACTTTGGGAGGCCGAGGTGGGTGGATCACCTGAGGTCAGGAGTTTGAGACCAGCCTGGCTAACATGGTGAAACCCCGTCTCTACTAAAAATACAAAAATTAGCCAGGCGTGGTGGCGGGCACCTGTAATCCCAGCTACTCGGGAGGCAGAGGCAGGAGAATTGCTTGAACCCCGGGGGTGGAGGTTGCAGTGAGCTGAGATCATGCCACTTCACTCCAGCCTGGGTGACAAAGTGAGACTCCGTCTCAAAAAAAAAAAAAAAAAAAAAGAAAAGAAATAACCTGCTATGGTTCTACCATGTCTACTCAAGGCAACTATAATCAACCTGTGCTTTATTGTTTGATTTTAAAAGTTTTTAAGAGAATGCTAAAAATAAAAGAAGTGACTTCTCACTAACTAGAGAAGTAGAGAAGGTGTAGCCCCCTTTAAGGCATGAATCCATTGTTTCTACAGGAAAAGTTTTGCCTCAATATTCCCAGCCTGTAGTTAATTCTGTTTTAGGAAATATGTTTCTTATCACTGAGACACAGAACTGAAAATTCATTCTGTTACTTACCTACTGGTGAGATTTCCAAGTTAGGATTAGAGCTGCGGGTCTATTTTAGTTACCAACCATGGAGTGAAATTTTTACTGAAAAACAAAGGCTTGTTTTATTAGTCGCTGTGGAATTTAGCAGGTGAAGCTTTCTCTGGCGGCAGTATCTCTGCTTAGTTTTGATTTTCCTGGGAGGAAAATGAAGTGAGGCTTGTGCACCAATCAAACACGTGGAATGCCCATTGCTTTTGCAGAGAAACAAGCAGGATTGGAGTTCAAAAGTATTAACTTGAATAAAAATCCTTAGGAACACATCCACCCAGATTTTTAGTTAATGAGTATCATGCCAAGTCTCCCTGTTATGTTTCTTTTACACATGGAATTTCCATTGGTTTAGCTCTTAAAGAGGTCTGAAGCAGAACGGCATCCCTGTGGAAATCACATGTTTTATTTGGATTCCACAGGAGAAAAGAGCTGAAAAGGGCAAAATATTATTTCTATTAGAAATGTATTTACTTCAAGAAGATATGAATCAGTGCTAAAAATGTTTTTGCAGGATATACAAACATAAAATTACATCAAAACACTGAGGGGAGAAGGAAATGGAGAATTATTGTTTAATGGATACAAAGTATCATTTTTGGGAAGATGAAAAATTTCTGGGCTGGGTGCGGGGGCTCATGCCTGTAATCCCAACAGTTTGGGAGGCTGAGGCAAGAGGATCGCTTGACCCCAGGAGATCGAGACTAGCCTGGGCAACATAAGAAGACCCCCATCTCTTAAAAAAAAATACAAAAATTAGCCAAACATGGTGTTGCATGCCTGTAGTCCCAGCTACTCAGGAGGCTGAGGTCAAAGGACGGCTTGAGCCCAGGAGATAGAGACTGCAGTAAGCCCAGATTGCAGCACTGCACTCCAGCCTGGACAACAGTGCCAAATTTCTGGAGATGATGACGGTGAGTAATATTTGCACATCATTAGGAAGGAAATGGCACTTTAAATTTAGTAATTAATTTTTCACTTTATGTAAGAGATGTTAAGATCTTCATAGAAAATATCTGGCCTTTAATAAGCTGCAGAAGAGTTAGGAATTATTAATTGGAGATCCCTGGCTGACCTTATTTATCACTCATTTCATAATCTGTAATTAATGCAAGTTTGGTGTTGTGATTGCTTCCAAGTGTAGACTAGTTGATTTTGCCACAAATTTCTAAATTACTGGATTTAGTAGTAATTTAGTAAATTGCCACTAAATTACAAAGGGACGAGGATATAGTTTTAGACATAACTGCAAATATATCGATGTTTATGTTGGTGGTAAAAAAAAAAAGTAAGGAAACGACATATACCCATGTATGAACTAAAGAGAATGTAGAATGTGTAAATAAACTTTATGAATAACTAACCTTATTAGCTCTGTTAATTAACCCATCTACCTGTTTGAGCCAGTTGGCGAGTACGGAAAAAAAAAGTAGGAAAATTTTCCTTAAAATTTTCTCTCCTGATTCAGATTAACATATTCACTATCTACTGTCACCCACAAATGGCTTTTGAACAGCTCTCACAGTTCCGCAGTCAGGCTGATGCCATTATACAGATGTGGGTAAACTCCAAAGATCAGGAGCTGAGTGGGAGGAGACTGAATAGTGCACTTTCAAGGATTTCACAGTAGTTTCCTCAGTTGTTGAGAGACGAGATTGTTAGCTAATCCTGTCTCTGGGACTACTGAACTATTTAGCCTTAGGAAAACCACTATGCCTAGCTGGAAGGGCATTAGTTCCTTCCTCTGTTGACATGCATGGTTTCCAAAGTCTCCTTCCACTTTACACTCTGATTGCATGATTCTCCCCACCTGTGTGATTTTAATAGTTAAAGTCATCTAACCCATGGTAATTGTGACAGTTTTCCTGAATGGACCAGGCAGCCATGGAGGTGTGCAAATCCTTCTCCTGTTCTTGAGTCTGAGGAGAGAAAGTGGCTCCAGAACTCTGGTGCATGCTATAGAATGAGTGGGCAACCTTGTGTCTTGTGAATTGATGTCTTGGGGTTTGATTGCTAGGAGGGGAAACCTACTAAAATGATTCTTAACCAAATGGGGGGTTTACTGGAAGGACACGGAATTTTCGTAGAACTTAAGGGCAGAACATTTAGCTGGATCTCATAAGGGACTGGGGAATCAGAAACTGAAAAGAAGGGAACTAAGATGTTCACCTCTCAGATAAGTCTTCTCTTTTTCCATCTTTCTCTCCTTATCCTTATTTCCTTCTCATCATTCCTGTTGCTTTCCCCCTTTTCCCATCAGTTTTGAACATCTTACTCATGCCTAACCTAATTCTAGGTTTGGACATTTCTAATTTAGCATGCAAGAGTGGAGCCCTATATGTGCATTGCAAAATCCATGCATGTGAGACTTTCTAGGCCTGTTTGAGTTCAGTGTTCATATTTGGTCTGGTTTGCTGTGGCAATGAGTATGGTTCGTTCAGCTCAGTGCCCATTCAGAAGAGACTCTTGGAGCACATTATCTTAAACAAGGATTGGAAATGAATATGCTCCTTAAGATTATTTTGGTTGCAAGCAGCAGCAATCTTCTTTGACTAGCCAAAAAAAAAAAAGTTTTGGAATTATACAGGGATATCTCCTATAACCAAAGGAAACAGGGCAGGTCCTGGATCTTTGGCAAAGGGTGTTAATAGATTTTTTCTTTAGGGAACTGCCATTTGTGACTCAGTTCTACTGAGTAACTATATTCTCTCTGTGTTTCTCTATGCCTCATTTAAGATTTCTGGGGCAAAGAGTCTAAATGGTCTGGTTTAGGATATGCCCACCTCTGAATTAATCTGTTATGTAGACAAGGGACATGGTAGCGCAACCAACTTGTCTCAGTTTTCGCAAAACTATCCCAGTTTAAGCACCGAAAGTCCAGCATCCTGGTATCCCCCTGTCTTTAGCAAACCAGAGTAGCTGGTCACACTAGGACATGGTCGCTTGTGCATATGTGGCCCATAAAAGGACTGCCTCTATGTATTTCAGCCATTCCTACAAAAAAAGGAATTGTGAGAAGCTATAAGGAAACATTTCACAGAGTGTCTATTACATTCTACTTCTTGGCACCCAGCGTGGGCACACACACACACACACACACACACACACACACCCCCCACATCACACCACATACACACTCTCTTCTTTCCATCCTTTCAAAAATACACCTTGCCGCTATGTGAATCAGTTATTTCAAGTATCACCACAAATGGACTACTAACCTTCCCAATGGGAGAAAACCCAAACGCGTGACCTTTTACTTCACTTAGAGTTGATGTTATGCCCTCTAAGTACAGACTTTCTACACGATATCCATTCCTCATTTTCTTCTACTGTAATCCTATCTCCATATATTGCAATGTATGGCCTTTTGCTGGCAAAAGGAGAAAAAAAGAAAAATGTATGTATTATACCATTCCTTTTTAAAAAGGCAAAGAAAGGGCTTGGTGTGCAAGAGAGTATTTATTAAACACTGGTAGCAAAGAAAACAAACAAAAAATGCAACAGTCCTCATTACTGTAGCTGGTGTTGAAGCTTCTTTCTTCTGGGCCCATTCCATAGTTCCCTGTGACTTCAGTTAGCATCTCAGTTGGTTGGGGTGATTTGCTCAATGCAGCAACCTGAGGGGTATGATCCCTTGTGGTCCTGCCTTTATAGGGTTGTGGTAGCCGTCTATTGCCTTTACATCTGGGTATGGCAGTTCAAGAAAGCACCCTCAAGGATAAAACATGCTATTCATGATGTATTATTTTTCTTTGATGACTAGGACAATCCCCCTAGTCAACCCCATGACTCACTGTTTTGTCTATTCCCTTAGATGACCCCACGGATTCCGTTGCACGGAGTCTCTGAAGTCCAAAATTTTTAAGCATAGGGCACAACGTTCTTCATGATTTGGCCTTGTCTCTTCTCATTATGCTTGCTCTTGCATCTGCCATCTGACACTTTGCTTAACTCCTGGCCAGCTACCGGTACAAGCCAAGCTCTCACTCCATAACGTCCTTCTTCTCTGCATGCCCTTCTCCACTGTGCCTGTCCTTTAACTCTTATTCATCATTTATTTCAGTCTCAATTGAAGAGTCATTATTTCTAGAAAGCCTTCTCCGCCCAGCTCTCTACATTGCACCGTTCCCTACAGCACCACCAGAGTGCCTCTAACACTTGATGGTTTCATTGCTTATATATTTTTGTTTCTGTGCATAAGCCTCCCGAGGGAGCCGCCGCTGTTCGATTTATTCTATAGCTAGTTCCTCGCCCTGAGTGTAAGCCTCACGAGAGTGGGGCTGTCCTCTGTTCGCTCTATCCCCAGCCCCTACAGCAGTGCCTGGTTGTTCACAGGCCTATATAGCAGGTGATAATAATCTGAATAATGAAAGAAGAAACACTGTCTTGTGGCGTGATTTACTTCTGTTTTTACTTATGTCAACTTTTAACTAGATTGTGAGGACAGAGGTCAGTGTCTGAGTCATCTTGTGCCTCACTGGGCTTGGGCAGAATAGACGCTTGGTCAAGCATTTGCACACTGGTCGATGGATACACTAGAAAGAGCAGGAGCGCGAGAGGGAATTTTTTTGGCGCCTGCCTCGCCCTTTCAAGCCAAGCCCCTCTGCCCTCTGCCCCTTGCCAGCCGCCCGTCGCCCGCCGCCGGCGATCCCTCTCCCGGGGAGCGGTAGTCAAGCGAGGCCAGCGGGCCGGGAGCGGGCCGGGAGCGGGCGAGGGGCGGGACTTCCGGTCCCGCTCGCGACGCGGACCGCGCCAGGCGGAAGCCCGGCTCCGGGCCAGCATCCGAGAGCCCGGACTGGAGGTGAGTTCGCAGCCGGAACGTTGCAGGCACTTGTTTCCTCAGTGGATGCCTTTCGGCGCGCCGCCGCCCGGCGCCGCGGGACTGGGAGACCGGGTAGGGA
This sequence comes from Homo sapiens, assembly GCF_000001405.40. Taxonomy (NCBI): domain Eukaryota; kingdom Metazoa; phylum Chordata; class Mammalia; order Primates; family Hominidae; genus Homo; species Homo sapiens. The sequence continues at coordinate 222,815,179 of NC_000001.11, forward strand.
CGGGAGAGTCGGCATCTCCCGCGCGTGTGGAGGGAAATCCGGGACCCCAGGCTTGAGAGAAGGGCCAGGACTGAGAACGGGGAACCAGGAGAGCCCTAAGGGCAGCCTTTAGGGACTGAGGAGGGAGGCACCGGGGACCCTGAGGCCAAAGAGGCCCTGAGACTGGAGGTTGCGGATGACACGGGGCAGAGTTGCATCTCGGAGGAAAGTAGTCATTCGTGGGGGCGTGTCCCGGGTCCTGGCGGATTGACTGAGAGGATGGCAGGAGATGGCAAAGGTTGGCTTCCAGGGAGAGGTTACAGAGGAGGGAGTCAGTCCTTCTCTGAGGGTCGTAGGTGAGAAGGACGTCTTGACCTAACGAACCAGAAAGATGACCAGCCACCTATTGGATGCTGAACTCCTATTGCTTCATTTGCAATTCATGCAGTTTGTTTTTTGTTTTTAGAAATATATCCCGCTCCGCGCGTGTGGATTTCGGGAAAATATTGTATATTCCTAGGGACCGCTCGAATTCTTGCTTCACCCAGATTCTGCGTGTCTTTGTCAAACTGATAGTAGTTGAGAGTTCTCTTCACCCAAGGAAGACAACCAAAGTTTTCCTTTTGGACTCTTCTCTACCCTGCAGAGTTTAGCTTGTCTTATTTCCCTTGTCATGGGATGAACTAAATGCGTTCAGAATTATGGTGATAATCACATGGAAAGCCAGTGCTGTCAATGTTTGCAGTTTCAACTCATTGTTTTTCTGTCCAACTTTCTAACACATTTTTTCTAAAAGCTATTTTGTTGGGTTTAGTCTTTTAGTTTAACCAATAAAGGCAATTTTACATCAGGGTGCAGCAAATTACTAGCAGTTCTTAAGATTTTACTGTTCCTTTTTATTTCTGCTGTAAGGAAATATATATATATATATATATATATATATATAAATATTTGCCATTGTCAGTGTTTTTTAAAAATATTGATAACCCAAGATCTGTTGTTACACGCACATTAGCACATTTAGTTTTCCCCAGTGGCCAGTGTTTGGTATGTGGGCTCATTATTATTACCAAAGGTAATTATTGATTTAGTTATTATTTACCTTGCATTTATGTTTTATTGGATGTGATTAATATGTGCTTCCTAATCTACATAATATAGTGTTTCACTCAGTGTAATTACAAAGATTCTCCTAGCTTTTAAGTAGGTAGTAAGTGAATTGGATTTTTGCCACAAAGTGAGCAAGGTAGCTAGGAAGAATCATAACACTGTCACTGATGGAGGGTGAGATCTGATGATTGCTTTGCTTGTTTCAGGTGTTTCACATTTCAAATGTTAGAAGTTTTTGTTTTAAAAATTACTGTATTAGTACAGGTAACTTTTAGATCTGATTTGGTGGTCTGACTTGAACTAATTCAGGAAAACTAGAACATTTTATATTTATTGGTACTGCGATATCTTGCTAGCTTATAAATTCTTGATGGCCTTGAATATCTGTGCTTGAGTGAAATACACAGTTATAACGTCCTTATGTTTAGGAGGACTGCTGATATTTACAAGTGTAAAGCAAGGCCTAAACATAAACAGTGCCTTAACATGTAAATGAGCATATTGAATAAGTTTTCAAATTACAAAATGAAGAGATAACACTGATCTCTAAAGTAATTGAATTAACTGCCATGTTAATTTCTGTATATGTCTCAATTTAATCTTATTTGTTTAAGTAGACAATATTGTTTATCTGATAAGACTTGATTTTATTTTTCTTCCGCCTTTTCCCATGGTTTTTGAGAAATAAAGCACTTGAGAAAGCATGCAAGTCTTTAGACATTAGTTCATGGTTGGAGGAAGTGCTCGTTGTTGAAACACAAGAGCACTTGCCCTCTTGGGCAAGTTGGGCTAGCTATATATATGAATGGTATGTTGAGGTTGGATTGCCCTGTATTCCGGAAAATCTTTGGAATTGTATTCTTTCTTCTAATTGTTTAGTAAATTTAGCTTTCTCTCTAGATAAATTATTTTTGTTATTCCGTAGGATTTAGATGTATTTTACAGTTTAACCAATAATGGCAGTTTTTGATTAAGTACAGCGAACTGCTGGCTATTTTATAGATTCACTATTTCTTTTTATTTCTGAAATATGTACAGTGTCTGTATTGGAAGAACTATCAAAATAGTGATAACCAAAACACTGTCTTCATATACACATACATTTGTCTTCCTTAATCTCTAGTTTGTAAAATACGAAATAATTTGCTAAGTTGAGCTCGTTGCTTCTATGCCCTTTGGTTATCAATTTTCTGATTATATAGTACGTTCTCAATTATCGGCATACTCTAGTTAGAAAGCCATTTCCTGCCACTTGATAGAATCAAGAATATTTGTTACAATGGGGAAGTACAGTTTTTGGATGAGGAGCTACGAAAGACTGCTGATCTGTTAACTTAAGGTCCAGCTGCTGCACTGCCTCTGATGAAAAGCATGGCCCTTAATGAGGTTGACTCACACAGGGTTGACTGCTTTTAGTAATACTTTCTGTCCTTTTCCTCTGGTGAGTTAGACCTTTTCTCCAATAGTGACCAAGATGACTTGGGCCTCAGAGTGACTCAAAAGGGGATGAATCACTGCAGTCCTGTTAGTAGGGCCCTGTCCATTCTGCTGAATCTGATCCCATAAATCTTGGCACATTTTCCAGCCTATAGGCATGTAGTTATGACTGTGAACCTCTTGTTTAGGTTATTGTTTTAAAAATACTTTTAATACTAAATCATAATTTGTTGGATTATATAAATAGACTCAGTTTTGCTTTGAGTGAGGCATCACATTACACTGTAGATGAACTTTTCTGTTAAAGTGATAGGCTATAACTCACAATGGCAAATATTGTAGAAAACACACTGATTGCCCTTAACCTTTGTTGTTATTATTAGTTTTGTTTTTAATTTTGAGAGCCTAAGGAATAGAAGAACTATTGGATAAATGATTTGCATGGGGGGGTGGGGGAAGTTGACCACTACCAGTGACATACTAGGGGTCTTGATGGTGGGAGCTGTCTGCTATAGTTGGAAAGAGTATTTTAGCACTGAGGTTTAGAATTGCCAGCTCCTGGTGATAATACAGCAGAAAGACTTTTAGTTGTTATTATAGTTTTTGAATACCACACAGATGATGCACTCCTTTGTTACCTGGAGAGGGCTGGGAGGGGAATCCCTCCCACCTCTTGTGTGAATGACCTGGTGGAGCCTCCCACCTCTTGTGTGAATGACCTGGTGGAGCCTCTTGAAGCAAAATAGTACCAGTTTGATTTTCACTGTGTTAGTGTATAATTATGGTTCTCCGGAGAAACAGACCAATATCACATATATATGTGTATTTTTAAAAGAGATTTATTTTAAGAAATTGGCTCATGCAGTTGTGGGAGTTGGCAAGTACAAAATTTGTAGGTCAGACCAGCAGGCTGGAAATTTAGGCAGGAGTTGATTCTGTAGTTTTGAGGCAGAATTCTTTCTTCTTTGGGAAACCTCAGGTTTTGCTCTTAAGGCCTTCAGCTGATTAGATGAGTCCTACCAACATTACGGAAGGTAATCTCCTTTACTTAAGGTCAACTGATTGTAGACATTAACTACATCTACAAAATATGTTTATAGCAACACCTAAATTGGTGTTTGATTAAATACCTGGGTGCTATAACCTAACCATGTTGACACATAAGGCTAACCATGACAGCATTTAAAATACTTTTGCTGTATTAAACTAATATGTGGCGTGTAAAATGTTGCATAGTCAATAGGAGAATATTGATATGGTTTGGCTCTGTGTCCCCACCCAAATCTCATGTCGAATTGTAATTCTCAGTGTTAGAGGTGGAGTCTGGTGGTAGGTGATTGGATCATGGAGGTGGTTTCTAATGGTTTAGCACCATCCCTCTAGTGTTGTCTCATGATAGAGTTCTCACAAAATCTGGTTGTTTAAAAGTGTGTCCCACCTGCCCCTGTGCTCGTCGTTTCTCCTGCTCCAGCCATGTAGGACACACTGGTTTCCTCTTCGCCTTCTGCAATGATTGTAAGTTTCCTGAGGCTTCCCCAGCTATGCTTCCTGTACAGCCTGTGGAATTGTGAGCCAATTAAACCTCTTTTCTTTATAAATTACCCATTCAGGTAGTTCTTTATAGCTGTGTGAGAATGGACTAATAAAAGTATCAAAATTCATAGCCCAGTTACTTTTTAAGGGATTTAAAAACAGTGAAAATCTGGGTTTTCATTATGTCAAAGAATGGAAAATGGACAATTTAATGGCCCCTCCACTCTCTGACATTTAAAAGTTACTCTTTTTTTGTGGTTTTAATATGTTATATACATACACACACACACACACACATATCTTTTTTTTTTTTTTTTTTTGACACAGTGTCTCGCTGTGTTGCCTAGGCTGGAGTGCAGTGGCACGATCTCAGCTCACTGCAAGCTCCGCCTCCTGGGTTCAAACGATGCTCCTGCCTCAGCCTCCCAGAGTAGCTGAGATTACAGGCACCCGCCACCATGCCTGACTAATTTTTGTGTTTTTAGCAGGGACAGGGTTTCACCATGTTGGCCTGGCTGGTCTTGAACTCTTGACCTCAAGTGATCCACCTGTCTCAGCCTCCCAAAGTGCTGGGATTACAGGCATGAGCCACTGCGCCGAGCTAATATGTTGTATATATATTTTTAATTTAAGGTGTTTAAAATTTTTTTTTAATTTTGTAACTATATTTTTAAAGTTTATGCTCTTGTTAATCTTTTTGCTTAAATATTTAGATCTGGGAATTAGTTTTGTGCTTATTTAGCCTGATTCCTTTCATTTATGTTCACCAAAAGGGTCCCAGAAAGGTGTAGTGATTTACCCAGTTACCATAGCTAGTAGAAGAACCAGAATTTGAGGCCAGATCTCCTTGTTTTCAATCCAGTGCCCTTTCAGCTACAAAAGTAGTTATAGTTAAGTGAAGCTAATCAAGGGCAGATTTTCTGTAAGGAGGGTGATTTTGAGTGTCTATTTAAGGGAGTATGAGTTGATTGTTACGAGAATGGAGGTGGTATTCGGGCTATTCAGTTACATTAGGGGAAGGATGAGCAGAGAGTAGATATATCATAAAATATCTAACTACGTAACTACTTGGGGCACATAGTGACGTGTGATACCCATGGGGCTTGAAAGGATTTTGCAAGTTAGCACAAGCTAGCCATTGGGTGATTCACAGGGGATATTTGAAAAGACCTTAAGGATAGGGAACACATGGACCAAGAGAAGTTACTGAGAGGGCTTCCTTTCTGGAGGAAGTTAAAGATAGAAAAGCATGGTGCTTTTGGAACCCAAGTGCTTGGAAACCCTCCAGAAGAGAATTTTAAGGACTCCTTGGGGGATAGAACATTATAGGACATAAATGGATATTCTAGAAGCTTGCCAGGTTTCAGGCATGAATTTGAGCTGAATTATGGTAATAATAATAATTGTCATTTGTTGCTCACTTGCAGCCTCAGCACAGTTAGAAGAAACCTTAGGCAAGTTACTGAACTTTATGCTTTACCTGCAAAATATGCATAGTAATACCTACCGTACATAGTCATTATAGGAAATACAAGATAATGTACATAATGTGCTTAGCATAATGCCTGCCACATAGTACTCAAGAAATTGTAGCATTTATTTTACTGTATCATGCAGGCTGGCTGAGGGTGTTACTAGAAGACATCACTAGAATGAGATCCCTTTTTTCTCCTACAGCTTTATGTTACTCCCACAGGTCTTTTTTATTTTTATTTTTTTAAACTTATTTTATTTTATTTTTTGTGACTCCAGAAATATGCTTATCCATCCCACGGGTCTTTGGCATGCTTTTGCCTTCAAGTTTATCATTTCTAAGCAGGTGCATGTCTCTGGCCATATGTAGAGTACTTCTCTACCTCTGTAATCAGCAGGCCTGTTGTTTTTGAATGAACAATGCACCTTTTGGCTGTATTTCATTGCAGATTCCATCTCTTCAAACTGAAGTGATGTTCTTAACTACAGTGCTGTCTCCAATTAATTCAGATGGGGTTGGGAAGAGGAATGGAAAGCACAAGCATGTGAAGTAACTTTTCTATTTAAAGGGTTCTTCCCTTCAGGTTTTGAGTAAACAACTATTTGAATAGAAATAAACTATTTTGACAGATGCCAGCTCCAAAGATAATTGGTTACAAAAGACATTTTCTGGGATGATGCATCATAAGATATGAAAGCACTTAGGAATGTGATGCGGTTTGGCTGTGTGTCTCCATTCAAATCTCATCTCGAATTGTAATCCCCATGTATCAAGAGAGGGACCTGGTTGAAGGTGATTGAATCATGGGAGTGGTTTGCCCTATGGTGTTCTCGTGATAGTGAAGTTCTCATGAGATCTGATGGTTTAAAAGTGGCAGTTTTCGGCCAGGTGCAGTGGCTCATGCCTGTAATTGCAGCACTTTGGGAGGCTGAGGTGGGTGGATCACTTGAGGTCAGGAGTTCAAGACCAGCCTGGCCAACATGGTGAAACTCTGTGTCTGCTAAAAATAATACAAATATTAGCCGGGTGTGGTGGCGGGCACCTGTAATCCCAGCTACTCAGGAGGCTGAGGCAGGAGAATTGCTTGAACTTGGGAGGCGGAGCCTGCAGTGAGCCAGGCTCGTGCCACTGCACTCCAGCCTGGATGACAGAGTGAGACTCCATCTCAAAAAAAAAAAAAAAAAAAAAAAGTGGCAGTTTTCCCTGAGCTCTCTCTCTTTTCTGCCACCATGTCACCATGTAAAACATGCCTTGGTTCCCCTTCACCTTCCACCATGATTGTAAGTTTCCTGGGGTCTCCCCTGCCATGCAGAACTGTGAGTCAATTAAACCTCTTGTTTACTCTTGTTTGTAAATTACCCAGTCTCAGGTAGTATCTTTATAGTAGTGTGAAAACGGAATATACAGGATTGAATGACATATTTGTGCTCAAGATCCAGTAGTGAGATTACTAGGTAGTAGGCATAGAGTATCTGCCTTAACTTTGTAGTGTAATTCTTTCTGAACCAGACCTGGAAACCATTTCACTTGTGTTCAGAAGGTTGGTAGAATTTGCATTTGACTCAGAGTGACATGGTGTGTTTAGCTATCATTCTCAGGAGCCTTTGCAGTGCTTGAAGATTTATTAGGAAGGGTTCTTTCTGGAACCCTTTAAGCTTGACAAGAACCTCTTTATATCATTTTGTATGCTAGGTTTTAAAATTAAGTTGAGAAATTTATGTATTTCTACATTTATAAGCAGAAAGAGTTTAGCAAAGCTTGACAGAGGCTTTTGAGGGAAGAAGTAAGTTTGAATGCTTTTCCTGTAATTCCAACTGTTTTTTAAAGATGTAATTATATAAACATTGAATTTTCAATGATAATGATTTTCATAAATGATTTAATACAATTTGATCATGAGCTAGAACAGCTTCATATATCCAGGCCTCAGTGTTTCAAATTATAAGGTTTTCTGTTTTACAATTCTACAGTTGATAAGTTTTGGTAATCTACAGCAGCATTTGATTTTCAGTGAGACATGCTGGCAAATTATTGCCTCTAAAATATCAGAGTGAGTGGTGTGATCATTATATTTGTTCCATAGCCTTTGCTGCACACCTTCTTAAAATCTCCTCCTTTTCCCTGCTCTGTTACTTTCTCCTTGGATAATGATGCTTTCTCATCTCCTAAGTGTCCATGCATTAAAATCATCAATTTCTCTTTCTTTTGTCCCTTAACCTCTCTCCCAAAGGAAATCTGCTTCTCTCGTAACTGTTAGCTAGTCTGAATTGTCTGAGTTAATTCAGAATAAATTGTGGAATGACTGATAGACCTAATTCCAAATTACATCAGGATGCAGAGAAAAGGGAACACTTGTACACTGTTGGTGGGAATATAAATTAGTACAAATTATTTGGAAGACAATATGGAGATTTCTCAGAGAACAAACAGTAGAACTACCATTTGATTCAGCAATCCCACTACTGAGTATGTACGCAAAGGAAAATTAATCATTATATCAGAAAGATACCTGAACTCAATATGTTTATTGCAGCACTGTTGACAACAGCAAAGATACGGAATCAACCTAAGCATCCATCATGGATGACTAGATAAAGAAAATGTGGTGTACACACAACACACACACACGAATACTGTGCAGCTTAAAAAAGAATGCAGTCATGTCTTTTGCAGCAACATAGATGGAACTGGAGGGCATTATCTTAAGAGAAATAACTTAGAAAGTCAAATACTACATGTTCTCACTTATAAGTGCTAAATAACATGTACACATGGAAGCAGAATGTAGAGTAATAGTCATTAAAGACTGGAAAGGGTGGGAGAGGGTGAGGGATGAGAAATTGTAAATGGGTACAACATACATTCTTTGGGTGATGGTTACACAAGAGGCCAGATTTCACCATTACACAATATATCCATGTAACAAAACTGCACTTGGACCCCTTAAATTTATGCAAATAAATAAAAATAAATAAGTAAAAAGCAAAAAAGTATATGTGTTTTGAAGTGAAGCTTGTAAAACTAAAAAGTCCTGTTCACCCAAAGAATTAGCAAAGTGTTTTAATATATGTAGATTGCTTCCTTGTTTACGTTGTTGCTTCAGATTTCTTTCTTTCCTTTTTTTTTTTTTTTTCGGACTCCTAGTATCTGAGAACATATTTCTTCCCTATAGGAGTTGAGAAGAGGAGGAAGAATAATGGGAGGAGACAGGACCTTTTTCAACTTGACAAATAGGTATAGCTACTTCTCATACGTTTTTTCTCCCTCCAGGTCCTCAGTAATCTCATTACATTTTTTTGTTTGTTTATTTAAATACTCTGATGACATATTATATGCCTTAGTTGCAGTTTCCCATCTCCCAACTTGTTATAAGATAAATACTTCTAATTTATATATTAAGTTACATATTAATTTGTGAAACTTATTTTACCTTGTTTTTCAGAACAGTAATAAGTTTTATTAACATGATAAATTTTTTTCCACCAAAGAGGAAAAGTTACCAGTAAATGTGTCCTACTTGTTGAAAATGCCTCTAATGATACTGGCCTCTATTTATTGATCATATATGCCAGACACTGCAGTGAGCATTTAATATATTATTCATTTCTTACAACAACCCTTATATAAGGTAGATGTTTATATTTCACTTTTGGAGAGATTAATTTGTCTAAGCTTGTGCTACCTGTAAATGGTGGAGCTTATTTTAAAGCCCTTCTGCTTTTGCTTATACACTGTTTTCTTCTACATTTCAAAAGCACCTTAAATGATTTGGTGCTGATACTTGAAGTACTTTTTAGAGAGAGTTAGCAGCATGTTGATTCTACATTTTTTTGTATATCTTCATACTCCTAAAAGTGTTTTATTTTCCATTTGTTCCACTTTAAGTATTTGTTAAATGTAATTCTTTTTTTTTTTCCAGGATGGTACCATAATTAATGTAGCATCTAGCATAGTTGAAAGTAGCAGATACTTTAAAAATATTTGCTGCATCAATTCAAAAGAATAACGAAAGGAGAGGTGGCAGTTAATGGTGGGGGGCTATTCACATAAAAATTCATTTCTGTTGGAATGTGAGGCTGGAACCTTTCTCATATTACAGCATGCTGCAGGGCAGGGCTAGAATCCAAGCTTTGATTAAAATCACCCAAACTCTTTTTTCTTTGCTTTACAACCACAAGTTATTGCCAGCTGAAAAGGATAATGGAGGGTAATGATGAATGCGTTTCCATCTGCCGCTACTGCAAAAAAAATTTTTTAGACAGTTTCATTCTTTTTAAACCTAGATAAAAAGGCTGTTTTGAAATGAAGAGTAAATTAGTGGCCACCAAATGAGTAGTTATTAGATTGTTGCCCTAGAAGCCTGTTCAGGTGATGCTGAGGGTGGTTGCTGCCAGTTAACAGTTCGGTCTCAAATAGTCTCTCCCCAGGGATGGGGAATGTGGGGGGGCAGTGGTGGGGGATGGTGGGGGTGGTATAAGAATTCAAGCATTCTTGAGAGTCTTTCTTTTTCATTCCCAACTGTAGGTTTTAGACATGTGTGTTACTTTCCCAGAAACTGCCTAGATTTTCATAGGCTGTCAAGGTCAAATATATTGATTTAGCCATTTCATAATATATATGTATATGAAAACATGTTGTATACCATAAATATATACAATTTTTATCTGTCAATAAATTTTAGAAAAGAAAGTCAAATGCAAACTGAACTTTAATAATTTTATGCAGTAGATCCTTTTTTAACTCACTGGAACCTGAGAGAACTAAGCCATTTGGAATAACCTGTTTCTCTTTTTTTTTTTTTTTTTTTGAGATGGAGTCTCACTCTGTCACCCAGGCTAGAGTGCAGTGGCACGATCTTGGCTCACTGCAACCTCTGCCTCCTGGGTTCAAGTGATTCTCGTGCCTCAGCCTCCTGAGTAGCTGGGATTGCAGGCGCCCACCACCACACCTGGCTAATTTTTTTGTATATTTGGTAGAGACGGGGTTTCACCATGTTGGCCAGGCTGGTCTCGAACTCCTGGCCTCAAGCAATCCGGCGGCCTCGGCCTCCCAAAGTGCTGGGATTATAGGCATGAGCCACCACTGTGCCCAGCTGAATAGCCTGTATCTCTAATACATTGTTAACCCAGCCTCCTCACCCCCTCAGCAGTTAAACTATGTGTGGGGCAGATTGAATTGCTGTGCTTACCAAATTGTTTGTTTGTTTTTGAGGCTGGGTCTTGCTCTGTCACCCAGACTGGAGTGCAGTGGTGAGATCATAGCCCACTACAGCCTTGACTTCCTGGGCTGAGGCAATCCTCCTGCCTTACCCTTCCAAGTTTCTGGGACTGTAGGTGTGTACCACCATGCATGGCTAATTTAAAAATTGTTTTGTAGAGACAGAGGTCTCGTTTCATTGCCTATGTTGGTCTTGAACTCCTGAGCTCAAGCTGTCCTCCCGTCTTGGCCTCCCAAAGTGTTGGGATTACAGGCTTGAGCCACCATGCCCAGCCTGGGTTTTTCTTCTTACTGTAGTTGATTATTCCTCATGGTTGCTCCTCCAGATGACTTCAGCAGCAGTGTAGTGTAGAAATATTCCATTAGTCCTTTAAGACTGTAACCTGATTATTAGTAATTAGAGCTCTGGGCTCAATTGCAGATTTGTAGTCTCCTTTACACTTTAATACTTTTTTTTTTTTTTTTTTTTTGAGACAGGGTCTCACTCTGTCACCTGGGCTGGAGTGCAGTGGCATGATTACAGCTCACTGCAGCTTCAACCTCCTGGGCTCGAGTGATCCTCTTGCCTCAGCCTCCTGAGTAGCTGGGACTACAGGTGTGTGCCACCATGCTCAGCTAATTTTTTTGTTTTTTAACTTCTTACAGAGATGGGGTTCTACTATGTTGCCCAGGCTGGTCTCAAACTCCTGGGTCAAACGAGCCTCCTGCCTCAGCCTCCCAAAGTCCTGGTATTTATAGACATGAGCCACCAGACCTGGCCTACACTTTAAGAATTTTTTAATGATTTGTGGTTGTTTGGTATTGGTCTTTACATTATTATATATCTGCTGAATGCTGTGTGATGGATATTAAAATTATCCACTCCTATCAGGGAGCTACTAACTAAAATGTAATTTCTTTAACCGTTGAATTTGGACAATCTGACTTCAGAGTTTTAGCTCTTAACTCCTTTACTATAAAGCTGATGCCTCCTGTTTCATAAATAATACAGCCCCTATTTAAGATTTCTACATATAACATTCCCCCATGTTATTTTCTATTAGAGTATGTGTATATATTGCAAGGTTTTCCATTTCTATTCTAATAAAACTTTCATCTTTAGTTTTAGTGGTTGTCAGTTGGTTTCTCACAAGACGTTTTCTGCCTTTAGCATTTTTATTTCAGGTAAAAGGATTATGTCACCTTGATGAGTTCTTGGCATATATGCTGTAAAGTTAGTCTTCTGTACCGGTAGAGACAAACAGTTAAAGCATGTACAGTACTTCTTTTGGATTATATTATAATTTGAGGAACAGATTTGCCATTTGAAGTTTGTCTTAGATACATAATTTTTATTCTGTAAATGTACAGATGGTGGAATTCTGGAAACATCCTGTGTTGAAGAGAAAAATTCCACTCAGAATTTAAAATTGGCCTTGGAGAATTATAAAAAGGGGTAGGGGCATGGATCATCCATATGTGGGTTATTGAATTAAATTTTTCACTTTTTTTGTTCTTAGAGTCAACTTTTATAACACTGTTACTGGGAATACTTGACTTACTAAGCTTTTACTGAACACTTTAATTTTGGGAGTACAATTTCTAAACTCACGAAATAATCTTCATGCAACAAGATGTTATTTTATCAAATTTTGGTATTACATGCTCATTCTTTGACAAATTTTAATTAACAGGTAAGTTATACATCTTTAAATTTATATAATTAATAATCATTTTTTATTTCTAGAACTGAGGTCAGGGGTAGTTAGCTATCTAAAAAGCAACAACTGGGTTTTATTTTATATGCATTGTTAATCGTGGCATTTTGCTGTGGAAGGGGCATTTGCATTAGATTTAACTTAATCTTGTGAAAATCTAAACATATTTAAGCAAAGTTTAGGGAAAATAAACTTGAGATACTACATATAATTTGATTTAGAAGCTTTTTAATCCTGAATAAGGAAGGAATACACAGAAAGTCAAGGAAAAATTCTATGTAATAGTTGTGATACTCAAGCTGAAAATAGTCTGATCCAGCAGCCTAAAAGAATGACCTCCTCACTGGTTGAGCATACTTCAGTGTCATGAAATGAAGAGGACGGGAAAAGGTGTCTGTGCATCTTTGTTTGAAGACTGTACTAGGTATAGTGTACTTGCATGTTAACTCAAATACTAGGCTAAAAAGTTTGTATTATTATTCCTCTTTTAAAGATGAGGAAACTGAAATTTTAAAAGCAGGTGACTTGTCTGTGGTTAGAAGAAATATATGCAGAATTGTGATTTATGCCCAGAATATCTGACTCCAAGACCTAAATTCTTTCTGCCATATCATATGCTTTCTACTTATCTTTTGTTTGTTTGTTTTTTATTCCATTTTCCCCCCTTTGAACTGTGTTGGAAGTTTTCTGTTCTATTTCTTTTTTTCTCTATGGTTACCGTAGAAATGTTAATATGCATACTTAACAAAGTCTAAATAAATGTAAATGCAATCTTTATCCTTCTCCTGAACCTCCTTCTGATAAGAACTATTTTTATCAGACATTATAGTTTTGGGACTTGATCTTTCAGCCCCAGAAATAACAGTGTTTATATTTACCCATATGCATTTAACCTTTTTTCCCTTGACCATTCCTTCATGTGTATCGATTGTAAGCTGAAATGTTTTTTAATTTACTCCCTCAGGAGCTTTATGTGAGATGGTCTTTGCTCAGGCTCTCCATTTCGTACAGGCCCTCAAGTTTTGCTGCCTATTACCCTATTTTCTATAGCTCCCCTCCCCATCAGGTTCATTCCACCAGGAATATGTAGATTCCCCAGGGGCACATTCGCTTTAGCACTAACTCACCTCTCTAGACTTGTACTTTTTAAAAAATTATTTCTGCCCTTGGAGCATTTCTCTTACTTTATTGTTGGCTCTTCTATACATTAAAAAAAAATTTTAAGTACTTAAATACAACAATTTTTGGTGATCTCCAGCCATGGGGCTGCATTGCCAGAAATAAAAGTCCACATTGTCATTGTGCTTCATGGGAGTATTTTGTATTGAACATGTGGGCTGGGGGATGGGTAGAGGATGTTTTTAAATTTATTTTAAAATAAGTTCCTAGAAACTGATGAAACTCTTTCATTTAGAGTCATAAGAAATAAACTATTTGTTTGATGAAGAAGCAACAGAGGACTTCCAAAAAGCACTTTTGAAAACTCCCCTTACTGAAGGTTTATATTAACTGCCCTCTAGAGGAAGAAAAAAATCTGAGAAAGATCTTTTAATAGGACATTAAGTATTGTTTTCCCTTGCACCTTTTTCTAAGATAAACAAGAACCAAGGATTACTTGCTCTGTGCATGGGATGCCATGTTGTAAAGTTTAGGTAGCAGATGCTCTAAGAAAATTTATAAAATTAAGGCTGAAATTACCATGAAAATGCCAAAACATCTTTGTATTGGAATTTTACAAAATTTGTTCTTAGGACTTAACTTCTTAAAACGTATCAGTTTTCAAAGAGATGGTAACTTTACTTCATCAGTTCTCTTTGAATGTTTTTTTTTTTTTCATGAGATAGAGTCCTACTCTGTTGCCCAGGCTGGAGTGCAGTGGCACGATCTCGGCTCACTGCAACCTCTGCCTTCCCAGGTTCTAGCGATTCTTCTGCCTCTTGAGTAGCTGGGATTACAGGCGTGCACCACCATGCCTGGCTAATTTTTTGTATTTTTAGTAGAGATGGGGGTCTCACCATGTTGGCCAGCCTGGTCTTGAACTCCTGACCTCAGGTGAGCCACCCACCTCAGCCTTCCAAAGTGCTAGGATTACAGGCATTAGCTACTGTGCCCAGCCAAGAAATAGAAAATAACTTTAGAGCAGTATTTTCTATATTCTATATTTTTTCATATATTCTTATATGATTACCTGCATAGGATACATGTGTTGTGTTTTGCTTTGCTTACCTGATAAAACACTGTTAAAAATAATATTTTAATTGAAAAGATGCTTAACCCACATTTTTTAATGGGTTAAGGTTAATGTTTTGTGGGTTTTTTTTAGCAGATGGTATTGATTTAGTGTTTTTGGCAATAATTTTGTTAGCACTGATAGAAAAGATGAGGATTTGAAAGGAAACAATTGCTTGCTTTGTAAGTTGTGATGTTCAGTAATGACTAAGTACATTCATTTGCACAGCCAGTACAAACTCCAGATGATTTTTTCCCTGCCTGTTCCTTAAGTGGGTCATGTGATTTGGTGTTTATCACTGACTTGAATATCTTCAAGTTTTACAAACCACATAACTTGACCATGAAATCAAGCAGTTCTTTCAAAGGACTCTTTGAAAGTAGATTTTATTTTTTTGGGGGGGTCATTTCAATGAAAAGAAGATTATGCAATTTGTGTATGGGTTTTGGAACTTTTCTCCCTTCCTTTCCTTCTTTTTATTTCATCTTTCTTTCCTGACTTCTTTCTTCCTTCCGTCCTTCCTTCCACCTTCCTTTTTTTTTTGAGACAGCGTCTCGCCCTGTCACCCAGGCTGGAGTGCCGTGGCCCGATCTCGGCTCCCTGCAATCTCCACCTCCCAGGTTCAAGCGATTCTCCTTCCTCAGCCTCCTGATTAGCTGGGACTATAGGCGCGTGTCACCATGCCCGGCTACTTTTTTGTATTTTTAGTAGAGACAAGGTTTAGTTATGTTGGTCAGGCTGGTCTCGAACTCCTGACTTCAAGTGATCCACCTGCCTCGGTCTCCCAAAGTGCTGGGATTACAGGCGTGAGCCACTGTGCCTGGCTCCTTCCACCCTCTTTAAAACAAGTTTCAATGCAGAGATTTCTGTGGTACTTTTTGGTTGGTCTTCCCAACACAGTCTCTGCCATTAGCAGTTAGCTTTTAGCGAGGCTGATAGGCCATTCATTTATTTTATAAAATCAATTTTTGTGTATGGTATTTGGTGGCCGTCTTTCAGAGATGACAGTGACTCAAGTGTCTGTGAGATTGTGACTGCTGCATTTTATTTAGATCTGGTCTTTTTTGTTTTAGGGATAATGGGAAAGGAGCCTAATCCTTAAAGAATGGTATCTAAATTTGTGAAGAACCTGCCTAAATTGTTATGGTGGCACATGTGACTGATGGATCTTTTGGATTTGAATGCCTGTAATGTTTTAAATATATGTTTACTATTAAAATTGTTCCTGGGTTCCTTCTTTCTTCTGTAGGATATGTATATGGATTAATTGTACAGAACCATTAACATGCTGACCTTTGTGCAAATGTGAAATACTTCTTTAATGGTTCTTTTAAAAACTGGGTTCTGTCAACGTTGAGAATTTCAGCACCATTATCTGTTAAGTTACTACCCCATTTTAAGTATTGCATAGTTTGACATATGTATGCACAAATACACATGTGGAATCATAAATTAAACGATATGTAAAAAATGGGGAGATTATTTCAGAGGTAGTAGGTTTATTTTTGAATAATAAGTGTATCTTAAATTCAGTAAATTAAATATATAATAAATGCCCATGATGTATAAGGAACTATGTTTGATGCTAGGTAGATTTATAAATAGCTGTAAGTTCTTATTTCTTATAGAATAAGGAATTGTCCATAAAGACCCTACAGCTTAGAACTGCTGAATTTAATAAGCTGTATACTAGTTTTTTGTCATTACTTTTAATGACAAAAACTGCAAGTACTTTTGTAACCCAATAGTAGTTCACATGAGAGACATTATCACAAGACAAAGAGATTAGAGAAAACTTTATACATAATGACTTGGGACTGGAACTTGAAGATAGGATTTGTAGAGGCATAGAGGTGTGGGGGACAAAGTACCCAGTAGAGGAAGCCTGAGACAGGATGGGAAGTTGCAGCATGTGTTTGAGGGACCAGTTTGGTTATAATATATGGGATACATTTTAGAGAGTAGGAAAAGATAAGATTGGGGCTAGGACATATAGGACCTTGAGTACCATCTTGAGAAAACTCTGAAGTTTGTGAAACAGTGAGGTGATTGGTCATCTATTCATTTGGTAAACAATTGAGTATCAGTTGTGTGCCAGGTACCAATTAAGCAGAAAAGTAGAGTGGGTAAGAATTACATAGCAGCTGGGCACGGTGGGTCATGCCTGTAATCCTAGCACTTTGGGAGGTCGAGGTGAGTGGATTACTTGAGGTCAGGAGTTAAAAACCAGCCTGGCCAACATGATGAAACCCCGTCTCTACTAAAAATTCAAAAAAAATGTGGTGGGCGCCTGTAATCCCAGCTACTTGGGAGGCTGAGGCAGGAGAATCACTTGAATATGGGAGGCGGAGGTTGCAGTGAGCCGAGATTGCACCACTGCACTCCAGCCCTGGGACAACTAAACTTCCAAGTTTAAGTCCTGATTTACTACTTGTTGGCTTAATGACCTTTTGTAAGTTTCTTAACCCTTTCAGATAGGTCTAAGTCTGTCTGTGATGATAAATTTGTTAAATCATCAAGTCATTGATTTTTATAAAAATTTCTAATGTTAAGGTCTAAGAAATTTTTATAAGAACTTTCATTTTTGGTTACTGGTCCTAAGAGAGAACTATTTTATCATGAATATCAAAAATTTTAGTATTTCACGTAGAAGTTTTTTAGTTGAGACCTTTTAAAATGCAGGATTACTTTAGCTAATTTGACTTCTTTTGGATATTGTTGAATTTAATTTTAAGTCAAATTTAAAATTAAAATGAAGGCCCGGCATGGTGGCTCACACCTATAATCCTAGCACTTTGGGAGGCCAAGGTGGGCGGATCACCTGAGGTCAGGAGTTCAAGACCAGCCTGGCCAACATGGCGAAGCCCTGTCTCTACTAAAAATACAAAAAATCAGCCAGGCGTGGTGGCTCATGCCTGTAGTCCCAGCTACTTGGGAGGCTGAGACATGAGACTCACTTGAACCCGGGAGGTGGAAGTTGCAGTGAGCCGAGGTCACGCCACTGCACTCCAGCTTTTGTGACAGAGTGAAACTCCATCTCAAAGAAATAAAAAATGAAAATAAATGTAAGTTAAATTAGATTACACATGTTAAATTTAAATTTAAATAAGTTGAAAATTAAAACCCAAACACACCTTAAATAAATCACAACCCAAATAATCTTGTACCCATCTCTTCAGCTGGAGGAGGGAATTGAGGCAATGGGGGTTCTGTGTTTGACTTCTGCGAACACAAGGTAGATGTTTATTTGTTATTGCTGCTGATGTTTAAATCAGAAAAGGTTAGAAACGCATACTGAGTAGGCAGAATTATAGCTTCCACACTCTGTTTTAGACAGATTGGGATAGATATCTGATTGTCTTTGAGAATAGACTTTTAACAAAGTGATAAGAGTTGAGATAAGTCACAAATATAACCTCACAGGAGTTCATATTAGTGTAGCAAAAGTGTGGGTATTATTAAGTAGGTTCTTCCGTACACCCTACTTTTTGTTCAAGGACATTTCTGTGGGTTCTGATCAATGGTATTTAGTGGTATTTAATATTTGTATGCCCCACAACCGCCCTCTAGTACCCTACATATTTATTACTATAAACTAACCTTTGATCTCTGATACTGTTGAATAGTTTAGTTATATATTCAAACTGTGTGGCAAGACTTGCAGTGGAGAATATAGGAAATGGGGTTTGGCCTGAGGAGAAGGGCGTAGGAAAGGCTTGGTGCTGTGCCTTGTTCTTTAGATTTTACATCCCTTTAATTGCTTTCCTCCTATGACCATTGCTTTGCCATGACTGTCTAAAACTGTGGTATGATGTATGAGTTATGAGGTGTTCATTTCAGATGTTATGCACTGAGCTCTAATTAACTTGACAGAAGCCAGATTGATTTTTATGCAGAGACTTTTAGTATAGTAGATTTGGAGCTAGAAGACCTAGGCTTGAACCTTGGCTGTTTCTCTTATTATTTGTGTCACAAAATGTAGGTTTTCTTAATCTGTTTTCTTATTAGTAAAGAGGGAATAGTCATTACTGTTGTAGGTTGTTGTGAGGTTGTTGCAATAAGGCTTAAATGAGATGCCAAGAAAGCATTTTATAAAATTCTAAAGAGCTATTTAAATGTCCAGTGTCCTTGGTACATGGTGAGTCTTTGGAGGCACATAGTGTGTCTTAAGTATCATTTGGAGCAACTACAACAGTAAGGCACAGATTTTTAAGTTGTAAGCTCTGAGAGTACAGACTTTGTCTATTTTGTACCACTGTATCTGCAGCATCTTATAGAATGGTGTTTATTTATTTCTAAGTTTCAAAACTTTAAAACATTTTTCTTCTGCTTACCCCCTTTCCTTAGAAGTTTGATGATTCTTTCTTCGTCTTCAAAAGAAAAAAAAAAGATATAAACAGAGCATAGCATCCTGTCCTGTAGTTGGATAGATAAGCTAACTCTTTGTGGGCTGGTCCTTAAAAGTAAAGAGGGTGGGTGGTTACAGTGGGATTCTCTTTTAGTTCTATTTCTGCCACAAATAAAGAGAAACAAGATAATAGATGGGAACCTGAAAAGAAAAATGTTTCAGTAGAACTTAGACAGGCAGGAATTTAGGAATAGCAGTGGAATGGAGAAGCCAGAATAGGAGTTTGGGTTGGGTCCAGGGAAAGATGATCTAGACCATAAAGGCGTACACGAGGTCTTACTATTAAGACATTCTGTCACAGACAGGTAGGGCACACTAAGCTTATACATGAAAATTCAGACTGCTTTAAAAAATGGTACCTTGTTTATATTTTTATGTATGTAAATCAGCATTCCTGTGGTGATAGATGATAGATAAGATTATTTTTTCAGATAGTATCCCTATAATTCTTTTTAGTAGGTTAAATATACCCTTCAAATTAGTTTTCCTGAGAGTGAATTATTTGACTCATCCAGGCTCTGTTACACATGAGCTGTGTGATATTGGGCAAGTTACCCAACTTACTTGACTCTGTTTTTTTCCCATGCTTAAAGTAGAATAATACTTACCTTGCAGAGTTGTTGTTAGGATGCAAAATAACGCATGTGAAGTACCTAGTGCAGTATTAAGTATACAGCAGGCATTCAGTTAATGGTGGGTATTATTATTTTTTGATGTAGGCTTAATGTATAATTATTTGTATATCATTTGACAGTAAGTACTATTGATATAGTATGAACATTCCAAATGTTGTTGGTCTTGTGGGTTTCAGCGTTTGTTTTTAGACTAAATATATATTATGTTTTCCTTTCATAGATTTCTGAGAGAGCAGACACCATCTTATTTCTGTTGAATTGTATTTAGTAACTCAAAAGGCATATACCAAGCTGTCAGAAGCAGCTTCATTTAAAAGGTAATTTCAAATTTTGAAAGAGTCATTTACTCTTTAATTTTACTTGGATTTTATTTGTATACTTGACAGATAATTAATGGTTCTCTTACACTAAATTTGATTCATTCAGACTATAGAACATCCCTATTATATCATATTCACTCCGTATTGGAGTTTTTTTCTTTTTTAAAAACATCTTTGGTAATACAGTTGATTTCCCAATCTCAGTGAGCACTACTATGCTATATGACATGAACAATGTAAATAATTTGTTTCCTTGCAAATATTTAAAAATTTTTCCCAAATGATTTTAAATGTATTTTGTTTAAATGCAAAATACCAGGTGCATTTGGAATCATCCCAGTGGGGAGCTTGTTACTGGAGTAGGAAAGAGATAAGCTGGAAAGAAATTGTGTGCTATGGCAAATTTTTATACTACTTTTAGGCAACCTTAACATCTATTTAAAAATTGAGTGGCTGGATGCGGTGGCTCACGCCTGTAATCCCAGCACTTTGGGAGGCCGAGGCAGGTGGATTACCTAGTATCAGGAGTTCAAGACCAGCCTGGCCAACATGGTGAAACTCTGTCTCTACTAAAAATACAAAAATTAGCCAGGTGTGGTGGCACACGCCTGTAATCCCAGCTACTTGGGAGGCTGAGGCAAGAGAATTGCTTGAGCCCAGAAGGCGGAGGAGGTAGCAGTGAGCCGAGATCGTGTCACTGCACTCCAGCCTGGCAGACAGAGTGAGACTCTTGTCTCAAAAAAAAAAAAAAAAAATTGAGCTTAATTCAGCAGACTTCCTAGATCTCTATTTTGTATTTAAGATAGTAGTAGCAAATAGAGCTTTTAGTGGACTATGAATAATTTTGACTTTTGAGATAGGAGGAATAAGTTGTTTTATTTTCTGAGGGCACACTTGGTACTAGAATCTTTAAGTGACCATGAAATGAAGGTAAACATAACTGGGGGGAAAAAACAGCCTTAAATTATTTTACTCTCATGATGTTTGTAAGTAAGCGTGCTAGGTTTTAGAGATACACAGAGAAACTACTGTGACTGTGAAGGTTTCTTCCTGTAGCTTTATGCTAGTCCAAAGATAACATTACTTCATGAATTTTCAGCAAATGTACAGAAGTGGTAATGTGTGACCAAACTTTAATATCTGCTTGGAACTAGTGCTTTCTTATCATTTGGAAGAAAAGAATTATCATTTTAAACCATTTAACATCTGGGAGTGACTATAATTATGACAGACAAACTTTATTTTCACTGGAAGATAGAATAGGATAGTGAAAAGAGCACTGCAATGAAAATCAGGAACCCAGGGTCTGTACTTGCCCTGTTTTTCAGTAACTGGCTGTGGGACCTTAAACAACTCATTTAATCTCTGAGTTTTAGTTGCTTACTATGTAAAATGAGACAGTTAGAATTAAATATCAAGGTCCTTTCCACCTAAGGGAAGGAAATTTTGTAATAAAACAAATAGTATTAAGGAGGACACCCAAGACTGGTTAGAATCATCCAGTTGAGCAAGAAATTAAAAAGAATATATATATATATATATATACACACACACACACACACACCTATTGTTATTTAGCATGATTTAGTGTGGAGACAGTATTGGATCCAGAGACAGAAGAGGAGTTGAATCCTGGCTTAATCATTGCTGGCTATGTGGCCTTAGGTAAATAACTCTGATTTTCAATTTTCTTATCTTTAATAGGGATTATAATACCTACCTATGACAGAGACTGCCAAATATACTCCAGTAGCCATTCTGCTTTTCTTCTTTTCAGAAATAAAATTTCTAGTCCTGCCTGAAGTTTAAGCTAGCCCATGACTACACAAGTGCAACTGTATTTCCCAGGTAGATGCCGGTAGATTGGGCCCAGTAAGTTTGGGCCGTTGGGATGTGAAAGGAAGAGATGCGGGCAACTTTTTGGGTCATCTTCTTAAAGAAAAAGCCATTTGTCCTGGATGCCCTCTTTTCTTTTTTCTCTTTGGCTGGGAAATGACAAGAATTAAAGCAGCAGCCTTGGATCCAGAGATGGACGCCAATTGATGAAGACAGCAGAACTGACTGGCTAGTCTGGGTTCCCTGGAGCAGAGCTGTCTCTCCACCCTAGGTTATCCACTTACTTTTGTACTGTTATGTGAGAGAGAAATAAACTTCTATCTTCTTTAAGCCCTTGTTTTTTTTGGTATTTCTTTGTTATAGCTGATTAGTCTGCCCAGTGGCCTAAACAAAACACTACCTTAAAGAGTTGTGAAGACCAGAGATTATAAATTGCCTAGTTTAGTGGGTGGCCCATTATCAGTATTATCTACCATTTGTTAAATATTCACTTTCCATCTATTGTGGGTGGGGCACAATGCTAAATGTAATGATCATGAAAATAGTTTCTATTATCAGTGGATTTAAGAAAAATAAAAACAAGGATTCTTAACAATTTAACAGAGGTATATAAAATAACTAGCAACAGCCAGTTAGAGAACAAAATTCTATAATGTCATTCGTAATAGTAACCAAAAATATAATTTATCTAGAATGAAAAAATAAGAAATGGGCAAGAAGACCTTTATGAGAAACTGTTTAATTAAGACCAAAAAACCATAAAATTTATGAAGAGCTATTTCTTGTTACTTAATGTTATAAAACGTTGTTTCTCACAAAGGTTAGTTTATAGGTTTAATTAATGTTAAAAACTCAAATATGACATAATGCATATAATGAAAAACATTGGTTCCCTGGTCCACCCTTTCTCATCCCTGCATGGTTATCCCCAGAGGCAACTACTTATTATCCTCTCGATAGTTTTTCCTATTATTTCTCAATAGTAATTATGCTGCCATTTAAATTTTTTTCCCAATTTAATCATATATGTCGACTTACTAATAAGGCAAAGGAAGATTTAGCTTTTTTATACTTAAGTTTTTTCCTTTCCCTCTCAACTTTTCTTTCCCTAATATAATTATCACTATTTTTGGTTAGTGTCTTCATTGTTATAATTATGTATTGTTCATACTTGAGCCACTCAGTGATTATGATTACATTTACTGTTTTTCTATAACTTGTTTTCTTGGAGTTTATGGGAAATTATCTTGTATTATATCCCTGATAATTTTTATTCCCATTTTTTCTTTTTAGAATTTCTTTTGTCTAATATTCAAACTCCTGGATTTTGATTTTCTAATTTTTACTTTTCTAGTGTCTGGGAGATTTTCTAAGCCTTTTCTTCCAATGTTATTATATATTTTTTAATTTACTGCTCTCATTTAAACTTTTCAGCTGGGCATGGTGGCTTATGCTTTTAATCTCAGTACTTTGGGAGCCCCAGGTAGAAGGATCATTTGAGGCCAGAAGTTAAAAGACTAGCCTGGGCAACATAGTGAGACCCCATCTACAAAGAAAAAAAAATTAGCTGGGCATGGTGCATTGGTGCATGTCTGTAGTCTTATCCAGTCAGGAAGCTGAGGTAGGAAGATTGCTTGAGCTCAGAGTTAGAGGTTACAGTGAGCTATGATTGTGCCACTGCACTCCAGCTTGTGCAACAGAGTGAGACTGTGTCTCAAAAATATAAGTAAACTTTTCAAAGCCTTTTCTTCTTTTGTGAGCATTCATTTTTATAGTCTATTATTGTTTTATGGTTATAATTTCATCTCTCTCCAAATATATTAATTTTGGTTTTAAAAAACAATTTGTGGATTGTATTTTTGTTTGTTTTTCTATTTGATTTGGTTTCTTTATTTTGTGATAGGCGCATTCCTTGGTTGTTCCTCAAACATTTAGCTAATACTAAAAATCTTGGGAACTCTGTGTGCATGGGTTTCACTCTAGGGCTGTTAGTTGAAGATCAGATTTATTTTATTGAGACATTGCTGACTCTTAATATCTATAGCAGGGGTCCCCAACTCCCAGGTTGTAGACGGGTAACACTGTGTGGCCTGTTAGGAACTGGGCCGCACAGCAGAAGGTAAGTGGCAGGCCTGAGCTGTGCCTCCTGTCAGATCAGCAGCAGCATTAGATTCTCATAGGAGTGTGAACTCTATTGTGAACTGTGCATACAAGGCATCTAGGTTGCATGCTTCTTATGAGAATCTAATGCCCGATGATCTGAGGTGGAACAGTTTCCTACCGAAACCATCACCCCTGCCCACGTTGTCTGTGGAAAAATTGTTTTCCATGAAATTGGTTCCTGGTGCCAAAAAGATTAGGCACCACTTATCTATAGCCTTTTCTCTTGGGCTGATGTCTCTTTCCAAAGAAGAGTCTTTCTCCTGCCTGGGAGGTACAAGTTGCTACTAGTTTCTGACAGTTAAACAAAGGAAGAGAACTGAGAGGTAGGGAGTGATCTCACTGCTTAGTACAGAGATGCTCTTTAATTTACAGTAGCATTATATCCTGATGAACCCATTGGAAGTTGAGAATATCATAAGTCAAAAATGCATTTAGAGCCAGGCATGGTGGCTCATACCTGTAATCTCAGCACTTTGGGAGGCTGAGGCGGGTGGATCATGAGGTCAAGAGATCAAGACCATCCTGGCCAACATGGTGAAACCCTGTCTCTACTAAAATACAAAAAATTAGCTGGGCATGGTGGCATGCGCCTGTAGTCCCAGGTACTCGGGAGGCTGAGGCAGGGGAATTGCTTGAACCCAGGAGGCGGAGGTTGCAGTGAGCTGAGATTGTGCCACTGCACTCTAGCCTGGGTAACAGAGCAAGACTGTCTCAAAAAAAAAAAAATGCATTTAGTACACCTAGCTTAATGAAGCCTAATCTAGCCTGTCTTAAATGTGCTCAGAACACTTACATTAGCCTACAATTAGGCAAAAATCAACTAACAGCCTGTTTTATAATAAAGAGTTGAATACTTTATGTAATTTATGAAAACTGTACTGAAAATAAAAACCAGAATGGTCATATGGGTACCAAAAGTATGGTTTCTACTGAATGCATATTCTTTTCCCACCATGGTAAAGTCGAACTATTATAAATCAGGGACCACTGTATAAATTTAATCTCCCTGTTTTTGGTACAGTATCTTGGTTTTTTTGTTTTTTAGACCGAGTCTCACTCTGTCACCCAGGCTGGAGTGCAGTGGCATGATCTCGGCTTACTGCAACTTTTGCCTCCCAGGTTCAAGCAATTCTTGTGCCTTAGCCTCCCAAGTAGCTGGGATTATAGGCGCCCATCACCATGCCTGGCTAATTTTTGTATTTTTAGTAGAGATGGAGTTTCAGCATGTTGGCCAGGCTGGTTCTTGAACTCCTGACCCCAAGTGATCCACCCACTGAGCCTCCCAAAGTACTAGGATTACAGGCGTGAGCCACCATGCCTGGCCATTAGTACAGTATCTCTTTTTTTTTTTTTTTTTTTTCCCTGAGACAGTTTTGCTCTTGTTGCCTAGGCTGGAGTGCAGTGGTGCTATCTCGGCTCACCACAACCTCTGCCTCCTGGGTTCAAGTGATTCTCCTGCCTCAGCCTCCCGAGTAGCTGGGACTACAGGTGCCCGCCACCACACCCGGCTAATTTTTTGTATTTTTAGTAGAGATGGGGTTTCACAGTGTTAGCTAGGATGGTCTCAATCTCCTGACCTTGTGATCCGCCCACCTCGGCCTCCCAAAGTGCTGGGATTACAGGTGTGAGCCACTGCGCCCAGCCAGAAGGGTTCTTAAAAAAATAAAAATAATTACAAAACCCCAATTTGTGCATAGTTATACCATTTAGTTAAATACTATATGTACACAACTTACTGTCATCAAATTATTATTATAATAAATGCAAAGGTGAGTAGAGCACCTGATTAATCTTGGACACAGATTTTGTCTTATTTATCATTGTGATTCCATTACATAGCACAGTGCCAGACATATAAAATGCTATTAATAATATGTTTGAAAGAATGAATTAATGACTAAATCAGTGTGTATATGCTAATTAGTGTAGTACATACCTTTTTCATCTGTAAATTTTTCTTTTGTTAGCATATTTTATTTTCTTTCTCTACATATTTGACTCCTTCCTTTTAAAAGCTTATTATACATTATTTTAAGTAGTTTTATTTTTTAGTAGGATCTCATAACACTAAACAAACCTGTATTTGTCAAACA
The DNA here is from genome assembly GCF_000001405.40 of Homo sapiens. Taxonomy (NCBI): domain Eukaryota; kingdom Metazoa; phylum Chordata; class Mammalia; order Primates; family Hominidae; genus Homo; species Homo sapiens. The sequence goes on from NC_000001.11 coordinate 222,841,311, forward strand.
TTTATGCATTGTTTACTGTGTGCCTGGTGCTGTTCTTAAACCATTTAATCCTCATTAATAACCCTATAAGGTGGTTACTGCTAATATTCCATTTACAAGAGGAAACTGAGGCACAGAGAAGTTAGGTACTCACTCAAGGTTATCCTGCTAGTAAGTGTCAGAGCTGGACTTCTTGAACTCATGTCTGGGTTCCAAAGTTTATGTGTTTAACCACTACGCTAGACAGACTCCTATTTTTAAAAAGTACCAGCTCTAAAAATTATTTCCATCTCCAGAAGACTGCCCTTACTAGTGGGGCTTTTGTTATTTATAGTAAATTTTATTAAAATAGAAATTTTCAAATGGTAATATTCACTGTACTTGTCTTTTATCATCAAGCTATTTAATGAGTATACTGTTTTATTTTTAAAAGTGATATTTATTATAAGCATATTTGATGTCTGTGTGCTAATAATTATATGGATAAAATATTGATATTGGTAAAATTTGGCATTATTTCAAAATGTGATGGAATATGTATGTGTGACTGTTGGAGTGCTTTACTTTCTGTTGGTATTGGTAAAGTATTCTTTCTGGCTGAAGCATCTCTGAAATATCAGAGGAAAAATGGGAGGTGGGATCCAGAGGGATTGGAATTTTAGACATCTTTCAATTATTTTTGTCATTTGTGATAAGTACCTAATGAATTTTGAACCTAGTAATGCCCTTATGTGCTAACTATTTTGGTACCTGAGGAACTGGAGTGTTTCTGTTCCTTACCTTGTTTAGTGGTCTAGGAAAGAGGTCTGAAGATTCAAACTCTAGTCTAGTTTAAGTTTGTGTTTGATAGTTTACAAATCAAGGTGCTTAAATTCACACTTTATTTACTGCTATATGCAGCTCTTTTTTAAAGCCTTTTGTGATATTTTTTGGTATTTTGATTGTTTAAAGCCCTCAGGTAGCCTAATTAAAAATGGGATGTCCAAATTCACGGAGGCATCTGTTAAATAAAACCTGTCATTTTAAAAAAAAAAAAAAGGAATTGTCTGTTTTATTCTATAGCCACAGCAGAAGGGTTAAATATGGACAGAACACTATTTGTCCTTTTAGGTATTACTGTTTTAGAAGGAGATTATAGCTATACTTTCTTTTTTATGCCTTCCCTCTTTCCCTAGATAATTAGTACTTTTATAAATATAGTGTCTGGCAGAAATTGCTTTATATTAAATATCAAAAACAGCAATCAATAGTGACAGCGATCCATGTATATTAGTATTTTCCAAAGTATGTTCCATGGGAGATGGCTTGCTGGAATATGGTTTTATAATCATAAACTGAGGAACAATTGCATAAATACTGCCCCTCCCAACATACAAACATGCATCTGTTAACACACAGGCTTTGGAGAGTCACAGTATACATTAATTTATTAATGGTACTAAGAAGTCCTGTGGTAATAAAAATGGATTTAATTTTGTTTAGCTCAACATTTCCCACATTGTTTGACCTCAGAACCTTTTCTTTCCTAATCTTATGGTTGTCTGATGCACTTTATGCTCCACAGATGACTCTTTGGGATATAATGCTATATTCTGTGACAGTGTAACAGTAGATCTATTATTTTGATGAGGTTTCAGAATAGTAGCCCATCAAAAATATGCCATTATTAGTTCATTCGTAGTTAATAAATGGATTTTAGGAATGGCATTTAAAAATTATTAGAAATTTGAGGTGGAATGCATCTTCCTTGAATTTATATAACATTGGACCTTGCTTTTATAGACACATTACTTACCGAGGACTTTAATCTCTCACTTGATATATAATGAGAGAATGGTAAACCTCATTAATTTTGACTAATCGGGGAAGCTAGGCAAATCCAAGATAGTATTAAAAAAAACAGAATAGTTTTAAGAAATGCAGTGTTATCACTGCAAATACTGTGTCTAAAATTATGCCAACATAGAAGATTCTGGGTGGAAATCCTTTAAAGAATAAATAACAGTGACTTGTAATTAGTTCAGTTGCAAATATATATGTACTTCTGAAATAAGTGACATTATTTAAAATATTTTTTTCAAAAGTTTTAGCTTTTATTACATGTATCTTATTTACACTGTTTGCTTGCTAAACCATTTCTTTATAGAGTAGTCTGTTTCAAATTTCTAGTATGGTATGGCTCGTAAAAATTTACTGAGTGATCTATATCCTAATTGAGAATATGGAATGAAACATGGAAATAAGGCAGGGGAGAGACCTTCTCTAATGAAGGATGGGGGGGGGAAATTTCTTTTGAGCAGTGATAAAAATAGCAAACAAGAACAAACATTTGACTATTATTGCTGAAAGGAGTGATTAATAATTAACTAAAAGGAAAAGCATCTGCTTCTTGAGTTCTGTAAAAGTCCAGATTGAAGGCCAAGAAGTATTAAATCACAATAGCAATCAAAAGACAAGAAAGAAAAATGAAAACATGGTGGAAGAGAAAGATGAAATTGTAGCAACCAGGATGGTTAGTTATTGGGGAGGCCCCAAACAGATAACATTCCACAGGAGAGTCAGCATTAAAAGACGCAAAAGCCCCAGAAAAAGTAGATAAATCATGTCACTCTTGTTTTTACGCTGAAGATATAGATATATTATACCCCTGTTGAAGTGTGGTGCTGGGGCTAGGAAAGGCACCCATGGAATTACGATAGTCCTTAAAGTACTACCTTTTTACATGCTAAGTGTTTATCTCTAGAATGTATCCAGAGTATTCTCCAGTCTTTGTATTTTTAAAACAGCATTTACACATTTGTTTCCTAAAATCTCATCATATCAGTTGTTTTTATCAGGCTTTAATAGACCTGATGTGTTGAGGTTCCCTCAATTCCCTTTTTGCTTCCTTTGTTTCTTTTTATTCCTTTGTGATGTAAGACAGCATAGTAGCATCACCTCATTTTATAGGAATGGGGAAATCAGGTTGAAGATTAAGTGGCTTGTGTACGGAGTGAAAGGAAGGAGGCTTTCAAGTGTAGCTTAGAAAACAGGAGTTTAGTATTTTTATAGGGAAAGAATATGATGGCTAATTTAGCAGGTTTTCTGAATTAAACTTATGCTTGATTGTACGCTTAAGTATTAAATCTTTCAAGTATTATCTATATCAGTACTGACTAATCTGCCTTCAGTTATATAATGGATAGCCGATCCAGCCTTTCCTTTTAAGAAAATCCTTGATGTATTAGACCGTTAAAACAAATTCTAACATTTGGTGTTCATTAGTGTTGTAACTGAAACAAAAACATTTTAATGGTTAATCCCAGAGTATTTTGAAGTTAGTGTAAATTTGCAGGAAAGGTATTTAAGCTTTAGTATCAATTGCAAATAGGCCATGAGCCAATTTTCAAAGCTGTTTCTTAGTGAGACATTGAGTTTTTCTCAATACAAAAAATGCGTTATGCAGCATTGTGCCATGTGACAAGGAAACAGAATGGAACAATTACAATGAGATTTGTATTGATAATTGTATTTCTGTGTGAGTCGTTTAAGATACTGGGAAGCAAAGTGAGATTTAGAATAACCCCCCAGCAACTTCAACAATTGCTTACATTTAGTTGTAGACCACGAAAGAGGTATTTTTAATATAAAAGGATGGGTATTGCTGGGCAACAATTAAAACTTCAAACTCAACATTTAGGGTTTAGCCAACTGACTTTACTAAAATGGAATGCTTTAACTTTTTGACTCTATATTTCAGGAAAATTGCTCATTGTAGTTTATTAAGGTAAAATGACTTTTTGTGATGTAGTGCTAAAAAGGTCAAATCTCCACTTAAAATATTAGGTTGGTGCAAACGCAGTTGCAGTTTTTGCCATTGCTAGCTTTTGGTAGTGCTAAAGAGTTTTGCAAAAATGATTTTTCTTTTAAAGAATATTTAAATTAATTTACTTTGCTTTTGGTAAATGCCAAAGAAAGGCACAGTGAAGTATTGTAAGTGCATTCAAAATCGATTCTTCATCCGTTCATTTGTCATCCTAAAGTGAAAAAAAGAAGTGGAAGACAATTATTAGATGGATAGTAAATATAATCTAATGATTTATATGTTGTTCTGACATTTAACCATAGATACTGTTGCTTAAAAGGACTCTTGAAAGAAAATCTCAGCATATTTTTTATTCAAAGTTGTTTTGACTTAGGTACTTTTTCCATGTAAGAGACAAAAATCCCACAAATATTAAATCTATTTCAACAAGTGTTTTTGAAACATTATGTAGATTTGCAATGCAGTTTCATTAGCACAATAAATATTTCTTAATGCTGTGCTTTTTGAGTTTCTGGATTTTTGAACAATATGTTTAGGTCATTTTGAATTATTATTTACTTAATATTATTTATTATGACTGTGAACTGATTTGTTTATGTGTATGTATTTGTGTGTTTTGGCTCTATCTGTATCTCAACAAGACCATTTAATGTCAGCTCTATCACAAGATAATTTACTTTTTTCCCCTCTATGATATATAACTTTTGGGATAGAAATTTGTTTTGGGGTGTAATTTTTGGAAATGTACTAGCCACTTGACATGCTTTAATATTCAAAATAATTCACAGTGAATCTGGATTTTTAGTGACTAGTCAATGTCCTTGGTAGACATTTTTGTTTTGATTGATGAAGTTCATTTTACCAGTTATTTTTACAAGGCTTCTGCTTTTTGTATGCTGTCTAAAACAATCTTTGCCTAACCTAAGGTCTTGAAGATTTATTTCTAGATTTTCTTCTAGAAATTTTATAGTTTTTGGCTTTTTCATTTAGGTCTATAATGCATTTTGAGTTAATTTTTATGTATGTTGACTATGGATTTTTTTCTGTTTTGAAAATGTTTGCACAGAGAGACAACTTTAGTGACAGTGTGGAGGTTGCAATGAAAAGAGTGAAAAGGCCAGATGTGGTGGATCATGCCTGTAATCCCAGCACTTTGGGAGGCCAAGGCGGGCGGATCACCTGAGGTCAGGAGTTCGAGACCAGCCTGGCCAACACGGCAAAACCCCGTCTCTACTAAAAATACAAAATTAGCTGGGTGTGGTGGCGCATGCCTGTAATCCCAGGTACTCGGGAGGCTGAGGCAGGAGAATCGCTTGAACCCGGGAGGCAGAGGTTGTGGTGAGCTGAGATTGTGCCATTGCACTCCAGCCTGGGCAACAAGAGTGAAACTCTGTCTCAAAAAAAAAAAGAGTGAAAGGACAGGGAATATGAGTTGATAATGACTAGAACTAGGATAGCAGTTCTGCATATCAAAAAAGCAGGGAAGAGGAGAAATCTGATGACATTTTAGAGACAATGAATTGGATGGGGAGTGAGCATGGAGGCAGAAGTAAAGATGCATCTAAGGCTTGTGGTTGCAGGAAGTAGAATGGCCTGTGGCCAAAACTAGAATATAGGACAAAGGGAAGTTTTATGATTCTCCATTGTGATGAATGGAGAAGAGTTCTGTTTTCAAACTGTTGAGTTTATGTGATAGCAGGACATTCTGTCCTTGTCCACATGTATACATGTTGAGGAATAGTCAGATTCTTAGTGAAAACATTTTTTGTTTAATTCACTGCGACTAATTTTTTATGTTATTGCATAGTTTCCGTTGTGATAATTTTTGTAGCTTCTCAACAGTATTTAAATTTTGTTGTGAAACTATTATATCTATTATATAAAATGATTAAAAAAATAATGCCACTAAATAGATTTCTACTGTATTTCCCTCCTCTGTTTCCAATACAACTTGACCATTAATAAGGATATTCTGTCGGTGTTTGTCTAGATATGCAGACATCTCATATCATTCTTTCCACAGAGGTAAAACTGTATTATCCTTATTTATTTTGATGCTCATATTATCCCAGGCATGGCCAGTGGAAATGACATACGTTAAGCTAACTATTGTGTCCTTTTGACATGTCCTCATAGTTATTTGAGAACTTTCTTAAATTCTGTCATAATAAGATATTCTAGGCTCATCTTATACTTTCCCTGTTCTAGTCCTGTACTCAGCCATTTCATTCAAGGGTCCTGGTTATTTTTAGTGGAGAATGGTATTTAGAAACAAAGATCTGAACACTGGGTGTGCTCATTGCTATGAACACATCATTTCTTTTAGGTTTTGTCAGTGGAGAGAGCTTATAAGTTGTATTTACACATATAAAAATGTGTATGTGCATATACACACAGGAATATAGATAGTACACATATATCCATATTTATTTTCTATATCAAACCATCTTTATAAATAACTATAAGTTTACACCTATACCTCCAATTCCAATCCAATCCAATAGATTATTTTTTTTTCTGGCCTTTTCCCTTTCCTTGTTTGCAATTCCCTCCTCTTGCAGTGGAAACCTGGATTCTATTAAGTCAATATATTTTGCTCCAAGACACACCAACCCCCACCCCCAATAGCCATGTGCAACCCAGGGGGAAGGGAGAAGGATAAAAGGGAAGGGAGAAGGAAGAAAGTTCCTCCCAGTGAATTTTTTTTTGAATTAGCCCAATGGTTAAAAATAATAGAAGAAAGGAAGGAGCCATGTAGAATTTTAAACTTGTGACTAGTCAGTTTTGTCCATCTTTCTCTTTTTTAATGGCTTTTGGCTTTTATGTCACAAATAAAGGTTATGAAAATAAACTTCATAGTACTTTTTATGCCTTTTTTTTTCTTGGTTTCTGTGAACCTATTGGTTTTTTTACATTTTAATTTTCAGTACACCTGAGATTTTTTGGGGGGAATATTTTAGGATCTAATTATATTTTATTTTTCTGAATGGATAACTAGTTATTTCAACATTCATATTGATTGATTTATCTTTTCTCCATTGATTTGAAATGCCATCTCCATTGTATCCTGTTCTACATTGTTCTTTTACTATATTCTTCTGTTCTTTTTATCTGTTTGTTTTTTAAATTGCATGCCCGATAGTGGGACACTGTAGTATTTATCGCCTAGAGTGATTGTGAGCATTAAATGAGAATGCACATAAAATGGTCAGTGTGGTGCCAGTCGTGTAGTATAAAATGGTCAACACGTATTAGCGACTATTAGCATCTCAATATAAAAGGAATAAACTTTACAAACAATAGGAGAGTAAATTACAAAAAAAGTAAAAATTATAGTAAGTAGTGGCTTTTTAAAAAAAATAAAAACTTGTAGGATTCTTAATTTTTATACTTTGTGTATGGAATGGCAAAAGTTCATATTCTTTATATACAGATAAATTATGTGTAAAAATGTGTCCAATATTAGATAAAGTTAAGCTATTTAGACTTACAGATGTCCTGGATTGCAGGCTCTTTGAGGGCAGAGACTGTGTCTTATTTCATTTAACAAATACCTGTGCAGCACCTCACTGTGCCAGGGTTTGAGCATAGAATAGGATATAATATCTACCGTGAGCAGCTCACAGGCTAGTTGGGGAAACAGACATATAAATAAATAAATATAAATAACATGCAGGGGCTAATATATGTATAGCAGTGTACTTAGTTGTCTTCCATTAATGTGGAAATATTTATATCAGAGCTCTACACATTCACTGAGGCATTTTTCTAAATATGGGGATGGGATGAGAATACTTAAATAGTATTTCTATGCTGACTTCCCATGAACTATGTCCCAAAGTGCTTGATTGTACCTCACCATATCTTTATATAATACCACAAAGAAGGCAAAAAGTCACATTTTTGGAGTGTGTCTTTTGTATTTTCTGCTTTTAATATGTATTCCATGTGTAGTCCTCAAGAGTGAATGTGTGTATACTACATATTAATAAAATGATGGTAATTTCAGCACTAATGTTCTAGTATTATTTTCTCTGAATGCTTCTTTCAGTTATTTGACTACCATCAGGTAGTTAATTTGTATTTATATAAGATCAAATTAATGCATTTTTAATCCAAGCATCTGTTCTCTATTTGTTCCACACCTGTGACAAGATTATTTCAACCACTCACTTATAAAAGAGAAACACATCGTCAAGGGGCAACCCTGCTTTCAAGCATACATTCTATTTTTTGCGCAAATAACCATGTGAAAAATACCAATTACTGAAACTCTGAGAAGAACGAAGTTACTTCTAAACCTAGTATTTATACAAAAAAGGCTGTCTAAATGAAAACCACATTGAGATGCAATAGACCAAATCTGTATAACATAAACCTTTCAAGATCACTGTACCTAAAAAAAAAATGTATCCATGATTTGGGAAGGCAGCTTTAACAAAACAGTATTGTAAAAAATAACTAAAATGAAACAGCTGGCCACCAATCTGACAAACATGTACCTTAGCAGGAGGCTGTGAAATTTGAAGCACCTTAGTGAGTATTAGCACATACTAGTAGACTGTTACAGGCCATACTTCTGTGTACACTTTTGAAAATATTCTAATGTACATGAAGTATTTTGACAAGTGAAATTGTGAAATTTCTAAAAATTAAAAACCCAAATAAAGGTACCATTTTGGTTGAAATGAAAATCATACCAGTTTTAGATCTCAGTGAGCATGTAATTTAGATTCTGGTACAATATCTATTAAGAAATAAAATTTATTCTAGTGTCACCTTCCTTATTAGCAAATTGTCTTCAGAAGGAACACAAACAGGAGAGGTCTAGAGATGCCTTTTAGAGTGTTAGAAAGACAGGTTGTATGTGGACATGGCTAATAAAGATTGAGAGGCTGGCTTTGTTTAAATCCTAACTTTGTCACTTTCTAGGCTATTGAACAGTATTCTAAACATTTCTCTGCCTCAGTTTCTTGAGCTGTAAAATGTATAAGATAAGCCCCATAGGGTTTCTGTGAAATTTAAGTGAGTGACATAAAAAAAATGCTTAGCATGTTACTAGCACATGAGAAACCCTTAATAAATGCTGGCAGTAAAGTTCAACATAAGTAGACATTTTTTCCTTGTGCATTTTCCCTCCATTTTTCTCTCTTTTGCTAACCCTCTTGATTATGATTATTATTGTTTTTGCCTTTCTCTTTAGTTTTGTAACCATTCCATTTTTTTTGTTTAGCTCCCTTGTTCTCTCTTTTTAAACCCTCTGCTTTCTCCACTTTACCCCATGTTTTTATTATTCTTTTAAAATTTTCCATCCTCCAACTGCTACACTTTTTTTTTCCCACTGTATTTTAATTTTTTTAAATTTTAGTTTTGAGAGTACATGTGGTTTGTTACATAGGTAAACATGTATCATGGGGTTTTTTTGTACATATTATTTCATCACCCAGTTATTAAGCCTGGTACCCAATAGTGATCTTTTCTGCCCACTCCCTCCTCCCACTCTCCCCCATCAAGTAGACCCCAATGTCTGTTGTTTCCTTCTTTGTGTTCATAAGTTCTTATCATTTAGCTCCCTCTTATAAGTGAGAACATGCAATGTTTGTTTTTTTGTTCCTGCATTAGTTTGCTAAGGATAATGGCCTCCAGTTCCCTCCATGTTCCCTCAAAAGACATGATCTCATTCTTTTTTATGGCTGCATAATAAATGTAGTACATTTACTGTGTACCACATTTTCTTTATCCAGTCTGTCATTGATGGACATTTAGGTTGATTTCATGTTTCTGCTATTGTGAATAGTGCCAACTCCTGTTCTTTTATCTGACAGGCCCATTGGTTACTCTTTCCTTCATAGGCCTGTATCTCTGTATTTCTGCCACAGGGGCTGTTAACCTGAGATCTCTGAATGTCCTTCAGAGGACCTACTAACTTCTGAAATTATATAAAATTTTATGAATATGCATTTTTAATTTTTTTTTTTTTTTTTTTTTGAGACAGAGTTTCCACTCTTGTTGCCCAGGCTGAAGTGCAATGGCACAATCTCAGCTCACTGCAACCTCCGCCTCCTGGGTTCCAGTGATTCTCCTGCCTCAGTCTCCCAAGTAGCTGGGATCACAGGCATACGGCACCACACCCAGCTAATTTTGTATTTTTAGTAGAGTCGGAGTTTTGCCATGTTGGCCAGGCTGGTCTTGAACTCCTGAACTCAAGTGATCCGCCCGCCTCCGCCTCCCAAAGTGCTGGGATTACAGACATGACCCACTGCACCCAGCCGAATACACATTTTTTAAACGAGAGGTTCCATAGTTCTTTATAGGGTTTCAGAGGACTTCACTAATTTTATGAGTTTAAGAACCATTGCTTGATAGGATGTAGCGACCCTTCCCTCCCAGCTGATTTGTTGAGCCTCTCTGCCATTTGCCTCATTAGTATTAGGGAAACTTTCTATACAATAAAAAGTGTTACTCAGCACATATAGTGGATTTGCATCATAGTATTAGAAAGGAACTTCATCCCCAGGTGATTCATTAATTGTGGCATCACTGTGTTATGTTGTAATATTTATAAATAACAACTTTGTTTTTAAAACTTTTTTTGCATTGTGCATTCCCTAAAAGTTCTTTTTCCCAGTTTCAAATATTCATAACAAATGGCCAGCTCAATTTAAAACAAGGTAAATATTTCTTTTTTTTTTTTTTCCATTTCTGTGTGAAATATCCAAGCCAGCTTGGAACCAAAGCATTCAGCATTTTACAAGCTAATTGTCCAGTAGAAAAATAATGTTTTAAAATTAGTTATAAATTTGCTAGAGGCCAGGCACAGTGGCTCACATCTGTAATCCCAGTACTTTGGGAGGCTGAGGCGGGCGAATCACCTGAGGTTGAGAGGTCGAGACCAGCCTGACCAACATGGAGAAACCCCATCTCTACTAAAAATACAAAATTAGCTGGGTGTGGTGGCGCATGCCTGTAATCCCAGCTACTCGGGAAGCTGAGGCAGGAGAATGGCTTGAACTTGGGAGGGAGAGGTGGTGGTGAGCCGAGATCGCGCCATCGCACTCCAGCCTGGGAAGGAAAACTCCAACTCAAAAATAAATAAATAAATAAATAAATTTACTGAAAAAAAATTCCAAATTGACAGCATTTGGGGTTTTTTTTTTTAAAGCCTTCCATAACAAAACAGTCATGTAGACTTTTAGTATTTTTTTTTTCTAGTTGGCCAAATAGCCAAAGTTGTTTTTTGTTTGTTTGTTTGTTTTTTGGTGGTTTTTTTGTTTTTCGTTTTTTGTTTTTGTGGTAGAGACTGATTTTCACCATGTTGCCCAGGCTGGTCTTGAACTGCTGGACTCAAGTGATCCACTCACCTTGGCCTCCCAATGTGCTGGGATTACAGGCATGAGCCACCGTGCCCGGCACCAAAGTTGTTTTCTTAACTAAAATCATCATTCACATGAATCATCATGACAGCCTGAAAAATGTAGAACTCCTCTAAGAAAAGGAGATAACCCAGTAAGTCATTCTTTACACATCTTGTTCATGTTTAGATGTCTAAAGAAGGAAACTATTCCTTTGAAAATAGCACTGCTTTAATCTTTGCACTGATAATTCTGACCTCAAAAATAAAATACCAATTTTTAAGACCTTGGCTCTCCTGGGGAATAATCAAACCAAATGAACAAACACAAACCTTGTGTATCCCCCTTCCTTTTTTTAACCACTGATGATGAACTTTGGGTTAGCATGTAGAACATAGATAATACAATGCTAAATACATATTTAACAAAAGTGAACTGAGTGCCTGGCATATGGGGGGCTCTGGGTGTACAATAGTGAGTAGTGGGTATTTGAGAAAAACAAATATATCTGTGTATATATACCAAATGTATTCATATACAAATAGTAGTAAGTGCAATGAAGAATGGGGTCTGAGGAGAGAGTAAATGTTGCTTTAGAATGCCATTAATTATTTCATAGAAAAATTAGTTATTTCATAGAAAAAAGAGAGTCTTTCATTTAGTCTCTGTTAATTTGTTTTCTGTGTTTTAATAATGAAGTTGGTGGCAGGCCATGATTTTTGGCTGTTCAGAAAAGAACTACCAGGCTCACGTTGGAGGTGTCATCCCACCGTTAGGATGGCTGTTATGAAAAGGATAAAAAATAACAAATGCTGGTGGAGATGTGGATAAAAGGGAACTTATATGTTAGTGGGAATGTAAATTAGTACAGCTACTATGGAGAACAGTATGGAGCTTCCTCAAAGAACTATAAATAGTACTACCATCTGATCCAGTGATTGTACTACTGGGGATTTATCCAAAGGAAAGGAAATATCAATGAGACATTTGTACCCCCATATTTATTGCAGCATTATTCACAATAGCCAAAATATGGAATCAACCCAGGTGTCCAACAACAGCTGAATGGATAAAGAAAATGTATATATACACCACGGAACACTATTTGGCCGTAAAAAAACCATGAAATCCTGTCATTCACAGCAACATGGATGGAGCTGGAGGACATTATGTTAAGTGAAATAAGCCAGGAACAGTAAATTAAACACTGCATGTTCTCACTCATTTGTGGAAGCTAAAAAAGTTGATTTCACAGAAGTAAAAAGTAGAACAGAGAATACCAGAGGGTGGGAAGGGTAGGGGAAAGGGAGGGATAGGGAGAGGTTTGTTAAGGGATACAAAATTACAGCTAGATAGGGGAATAAGGTCTAGTGTTCTATATCACTGCAAATGATTATAGTTAACAAGAATATATTGTATAGTTTCAAATAGCTAGAAGAAGGATGTTGAGCATTCCCAACACAAAGAAATGATAAATGTTAGAGATGATGAATATGCTAACTACCCTCATCTGATCATTATATGTATCAAAACATTACCATGTACCCCATGAATATCTACAATTATTTTTTGTCAATTAACAAGCTCTCATCAAGATTTTTGTGCCTTGAAACATATAAAATTTGCTCTGGAAAGAAAACACCATGGCAAGATGTTGGCCACAGACTATAAATATAGGGGAAAGAAAACTGCAAGAGCTTTATTTTTTATAACTCTGTTTCCTTGATTCACAGATCTCTTAACAAGACTGAATCATAGAAGCTAGGCGTCTTAGTCCGTTCTCATGCTGCTGTCAAGAACTGCCCAAGACTGGGTAATTTATAGAGAAAAGAGGTTTAATTGACCTCACAGTTCTGCATGGCTGGGGAAGCCTCAGGAAACTTACAATCATGGCGGAAGGCATCTCTTCAAAGGGTGGCAGGAGGGAATGAGTGCAAGCAGGGGAAATGCCACATGCTTATAAAACCATCAGATCTTGTGAGACTCACTCTTTATCACGAGAACATCATGGGGGAAACTGCCCCCATGATCCAATTACTTCCACCTGGTCCCACCCTTGAAACATGGAGATTATTACAATTCAAGGTGAGATTTGGGTGGGGACACATAGCCAAACCATATCATTAGGATGCTTGAGTCACTGTTTTGGAGATAGTTCTGAATTCTGGGCACTAAGGAATACCGTTTGGACACTGATCCTTTTATGTTAAAGATGGTGAACTGGTGAGTTGCAGTGTTCTCCTTTCAGTTTGTTAATTGGGAATCCTATAGTTGAGCCTAAATTTTCAGTGTTTTGCTTTTTTTTTTTTAATCATAAATGGCAAATATTACGCCTACCCAGAATACGGTGCTTTGAAACCCAAATGTTAAGGAGATAAATGGGTATACCTAACTGCTTGGGATGAACAAGATTTTGGGGAATAGGAGGATGGCTTCTTTAGAGACCTAACAGTTATTTGTGTGGCCTGGAAAAGTGGGATAGCTCATTCTGAATCATTTTCAAACTTGTCCAGAGAGCTCTGGGGCTCCTCAGAGGAACCTCAGTACTACTAGTGGGAATAGGGTTGCCAAGAAGGGCAGGGGTCTTATCCCCACATCCTTTAACTAAGGAACTTCTACTAGACACAAAGGAAAACAAAGAACTTTGAATATAATAAATTAGCTTTTGCTTCTTTGTCATAGAATCTTCCTGAGTTACTGTTTGTGTACCAACTCTTGAGGGTTCCATCATGTATGATGAGGAGCCACATCAAGACCTTTCACCTGTGCTCTCTTATTCTTTTCTTCTGCCATTCCCTCTGCCCCTCTCACACAAACCTTTTTGTAGAAAGGAAAGCAGGGACAAATAACACTTGAGTTCCAGGCGTTGGGAACTAGTTAAGATCTGTTAGAAAAGAAAGATTTAAACAATTTTTGAAAGCCCTGAAAATTATCTTCCTAAATCTTTTACCTAAATGGAAATTTGTATTATCTTCATTAGGAAGAATATATATGGAAGTAATCAACAAACTGAACTAGTTAGAAAGCAGTGTATTTTAGCCAATAATGAGCCTTAACCTTTGCAGGGTTAGCACATGGAAATCGTTATTATATACTAGCAGATACAGCTATGCCACCATACTTCTTAAGTCAAGGACCAATTCTTCATTATACCAGCGTGTTCTGATTTTCACAGTTAATCTTATTTGGTTGCTAAATGCCTTACGTACCTAATGAAATGAAATTTGGGAATTGACTAGCTTAATTTTGCAGTGTGAAGTGGTTCCCTTCTCTTTATTTTAAAACATTTTTTCTCCCAAAATTTTGAAGATATTTTGACTAATTCAAATTTCATATAATTTTAAGAGTACTATAATTTATAAGCTATAGAGGTGTGTGATTTGAATGCTTCCTATCTAATGCGACTGGAATTTTTCTCCAATTATAAGAGAGACAAGACCATCATTCTCCAGTTTCAAAAAAAAAAAAAAATGCAGCTGCTTGCAAGAGGAGAGCTAAACTAACAGAACATTTAATATTTTGAAAAATATGTCCTGGGGGAAAAGATTCTTCTGTTTAAAAAGATATTAAATTATTTGGCTTGGCAGCTCCAGGGTGTGAATATTTTGAGCTCCATCACTATCATTTATTTTTTATCGAGTTCAAATGGAAAAATTGAGAACTTTATTTTGACATGTAGTCCTTTATTAGATATATAAACCTTTAGCTGCAAGGGACTACATGTTACTGTGAATTACATAGGCACATTCTACTTTTAGTGGATCAGTGTTTAATTTTCAAAATTCTCAGCAAATAGCACAGCTGCAGCCAAAAATTCCTGTAGCCCAGATGAAACTAATAGTTCCAGGCTGTGTTGCTGTCATTCATTACTAATCCAGGTATGAGTGCTTACTGTTTTTAATTTTCCTTTTCCGAACTTGAAGGCAGTGTTTGTCTTTTCCCACAAGAAGTCAGTGATAATGTGCCTGAGATTCCAGCAACTGGAGATAGTTGGCCTTTTCCACACTGACACAACTAGACTTTCTTTTAGGGCTAGTATAGATAGCAGTTTGATGATAAACAAAAAACAGTGGGAGACAGGCACATAGTAGGGTATTAAGGAAAAACAAGAATGTATTAGGGATTTGAACCTAATTTTTGGAAGTTGGTGTCATGGAAAGCATCTGCTGCCTACCATACGATATCCATTGATGGCATGTGCCATTTGGGCAAGAATATTGAGTTAACTGGACAATATGTTTTTATGTTTATTATAATTCGTTTTTTTTTTTTTTTTGAGATGGAGTCTCACTCTGTCACTCAGGCTGGAGTGCAGTGGCTCAATCTTGGCTCACTGCAACCTCTGCCTTCTGTTTCAAGCAGTCCTCCTGCCTCAGCCTCCCGAGTAGCAGGGATTACAGGTGCATGCCACCATGCCTGGCTACTTTTTGTATTTTAAGTAGAGATGGGGTTTCACCATGTTGGCCAGGCTAGTCCTGAACTCCTGACCTCATGTGATCTGCCTGCCTCGGCCTCCCAAAGAGCTGGGATTACAGGTGTGAGCCACTGTGCCCATCCTCTTATAATTATTATTAGTAATAGAACTTTCAGAAACATTCAAAATATTATCACCAATTATTCTCTTCAAATCCGACCAGAATGGATTCATTTTGCATTTTAAAATGTCTTAATTGACACTTAAAAACTGTGAATTTCAGCTAGTCAGGAGGCTGAGGTGGGAGGATCCCTTAAGCCTAGAGTTTGAGGCTGTAGTATACCATGATTACATCTGTAAATAGCTACTGCATTGCAGCCTGGGCAACATAGTGAGACTACATATCTAAAAAAAAGAAAAAGAAAAAAACTGTGATATAGAATGAAGAATAAAGATTGTAGACTTTGGAATTGGACAAAAGTTGGAAGCATTCCCCTTGAAATCTGGCACAAGACAAGGATGCTATCTCTCACCACTCCTATTCAACATAGTATTGGAAGTTCTGGCCAGGACAATCAAGCAAGAGAAAGAAAGAAAGCATAGTCAAATAGGAAGAGAGGAAATCCAACTATCTCTGTTTGCAGATGACATGATCCTATATCTAGAAAACCCCATTGTCTCAGCCCAAAAGCTTCTTAAGCTGATAAGCAACTTCAGCAAAGTCTTAAGATACAAAAATCAGTGTGCAAAAATCACAAGCATTTCTACACACCAACAACAGACAAGCAGAGAGCCAAATCATGAATGAACTCCCATTCACAATTGCTACAAAGAGAATAAAATACCTAGGAATACAGCTAACAAGGGAAGTAAAGGACCTCTTCAAGGAGAACTACAAACCACTGCTCAAGGAAATCAGAGGACACAAACAAATGGAAGAACATTCCATGCATATGGATAGGAAGAATCAATATCGTGAAAATGGCCATACTGCCTAAAGTAATTTATAGATTCAATGCTATTCCCATTAAACAACCATTGATATTCTTCACAGAATTAGAAGAAACTATTTAAAAATTTGTATGGAACCAAAAAAGAGGTCATGTAGCCAAGACAGACCTAAGCAAAAAGGACAAAGCTGGAAGCATCTGTTACCAGACTTCAGACTTCAAACTATACTATAAGGCTATAGTAACCAAAACAGCATGGCACCAGTACAAAAACAGACACATAGACCAGTGGAACAGAATACAGAACTCAGAAATAAGACTACACATCTACAACCATCTGATCTTCCACAGACCTGATAAAAACAAGCAATGGGGAAAGGATTCCCTATTTAATAAATGGTGCTGGAATTACTATTATCTATAGTATCTATACTAGCCCTAAAAGAAAGTCTAGTTGTGTTTCATATGCAGAAAATTGAAAGTGGACCCCTTCCTTATACCTTATACAAAAAATTAACTCAAGATGTATCAAAGACTTAAATATAAAACCAAAAGCCATAACAACCATAGAAGAAAATCTAGGCAATACCATTCAGGACATAGGCACAGGCAAAGATCCCATGATGAAATCACCAAAAGTAATTGCAACAAAAGCAAAAATTGACAAATGGGATCTAGTTAAACTAAAGAGCTTTTGCACAGCAAAAGAAAGTATCATCAGAGTGAACAGGCAACCTGTAGAATGGGAAAAAATTTTTGCACTCTATCCATCTGATAAAGGTCTAATATCCAGAATCTACCAGGAACTTAAACAAATTTACAGGAAAAAAAGAAACAGCCCCATTAAAAAGTGGGCAAAGGACATGAACAGACACTTCTCAAAAGGAGACATTCATGCAGCCAACAAACTTTTTAAAAAAAAGCTTAATATCACTGATCATTAGAGGAATGCAAATCAAAACCACAATGAGATACCATCTAACACAATTCAGAGTGGTGATTATTAAAACGTCTAGAAACAACAGATGCTGGCGAGGTTGCAGAGACATAGGAAAAGTTTTACACTGTTGGTGGGAATGTAAATTAATTCAACCATTGTGGAAAACAGTGTGATGATTCCTCAGAGATCTAGAACCAAAATATCATTTGACCCAGCAATCCCATTACTGGGTATATACCCAAAGGAATATAAATCATTCTATTACAAAGTTACATGCACACATATGTTCATTGCAGCACTATTCACAATAGCAAAGACATGGAATCAACCCAAAAGTCCATCAATGATAGACTGGATAAAGAAAATGTGATACATATACACCATGGAATACTATGCAGCCATAAAAAGGAATGAGATCATGTCTTTTGCAGAGACATGGATGGAGCTGGAAGCCATTACCCTCAGCAAACTAACACAGGAATAGAAAACCAAACACCGCATGTTCTCACTTATGAGTGGGAGCTGAACAATGAGAACACACAGACAAAGGGAGGGGAACAGCACACATTGGGGCCTGTCGGGAGGTGGAGTCGGGGGAGGGAGAGCATTAGGAAAAATAGCTAATGCATGCTGGGCTTAACACCTAGGTGATGGGTTGATAGGTGCAACAAACCACCATGGCACATGTTTACCTATGTAACAAACCTGCGCATCCTGTGCATGTACCCCAGAACTTAAAATTTAAAAAAGTGGTAATTAAAATTCTCAGAGATAAGAGAAGATATTATATCCACAAAAGAATAACAGGATACTTTAGATGGGATCATTCAAAGAATAAATAAAGGCTCTTGGATATTTCAAAAATTGTTAATTCAGTAGAAGTGTTGGGAGATAAATTTGAGACTATCTTCCCAAAAGCAGATTTAAAAAGACTAAGAGATAGAAAATAAAGTGGAGATGTAAAATAAAAGAAAATACAATTAGAGGAAAACTATGCTCTCCAATGTTTGACTAGTAGAGGGAGTTCCAGATAGAGTTTGGGATGAATTAGTTCTCCTAGTTGACTCTGTAACCTAGACTGTAAATTCTGGAATGTTGGGGAATATGTTGTTGGTCTTGTTCACTATTTATTCATTGTCTGTCACAGTCTGTGCACATACTAGGTCTTCAGATATTTTGACTGAAATTATTCTTGTATCTTGTTGAGAAAAGGCATAGAAAAACTAAGCAAATTTTTAAAAAGAGGCAGCTAATCAGAAGGAAACTTTTTTTTCAATAAAGGAAATTCATTTCTTCTTTTTTTCTGTTTTGTTTTGTTTTGTTGAGATGGAGTTTTGCTCTTGTTGCCCAGGCTGGAGTGCAATGGCACGATCTCGGCTCACCACAACCTCTGCCTCCCAGATTCAAGTGATTCTCCTGCCTCAGCCTCCCAAGTACTGGGATTAAGGCATGTGCCACCAGGCCCGGCTAATTTTGTATCTTTAGTAGAGACAGGGTTTCTCCATGTTGGTCAGGCTGGTCTTGAACTCCCGACCTCAGGTGATCTGACTGCCTCGGCCTCCCAAAGTGCTGGGATTACAGGCATGAGCCACTGTGCCTGGCCTCATTTATTCTTTAAGTGATTCACTTGGGAATAATATTTAGATAGTCATCATAATGTAAAACACTAAATATTGATTTAGCCAACATCATGGTGTGCCAATATTGAGAAAGCAGGGAAGAAGAATGCTACAGAAGAATGAAAACCACATCATCTATAGTAGAAAGCCAATACGTAATGCCTGAGATATTAAATTTTAAAAAGCAGTTACGGGCATGTTAGAGATAGCTGAAATAGTTGAAAGTGATTGCTAGGGCCGGGTGCGGTCGCTCACGCCTGTAATCCCAGCACTTTGGGAGGCCGAGGCAGGCAGATCATGAGATCAGGAGTTTGAGACCAGCCTGGCCAATATGGTGAAACCCCATCTCTACTAAAAATACAAAAATTAGCTGGGCGGGGTAGCGTGTGCCTGTAGTCCCAGCTACCTGAGGGGCTGAGGCAGGAGAATCGCTTCAGAGATTGCAGTGAGCCAAGATCTCACCACTGCACTCCAGCCTGGGAGACAGAGTGAGACTTTGTCTCAAAAAAAACAAAAAACAAACAAAAAAAAGAAAGTGATTGCTAGAAAAAAGTGGGGCAGGGGACCACTTTCTATCCCCATTATATGCCTTGTAGAACTATTTTTAAAACTAAATGAATTGTTTTGATAAAAATAGAAATTTATTTAATGGCACCAGGCCACATCATTTTCTATATTAAGGCCATACTTATCAATGAACCAGAATATGGCTATCCTAGGGCCAGGGTATCTTCTCTTTAGGATGGTCCTTCTCTTTTTCTCTATTTCCTTTGCCGACTCACCTCTCTTTGGAATTGATGTGTTCTTCAGACATAACCAGGTAGCTTGGAATACTTAGCCTGTAAGTTCTCTTGTCTATTTTGTGGTGACTTCCTGTTTTAACTCTGAGTTTCTTTCTGTGAGATTTTTAAGTCACTTGTGGTTACAGTTACTTTATTGCAACCTTCATGATAAGGCTATTAATGCTTCAGTGCTGTTCCAGTCAGTTATATATTCTAGACTCTAAATTCTGTGAAGTCGGGGATTGTTGGTTTTGTTCACTATTTATTCAGTGGCTAGCTAGTAGTATGTGCACGATTGAAATTATCCTCATATTTCTTTGAGAAAGAGATTATGTAATGTTTAAGAACATGGCTTTTAGGTTAGACAAACCTGGGTTTGAATCCCATCACTATTGCTTGCTAGCCATGTCACTTAACCTCTTCTCTGAAACCCTCTTTTCTAAGTATTATCACTCTTTGTTTCAAATTAACACCTAAAGGCCCTCTACCTCACAAACGTTTTCACCTTTCATCATTCGTTATTTCTGATTATTAGCATATTTCAAAACACCACAATAAATTATTAAACTTGCATTTAAAAATAATATGTAACATTAATAAAGCAAGTTATACTTTTTTTCTGAATTCTCTAGTAATGTTATTACACTATAGGCCATATTAACAACTCATTTTTTAAAGCAAAAACATGTTTCTCAGAAGATAGATTCATTTATTTTTAGGAATGTTTATTGTATAACTTCTCGTACAGTGGGGAAAATGTTTACTACTTCATGAAAAATGTGTTTTTTTATAGTACATTTTTCTCACGAAGACATTGGCTGCATTAAAAGAGAGTAGTAATAAGATAATTTTGCGACCTGTTTTTCTGAAAGGCTGAGCAACCCTTTTAAGACTGGGATGTCATCAAGGGTAGGAATCTGTGTTCTGCTTATCACCTCCTTGTCCATTGTCTGGCATGTAGTAAAATCTTAACTGTTGACTGAATGACTGCATGCATGAATGAATTAACCATAGTGTTGCTTTATTTGTTTGTAACTTTTTATTTTGATGTAGTTTAACACTTAATGAAGAGTTACAAGATTAGTACAAGGAAATCCCATATATTGTTAACCCAGATTTATTAATTGTTAACTAAGTTTAAAGTTTTTATATTCATATAATGTTTCTCGGAGTCATTTGAGAATCAGTTGTTGCCATTACACCCTTTTACTCCTAAACACTTTAGTATGTAGTTCCTAAGAACAAGAACCTTCTCTTTTATAATAAAACACAGTAAACTTACGAAAATCTAGTAATTTAACATTGATATAATTTAACATTGATATAATATTTTCTAATCCAGTTTGTTTTCAAATTTGTCCATTGTCTCAATAGTTTTTTTTTTTTTTTTTGAGACAGGACTTTACTCTGTTGCCCAGGCTGGAGTACAGTCCAGGCTAGGTGCTATCGTGACTCACTGCAGCCTTCACCTTCCAGGCTCAAGTGATCCTCCCATCTCAGCCTCCTAAGTAGCTGAGACTACAAGTATGTGCCACCACGCTTGGGTCATTTTTAAATTTTTTGTAGAAATAGAGTCTCCCTATGTTGCCCAGGCTGGTCTTCAACTTATGGGCTCAGGCAACCCCCAACCTTGGCCTCCCAAATTGCAGGGATTATAGTGTGAGCCACCGTGCTCAGCGTCAGTCGTATCTTTTGCAGCTATTTTTTTTCTGTCTGGTACCCAATCCAGGATCACACATTCCAGGTAAGTTTCATGTCTCTTTAGCCTTCTTTAATCTGGAACAGTACTCTAGTATTTCTCTTTCTTTCTTGACTTTAACATTTTTTAGAAGAGTTTAAAAAATAATTTTGAAGAATATTCCTAGTTTGGGTTTGTATCATGTATCCTCCTAATTAGATTGAGGTTTTGCAGTTTTGGCTGGAAAACCACAGAAGAGATGCTGTGCTGTTCTCAGTACATCATATCTTTAGGCACATGAGGTCACTTTACACAAATACGAGCAACTCATCACTTGGTTAAGTTGTATCCACAGGGTATTTCCACTGTAAAGTTGCCGTATTTTCCTTGGTGTAATTTGTGGGGAGAGGGCTGAAGGCGGTGGCTCATACCTGTAATCTCAGCACTTTGGAAGGCTGAGGTGGGCAGATTGCTTCAGCTCAGGAGTTCAAGAACAGCCTGGCAATACGGTGAAACCTTGTCTCTACAAAAAAGACAAAAATTAGCTGGGCATAGTGGCGTGTGCCTGTGGTCCCAGCTACTTGGGAGGGAGGCTGAGTTGAGAGGACCACCTGAGCCCAGGGGTGGGGTGAGGGAGCTCAAGGCTGTGGTGAGCCATGATTCTACCATTGTACTCCAGCATGGGTGACAGATTGAGACCCTATCTCAAAAAAAAAAAAAAATCTGTGGGGAGATCCTTTGAAACTGTAAATATCTCGTCCCTCATTTATGAAACTTACACTCAATAATTTTAGCATCTGTCATTCGATTCTTCCACATTTATTAGTTGGCATTTTACTCTAAGAAAGACCTTCCCTTTATTTTTTATTTATATTAGTTTGAATTCATAGATACTTATTTTATTCAATGAGTTGTAATCCATTGCTGTCATTAATTATTTTGGTGCTTAAGTCATTCCAGATTTGGTCAGTGGGAGTCCCTGCAAACTGTTCCTTTGTCCTTTTGCTTTGTCTTAAATGTTCCTTGAGAATTTTTATCTTTTTTGGTGTAATAAGATAGTCTAGGTCCTTCCTGTACTTTTCCTTGTCCAAGCCCTGGGGTCAACTCTTTTTCTGAGATGCCCTGTTTCCTTTTAATGGAGAATGGTATTTTAAAACCAAGATTTAAGTGCTGAGTGTGCTCATTGCTACTAATAGCATTGGCTCTAGACCCTCTCAGATCTCAGATCTCTCAGGAACCAAGCTCAGAAATGTATGTATATGTAAATTAAAGTTTTATATCTAAACTAAGAGTTCATATTGACTCTTCCAGTTCAAATCCAGCACTCCAGGGTTCATTCTAGTTTCTCTCCATATTCACAACTCCCATTTCCAACAGTGAGAAACCTGGCTCCATGGTATTGTTTTATATCCCAAGTATCTTGTTCAAGCCTTGGCATTAAGTAACTTATATTTGTTTTAAGCATTTGAATGAATGAGTGAATACATAGTTATGGCATTATCTCAGTATATATTCTCACTGCTGTGACCAATGCTTGGCATTAGGTATTAATAGATGCTAAATAAAACTTTCTTGAGTAAATAGCTCTCTTCTTACCATTTATTATATATTTTTGAACCACCTGAGAAACGACTCTGTAGGAGTCCTCTCATTTTTTTTTGCCATTTAAATATGAATCCTTGTAAATTCAGTTAATATGAACAGTCAATCCTTTTTTCAATAAGAAAAAGTCATAAGTAACAATAAAATTGATCTATTAAAAATAATTCTTTTGTTTTTGTTTTAAAAAAACTTTGATATGGGCAACATCATTGAAAAGATTTCAGAATTTCTAATTATGAAAATTGTAGCTTAAAGAGTTTGGCACATTTTTCACATTTGTCAGCTCTAGCAGTGTGAAATATGTTCTTCATTTGAATTCTCTTCCTATACCCGCTGCTGCCAGGCAAAAAGAATTTTCACTTCACTGCTGCTTGTTATTAAGCTGCTATAAACAAGAATGCTTGAAGGTAACTTATGAGCAAATGACTAGAAATTTCTGATAACCTTAAGACTCATTCCCAAATTATATTATTAACTCTGTGAGTAATTTGGGGAAAAGCAGTAGGGTTTCATTCGCCTGTGCCCTCAAAGGTTACAGAGTTACAATTTAGGACAGCCATTAATGATGCTAACTCTTGAGATAGGTTTTTATTTGTTTGTTTTTGTTTTGTTTTTTTTTCCTTAAACCTCAGGAAACGTGGTATATTTTTCTCTCTGATGTAATTCAAACTAACAACTCCTTGCTCATAAACTCATATTTTATTCCTAGAAACTTGCTTAAAAAGGGCCCTATCCTTTTCTATCTTTGCTTTTTCTAGTTACCTAAATTATGTTAAATGTATCATATGCATTATAACTTATGGTATAGAATTCAAAATATATAATTTGTCATGAATCATACTACCAGAGTAGGAAAAGTTGGAAAAGGGGTTAGTTTTATATTATTAAGACTTTTTCACAAAACTGGCTGGGAATTGATTACTTTTTGTTTTAAAGAAAATGTTCTCCAAGATAACATCTTTAGCCCTGTATAGAAACATTTAAGTTGTCCCCTCCCATACTTATAAGAGGGAGTGGGTCTTTTTAAATGAATAGAAAAATCAGAACATTTAAAGCACTTCCATCTTAAAAGCCTTTCCTGTTTAAAGAAAAGCTGAAATGCTGCAATTTATACAAATAGTCTTCTTTTCCTAGATTAAAATTTTAAAAGCAAAGTTCTGTATATATAAGCAAAGATATATTCTGTATCTTTTAAGTGTAGACATTTAAAGGTAAAATCTAAAAATTGTTTAAAAAGTTCTTTTCTGTGGGGCAAAGTGGTTTTGTCATATCATAGATTCCCTGTTCCTTATTTTGGTTTATCTCTATAAATAGAATTTATTCCAACATCAGTCTAGTACTACTGATTTTTATACACACACACACAGATACACACACACATACACAGAATAATAACTATAAGAGGCGGGTATATTTGGCATATTTCCCAAATTGTCTTTGCACTTTTAGCCAGTTACGTTTTTGTTTTCCCTTGAATTTTCCCTTAGGGGCCGGCCCCCTGTTGGGTTTTACAGTCATGCAGTATCTTCTTGTAGGAGTACAGACACAATAACCCAGATGACAGTTGGTAAAAGTAACTAAGAGAAAGGAAACTGGCCACCTCGGGTAACTGAGGGTCAGTGTTGACCTCAGTAGGTCAATGTCTAGTTCTCCCTGCTTACTCTTTTCCTCCTTTGAAAAAAAAATGAATGTTGGAGAGAGGGTGAGCAGAGGAACTGTTGGGGTACTCTTTTTCCAGTTCTTTTGGATGGAGCAAATGCCATTTTCTTTCTGTCACTCCCTTTATCCTCACCCTCAGCCTTTTTTGTGGCTTCTTTTATTTTCCCTCTTGCCTTTTATAGGAGAATTGGGCCTCAGATATATGATCAGTACATGATATTCCCGGGATAGTTTTGTTGTTGTTGTTGTTGTTGTTGTTGTTGCTGTTGTTTGAGGCAGAGTCTCACTGGGTCGCTCAGGCTGGAGTGCAGTGGTACAATCTCGGCTCACTGCAACCTCTGCCTCCCAGGTTCAAGTAGTTCTCCTGCCTCAGCCTCCTGAGTAGCTGGGATTATGGGTGCGTGCCACCACGCCTAGCTAATTTTTGTATTTTTAGTAGAGACAGGGTTTCACCATGTTGGTCAGGCTGGTCTCGAACTCCTGACCTTGTGATCCGCCCCACTAGGCCTCCCAAAGTGCTGGGATTACAGGTGTGAGCCACCGCGCCCAGCTCCTGGGATAGTTTTATATTTCCTTCTTCTTTGTATATTTTTAAGATAAAGATGAAGCAAATTAAAATCCAGGTATATTTTAATATCACATATAACCTAAAGGTAGTTATGGATATTAAATAACTCATTGCCACTCCTTTCCTATACATTTGCAGTTTGGCAAGCTTCTTTGTCACTTGAAGTAAAAAACTAATATTCTCTTTTGTCTTTAAGAATGCAGCGGAATACTTGCAAAAAAATACATCAATCTTTTAAAAGACACATAGTAAAATATAAATTCAGTCCAATGAAGAAGAGGACTAGTTTAGATTAGAAAATCATCTGAAGTGAAGAATGGTTTAGAATTATACCATCCTAGCAATGCCTAGGGTGGTGTTCATGTTTCTTTTTCAAAATTGTATCCCTAGTACAAAGCATCTATTATGTGCAACTGGCACATTTTAAATACTTGGTAAAAAGCTATTGAATGAATCAATGAATCTTAGAAGCTTTTGGTTTACTTCTTAATTTTAGAGATGAAGAAACTTAATCTAGAGACTGAATGGCTTAGGCAGAAGCAGAGCCCAACTGACCCTTGATGGTCATTGAACATTTACTACATTTTTAAAAGAAATCATTTTTATTGTTTTCAAGATATGTAATAATTGGAACTAAGCCAAACATATATAATAATGAGATTTTTAGACATGCTGCTTCAATGAATTGACCATTATAGTTGTGATTAGCATATTCTTTGTCTGTACATAGGTAATTATAATGTTCTTGTGGAGGTACTTAAGTGGCTTGCTTTCTTGAGTTGTTAAAATATTTTTTCTTTTAATATTGTTCATGTGGTTAATTTGTTAGGAAACCCTTTGTGCAAGGTACACAAAGGTTCTTTTAGTAAACTCCCCTCGCTGGGCTGTCATAAAGTCTGCATTTGTTAAACAGTATATTATCATTGACTTCAGTGTGGAGGGACTTTAGAGAGTACCTAGTGCAAGCAATTTATTGTTTAGAGGAGGAAATGGACCTCCAGTTAACTAACTTGTCAATGTCACATCAATAGTTAGTGGCAAAGCTAGAAATAGAGCCTGGGTTTTATGGTTCTCTGTCAGGTGTATCTTTGTTGTAAATAATTGACTTCTAACTGCCATATATGTCAATGTCTTGGTATAGATTTATATAGGCAATGATCTATATTAAAATTTAGGGCTTTGAGGGGCAGCCTTAAGTATAAAATTGGTTAAACTAAGCTTTTCTCTACTCCCTAATGCTTAGGCCAGTTGGTTGTTGCAGAAGGAGTTAGTGAGAGGGAGTTTTAAAGAGAAAGGGGAATTTTAGCAGTGTCAGGTTTGGAGCAAACACTTGGAAAGGGTCTGAACCTCTATCAAGAGGAGGGCGAATGATTAGGAGGATACTAAATTATGTTATGTCTATACTGTGTAATTTTTTGCAGGTATTAAGAAAAGACTAGATTAGCCAGGCACGGTAGTGTTTGACTATAGTCGCAGCTACTTGGGAGGCTGAGGCAGGAGAATTGTTTGAGCCCAGGAGTTCGAGTCCAGCCTGGGCAACATAGCGAGACCCTCATCTCTTAAAAAAAAAAGACTCAAGTAGCTCTGTATTTACTGATTGAAGGCATAGTGATGACAGAAGTGAAAAAGGCAAGTTGCAGAGTAATATGTGTTATCCAATGAAAAAAATGAAACAAAACTCTACATATATATATGTGTGTGTATATATGTTTATATATGTATATGTTTATAGATATAATATTTGTATATATTTGAGTGAGCCTGGAGAAATAACCAGGCTAATAACATTCATTATATCATGAAGTGTTTGGGAGCGGAATTATTCATTATATCATTGAAGAATTTGGGAGAGGAATTATTAACTTTTTCTTCATTTATTGTTGTATTATTTAATTTGTTACATGAAGCATCTATTTTGTTATTAGAGAGATCTAATAAATCCATTTATAGCTTTTTGTATTAATGACTTTTTAAAATGAACTTACAACAGTGATGTCAGTTAGCAGAATTTCCCACAGAAGAAAAATACAGATGATCTGACTGTGAATTGACTCTACTCTGGTATTTCTAATATACTGAAATTCTTCAATAATAACATATGTACAGAAAGGAGCATATTGAAGCTAATGTTTAGAGGTGCTTTCCCTAAGATCAAACTTTTCAATCGCCTATATTCTTGATTCACATAATGTTAAAAATTTCATTTATTTTAGAAATCTTTTAAATGATTCATATGTATATTTTTTCAACTATATCATATTTGGCAGCAAGCTAATTAAAGTTAACATATTCACCAGTTAAAGATGAATATTGTTTCCATGCAAAAACAAAGTTAAGAAATTCTCATAATGCCTTTGATTTAGTTAAGACTTAAACCTTCCTTTTGCCAAGAAATGAATTGCTTAGTGTAATTACAATTTTTATTTAAAAGAGGAAAAAATAAACTCCTGCATTTTGTGAAGTTTTAAGGCTCTTGAGCCTTCAATAACCCCAAATAAGTGTAAATGCTCCTGTAATTTTCCAACATTAGGGATGTCCATGGTCTTAAGAGGCTATTTGTTTGTTTTAGATCACAGGTACTAATAAAAGAAAAATATTTTTGGATGTAAATATTTACTAGAAGCCTGTTAGTCATAGATTTCACATAGCACTAACAAAGTTGTTCTTTATGTAAAATTTAAATAGCAGTCATTTAAAAAACTGTGAGAAAAATACCAGTAACAATTTGAGTGTATTTGGAATGGAGAAAACAAAATACCAGCCCTTTTCTCAATTTAGGTGTGTGTGTTATAGTCAACTGCTCTTGTTATAAGTTTCTATTTTTTTCATTATGGCACCACCAAATTAATATCTTTAGTTTGTAACCAAGACTTGATTCAAGCACTGCATTTTAACAAGGGAATTCTTTCACTCTGAGGAGCTAGCAAAGCTTGGAGAAATCATGAGCATCTGATCTAAAAACTGGTGATAACTTTAAGGATTAGTTGATACAGGCTACAAAAGAAGAAAATAAATTGTAGATAGTAAGATAATTATAAAGAAAAATAGAGGGATTTTATTTTCTTAATCTTTTCTAGCTTTTTAAATGAGACTGTTAAAGAATTCATGAAGAATTCTTACCACCTCTTTTTTTTAATATTATTATTATACTTTAAGTTTTAGGGTACATGTGCACAACGTGCAGGTTTGTTACATATGTATACATGTGACGTGTTGGTGTGCTGCACCCATTAACTCGTCATTTAGCATTAGGTATATCTCCTAATGCTATCCCTCCCCTCTCCCCCCACCCCACAACAGTCCCCAGTGTGTGATGTTCCCCTTCCTGTGTCCATGTGTTCTCATTGTTCAATTCCCACCTATGAATGAGAACATGCGGTGTTTGGTTTTTTGTCCTTGCGATAGTTTGCTGAGAATGATGGTTTCCAGCTTCATCCATGTCCCTACAAAGGACATGAACTCACCATTTGTTATGACTGCATAGTATTCCATGGTGTATATGTGCCACATTTTCTTAATCCAGTCTATCATTGTTGGACATTTGGGTTGGTTCCAAGTCTTTGCTATTGTGAATAGTGCCGCAATAAACATACGTGTGCATGTGTCTTTATAGCAGCATGATTTATAATCCTTTGGGTGTATACCCAGTAATGGGATGGCTGGGTCAAATGGTATTTCTAGTTCTAGATCCCTGAGGAATCTGCACACTGACTTCCACAATGGTTGAACTAGTTTACAGTCCCACCAACAGTGTAAAAGTGTTCCTATTTCTCCACATCCTCTCCAGCACCTGTTGTTTCCTGACTTTTTAATGATCGCCATTCTAACTGGTGTGAGATGGTATCTTATCGTGGTTTTGATTTACATTTCTCTCATGGCCAGTGATGATGAGCATTTTTTCATGTGTTTTTTGGCTGCATAAATGTCTTCTTTTGAGAAGTGTCTGTTCATATCCTTTGCCCACTTTTTGATGGGGTTGTTTGTTTTTTTCTTGTAAATTTGTTTGAGTTCATTGTAGATTCTGGATATTAGCCCTTTGTCCGATGAGTAGATTGCAAAAATTTTCTCCCATTCTATAGGTTGCCTGTTCACTCTGATGGTGGTTTCTTTTGCTGTGCAGAAGCTCTTTAGTTTAATTAGATGCCATTTGTCAATTTTGGATTTTGTTGCCATTGCTTTTGGTGTTTTAGACATGAAGTCCTTGCCCATGCCTATGTCCTGAATGGTATTGCCTAGGTTTTCTTCTAGGGTTTTTATGGTTTTAGGTCTTACATGTAAGTCTTTAATGCATCTTGAATTAATTTTTGTGTAAAGTGTAAGGAAGGGATCCAGTTTCAGCTTTCTACATATGGCTAGCCAGTTTTCCCAGCACTATTTATTAAATAGGGAATCCTTTCCCCATTGCTTGTTTTTGTCAGGTTTGTCAAAGATCAGATAGTTGTAGATACGCGGCATTATTTCTAAGGGCTCTGTTCTGTTCCATTGGTCTATATCTCTGTTTTGGGACCAGTACCATACTATTTTGGTTACTGTAGCCTTGTAGTATAGTTTGAAGTCCGGTAGCATGATGCCTCCAGCTTTGTTCTTTTGGCTTAGGATTGACTTGGCAATGTGGGCTCTTTTTTGGTTCCATATGAACTTTAAAGTAGTTTTTTCCAATTCTGTGAAGAAAGTCATTGGTAGCTTGATGGGGGTGGCACTGAATCTATAAATTACCTTGGGCAGTATGGCCATTTTCACGATATTGATTCTTCCTACCCATGAGCATGGAATGTTCTTCCATTTGTTTGTATCCTCTTTTATTTCATTGAGCAGTGGTTTGTAGTTCTCCTTGAAGAGGTCCTTCACATCTCTTGTAAGTTGGATTCCTAGGTATTTTATTCTCTTTGAAGCAATTGTGAATGGGAATACACTCATGATTTGGCTCTCTGTCTGTTATTGGTGTATAAGAATGCTTGTGATTTTTGCACATTGATTTTGCATCCTGAGACTTTGCTGAAGTTGCTTATCAGCTTAAGGAGATTTTGGGCTGAGATGATGGGGTTTTCTAGATATACAATCATGTCATCTGCAAACAGGGACAATTTGACTTCCTCTTTTCCTAATTGAATGCCGTTTATTTCCTTCTCCTGCCTGATTGCCCTGGCCAGAACTTCCAACACTATGTTGAATAGGAGTGGTGAGAGAGGGCATCCCTGTCTTGTGCCAGTTTTCAAAGGGAATACTTCCAGTTTTTGTCCATTCAGTATGATATTGGCTGTGGGTTTGTCATAGATAGCTCTTATTATTTTGAGATACGTCCCATCAATACCTAATTTATTGAGAGTTTTTAGCATGAAGGGTTGTTGAATTTTGTCAAAGGCCTTTTCTGCATCTATTGAGATAATCATGTGGTTTTTGTCTTTGGTTCTGTTTATATGCTGGATTACGTTTATTGATTTTCATGTTGAATCAGCCTTGCATCCCAGGGATGAAGCCCACTTGATCGTGGTGGATAAGCTTTTTGATGTGCTGCTGAATTCGGTTTGCCAGTATTTTATTGAGGGTTTTTGCATCAATGTTCATCAAGGATATCGGTCTAAAATTCTCTTTTTTTGTTGTGTCTCTGCCAGGCTTTGGTATCAGGATGATGCTGGCCTCATAAAATGAGTTAAGGAGGATTCCCTCTTTTTCTATTGATTGGAATAGTTTCAGAAGGAATGGTACCAGCTCCTCCTTGTGCCTCTGGTAGAATTCGGCTGTGAATCCATCTGGTCCTGGACTTTTTTTGGTTGGTAAGCTATTAATTATTGCCTCAATTTCAGAGCCTGTTATTGGTCTATTCAGAGATTCAACTTCTTCCTGGTTTAGTCTTGGGAGAGTGTATGTATCCATTTCTTCTAGATTTTCTAGTTTATTTGCGTAGAGGTGTTCATAATATTCTGTGATGGTAGTTTGTATTTCTGTGAGATCAGTGATGATATCCCCTTTGTCATTTTTTATTGTGTCTATTTGATTCTTCTCTCTTTTCTTCTTTATTAGTCTTGCTAGCAGTCTATCAATTTTGTTGATCTTTTCAAAAAACCAGCTCCTGGATTCACTGATTTTTTGAAGGGTTTTTCTGTCTTTATTTCCTGCAGTTCTGCTCTGATCTTAGTTATTTCTTGCCTTCTGCTAGCTTTTGAATGTGTTTGCTCTTGCTTCTCTAGTTCTTTTAATAGTGATGTTAGGGTGTCTATTTTAGATCTTTCCTGCTTTCTCTTGTGGGCATTTAGTGCTATAAATTTCCCTCTACACACTGCTTTGAATGAGTCCCAGAGATTCTGGTATGTTGTGTCTTTGTTCTTGTTGGTTTCAAAGAACATCTTTATTTCTGCCTTCATTTCGTTATGTACCCAGTAGTCATTCAGGAGCAGGTTGTTCAGTTTCCATGTAGTTGAGCAGTTTTGAGTGAGTTTCTTAATCCTGAGTTCTAATTTGATTGCACTGTGGTCTGAGAGACAGTTTGTTATAATTTCTGTTCTTTTACATTTGCTGAGGAGTGCTTTACTTCCAATTATGTGGTCAATTTTGGAATAGGTGTGGTGTGGTGCTGAAAAGAATGTATATTCTGTTGATTTGGGCTAGAGAGTTCTGTAGAGGTTTATTAGGTCTGCTTGGTGCAGAGCTGAGTTCAATTCCTGGATATCCTTGTTAACTTTCTGTCTTGTTGATCTATCTAATGTTGATAGTGGGGTGTTGAAGTCTCCCATTATTATTGTGTGGGAGTCTAAGTCTCTTTGTAGGTCTCTAAGGACTTGCTTTATGAATCTGGGTGCTCCTGTATTGGGTGCATATATATTTAGGATAGTTAGCTCTTCTTGTTGAATTGATCCCTTTACCATTATGTAATGGCCTTCTTTGTCTCTTTTGATCTTTGTTGACTTAATGTCTGTTTTATCCGAGACTAGGATTGCAACCCCTGCCTTTTTTTGTTTTCCATTTGCTTGGTAGATCTTCCTCCATCCCTTTATTTTGAGCCTATGTGTGTTTCTGCACGTGAGATGGGTTTCCTGAATACAGCACACTGATGGGTCTTGACTCTTTTCCAATTTGCCAGTCTGTGCCTTTTAATTGGAGCATTTAGCCCATTTACTTCTAAGGTTAGTATTGTTATATGTGAATTTGATCCTGTTATTATGATGTTAGCTGGTTATTTTGCTCATTAGTTGATGCAGTTTCTTCCTAGCCTTGATGGTCTTTACAATTTGGCATGTTTTTGCAGTGGCTGGTACCGGTTGTTCCTTTCCATGTTTAGTGCTTCCTTCAGGAGCTCTTTTAGGGCAGGCCTGGTGGTGACAAAATCTCTCAGCATTTGCTTGTCTGTAAAGGATTTTATTTCTCCTTCACTTATGAAACTTAGTTTGGCTGGATATGAAATTCTGGGTTGAAAATTCTTTTCTTTAAGAATGTTGAATATTGGCCCCAGACTCTCTTTTGGCTTGTAGAGTTTCTGCCAAGAGATCAGCTGTTAGTCTGATGGGCTTCCCTTTGTGGGTAACCTGACCTTTCTCTCTGGCTGCCCTTAACATTTTTTCCTTCATTTCAACTTTGGTGAATCTGACAATTATGTGTCTTGGAGTTGCTCTTCTCGAGGAGTATCTTTGTGGCGTTCTCTGTATTTCCTGAATTTGAATGTTGGCCTGCCTTGCTAGATTGAGGAAGTTCTCCTGGATAATATCCTGCAGAGTGTTTTCCAACTTGGTTCCATTCTCCCCATCGTAGATTTGGTCTTTTGACATAGTCCCATATTTCTTGGAGGCTTTGTTCATTTCTTTTTATTCTTTATTCTTTTTTCTCTAAACTTCTCTTCACACTTCGTTTCATTCATTTCGTCTTCCATCACTGATACCCTTTTTTCCAGTTGATTGCATCGGTTACTGAGGCTTGTGCATTCGTCATGTAGTTCTCGTGCCTTGGTTTTCAGCTCCATCAGGTCCTTTAAGGACTTCTCTGCATTGGTTATTCTAGTTATCCATTCGTCTAATTTTTTTTCAAAGTTTTTAACTTCTTTGCCATTGGTTCGAACTTCCTCCTTTAGCTCAGAGTAGTTTGATCTTCTGAAGCCTTCCTCTCTCAACTCGTCAAAGTCATTCTCCGTCCAGCTTTGTTCCGTTGCTGGTGAGGAGCTGCGTTCCTTTGGAGGAGGAGAGGCGCTCTGATTTTTAGAGTTTCCTGTTTTTCTCCTCTGTTTTTTCCCCATCTTTGTGGTTTTATCTATCTTTGGTCTTTGATGATGGTGACATACACATGGGTTTTTGGTGTTCTTACCACCTCTTAATACCTACTATTATTACAACTCTTAGTGAAAATTAGATAGTTATCAGGTCAAAGGAAACTATTAGTTTACCATTGTAAACGAATTGGTAAACCATTAGTTTACCAATTTGGGGAAGGAGGTAAGTAGAGGATAGAAAATGAGAGAGAATTTGGGCTTATAATGGGATGGGGTAGGTGAGTCATTTAGGTTGGGCCTTAAATTCATGATGTGCCTTAAATTTAGGTTTTTGCCTCTAATCCCAGCTACTTGGGAGCCTGAGGCAGGAGAATCACTTGAACCCAGGAGGCGGAGGTTGCAGTGAGCCCAAACCACGCCACTGTACTCCAGCCTGGGTAAGAGAGTGAGACTCCTTCTCAAAAAAATAATTAAACAAAAATTTTTAAATATCCCCTATTCAGTTTTTATATACACTTGTGTTTTTTTGTATGTGTATTAAAGACATTAAACTATAAAATATACTACAAATTATTGTGACTCTTATTTTGGCTTTTTTCCCCCCTTTTATATGTAGGGAACCAGAGCCTCTCTTGACCTTTGAAAGGGACAAAGAGAATTTTAGATAGAAAATAGCATCAGAAAGGTCTGGTGTGGTGGCTCGTGCCTGTAATCCTAGCACTTTGGGAGGCTGAGGTGGGCAGATCATGAGGTCAGGAGTTAGAGACCAGCCTGGCCAACATGGTGAAACCCTGTCTCTACTAAAAAAAAAAAAAAAAAAAAAAATTAGCCATATGTGGTGGCGCATGCCTGTAATCCCAGCTACTTGGGAGGCTGAGGCAGGAGAATCACTTGAACCCAGGAGGTGGAGGTTGCAGTGAGCCAAGATTGTGCCATTGCACTCCAGACTGGGCAACAAGAGAGAAACCACATCTCAATAAAAAAAAAAAAAAAAGAAAGAAAGAAAAAGAAAATAGCATCAGAAAACACTTATTAGATGCCTGTTATGAATTAACATTAAATGAGTTTTAACTCTTGCCACTATTGTATTTTAAGATATGTACCTGACTCTAAAATTTTCCTGAAAAAAAAAAAAGAAATGTACAAACAGCCAGGGAAATTCTGAAAAGGAGAGTTGCTGAGGGAAACTTGATCTATCAGAGGACAAAATGAGGGTAATAACAGTATCTGCCTCTTATGGTTGTCATGAGGTTTAAAAGGTATTATTTAGTTAAAATTTTTAGGACATCTGCCACAGACAAATGTTTAATAAATTTTTAACTGCTAATCTTACTTCCCTGATTTGGATATTCATTTTATTTCATAAACATTAATTGTGTGTGGTGAGGTATGGCTGTGGTCAGTCATGGTGGAGGAAAAGGAAAGTAAGATTCAGCTTCTGGAGTATATACTGTGATATCCCTTAAATCTTCAATAAAGATAAATATAAATGAAGCAGAGTAGCAACACTTTGGTGAACAGTTTTGCATTTTCTATGCACATATCCTTCTTCCCAGACATTTCACTTCTTAGTGAAATACAGGGGAGTCATTCCTACATATGTACAAGGAGACAAAATGGTTCACTGCAGCACTGTCTATAATTTTAAAATATCAAGACTAAATGCCCATCGAAAAAGAAGAGGTAAATAAATTTTAATGTCTTTATACTGTGGAGTAAAATTGGGCAGTTCAGAAGAACAAAGTAGAGCTGTGTATGAATATAAATTTCAAAAGCAGCATTGAGCAGAAGAGTTGCAGAATTATAGATATCATCTAATACTATTTGTACAAAGTTGGAAGACATACAAAAGAATACATGCATTGTTTATGAATACACAGGTAGTAATAGTGTAAGACATTCATGGGATGAAAACTACAAATTTGGGATAATGATAACCTCTTTAGAAGAAAGAAAGGGAGTAGGATTCCAGAACATTCCTTGGGGAAACTCCATTGTACTTGTAATGTTTTATTTAAAGAGAAAAAAAAGCAAATAAGACAAAATGTTAAGATTTTATAAATCTGAAAGACTACATGGTTATTCATATTAGTCTCTTTATCTTATGTTTGAAATATTGCACGCAAATTAAGATGAATATATGAACATGTTGTGAAAACAGCAAAGAGAGAGAAAGAACCAGGCCTCTGGAGTCAGAGGAGCATGGATTTGTTCTGTCTCTGCTTCTTCGTGATTCTGGCTTTGGGAGAGCTGCTTTACCTCTCTGAGCTTATTACCTCATCTATAAAATGGGGATAATAATGTCTTCATCCCAGTTTGTTGTGAGGAATAAACAGCTTATCCAAAATGCCTTTGTGTTAGTCTGTTTTCACACTGCTGATAAAGATATACCCGAGAGTGGGAAGAAAAATAGGTTTAATGGATTTACAGTTCTCCATGGCTGGGGAGGCTTACAATCATGGCGGAAGGCAAAGAGGAGCAACTCACCTCTTACGTGGATGGCGGCAGGCAAAGAGAGAGAGATTGTGCGGGAGAACTCCTATTTATAAAACCATCAGATCTCATGAGACTTATTCACTATCACAAGAACAGTATGGAGGAAAATACCCCCATGATTCTATTATCTCCTACAGGGTCCCTCCCACACACTTGGAAATTATGGGAGTACAATTCAAGATGAGATTTGGGTGGGGACACAGAGCCAAACCATATCAGCCTTTTCTAGTGTTTAGGATCCAAAAGTGCCAAGCACTGGGAATAAAATGTGAGCAACACGGGCATTGTCCTGCCTGTATATGACTGTAGAGTCTAGCAGGGCAGACAGATGATCAACTAATCACCCAAACAAATGTAAATTTTACCTATTATCAGTGTCTTGAAGGAGAAGTGCTGTGAATCCCTCTAATAAAGGAGTTTGTGTTGGTTGGGAAGGTCTTGAAAGGCTCCTTGAGAAGAGCCTTGGGGCTGGTTTTTTAAGGAAAAGAGCAGGAACTCGGTGAAGAAGGGAGGGCAGGATGGTCCAACCCAAGAGAACAGCCCTGATATGTTGTAGGAAGGAGCACAGCCAATAGAAGCTGAAGAGAGGCCAGCGAAATGGAGCAGAGTTCCAGTGGGAGAGTGGTGTTGCCAGATAAGGCTGGAGAAGTAGGTATGAGTCAGATCCCACAGAATTCTGTAGTCCCCATTGGGTAATTTGGGGTATATGGAAAGGACCATTGGAAGCCACTGACTATTATAGTAAGCTAAAGTTCCCTAAAATCAGTGTGAACAGAAGCAGTGCTTCAAGGACTGTTTGGAAACAGCTTTAAACAATGAGGCATTGTTACGGAGTCCTTGAAAATGATCTGGTGAACTAGTGCAGAGCAATTAGAGCTAGTACTGATAGCTTTTCAAAAGAAGATGAGAGTGAAGACGCAGAAACCAGTGCTGGTCACCCATTGATTCTTTTTTGCCAATAACTGTTCACCCTAATGATTCTTTTAAAAATATGAGATCTTGTTGTAGTACAGATTCTAAGTTTATATGGTTATACACAAAGTTAAAGCCTAAAATGGTAAATGAAAGTGAACTTAGTAATATTGGTTGTACATACTGGAATCTATTTAGAATACTATTAAATTCCTTTTTTAACAGTATACCCCCCAATTGAAGTGCTTAAGATGTTAATGTTTTAAGTGTTTTTGTATATTGATGAATTAAATACTTGTTGAGGGTTTATTATCTCCAAGGCCCCATGTTCTGTATATGGTAAGATCTCCAGGGAGGAGGTCTGCTCAGGGATTAGCTTTAAGGTGAATCATAAAATATTCTCAATATAGGTGCCTGTGTGAAAGATAGGCAATAACAATCAACTACAACACTTTATGGATAAAGCATTTTTGCAAACCTAAAGTATTGTAGAAATATAACATGTCTATAGGTTTTGTAAGTTTACTTTTGAGAGCAGCACCTTCAAATATTCATTTTAATTCTTAAAAAGATCTTTAAGGGAGCTTAAAAAGATCTTTAAGGGAAATTAATTAAAAATTAATTTCAGTAAACCTGAGGTCTGCTCTCTAGCAATAACAATTTTATGTGTAAGGAGATTAAGTATAAATACTTGCTTTTGGAGGTATAAATAAAGGAAGCATTTTAATTAATGCATGTTTATTTGGCAGCTTGGTTCTTTGTCTGGTTCTTCGTTTCTTCTTTGGAGCAGTTAGAGAGTCTGTCCTATAATACGTTAGGGGCTTTCACAGTTTTACCTTATACTGAAACTGGCCCTCTTAGGACTTTTGAAGACTATTAGTTTTTAAATTGTGCTTGTTAGTGTAACATTTGTTTTAAAAACAAGGTTATTTAATATCTTAAGTGACAGTCCATTCTCTGGCAATGAGACACCTGGCTTAGCTCTGTGTGAAATATTTTTACTTTTCCATTTCCTTTGCCACAGAAAATATATTGAGGTTCTTTAAAGCTAAACAATATGGTATACCTATTTATCACTCTTGGGAATGTTTAGCATTGGCTGTTAAAAATGAGGAGTACTGTGGTGTGAAGGAGGTGGTAATGAGGAAATGAATGAAATATGTCCTGTTTGTTTTTTTAGTAACTTCATGTGATGTTATGTGATGTCATGAAGAATGGCAAAGATATTTTGGAAATTATATAAAGAATATTCATATATCATAGAATTTTCTATTTGAATAAAATGTGATTGTGTACATTTCTGTAGGTTATGAAGAATATCTTTTAATCTTTGTCACTTTTAAGACAAAACATAAATAAAAAAGATGTAAGGCAAGTTAGTAATACTGTAGGTGGGTGAAGAAAGATAAAGTTAATATATGTAAATATCAATTGTTAAAAACACAGATTGACAAGAAAAAGACCAAAGTCTTAATGGGCAAAAAGGCAATTCACTCAACAAGACATACATTACTACATTAAAAAGAATTTAATTTCTCTACTAATCAAAGAAATGTAAGTTTAAAATAAAATACTGTTAAGATTAACAAAATACATTTTAACACTATATTGTTGAAAATTTGTTGAAATGAGCATTCATACATTGCCTGTGGAATATAGAGGAGCATAACATTAAAGAAAAAACTTTATGTTTGAAAACTCCACTTTGACGACTCTTGAGGAAATAACAAGTATGCAAAAAAAAAAGTCTTGCATCAAAGGTATTACCATTCATGATAATCCATGACTGAAATACCTTTTTATAATAACAAAAATCAGAAGCAATCAAAATGTTTAATCGTAGGGGGAATGTTTACATAAATTATGAGATATCTGTACCCATTACAATTTACACTTATGGAGGTTAAATTAACTTGAGAAAGTGATTGTTATGATATTAGTGGAGAAAAAGCAGGATGTACAATCTCAGTTATATTTTAAAAAGAGAAATAGACATGGGCATATAAAAAAGATTGGAAATATATACATCAAGATGTTAAGAGGGTATTTTGGGCATTGAGATCATGGGTGATTGTTATTTCATTGTTCGTGCTTTTCTATGTGGTCTAATTTTTCTTCAGTTTGCATGTACTACTTTTGTAATCAGAAAGTACGTGAATGTTATATAAAATCACTTATAGAGCTGTGATCACACCTCTAAACTCCAGCCTGGATGACACATTGAGACCACCTCTCAAAAAATAAAATAATGACATAAAAATAAAATAAAATCCCTTCTACAATGACCTTTCAATGCTAGGGAATGCAGCCTGCACAGGCCTTTGCAGCAGATTTCTATTCATGGAAAGCTGTTTATCACAGGTAAAAATTTAGGTCTTTCAAAGAGTGGGCAACATTTTCCTTTTTGAATGAATCACCTAAGAATAAAGATGGTTCTGGTGGAAAGAGTTGATTTCCTGTGTGGCGAGAGAAGACTACACGTAACTTGGTGGTTAGTCATCTTAAAATAAAATGTCTGGGCCAGACATGGTGAGTCATGCCTGTAATCCTAGTGCTTTGGGAGGCTGAGGCAGGAGGATTACTTGAGGCTAGGAGTTCAAGACCAGCCTGGGCAACATGGCAAAACCTTGTCTCTATAAAAAATATAAATATTAGCTGGGTGTGGTGGTGTGCACCTCTGGTCCTAGCTACTCTGGTGGCTGAGGCAGGAGGCTCACCTGAGCTCAGGGGTTCATGGCTGCAGTGAGCTGTGATTGCACCATTGTACTACAGGCTGAGCAACAGAACAAGACCCTGTCTCTAGAAAAACAAAGGTCTGGAAGAGTTTTAGAAAAGTGTTATATATAGGAAAATTAATTTTTAATTTGTTTGACCTTGACAGGCCTACTATATATCTCTAAAGCAGAACTTGTCAATATCTTTTAGAATTTTTTTTTATTTTTTATTTTTTTTGAGACACAGTTTTGCTCTTGTTGCCCAGGCTGGAAAGCAATGGCGCCATCTCGGCTCACCGCAACCTCCGCCTCCCAGGTTCAAGCGATTCTTCTGCCTCAGCCTCCTGAATAACTGGGATTACAGGCATGCGCCACCACGCCTGGCTAATTTTGTATTTTTAGTAGAGACGGAGTTTCTCCATGTTGGTCAGGCTGGTCTGAAAACCCCCGTCTTCAGGTGATCCACCCGCTTCGGCCTCCCAAAGTGCTGGGATTACAGACATGAGCCACCGCCGCTGGCCTAGAGTTGTTGGTAAAGTAGCGCTTTAGTTGCTGACATTAATGGATTTTAAGGAAGTATTAATAACAAGATGTTCAGATGGGGTGTTTTTGTTTTTTCCTCCTTCAGTTCTCTTTACATTGTGAGGTAAGAGCCATGCTTGCAGCTTTATAATGGATTCGTTGGCAAGGGCCTACTGGCATCAGGTAGAGTTTGAGATTGTAAAATTAGCAACATAATATTTTCAGTTGTTTCAGTTGCTTGTAGATTTTTACGGGTCATTTTTGCCTTTAGTTCTGGTTTAAAGGAAAAATATTGCCTTGACAATCTTTAATTCTAAATTTGGAAAGGACATAAAGATATTCTTATACTAAAAAGAATGGGCCAAAACAATTGTTAAGTACCTTCATATATATTTATGTATATGTCTGTGTGTGTTTGTGTATTTGACATGTACACATAACTTAATACCATTGCATTGAATCGAAACATTTAAAAAAGGCAGTTAAGAAGACTGGACCAACAAAAGGGAAATTTTGAGGTGGAGAGGGGTATGGACTTTTAACAATTAAAATTTAGAAAAATAGCAGATATTTTCTTTTCTATAGAATTGGAACTTTGACAAAGCTTTAAAGCAATATGCCATGAACATAATTACCTGATTTCAATATGAAATGGACATGGAGATGTCCTAGATTTTCTTAATTTATTTCATTATGGAGTGTTTACCATATGTATTCATGTTGTGAGATAATCAAGAATAAAATAATTTACACTACAAAGAACAATCATTTTATTTTTCAATGATTTTATCTCATTTTTTATCGTTCAGCCTCTCAAATTAATTCCTTCTTGAAGGTGTGAGAATTTTTCTTCACTACTAGAGGGTTATTCCAGTCATCTGCACTACAAAGGAGTGGTTTCTCATTCTATTTTAGTAACCTGGGAATGGCAAATATTTAGAGGAATTCTAATACAATGGCAGAAGGAGAAGGAAATTAAAGTTTGGTGGGTTCTTCTCTTCTCTGCGTTAGATTTAAAAGTATTTTTGTCTAGAAATATTACAAATTTGCAGGTTAATTTAAAGGGACATTTTTCTCTTTGTAACTTTATGAATAAATGGAGAAAAATATTCTCTGTATGTTTCCTTTGTTCCAGTTTTAAATTTTCCTTTATTATATGTTTTACTTTTAGGTCATTTCCCATTTTTCTGACTTGGTTTTGTATGGAATTTGACAGAACAAAGAAAGCATTTAATGATGGAGTTATATAAATTCTTTATCTTCTATGACAGGCTAAACTTACTGGAAATAAATGTTGATGACAATTAAGATTATATTAAATATCTGCAGAGTGTATTTGTATAAATGCTTAGAAATTAATATACACTGAAAAAATATTAAAAAGTATTAGAGAAGCTAAAAAAGAAATTTTTGCAAAAGAAAATTTTCGGAGAGAATCTTGAGATCTGTTACATGTAAATTATGATTAGATCAACCTTTAGAATATATATAATCTCCATATAGTGAAGAAACTTATGAGATAGTACTAGTCATAAAAGAAATGCCAGTTCAAATAAGGTAGGAAAATAATTTCATGTGTTTTTAACTAACATTTTTTGTTTTTAAACATATTAAGGCTCAGATTTGTCTGGGTGTAGGATTTAGAGGGCAATTTGGTAATACAATTTAAGTATCATAAAAGTGTTCATACGCTTTAACACATTAATTCCAAGCATAAAAATTAATCCTAAAAAAAAATTTAGAAGCAGTAACAGTACCGCCACCACCACCAACAATGTACATATATACAAAGTTTTTATGGAAACATTTTTTTCAATGTCCACATTTTTCAAAATAAAGATGGCTGGGCACGGTGGCTCACATCTGTAATCCCAGCACTTTGGGAGGCCGAGGCAGTCTGATCACGAGGTCAGGAGTTTGAGACCAGCCTGGCCAACATGGTAAAACCGCGTCGCTACTAAAAATACAAAAATTGTTGGGCGTGGTGGCACATGCCTGTAATCCCAGCTACTTGGGAGGCTGAGGCAGGAGAATTCCTTGAACCCGTGAGGCAAAGGTTGCAGTGAGCCAAGATCGTGCCACTGCACTCTAGCCTGGCGACAGAGCGAGACTCTGTCTCAAAATAAATAAATAAATAAAGATTATACATTGTTTAGAGACAAGCTGTTCAAGAGTTTTAAGAGAGAGGTGCACAGGCATAAGCATATTGTTAGTTATACACATATGGTGGTAAGTGTGCTTGCAAAAAGGTCTGTTAAAATATATACTAGGCTCTGGAAGTGTACGCTGTGTAGTGTTACAATTCTATACTTAAAACAAGGAAAACTGACAGTATACTGTGTTTGCTTACAAGTAGACAAAATGCAAAATACACCTGTACAAAAATAGAAGGCATTCCATTTATATTTTATAAGGTGAGAGGGGCTCTGATTGTAAGGAAAGCTACTGAACTTACAGCTCTTTGAAGACCAGGACCCATCTTTTCTTATTCATCTTGGTAGCCTAATAGAGTGCCTGTCCTATAATTGACTCTCAGTAGATAATTACTGTTTGGATCTGTTATTCTCCTCTTTAACCACTGCTGCTGAATAAACTTCCCAAACTCCTGCCAGATAACTGAATTTGAATCACTTTGGCTCTCTCCCTTGAAATTCTTATCCCTTCACCTGGCCCAGGGATTTTTTTTTTTAACTTTTTATTTTGAAATAATTTTAAACTTTCAGAAAACTTTCATAGAGTTCCTGGGTTCCCAGCTTT
This sequence comes from Homo sapiens, assembly GCF_000001405.40. Lineage (NCBI taxonomy): Eukaryota > Metazoa > Chordata > Mammalia > Primates > Hominidae > Homo > Homo sapiens. Next base: position 222,884,254 of record NC_000001.11, read on the forward strand.
TCTTCATGTTAATATCTTATATAACCATAGCACAATTATTGAAACAAGGAAACTAATATTATTATAATACTTCTATTAATTTCAATTTTGCCAGTTTTTTCACTTATATCCTTTCTCTGGCCCAGATCCAATCCTGGATCCCACACTGTACTAAATTGTTGTGTCTCCGTAGTCTCTTCCAATCTGTTAATGTGTGATAGTTCTCCAGTCTGTCTTTATCTTTCATGACCCTGGCAATTTTAAAGAGCATTTTTAAGGTTTCTTTTTAAAAATGTTCCTCAATTTGGGTATAGCTTATGTTTTCTCATATTTAGATGGAGGCTATGCATTTTTGGCTATGCATCCTACAGAAGGGATGCTGTATAAGTCTTAATGCATCATATCAGGGGTATATGGTGTCCGTATGCCTTATTGGTGATGTTAACTTTGATCACTTGGTTAAGGTGTCTGCCCAGTTTTTACTCTGTAAAGTTACTATTTTTCCCTTCATGATTAATGAGTATCTTTTGCTCACTGATTTTAGCATCCACTGATGGTTCTTGCCTACAATTATTACTATGGTATGTGTCTAATGATGACTTTTTATTATTTATTTATTTGGTGAGACGGAGTCTCGCTGTGTGCCCACGCTGGAGTGCAGTGGCGCGATCTTGGCTCACTGCAACCTCCGCCTCCTGGGTTCACGCCATTCTCCTGCCTCAGCCCCCCGAGTAGCTAGGACTACAGGCGCCCGCCACTACGCCCGGCTAATTTTGTTTTTGTGTGTTTAGTAGAGACGGGGTTTCACCATGTTAGCCATCTCCTGACCTCGTGATCCGCCCGCCTCGGCCTCCCAAAGTGCTGGGATTACAGGGGTGAGCCACCGCACCTGGCCTGTCTAATGATGGCTTTTAAATTTCTACATTTCTTCTACATTCAGTAATTGGAAAGCTACTGTAAGGAAGATCCATTTCTTCTTCCTCATTTGTTTATGTAAGTATGGCCTCATGAATATTTATTTTATTCCATGGCTTATAATCCAATACTGTTATTAATTTATATTTTTGCTTAAATTGTTCCATCTTTGGCCATTTGGAGTTCCTTTGAATTGGTTTTTGTGTCCGTTCCACATGTTTTTGAGCACTTCCATACTTTGAAGTACCACAAGATATTCCAGGCTCATCTTATATTTTCCCAGCACCCACCCTAGAGCTCCAAGGAGCCCTGATTTCTTTTCTTTTTTTTTTTTTTTTTGAGACAAGATCTCGCTCTGTCACCCAGGCTAGGGTGCAGTGGTGCAATCACAGCTGATTGCAGCCTCTTTCTCCTGGGCTCAAGTGATCCTCCTGCCTCAGCCTCCCCAAGTGTTGTGGTATGCACTACAGCTGCTTACCACAATACTTAGCTAATTTCCTAATTTTTATTAGAGGCAGGGTCTTGCTATGTTGCCCGGGCTCCTGGTTTCTTTTATTGAAGAATGGCATTTAGAAACCAAGTCTGAGTGCTAGATGTGCTTCCTGCTCCTTGGTGTCATTGCTTCTGGGTCCTTTGAGTGGGCAGAGTGAGGAAATATACGTATATGTACTAACATGTATATAATGTAGCATTCAGAGTTCCTCCATGTCTATCATGGGGATACACACACACACACACAGACACACATACACACGGACTAGTATTTTCTCCTACTGAGATTATTCCTAATTTGTATGATAGAATTAAATATAAAAGCATCACGATTTTCTGGTGCTTTGCCATGTGAATAAGTTTGAAAACTACTTCATAGGGCAACTTGGAAGGAGATGTATAGGCTTAAACTATGTATATAATGTAGCATTCAGAGTTCCTCCATGTCTATCATGGGGAGACAAGGGGATGAGGGAAAAGACCTTTCAGCGACACGTTTCCAACTCAGATAATGGAGCTCATACACAAATTCCTTTTATACTTCTACATTTTTCTGATGCTGATGGCAAAGAGAGGTAGGCTATAGAAAATCTGAACAGTGAGTGTTGACAGAATGGTAGAGACAGCAACAGAAGCAACGCTTTGAGGTTTATTAGGCAATAATACCAATGATAGGAGCAGCTACCACACCTGTTAGTTTGCACTAGTTTCATATGCTGTCGGGTTCAGACGTTCATGTAGTCATGAAATGTTTATTGAGCATCTACTATGTGCTTAAAAATCACATTGCAAAAGCCAGCCAAACTTATTTTCAGATAAAGCTCCACTGACTCTATGAAGATAAAGTTTAGATCTCCCTGGTAATAATACCTACATTTCTTCCTTAAGGAGGATTAACTTGGTATAGAAGAAGACAACTGAGCACAAATGTGGCTGGCTAGGTGCCAGCTCTTTGAAGTTCCTTAACTTGCATAGATTAACCCTGTCAATTCTGAAGGTATAGGAAGCCAGATCGTACTTTGATGTCAGAACTGTTTTGAGAGACCATTTATGTTGTGTTTCCTTTGAAGAAGAGTGATTCAAGGCAATCTTTACTTACATAGGGCCAATGAGTTGACCTAGGAAGCCTAGAAACAAAAATCCTTTGCCAAAAAAGAGTTGAAAGTAGCTGTAAGTGATTTGAAACATCATATTTACATAAGAGTTTTGAGAGAGATCATTTGGAATTAATCTAGTTTACCTAGAGGCAGAGGATTAGTTGCTCAAAATGATTCCTTATGGGAATTCCTAGTTTGATGTCATGCATCTCTCAGAATTTTTTGGGCACTGGCATGTTTAACTGCAGTCATTTCTGGGGAGGGTTTGTTTATAGATAAATGCACAACTTTACATAAACACAAAGTTTGTGATTGAGACATTTTTTAAAACCAGCTAAAAAGGATTTCGAATGGGGGAAAAATAATCACAGAAGCTGAAGGTTCAGTTTCAGAGATACCAAGTTATCAGGTTTCTTTCTTGATGTCAGATTAATGGGAAATTGGAAACTGAAAGCTGGTGTGTATTACCCTCTTACACTTTAAAATGTTGCTTGTTAAGGCAGGCACATTTTTAAAATACTTGTTTGAATACCTGAAGTACAAGCCCTTATTTTCCTGCCTGTATGTCATCCTTCTGATTGGCTGTTCTGATTGTAGCCAGAATATCTGGGCATTTTTCAGGCAGTTGAGATAAAGAAACTCGTATTTTCTTCTTCATTACTCTTAAATTCATAGTTCAAAATATTTATGTTAGTTTTAAACATAATAGTTTCCTGAATTAGGTAATTTATAAATGTCACATTGTTTTTGTTTTTTTTTTTTTTTTTTTTTTTGAGACGGAGTCTCGCTCTGTTGCCCAGGCCGGACTGCGGACTGCAGTGGCGCAATCTCGGCTCACTGCAAGCTCCGCTTCCTGGGTTCACGCCATTCTCCTGCCTCAGCCTCCCGAGTAGCTGGGACTACAGGCGCCCGCCACCGCGCCCGGCTAATTTTTTGTATTTTTAGTAGAGACGGGGTTTCACCTTGTTAGCCAGGATGGTCTCGATCTCCTGACCTCATGATCCACCCGCCTCGGCCTCCCAAAGTGCTGGGATTACAGGCGTGAGCCACCGCGCCCGGCCTGTTTTTGTTTTTAATATTTTTATGTTCAAAATGTTGATGTCTTTGAGAATGGAAACAGATCTTTTGTCCTAATTTGACCAATTGGAACAAGGTATAGAGGTCACAATAGCAGAGAAGTGGCACTGCTGAACCATTATAATTTCATTATTTCAGTCACTGATATTAAATCTGGGTTCAGGTTGGGACCCTTTTGGGTTCTTGGCTTCAGATCCCTGAAATGTTGACTGTAGAAGTTTCAGTTCACAATTTTGGGTGGATTTTCAAAATTGATCTGCCTGACTGTTAGGAGCAGGTTGCATTTCATACTAGTTGTTTCATTTAAGAACATTTCTAGGAGATGGTTTAGCTTTATAAAATTACCTGAAATATCACAACATAGTCCTACTTGAGTTTCCTGAGCTCACTTCTAAGTGATCAGTGTGTAATGGAAAGAAAGTCTCGCTAGTAATTTTTAAATTTAGATTTACTAGCCAATCATAATGAGTATCACATATGAAATATAGGCTGGCTACTTACTGCATGCATGTGAATGAGACAGAGCAAATCTCTACACACATTATATACATTGAACAAACCATCTTTTAAAAAGTTAAAAATTTCAAGCTGAAGAAGCCAATCTTAAGGAAAAGTTTTTTTAAAGTACAATTTTCTTTGGTATTTTTATTGGGTAAAAAGGGTAAAAAGTTTTACTTTAAGTAAATTTTTTTATGGAGCAAAGGAATGCCGAGGGTGGGGTAGCATAAAAATTGTGAAATTAGAATGCCCAAAGTAATGGGAGAAGCTGTATTAAATTTTGAGTTATGTAGTGCGTTTATCAGAATGTATTCTGTTGTACATTGAAGATAAAAAGCAAGCCAGAAAGTATTTAGAAAATTTTTATTTTCTCCCACATACTGAGAGAGTAACCAAATCGTCTTAAACATCAACAATATTACCTTTTATAGAACAATTAAAATGCAAGGTTTCTTTTTGTTATTTTAGTGACAACTTTATCTTGAGTAACTGGCTTTGTCAGTTGTGTGTGTGTGTGTGTGTTTCTATTTGAAAGGCTGTGAAGAGATTTCTTAGTTTATTCAGTTGCTTACTTTTTTCTCTTTCTTCAAAAAATTTTTTAAATGGGCAAATAATAATTGTACATATCCATGGAGTACATAGTGATGTTTCTATACATATAATGTATAGTGATCAATCTGATTACTTGGAATATCCATCATCTCAAACATTTATCAGTTTTTTGTGTGTTGGGAATGTTACTTTGAGACATTTAAGATAAATGTTTTTTTCCCCTAAGATTCCAACTCTTTAAAAACACACTTTATAATTTGGGTGGAGTATATTTTATATTTTTTATTACACTATATGGCATATTTTGGGAAAAGGTATTGGGATTCTTCTGAGGTCAAGAAGTTTTATGTTAAGAACAGGAGAAGAAAAAACCCTCAAAATCTAAGTAGGCTAGTATTAAATAAATTGATGTTTAATCCTTTGAAAGCCAGGGTTTTGCTTGGTATCTAGTTACCTTGTATACCTTGTCTGCTGAACTGATTGAGGATGGGTGATTCTGTTTTCTTCCAGGAAATGCTTTTCCTCAGTTCCTTAAGCCTCCTGTTTAAAGGGAACTCTTTCAAGAGATTTTCTGATTAAAGATGAGAGAATGCAAACAGTAGCACTTGGGATAATATCTTCTGGCTTTTGTGATACAATTTTTCTTCCAAATGTAAATTTTTCATTGGGTTGGTTTATCATTTTCCCCATGCAACTATTTTTTTTTTTTTTCACAGAGCCACGTTTTATTATAACTACATGAACTATATATGCCTTGGGGCAAAGACTACACAAAACACAGAAACAGGAAATGCCTGTTAGGTTAAGAGACATGGGATAATGGGTAAAAATATCTTTTAAAAATTACTTACTGTTGTCAGCATTACTGCAGTAATATAAAATGAAGACAATTTCTGATTTCATTATCTTGAAAACTTCTTTTACACTTGTACTTTTCCATTTTGTTGTTTCAGAGCAGAAACCTTAACCAAGGAAGTAGTGAAGTTCTGTATTTTTATTCTATGAATTTAAATCATTTTGAAACCAGTCATAGCTTAGAGCTGTGCCTTTCAAGCTGTTTTATTGGCATATGTTTCTAAATATTAAATATCAACTGGAAAGTAGAAGTAAATTAATGTAACTAAAAAAGATTTACTTTAGCATATGAAAGGTTATCATCTCCAAACTGTTAATATTTACAAGTGATTTTTTAAAGTGATAAGCTTCCTTATAGTGAAATACTTATTAAGTAGGCTCATTTATTCAACATGTATAATTATTTATTGCTTTCTATATGACCAGCTTTCTATATGTTAAGAACTGGATATATAATCATTAGTGAGCAAAACATTTATGGGTTCTTCTATTGGAGTTTATGCATTAGTTCATTTGGTAGATAATTGTTGAACACCAACTATGTGCCAGACACTGTTCTATAATTTAGGGTTGTGCTTTGTGGAGGGAGAAATAAGTAATAAATGTGGTAAGTGCTTAAATAAATGATTAAGATCATTTCAGATAGGGATCAGTACTTCAAAGTGAGTAATACAGGGAGAACTAATGAAGTACCTGAGCTGATCTACTTTACAGACTAGTAGAGGAGATAATTTTAGTATAATTAATCACATAGATAAATATGATAAATGCTGTAAAGGAAAAGCAATGAGTGTTTATGAGAGCTGATAAATGAGGGAGATAAGGGATAGTTCATTTTGGGGGAATCGGGGAAGACTTCTGGAAGAAGTAACATTTGAGCTTAAATCTGAGCTACAACTAGGTGTTAGTTTTCTAGGGCTGCCATAACAAGTATGACAAACTGGGTGGTTTAAACAGCAGAAATGTATTGTCTCTCAGTTCTGGAGGCTAGAAGTCCAAGACCAATATGTAGGCTGGGTTGGTTCCTTCTGAGGGCTATGAGGGAGAATCTGTTCCATGCCTCTCTCTTATCTTCTGGTGGTTTGTTGGAAATCTTTGGTGTTACTTGGTTTGTAGACACAATAGCCTGATCTGCCTTCACATTCACATTGTGTTCTCCCCATGTGCTTGTCTGTGTCCAGATTTCCTCTTTTTATAAGGACATCAGTCATACTGGAGTAGGGACCCACCCTACTCCAGTATGAACTCATTTTAACGAATTACATCTACAACAGCTTTTATTTCCAAATAAGGTCACATTCTGAGGTACTGAGGGTTAAGACTTCAATATATGAATTTGAGGGGGACATAATCCAACCCGTAATACCAGGAGTTAGCTAGATGAAGAGAGGAGGGGGGATGACTTTTCAGGAAGAGAGAACAGCATGTGTGAAGGTATTGTGTTGGAGAAGCATGGCTCATTTAAGAAATGAAGTGTAGCTGAAGCATAGAAACTGAGAGGAAGAGTGAAGTGACAATTCCGGAGACATTTTGAAGGTAGAATAGATAGAGGGGACCTAATGACCAGCTGAACATGCTGTGAAGGAAGGAATAATCAAAGATAATTTCCTACCTATAGCTGTGATGAAAGTATTTTCACCATTTTCAGGTAGAGATATCCAGTAGAAAGATAGAAATTTCTTTCTATAGATCAAGGGAAAGATTGAAGCTGGAAATAAGGATTTGGAAGTAAACTATATTATAGGTCAAAAGTAGGCTAAAATTACTCAGGAAGAATGCTTTTAGATGAGAGGGCTGAGACCTAGAACCTTAAAAAACATCCATATTTAAAGAGGGGGCCAGAATAAAAAGCCAACAAAAAAAACAAAAAAGCAGGAAAAACAATATGCAGTAAGAAAAAGTAGATGGATTACTGCTTGGGAAACCAAGCTAGAAGAGAGTTTTGAGAAGGAGGGATTGGTTGATGGCATCAAATGCTACATGAAGGTAAAGTAGGATGAGACCTGGAGAGAGATCTGATCTCATTTGCCAGTTTGAGGTGATTAGTGAGTACAACAGGTTATAGAATAGTGAAAGTGGAAGCCAGGATTTGGGTGTGTGTGTGTTGAGGAGTAAAAGGCCAATGGAGAAGAAGAAGGAGTAAATATAAACAACTATCTTAAGAATTGGCAATGAAGGGAAGGTGATACAGGGAAGCACATACAAGTTTTAGAAGATGGTAGAGAGCTTAGGAAGATCTTGTATGACTGAAAACCAAGAGCAAGAAAATTAATGGGGGTGGGGAGAGGAGAGGAGAGGAGGGAGTGATACCTTACATAAAGATACGTAAGAGAAGTGTTCCCATTTAGGATTTGCTTCCTGGCATTTCTCAGGAATTTTATGTTTTTCTAGATTCCCAAATGCTGAAAAATTTGGTGGGGAAATCAGGAAAACAGGCAGGGTATTGTAATTTTCCTTCACGTTTAGCAGTCAAGGCAGAGGTTACTGATTAAATTCATGGACATCAAGTCTGCAGCAACAGCAGGAAACATGACACAGAGAGTCAAAGGTTAAGATGGCTATTTCTGGGAAGCTGGAGAGGAACACAGGACAGAAAGCTTCACGTCTTATTGTGGCTTTGCCGTGTACTAGTGTGTATTCCTAGCCCTGACTACTGCTAATGGTGAATCATTCTTGCAAATAACGTAAGTATGAATAAGCTTATTCACATAGTATATTTTGTATATGATTCCAGTGAGTGGTGTCCCGAGAAATAATAAGTTTTGACAGCAAAATCTTAAATTGGTCATTTGGACATGTGATTCTTTGTAATGCTATTAATGTTGCTAGGAGATCTGAATGTTACGTTACTTGAATACTATACCTAATAATGTTTGCTGAGGGCTTCCAGTGTTTGGTATCTGCTACAGGCTACGATTATTTGTAAATACTTTTGACAGAATAAATGCAAGAGATGATCACAGTGTGGCTATGGAACACTTTGATGTGAAATCAGAAACATCTGTAATCTGGATTAGCAAAGCAATATTCACTTTAATGGCAAAACCGAAATCAGTGCAAGCATACAAAATATTTTTATTGTTAAAGAAGAAAATGAGCTTAAATGAAGCAAAATGTGTTTGAATGTCCAGCTTGGTGATCACACCAACATCTATGCAACATGAAAGAAAGTTTTCTATGTCTGGAATGTTTGTCATGAAATAAAAGTCAAGTCTCAAGGCAATTAATGTTTTATGTGTTTTAAATTTTTATTAAAAATTGGTGGCTTTTAAATATCAAATATTTGTGATATCATCTGTAAATTTTTAAATAATTTCTATTTGACATGTGTTAATGTTTACTTCACTTGATGTTTTCTATTATTAGATGTCTATATCAGGTATAGATCATTTTTATGTTACGAAAATATCGATCTTATCACAATACCACAATATATTGGTTGATAATTATAAACCATGCCTTTATTATTAAATCTTTTGTGTTAAGAAAACTACTAAAACTTTAGTGGTTTTCTATTAAATGGATAATAACCCTATCATGGAAAAATTATTCACTGTATATAATAATTACTGTCACTCATTATTGTCATGGGATCCTTGGGATGTTACTTCGCCAACTGGAAACCTCTGTAGCTGGCGGAGCCTTCTTCCTGAGCACTGCTTGTGCCTGCTGGCCTCATTCCGCCCACTCGACCTGGCAGGCTGTGCTTGGCTCATGCTACCGGCCCGGATCCCACACCTGCCAAAGGCAAGCCAGGCATGGAGCGGTGAGGGCTGTGTGGGCGAGTGAGTGTGAGGTCTGGCTGCTGTGCACAGACAGCTAGGCACATCAGCTGCTGTGGCAGGGCGGGCAGCCCCAGGCGCCGGCACTGACTCCATGGAAGGCTGCGGCTTGACCAGATGTACTGCATGCAGCTTCCACTGCGGGCACCCATGTCTGGATGAGGGGAATGTGGTGGTGCCTGGAAGCTTGGAGATGCCAGGAACTGCAGAGCCCCAAAGAGAGTGTCACAACCCTGGCTCCGGGAGCTCCTAGATGTGGGCTCCCTTCTCTCCTTCTTGTTGCCCACAACGTGGCTAATGGAGTGGGGGCGTGTTTCAGCCCTGTTTGTGTTACAGCTCTTTCAGCCCTGCCATTCAGCAGGTCCTAAGTTCTTGTCCCGTGTCCAGGAATAATGAGGTACATGGACAACTGGAGTGTGAGCAAGGTGGAGAGGAGCTTCATTGAGTGGCAGAACAGTTCTCAGGAGACCCGAAGTGGGTAGCTCCCTCCCGCAGGCAGGTCATCCCTACAAGTTGAGGAGACGTGAAGTGGGTAGTTCCTTCTCCCAGCCGGTAGTCCCCATGTCTGTGTGAATCTGACTGGGTGGGTGGTTATGGGTCTCATAAGGCAGGAAGTGTGTACTGGTTGATCCATGGTTGGGCCCAGAAAAAGCTCCCTAAGTTCTCACTCCCGGTGCAGACTTCACCTAGAACTGACAGCCCGGTCCCCAGGCTTCAGGCCGTCCCTGGCTTGAAGGTGGGGCTTCACCAGGGACCTACCCCTTTCCACCCAGGAGCCAGTCTGCCTCCTGACACCGTAAGTCACTTTAGTCCATCGCGCCCAGGCTGTTCCTGCAGAGAGGCACCTGCAGGCCAATGCTGAGCCACCCTCAGTGCCCCCTCGGGCTCCCTCCCATACTTGTAGGCACCCAAAGTCCAGAGGGGACTGAGGCAGCAGGGGGCTGGAGTGTTAGCACTGCCTCAACTGTGCACACACCCGCCCGGGTTGCGACAGCGCCTGGACTCGGCTTCAACTTTGCTCCCAAATCAGAGCGAGTGCTGGGAGCAGGGAGCAGGGGGAGGCCAGGCAGCAGGAGCAGTCACTTCCAAGCCTGTGGGGGCAGGGGGCTTCTCGGGCCCCCAAGAGTGCAGAGATGCCTGGGTCCGCAGCCATGGCTGGGTGGCTGTAGCTGCGCCTGGGAGCATGGGGCTCCTGCTTTGCCAATTCGGAAATGGGTGGGGCTCCCACCTGTTCCCGCTCCCGCTGGCTCCCTGGAACAGGCACCACGAACCCGGCTGTGCCTCCCCTGCTACAGCCGGCGACGCTGCAGCGGCTGCTCCAGACGGGCTGCGGGTGCCATCATTATTATTTTAAAACACATAAATAAATATTTGAAAAATACAGAATAACCTACGAGATTGAGAATTCTTGTAGATTCCAATTTATTTCCTAAAGATTTAGAAACACCACCTAAGAGATTGATTTGACCCAAAGGCTGGGATTAAGGACCCACAGGTAGAAAAATAAGCATCTGAGTAGGGACACCCTTTCTTCTTTCCTTATTTTGGGGGAAGGATTTCAGGATGGGTAGAAATACAGATGCATTTGAAAATCTAGAGAATAGTCTCAGTTTTCTTTCCAAAGGAGTACACTCACATTTCTTAATTGTGATGGGCAAAGGGCAGGGCTGAGATACCAGAGGTAGGTTGTTATGGTTTGGAACAGCTGACCAGGGATGAGCCTAAGGAGATACTGTCCAGTTGAATGCTCAGCTGAAGTTATCAGGGAAATTCTGAAAGGCTCATTAGGAACCTTTTGTAGACCTTGGTGCTTTTTTGCCACTGTACTCTTTCCAAGTAGTTAACCGAATACCAGTCAACTTAGAAAATAAATTCAACACATTTTACTGTTAATTTGGCTTATATTTATTGTTTTAAGAATAACTGATTTTTTAAAAAAATGATGAAATACAAACTTCTGCCATTTATCTCATCATTTTTCGCAATCTGTGATTTTCTTTTCCTTTGTGAGGGAATGCTGGGAATACATCAGTAGTTGCCCAGTTCTGACTGTTTATAACAAACAGAATAATTAATGTACATTTTATCTCTTTAAAATAACATGATTGATAAACAGATCAATGGAACAGAATAAAGAGTCCTGAAAGACTCACACATACATGGCCGGCTGATTTTTCAGCAAAGGTGCCAAGGTAATTCAATGGAGAAGGATCAGTCTTTTCCACATATGATGGGTTAACTGGATCTCTTGCAGGTGGAGAGGGAAAACTTGATCTCTATCCCACAGCAAATATAAAAATTTTCTAAAAGTAGATTATAGACCTAAATGCTGTAAACCTAAGGCTATGAAACTTTTAGAAGAAAACATAGAGAATCTTTGTGACCTTAGGAAAGGCACAAAGATTTCTCAAGATTTTTTAAAAAGCCTATTCATAAGATTTTTTAAAGTGTTGATAAATTGGACTTTATCGTAATTACAAATTTCTGCTCTTCAAAAGATACCATTTAAAAAATGAAAAAGCGAGGCTACAAGGTGCAGTGGCTCATGCCTGTAATCCCAGCAGTTTGGGAGGTCCAGGTGGGAGGATAGCTTTACATCCAGGAATTCGAGACCAACCTGGGCAACATAGGGAGACACCGTCTCTACAAATGAAAAAAATTAGCTGAGCATGGTGATGCATGCCTGTGGTCCCAGCTACCGGTAGGCCGAAATGGGAGGATTTCTTGAGCCTGGGAAGTCAAGGCTGCAGTGAGCCATGATCCTGCCACTGCACTCCAGCCTGGGTGACAGAGCACAATCCTGTCTCAAAAAAAAAGAGGCTGGGCGCGGTGGCTCATGCCTGTAATCCCAGCACTTTGGGAGGCCAAAGCAGGTAGATCACCTGAGGTCAGGAGTTTGAGACCAGCATGAGCAAGATGTTGAAGCCCCGTCTGTACTAAAAATACAAAAATTAGCTGGGTGTGCTGGTGGGCGCCTGTAATCCCAGCTACTCCGGAGGCTGAGGCAGGAGAATTGCTTGAACCCAGGAGGTGGAGGTTGCAGTGAGCTGAGATCGCACCATTGCACTTCAGCCTGGGTGACAGAGTGAGACTCTATCTCAGAGAAAAAAAAAAAAAGGTAAAAAGAAAAAGCAAGGTACAAAGTAGGAGAAAATATTTGTAATACAATGTGTGACAAAGGGCTTGTATCTAGAATGTTAAAAGAACTCTTACATGGCAAACAACTTTTAAGAGGTGAGCAAAGATTTGAAAAGACACACAAAGAAGATATACAGATGGCCAATAAGCACATGGAAAGATGAGCATCATCATTAGTCATCAGGGAAATTATTTAAAACCCACAATGAGATACCATTTATAACTGCCAGAATGGCTAAAATGAAAAAGACCAAGGATTTCAAGTATCAGAGAGAATGAAAAACAAGTGTGAAATGGCAAAACCACTTGGAAAGTTTTGGAGTTTCTTAGTAAACATGCATGTACCTTATGACCCAGTAATTCCATACATACATGAAAACATGTGCCCACAAAAAGACTAACTTATGAGTGTCCATGTGAATCTTATTCGTAATAGCCCCAAACTGAAAACAATCTAAGTATCCATGAATAGGGAAGTGGACAAACAAATTTTGATATAGTCATTCAGTGGCATACTCCTCAGCAATAAAAAGACAGCACGGATGAATCTTATAGATATCTGTTGAATAAAAGACTTGGCACAAAAGAGTATATATTATATAGTTCCATTTAGGAAGTTCTAGAACAGGCAAAACTATGATGATAGAAATGATCACAGTTTGCCTGTGATGGGATATAGTGGGGTGATTAACTACAGAGGGTTACAAGAGAACTTTTGGTGGTGATGGAAATATTCTGTAACTTCATTGAGGTTGTGGTTTCATGGATGCATCTATTCGTTGTCAAAACTCATTGCACTGTGTGTTTAAAATTTGTACATTTTATTGTATATAAATTATACCTCAAAGTTGTTTAAAAATAAAAACATGAAACTTTTAAAAATAATGAAAAATATTGTTAGCATATAGTTTTGTATACTTTTTAAAAGCCTTTGTCGGCTAAATTTATGAGGAGTTGTACTGTATTTCTAGGATACTTTATTAAGCCTTCTGGGAGGCAATTCAATGAACCTGTCATTAATCATTTTATTTTGCACCTAATAGTTGTGGTTAAATCTAGAAATAATGAGGTAAGCCTTACTCCCTCAAGGAAACATTTCTTAACATCTATCACTTTCACTTTCATTTGAATGTTTTTATTTTAAAAATACATACCAGTTTTATTATATTTACTTTTCTGTATGTACAGAGGCTAAAGTACTTGGTGTTTTAGTTAAACATACATGTAATGTAAAAACATGTACATGTCCATTTCAGATTTATTTTCAAAAGTATATTCCCCATCGAATCTGAATCATAGGAATATTTAAGTCTTATGTCTTCGCAGTAAGTAGTACATTTTTACTGTAATTTTTTCCCCTGCTTTGTATCTTGATGTCCTGCAGATGAACTGGTGACATCTGATATTCACTAGTCATGTTCGTTGAGGAAAAACATACACTTTCTTATTAAATCCACTTATCTGTAAAGTTTTGGTCAGGGATTTTAGCTTTTATTATGTGGATTATAGCTTATAGTATGTGGAAGAAATCTAACTGCAGGGATATAAACATTGTTTGGGGTGGAAAAAGCCTGCACTAGCAGATGTATTATAAAAGTTGAAGCCAGTATCAAAATGTCTTTTTCAGAAGTGGTAAATAGAATTTTTTTTTAAACACTGAGATCATAGAGCCGATTGTTGGGGAGGGAACACAGTTACTGAAGTATCAACTTTGTTTTTATGTGGCATAGAGTGTTCTTAAAGAGTAAAGGTGATTGGTTGAAAAACAAATGGAAAATTCTTAATTTGTAACTCTTGAAACTCTTCCTGCCAAAAATTTTTTGAAGTGTTCCTTCATTTGTTCATTCATTCAGGAATATATTAATACACTTATCCCTTAAACCATTTTACACATGTGCCATGTACCACTGTTTTTTTTTTTTTAATTTCAACTTTTATTATAGATTAAAGTGTACACATTCAGGTTTGTTACTTGGGTAACTGTGTTATGCTGAGGCTTGGGGAATTTAATAATAACAGAAATTTTTTGAATTAAAAGATGCCTAATGGTTTAAAACATTTTCAAATGTGTCACCCACATGACCCACACGACAGTTTACTGCACTTGGTGGGAAGATACTGTTTTCAGTGTTTAATAGATAATGTATGAGGCTGCTTTCAGGGTTTGGTTATATTATGTTACTTTCATTGCCGTATATCTCCTGTATATCTAAGCTAAACTTCTTGACTAGTTTAAATTAACTTATCTAGTTGATATACTTGGGCCCTAATCTGGTTTACTTGTGCACACATCTAACATGAAGTTATTTTAACCTTGTGACATTTAATCTTTAATGTTTCTGGAGAAAAGAACTAAATATCTTTTTACAAAATAAATTATGAATACCTTTTAAGCAGCTTCTATTTGAAATAACACTTTATATAAATATAGGAATATATAATATTCTTATGTAAGAATATTTTATATGAATATAGTCCTTTACCTTTTTGATTCCTACAGCAAGGCCATGAGAAAACCAAGGCTCACAGAAATTATGTTTAATACAGTCTTTCCATGTCATTGTGCTACCTCCCCCAAATTTCAGCCTGTTTGAATTTGGGGGAGGAGTTGTGGGGGGAGCAAGAAAATAGTCTCCGATTCTAACATAGGATGTTTAAAACATTTTAAAAAGTTATTTGTTTTCAGTATCTGCCTGAGAAAGAATTAGAACATGTCTTCTTAGTTGATGAATTATCATGGGTGATTTTCAAGTTGGTGAAATGGTTAAGAGTAATTAAATAAATGGTTGAGAGTTATTTTGCACATTAAATGCTAACTTTTATGTGCATCAGTTAGTCAAAATAAAATCTCCATTTTAATTATGTCCTCACTGCCAAGGGTGAGGGTCTTGTTTGATATTGTCTGGCTTACAGGAATGAGATTGTTTAACCTAGAGCAAGAGGAAATTTTTTTTTTAAGAGATGATATCTTGTGCTGTTGTCTAGGCTGTAGTGCAGTGGCATGATCATAGTTCGCTGCAGCTTCAAATTCCTGGGCTCAAGGGATCCTCCTGCCTCAGCCCCCTGAATACTTGGGATTACAGTCGTGAGCTACCACACCCACCTCAGCAAGAGCAAATTTTTCTTTTTTTTTGTTTGACAGGGTCTCACTCTTGCCCGGGCTGGCCTTGAACTCCTGGGCTCAAGCCATCTACCTGCCTCGACCTCCCAGAGTGTTGGGATTACAGGTATGAGCCACCATGCCTGGCCAGCAAGAGGAAGTTTAATGTTAAGTACTATGTAAAGCTGTCTGTTGCCTTAATGAAAAATTTCTAAAAAATCATGGTTTTGTTTTTAGCAACCCCAAAATGCTTCTGACTTCAAGAGTTCAAATAATTTTACTGTAAAGTTTAATAAAAGGTTTAAGATATGCTGTGTAATTATGTAAGCTGGTAAGATTAAAACAAGTAAAATACAGGTAGTTTAGTTCTTAAAATCTTCATATATATTTCCTTATTAACATTAATCAGTAGAATTGAGATTGAATATAGTACAGCAGTTATGAATTTAG
This sequence comes from Homo sapiens, assembly GCF_000001405.40. Classification (NCBI taxonomy): domain Eukaryota; kingdom Metazoa; phylum Chordata; class Mammalia; order Primates; family Hominidae; genus Homo; species Homo sapiens. The sequence continues at coordinate 222,900,189 of NC_000001.11, forward strand.
GCTCTAGATTCAGACTGTCTAGGTTTGAATGTCAATTCTATCACTTTCTCATTGTATGACTAGGGACAACGTTTTTAAGCCTTAGTTTCCTCATTGATAAAATGAGGATAATCTTAGTACTTGCCTCTTTTGCTAAGAATGAGGATTAAAATGATATATGTGAAACCATTTATGTCATACATACCCATTCACATGATACAGTTAATTTGGATTGTCTATGTCAGTAGATGAGATACATAAAAAAGAAAATCCAGTTGATGAGTAGTTTTGACATTATTGCATACTTAATTTGTGGATTTTCAGTGCTTCTGTTTTCTTTTTTCTGTTGGAGATCCTATTAAGTAATGAATTAATTATGATATGGAAAAGTAATGATCCTCAACAAATTTGTAAACTATATACTTGGATAATCTGAAAGACTGAAACTTAACTGTACTTATGCTTTAAATTAAAATAACAACAACCAGAATACCCAGAACATACTTTTAAGGCAGGATAATAACTTATCTGACAAATTAGAGATAAGAGATCAAGATGAAGGTAGTGAAGTCAATGATGTTTTCAGTTGATTGCAGTATGATCTCCATAAAGTTAGCTATTATTTTTACTAATATATGAACAGAGTGATGAGTGGGAGCTAAAGTTAGGTACTTTGTAGGGAAATCTATGCACTATTTCTAAGGAGCTGTAGGACTGAGAAAGGTATTTTACTTGTTTTGTGTTATTTTTAAAATGAGAAAAATAAAAGCATATTTGTATGCTGTTGGGAATGATCCAACAGAGAGGGAAAATGAGAAAGATGAGAAGTATTTGATGGTCTTCTTGAGTAGATGAGAGGAAGTGGAATATAGTACACAAATGGAGGGATTATTTTTAGAAGTAAGGAAAGATTATCTCTAGAAACGGTGGGATTGCAGAAAACTAAGCTACGAACAGATGCTGGTGGGTGAATAGCTCTGATGGTGATAAGTTGTGGAAGTTCTCTTCTGATTGCTTGTATATTCTTACTGTATTCTTAGTGAAGTAGGTCATGAACCAAACTTGAGGACGAAGGATTTGTGAGAGATTTGAGGAGCCAGGAAAAGGTATGAAATAGATATCTGAAAGAAAAAGAGAAAGTATTAACAGTGACTAGAGACAAAAAATAGGTTTTCTACCAAGAATGAAAATGAATATTGAAAATGGACTTCTAATAGATGACAAAGGCAATGGAATAATATCTTTAAAGTACTGAGGGAAATAAGAGTAAGAGTGAAAAACAAAGATATTTGGGGACCTGCAGAAGCTGAGGATGTAATACTTATAGATTTTTGTTTGTTTGTTTGTTTGTTTTTTTGTTTGTTTTTTGTTTTTGAGATGGAGTCTCACTCACTCTGTCACCTGGGCTGGAGTGCAGTGGCGCGATCTCTGCTCAGTGCAACCTCTACCTCTCGGATTCAAGCGGTTCTCCTGCCTCAGCCTTCTGAGTAGCTGGGATTGCAGGCATCCACCACAATACCTGGCTAATTTTTGTATTTTCAGTAGAGACGGGGTTTCACCAATTGGCCAGGCTGGTCTGGAACTCCTGACTTCCAGTGATCCACCTGCCTTGGCCTCCCAAAGTGCTGGGATTATGGGTGTGAGCCACTGTCCAATACTTATAGATTTTTGTCAGAAATGCTACAAAAGCATATACTTCACTAAAAGGAAATTGAACCCAGATGGAAAGTGTGAGATATAAGAATCAAAAGGAGCAAAGAAATGGGTATTTTGCATAGAGGTGTTTGTAGTATTCTCTGATGGTAGTTTGTATTTCTGTGGGATCGGTGGTGATATCCCCTTTATCATTTTTTATTGTGTCTATTTGATTCTTCTCTCTTTTCTTCTTTATTAGTCTTGCTAGCGGTCTATCAATTTTGTTGATCTTTTCAAAAAACCAGCTCCTGGATTCATTAATTTTTTGAAGGGTTTTTTGTGTCTCTATTTCCTTCAGTTCTGCTCTGATTTTAGTTACTTCTTGCCTTCTGCTAGCTTTTGAATGTGTTTGCTCTTGCTTTTCTAGTTCTTTTAATTGTGATGTTAGGGTGTCAATTTTGGATCTTTCCTGCTTTCTCTTGTGGGCATTTAGTGCTGTAAATTTCCCTCTACACACTGCTTTGAATGTGTCGCAGAGATTCTGAACCCTAGAAGAAAACCTAGGTAATACCATTCAGGACATAGGCATGGGCAAGGACTTCATGTCTAAAACACCAAAAGCAATGGCAACAAAAGCCAACATTGACAAATGGGATCTAATTAAACTAAACAGCTTCTGCACAGCAAAAGAAACTACCATCAGAGTGAACAGGCAACCTACAAAATGGGAGAAAATTTTCGCAACCTACTCATCTGACAAAGGGCTAATATCCAGAATCTACAATGAACTCAAACAAATTTACAAGAAAAAAACAACCCCATAAAAAAGTGGGCAAAGGATATGAACAGACACTTCTCAAAAGAAGACATTTATGCAGCCAAAAAACACATGAAAAAATGCTCATCATCACTGGCCATGAGAGAAATGTAAATCAAAACCACGATAAGATACCATCTCACACCAGTTAGAATGGCGATCATTAAAAAGTCAGGAAACAACAGGTGCTGGAGAGGATGTGGAGAAATAGGAACACTTTTACACTGTTGGTGGGACTGTAAACTAGTTCAACCATTGTGGAAGTCAGTGTGGCGATTCCTCAGGGATCTAGAACTAGAAATACCATTTGACCCAGCCATCCCATTACTGGGTATATACCCAAAGGACTATAAATCATGCTGCTATAAAGACACACGCACACGTATGTTTGTTGCGGCACTATTCACAATAGCAAAGACTTGGAACCAACCCAAATGTCCAACAATGATAGACTGGATTAAGAAAATGTGGCACATATACACCATGGAATACTATGCAGCGATAAAAAATGATGAGTTCATGTCCTTTATAGGGACATGGATGAAACTGGAAATCATTCTCAGCAAACTATCGCAAGGACAAAAAACCAAACACCACATGTTCTCACTCATAGGTGGGAATTGAACAACGAGAACACATGGACACAGGAAGGGGAACATCACACTCCGGGGACTGTTGTGGGGTGGGGGGAGGGGGGAGGGATAGCATTAGGAGATATACCTAATGCTAAATGACGAGTTAATGGGTGCAGTACACCAACGTGGCATATGTATACATATGTAACTAACCTGCACATTGTGCACATGTACCCTAAAACTTAAAGTATAATTAAAAAAAAAAGAAATGGGTATTTTGGTATGTCTAAATACATATTATAAAAAGTAAATACTAAATTTATATATGTAAATATATTTACTAGGATATTGGATAACTTGGGATATCTGTTTTAATGCAACCAATTGCTTATTTTTTCTTTCCCTTTGTGATGAGAGGGAAAACAAAGTTCTGCAGACTGTCTTTAAAGAGCTCATGTTTTTTAAGCTGGCTTTGTGATCACTGTTTAAGAACTTTAGATGTAGTGTGACCTTAATCTACACTATGTAAAATTAGATGGTATCATAGATATTTGACATTGCCTTCCAAGTACACCAAAGATTACTAGTCTAAATTCTATATGTATCAGATACCTAAGCCATTCCCAGGTTCTGAGGTGTTTACTCAGAGGTTAGGGAAGAGAACTACTTCTGTGCATTAGAAGGCTTATCTTTGGGTGTTTCCTCAGAAGGAGGCAATAGAGTGCATAAACATCAAATTTGTGCTTAAATACATTTTATTTTTATTTTCATCTGCTTCAGTGTTTGCGTGGCAGCCTTACTTAGATCAAATAAAACCTAGCATATGGGTTGTGTACTCCTGCCATTCAAATTCCTTTTATGGAAAAGAAAAATAGTCTTCTTATTCATTTCCCTAATTGGGAAGGATGAAGCTAGTAAGTTATTGGACAAAAGCTGAAAAATATTCTCATGTCCATTATGTAAAGGTTTAGACATCTTTTAAAACCAGTACCTGCCAATGTGAGGTTTTTAATGTATTTTACATTTCCAAAATTAAAACGTAATCTCCAAGATTGTCTGAATTACTTATTAGTAGAAAATATATTTGTGTGAGCTTCCTAAACCTCTGTGCTTAAGTAGTCATTCAGTCTTCGCTATTACATCATAAGTCATTACTAAGCCTTTTGTTCTGAGCTATACCAAAGATATTATTTATATAGAAACATATTTATAGATGTTTTCAGTATCATTTAGTACCTTAATTAGTATTCATGATGTTAAAAAGAGACTAAAGTTTATTTCTGATAGCTTCTCTTTTAATATGATATGTTATATAAATTTAGAAGCAGTAATTTATCTTTAGTTTATTCAGAGACTCTTTTTTTTTATTTTTTTATTTTATTTTTTTTTTTGAGATGAAGTCTTGCTGTGTCACCTGGGCTGGAGCATAGTAGCGCGGTCTCGGCTCACTGCATCCTCTGCCTGGCAGGTTCAAGCAATTCTTCTACCTCAGTCTCCTGAGTAACTGGGACTACAGGCACACACCACTATGCCTGGCCAATTTTTGTGTTTTTAGTAGAGACGGGGTTTCACCATATTGGCCAGGCTGGTCTTGAACTCCTGACCTCATGATCTGCCCACCTCGGTCTCACAAAGTGCTGGGATTATAGGCGTGAGCCACTGCCCCTGGCCTCATATTTTAACTAATAATTTCCAGTCATTTGATTATATTTTTGGAATATTTTTACTTTCAAAAACTGTATTTGTTACCAGAAAGACATAAAAACTACTCATGCTGCAAATATGCATGCTGGTAAATACAAATCGGATCATTTATTTCAGGACTGGTTTTATTGACTTTTTAGGTGAGGATTCTATTATTAATAGATCTAAAATAAGAAAGAAGTAACTATTATAAACTGATTTAAGAACAAGTTGGAGCATAAAAACTCTAAAAATAAGATGGATTATGAGGTATTAAGTGTTCTCCAGTTAAAATATTATTTTATAAATAGTTAAATAATTTAAGAAATATTTCTTCCCTTAAATGTTAGTTCTAAATCAGACTAGTCTCAGATGCATATTAGTAATGCTCGGAATGGAAAACATACACCTGTGGTAAAAGAATATGTCATGGTAAATATGTTTATACAGCTGTGTGGTAATGTTAGTTATTACAGAGCACATTTGCAGAATCATGTAATGAGCCTCATTTTCAAACAACCATTAACTTTGGCTTAGAAATGGCTAATTAAAGAATAACTGCATTTTTCAAATGCAGACTGCACAAACAATATATAGCATCACTGTAGTTGTCTTCTTAACAGAACGTATAAATTTGATTGTAAGTATATGTTGGCTAATTTCGAGGAAATTCAAACTTCTTATAAGACTATTTCTTATTTATAATTTATACTTTCATTGCATATAATGCCTACTCTTTTAGTACCAGACTGAGTTTCCATTAAACTTTATTGCACTTACATGGACTCTTCTGTCAAGCTTTAATAAAATTATAAAATTGACTTAATTGGGTCTATCTGAAAGCTTCCTTTATCATTAATAAATTTTATTTATTCCATGGGGTTATAAGTCTTGGATAACTTGTATGACTTCATTCAAACTTGTTCTAGAATATGAATAAATATTATTTAAAATTAAGCATGAGTAAAAGCAAATTTAAAAATATTCTCATAGGTCTTTGAGGATTTACTCAAGAGTGCATAAAATGTTACCATTAACTATGTATTGCTATAGTGCAATCTGTAAAAATATGTTATCTAAAAAGTTTAATAAGCAGTGGGTGGTTTCATCTATTCGTCTAACTTTTGAGCACCTGCTAGGTAAACTCTAGAAATATCAAGAAGGAAGGCTTATTTCCTGCCCTCAAGTATTTTAGTTTCCTTCTACCGAGCATCAACTTTTAATTACCAGCAGTTACTTTTTTTTAAAAACCTGCCACTTGAGAGGAAGATACTGCAAATGTATTCAACATATAAATAGTGGCATCTTTATTAGACCCTTAGCTCTTTTTAGAGCTCTCTAAAATGGATACTAAGTTATAAGAAGACCAGGAAAGAAAATAAACAGATTCATGGCGTATTTATTTCCACTCCTGGAAAAAAGAGTTCGATGTGCTTTGGGGGAACTTTTTCTTGTTTGAACAATTTAACTTCTAAGGTGGATACAAAGTTACCAGAGGCGTTTGAACCAGAGCAACTCCATCTTAAATAGGGGCTGGGTAAAAAAAACGCTGCCATCTGCTGGGCTGCATTCCCAGGAGGTTGAGGCATTCTTAGTCACAGGATAAGACAGGAGGTCCGCACAAGATACTGGTCATAAAGACCTTGCTGATAAAACAGTTGCAGTAAAGAAGCCGGCGAAAACTCGCCAAAACCAAGATGGCGATGAGAGTGACCTCTGGTCGTCCTCACTGCTACACTCCCACCAGCGCCATGACAGTTTACAAATGCCATGGCAACATCAGGAAGTTACCCTATATGGTCTAAAAAGAGGAGGCATGAATAATCCACCCCTTGTTTCACTTATCATCAAGAAATAACCATAAAAATGGGCAACCAGCAGCCCTCTGGGCTCCTCTGCCTATGAGAGTAGCCATTCTTTGATTCCTTAATAAACTTGGTTTCTTAATAAACTTGCTTTCATTTTGCTTTGTGGATTCGCCTCTAATTCTTTCTTGCTCAGACCCAAGAACCCTCTCTTAGGGTCTGGATCAGTACCCCTTTGAGTAACAAAGTAATGAGGTGTTCGGAGTTGATTTAAGGTTAATCATGGAAGATTTTGACCTTGGTCTTTTTTCACACCACTTAGCATGGTGACTAACACATAGCAAGTACTTCATAAATATTTATTGAATGAATGAATGAGTAAATAAATAAGGATTAATAAAATAGTGGCCATCGATTTGCAGAAAAGGAGAGCCTTCTAGCAGAGGGAGAACTGAGGCAGGATTGTTGTAGAGGCAAGAATTGTGAATGGGTTTCCTAGGTTGGTCAAGAGGTGAGCTCAGGAGAAATGAGGACTCTAATAATCAGAAGGGCTTCCATTGTTAAACTCAGTTCGCTTTAGTATGAGAGCCCTAGGTCGTGAATGTCTAGTCTAAGTAAAATTAGTTTTATTAACTCTACAGGAGTAAAACGGGGAAGAAACTAGAGCAGAGATTCTCAAAGTGTGGTCCCACACTTAGCAGCTTTAGCATCATCTGGGAGCTGGTTAGAAATGCAAATTCTAGGGCCAACCCAGAACTACTAAATGGGAATTTCCCGGTGAGGAGTGGGGAGGAGGGAGACTCAGCAACCTGTGTTTTAGTGGGCCCTCCAGGGGATTCTGATATCCTTAGGCTAACATTTGAGAACCACTGGGCTGGAGGAGGAAAGTCAGGTACCAAATAAAAGCAGTGAGATTAGAGATTATAGAAGAGATAATTACTAAGATTATTTCCAACTGTAAATTGAATGATTTAAAGATTTGATTATGGCCGGGTGCAGTGGCTCATGCCTGTAATCCCAGCACTTTGGGAGGCCAAGGTCGGCGGATCACGAGGTCAGGAGTTTGAGACCAGCCTGACCAACATGGTGAAACCCCGTCTCTACTAAAAATATAAAAATCAGCCAGGCATGGTGGCACAAGCCTATATCCCAGCTACCCAGGAGGCTGAGGCAGGAGAATTGCTTGAACCCTGGAGGCGGAGGTTGCAGTGAGCTGAAATTGTGCCATTGCACTCCAGCTTGGGCAACAGAGCAAGACTCCATCTCAAAATAAATAAATAAAATAAAATAAAGATTTGATTATTTAGTATGGCTGTGCAGGGATGATTAATCATTGGATGTACAGAGTTTTTTTAAAAAATAGAGATGTTTGCGCTTTGGTGGAGAACCGTTAGGCTTTCAGCTTCACGGGTGGAACAACTCATTTTTACCAGTTACCCAAAAGTAACTGGAAAGTACAATGTCAATTTATTATGTATAGTAGGTAAAAAACTGGCTCAAATCAGAACAGTACACTTTCATTTGGTATGTTGATGATCTTAGAAGATAAAGTTATCAATCAAAGAGGTTGTGTGCCGAAGGATCACTTGAACACAGGAGTTTGAAGTTGCAATGAGCTATGATCATGCCACTGCACTCTAGCCTGGGTGACAGAGTGAGACCCTTAATGTAAAAAAAATTTTTAAAAAGGGTTGTGTGAGGAACAGATAATTAAATCAAAGGCAGTTGGATGATTTTTTTTGAGATGGAGTCTTGCTCTGTCGCCCAGGCTGGAGTGCAGTGGTGCGATCTCGGCTCACTGCAACCTCTGCCTCCCGATTCTCCTGCCTCAGCCTCCCCAGTATCTGGGATTACAGGCGCCCACCACCATGCCCAGCTAATTTTTGTATTTTTAGTAGAGATGGGATTTCGCCATGCTGGCCAGGCTGGTCTTGAATTCCTGACCTCGTGATCTGCCCACCACGGCCTCCCAAAGTGCTGGGATTACAGGCACGAGCCACTGTGCTTGGCCTGGATGTTCTTAAACATTATTTTAATTGAAATCAGTAACCTAATGAATTTACTTTCTTCATAACATAAATATTTCAGTGTAAAATAAGCAGAAGCCTTTTCCAGAAGCAAAGACCATTTTTTTCTGATCACTACAGAAGATACCCTGATTAATTTTTAGTCTTTGACTCTTTCATTAAAAAAAAAAAAGAATTCCTGGAGATTATTATTTTTCTGTTTGTGATGTTGATGTACTACACTTTGCAAATTTATTGTATCCTGGTACGGTTTGGGATACACCTTATTCTTCCTTAGAATATACACTTTCTACAAAAAAGACTTGGGATGGGTTACTTCTGAGGATGATGTGGGCTGCATGGGTCAAAACCATTCAAGTTGATTCATGTTCATTTCAGTTTTTGATTCAAGATAAACATCTTTTAGAATTCTGTAATTGTATCGAATTATATCTTGAATTGTATTAAATTATATTGTATATATAGATATACATTTATATCTATAAATGTATTGAATTCTATAATTCAATAATGTATGTAGAGAACAGAGGAAGTCAGAAGGACATGTGTCAACACTGTGTTTATGATTTATACCTATCAGCTCCCTGGTTGCCTTAAAATTGTAACTGTTTAAAGCTCATTATGAATAACCCAGGATTTATTACATTCATTTGGATAAAATGGACAATATGGTTGTTATAAATCAAAGCAAGTAAAACCTATATGCCACTAGGATTGTTTATGAATGTGTTATTTCTCTTGTTATTCAGGATCCCATTGACATGTTTGCATATATGCACATTTACTTGAACTTATCATGTAAAAATTTATCAGCATTTATCAACTCTTCTGTAGTTGGCACCATGCTGAGCACTCCAGTGTCAAGGAGGAACACAGGAGAGTTCCAGTCACATAGCTCCATGAAGTTCTCGTTTCAACACCATATCCCACATGGCAACAAAAGGATATAAAAGATAAAACTAAAACAATATACCTAGTCTCAAAATCAAGACAAACATCTCTAAGGACCAGGAGGCGACCAGAAATAGAAAGTGATAAGTAGGCCTGGAACTCTGAGCCTGCCAAGCTCCTGGCCAGAAGCAGGAAGTTGCTCAACTACTCCTCAGCCACTTCTCAGGAGACGGTGGAGCTCATGCCTGAAGGAAGGGATGGAAGCCAGGAGAATCCTTCCCCCTGCCTGATTTCCATCATTGTTAATAGACACTAAAACGTTAGCTGCCAGCTCTGCCTGGGGCTGTGGTCTTATTGTAAGCTGTGAACTAAGGGGCAAAAGTAGGATAAAAACACAGTTTAGTGACCAGAAACTGAAAAAGTTGCCTGCTGGTTCTGTAATATCCCTAATGTTGTCCTTCTAAACTATTATTCAAGGATGAGGCTGGCGCGGTGGCTCACACCTGTAATTCCAGCACATTGGGAGACCAAAGTGGGAGGATTGCTTGAGCGCAGGAGTTCAAGACCAGCTGAGCAACATGGCAAAACCCTGTCTCTATAAAAAAATACAGAAAATAGCAGATATGGTGGTGTGTACCTGTAGTCCCAGCTACTCAAGAGGCTGAGGTGGAAGAATCACCCGAGCTGGAGAAGTCGAGGCTACAGTAAGCCATGATTGCACTATGGCACTCCAGCCTGGGGGTCGGAGTAAGACCCTGTCTCCAAAAAACAAACAAACGAAAAGGGATGAGGGCAAAATTAAGACATTTTAACATATGTGGAATAAGAGTATAAGAGTATTTACCATTCACATAACCTTTCTAAAAGAAATACTAAATGGTGCACTCAGTAGGAAAAAATGTCCCAGAGGGAAGGTGTGGTGGGCTTAGAAAATAATAGTGAAATTGATTGAAATATTAGAGATGTAAGTAGTCATTTCTTGTATTTGAAATGTGTGAACATGATTTGTTCAATTATAGCATTAATTTAATTTAACTACAAAAATAAGCTCTTAAGATACTGCAAATGTCCAATATGTCCAATAGGACCTTGTTGTTAGGTAACCAGAAGAGAGAATGACTTCTGAGTCAAAGCAGTCTAAACAGAGAAAAGGAAATTTAGGTGTACCTTGAAGAAATATGTAGGATTCAGCTTTGTCAATCTCATTGGAGGCTGTGCAGTGAAAAAGAGCAATGTGAGCAAATTGCATTTAGGTAGTGACTCATTTTGAGGGTAGTTTGGCCAGGGTTTATGTAAGAGAGTGACTGGGGAGGTTATTTTGAACCTTTTGGAATCCTTCTAGTAGGCACTGGGGTATCTGTATTGAGATAAATGAGATGGTATCCTTTTTAGCTGACTTTTTTCCAGGCAAGCCCTAGCAATTTGTCTTCTCTAAATGAGCAACATATGTATCTTTAAGAAATTCACAGTAATTGTCTTCAGGGCTTTCTCTTTTTCTTTGTAGAATGCCATATTCTCAAGTTGTGTTTTCTTTTTCTGATGATTAGCTTAGGTAATTTGAAAGGCTCTACCTCTTTGTATTATATCAGCTTTGGTTAAAACCTGTTTTTGCTTTGTTCCTTGGTTGATCCTTAGACTGAATGAAGGCCAATTAGATATTAGTATAAAGTAGGTGATATCATAGCATCAGAGAGAATCTTCTGTAAACCAGAGCCTGCTTCCAATTTGTATTGTCTAGAGAACAAAGGGTATCTTTGCACCAAAGAGACTGGGAGAAGTTGGTATTTACTTTGCTTCAAGTATAAAACTGTAGAGCAAGGGTTAAGGAACTCTTAAAGGAAGGGCACCTTCTAGTACCCTTCTTTTTCCTCTTTTACAGATGGAAGAAATTTTTTTTTGGCTTTTAATTTTTTTTTCTTTTTGAATCAGAGTTTTGCTCTTTTGTCCAGGCTGGATTGCAGTGGTGCAGTCATAGCTCACTGCAGCCTCAAACTCCCAGGAATTTCCTGGGATTGCTCAAACAATCCTTCTGCCTCAGCCTCCCAAATAGCTGAGCCTATAAGTGCATGCCACTACATCCAGCTAATTTTTTGTTTGTGTGTGTATTTTTTTGTAGAGACAGGGTCTTGCTATGTTGCCAAGGCTGATTTCCAACTCATGGCCTCAAGTGATCCTCCCGCCTCAGCCTCCCAGAGCACTAGAATTATTGGCATGAGCCACTGTCCCTGGCCCATTTGTTTTCATGTCAAACTTGTAATGTGCCAACATAGTAACAAGGTTTGAGGGAGGCACATCTCACACATCAGCATGAAAACCAAATCATGTTGCTTATGAACTACAAGTGGACTAGGAAGAGATTATAATGAGGGAGTGAGATGGTGGATGCCAGCTTAAAGAATAGCAAGGAATTGAATATGTGGTTGCAGCAGCCAGCACTCATGTGATCTTTGACCATGGGCCGGAGGAATCTGAGTCTTGTCTCTGGAATTCCCAGAAGTACCTTATTTTTCATAAGCTCTTACTAATGTGCTTTAACCAAGTTGCTGTATGTCCAGAATTATAATGAATCTTTTGAGGTTATAAGAAAAAAAAATAAGTTGGAACTTAAAGAAGAGCCACTGTTTGCAAGAGGGCTTAATCATATCTTCATATCTCTGCAATTAATCTGTAGGTTTGCATAGAGTAGCAATTTGGACCGTTTATGTATTTTTCTCTCAATAAATTGTTTTAGAAGCTAGATTACTTTGCAGCATAAAGCACCTACTTTTTCTTCTGACTTACCTGTTTCCAGTGTTGTATTTTGTCCTCTCCCCTCAGTTTCCTACTTTTCCCTCAGATTGCCTTAGCTTCTGCTTTGCTTATGTTCTTCCCACTATTTGATGTGTATGTCATACATTTATCACCTTGTTACTGCTTATGGCTGTTTTCCTTTTCCCACATTTCCTTTACAGTCTGTTACTTCCTTTCTTTTTACTTCTTTTTACTTCTGTTACTTCCTTTCCTCATTCTCTCCTCCTCTATTTCTGTTTGCCTTGGTTTCCTCATTTGTTGAAATCGTTTTCTTAAAGGGGTTTCTTAAAGGTTATAGTGAGTTGACTCATGGATTAATCAAAGTGTTTCTTTTTAACTTTATTTTATTGTCAGGCCTTATTAGCCAGCAGAATAATAAAGCCAATCATAGTATATTCTTAAGTTTGAGTAAACTTTTGTTGAACTTATTTGGTTATTTGAGGTTTCACTAAAGAATGTGAGTTAGAAAAATGGCAGAGTGATAGGGATGTGCTTTCATGTCTGAGTATTGACCTGTGATGTAATGGGTGCAAGAATGAAACATAGTTGCCATATGCAGTGATGTGATCTTGGGATATGAGACAATTTGTACTCTCAACCTGCATGACTAGATATTTATAGCAGAAATGCTAAAATGAAAACAAAAACAAGAACTTTGTTCTTGAAAAAACTTCTAATTAGACTTTAAAGTTTTGGAATATAGTAAAAAAAATAGTGACTGGAACTTAGTAAATTAGAAAGGTTTGTTTTGATGTGAGAAGTATGGCCTGTACCCCACCTTCTTGGTACTTGGTAGTTGCTTGTATTCTCTTTAAAGATTTACCTATACAATAGTTAGAAGTGAAATATAATATTAAGACCAAATTATTTTATAGGATATTAACAAATTAAGCAAATAAATTAAGTTTTATTTTTATAGATGAGACCATTCACTTTTATATATCAAAATGCTAGCTTGCATGTATCAATATAGAGACATTACTCTTAGACTCAAATGATCTAGAATATGAACTTCCAAGTTAGAGTTTATTTGCAAAAGAAGTTGAATCATAAAATATCTAAATTACTTGAATTATATTTCTCTTATAATCATTCTTCTATTTGCTTAGCAATAAGATATTATCTGTGATGGGCTTCCTTTTTCTTTTTACTCTCTGCTATTACTCCTTAACTTTTTGTCTTTAAAAAAAGTTGCAAGGTACTAGCACTAAACATTCAGTAAAGGAGTAGATAAGGCTGGGCATGGTGTCCCACGCTTGTAATACCAGTACTTTGGGAGGCCAAGATGGGAGGATCTCTTGAGACTAGGAGTTTGAGATAAGCCTCAGTAACATAGCAAGACTACATCTCTACAAAAAAAAGAAAAAAAAAAGGAGTGAATAAAATAGGAACCTCTAAATAGTATTTATCTTTGCAATAGCTTTTATAAAATTTGAGATTCAAACTCCTTGTTTGATACACTCTAAATCCAAGTGGGGGTAACTTGTTTTAATTCCAAATTTGTACTTAAGTGTGGGAATAGCTCATCTTTTTCAAATACATTCTAAATAAAAAAAAAAATGGGTAGGATCTGCTTATATAACTCATACTGTTATATGTGTTTTTTTGGTTGTTTTTTTTTTTTTTTTAACCCAAGCTTACATAGGTTTTCTCTAATGCTAGGTGATCTGAAGGAAATCATTAAAATCTTTGGGTTGTTTGAAATTCCTTGCCTCTCTATTTGAAGTTAGTCTGGATCAAAGGGACCAGGATTTAAGTTTTTAAAAGAAACTTTGTCAAAATAAAAACTCCTTTAGGGAGACTTATGCAAATACTCAGTTGGACTTTTCAAATATAGTACTTAAATCCAGAAATAAATGTGTATTACTATATACAAATTTAATTGCCTTCCAAAATATATTACACCAAAGGGATATTCATTTTATGCTTTGAAGTTGGGTTCAGAAAAAATTTTTTTGTGTGACCTGGTGATGTCTGTACATTGTTATTAATTTGGATTATAAGTTTTCTTTGGAACAGTTCAAGGGGCTTTGTCTTTAGAAACAAGATGATGTGTTACCAGGACCTTACCTCCTTTTTCATTCTTCTTGCCTCCCTCTTTCTTTCACTCATCCTCTTGAAAAGGTTATAGTCATTTATCACTGTGAGAATAGGCACTGCAAATACTATTATGAATATGAGACCATTATCCTTCCCTTCCTCCTCCCATCCCCAGAGATATGGTGAGAGATCTTGTAAAACTTAGTTTTTGGCAATGTCAAAAGGTGTAAATAAGTTAAGATCATAGGCCAGGTGTGGTGGCTCACACCTATAATCCCAGCAATCTGAGAGGCCAAGGCAGGAGGATCTCTTGAGCCCAAGAAGTTCGAGACCAGCCTGGGCAACACAGCATGACCTCATCTCTACTAAAAATTAAAATTAAAATAATTAGCCGGGGACGGTAGCCTGCCCCTGTAGTACCAGGTATTCAGGAAGCTGAGGCAGGAGGATTGGTTGAGCCCAGGAGTTTGAGGCTGCAGTGAGCCATGATTGTACCACTGCAGTCCAGCTTGGTTGTCAGAGCAAGACTCTGTCATTCATTCATTCATTAAAAAGGAAGGAAGGAAAGGGAAAAAAAGATCATAATAACAATGACTGAGCATTTTTCATATGCTCCTGGCTTTCTAAAATCTGAGTTCAGCTGTGGTTGTCCTGGACACTGTCTGAGTCGCTGTTGTCAGTGTATCAGTATCAACAGGAACCATCATTGCAAATACAGTCAGAGATTGGGAAAAGCAATTGTTTCCAAAAGTTATGCTTCTTTGATCTAAATAAATGGTACATTTTAGCTTTATGCAAGATTAGGGATTATTTTAGAGATTTATGACAATTCCATTTGTTCCTATATAGGGGATCTGAGCTTGACGCTTGATGCTGGATTTGACTAACTCCCTGCAAAGCCAGCAGGGTGTAGATGTGTATTACCAAGGCATTACACTTGGCAAAGGAAGGAATGAATGCTGCATTGCCTAATATCCCATAGGGATGGGAAGGAGGAGTGTATAACATTCCTTCAGTGTGATTGAGGGCTGTGTAGACTGTATGAGTAAGACAATGTGACTTGAAGATATTAAGTAGAGTCCATACTTAGGTCATTAGAATTCTTGGTCATTGACCTAGATATCAGGAAAGCAAATAGTGTTGGGTGATTAACCAGGGCAGATGCCTTAATTTAGGAATGCAACAAATAACTTACTAGTTTTCATTTTTCCAGCTCCTCAACCTTTTCTTTCATCTTTCATTCTCTTGTTAGTATTAGGCATGGTCGGTGACAGATCTTTGCCAAGGTCTAATACTGAATATTACTAACAGCATGGTGATAAATGTCTCTTCTGTTTCTTTTTAAGGCACAGGTTATCTTGTTGCTAACATAACTCAGAACTCTGATACCATGACCTGCTTAGTAAATAAAATACTTTCCTGCTATCAATAATTGTGTACGCTTACTTTTTGTTGTTATTGTTGCTTTGTAACCAAAGTATTAGAATGCCCATCTCCTTTGCTGTTTCTTTGCAAATTCAGTGCCTGAACCAATACTTATAACCTATTTGTCATGGCAATTTTCATTATAAGATTAGGTAGTGAGTTGTTGTATAGAAATAGAAATATGAGAATTCACTTTAAATATTTACCCTCTTCATTTTTGTCAAAAGTGTAATGATCCTGGCTTGAGTACCTGGAACAGGTTAACCTGTGGATTTTTCTTCTCTAAAATATTTAAGGTTAAAGGTGCCTCTGATGACTGCTACAGGTTTTATCTAGCCCCAGTTACAGCATTCTGAGTCTTTTGGGTGTGCCCCAACATAGTAGCATACTTTATGGCAAATATATGGTCGCTTGATATGAGCATTGGGACAGCTCTCTTCTTGTGTTTACACTTCACAATACGAACTGGAGCATTTGCTGATCCACACCCAGGAGGTTCATTCTGGCTAACAGCCCAGTAAAGTCTACCATTTGGGATGGTAATGGTCAGCTAGGACTTGCCTAGGCTTTCAGCATTGGAGTTTGCAATAAATATGCGAAAGATACCTTGGTCTTGAAGAGCCTGACTGTGGAGCATGCCAATCAATTGTAATGAGTTTTGTTTCAGTGTTTTTGAAATGGCATTTGCTGAGCTTAGTGACATGCTGTCCTTAAATATGTTAGGATACCCTTTTGCCTTCTATGACTTAATTGTAGTTTCTAATGTATGTCATTTATAAATATATTCTTTCAGCCAGGCCTAAGTTTTGAGCCTAACAACACGTCTGTGTTGGTATATTTTCAAGAGTTTTTTAAGAGACCTAAGTAAAATATTCTAGCATATTTCTTATACTCTTAAATTCTGATATAAATAAATATCCTTACTCCTGCCCATTTGTCATTACCTTATTTCTTATCTTTTCACAACCATCTTGCAGAATTTTATTGTTTCAGGCTGAAAGAGTGAGGGTTGTGATCAACTCAGTATACCATTGGAGGTTATAAGAGTAAACAGCAAACTGTTCTCATAAATGCAGAATGTTGGCAAACTGACAAACTGCATCTGCCGCCCAGAAGGAATGCTGAGGGAATTCACGCCCCAAGCGCAGTGTTTCTTGTGATTAGGCACATTTGAAGCCTGTTAGCAATAATGTGAACCTGTGATCAATCAAGCAGCTGACCAATCGTTATCTGCTTCTCTCTGCTCCTTCTACCCAGTAAATATGAAGGGCTGTAGAAGCTGAGGGCTGCTGCCTTTGCTCACTAGAAGCAAGGAGCTCTCTTCTTCTTCCCCGGACTTCTTCTTTAAAACAGTTTCTTTTAAGTTTTCATTTCTGCATTTGTCCCCCCTTCATTCAGTCCTGTGGTAACCGTAGTAACTGTGGCAAACTGCGGCAAGTGGCACCCAAACAGGGGCGAACAGGGACAGATAGAGACTAGCAGAGACTTGCAGGGACAGGGAGGGACAGACAGGGACAGATAGGGTCCTATAGGGACTTGAATGAGGAAGGTATGCTGGAACAGAGAAAGTGAGACTGACCAGACGAACAAGAAACCCCTTTACAAGTCTGCCAGCAGCAATATAAGGTCAGTGCCCTAAAGAGGTAAAGAGAATGGGAAGTTTTTGAATCAGGGTAACATGGGGAAGAATTTGGCTATTTCTTTTCTCTTTTCTGTTTGGAATTTGGTTCATATTGTCCTTTTGTCATTATTTCAAAATTCGAGAGAATTTTTTGCACCACCCACAGCACCTATCAAGGGTGGTGAACAGAAGAGGGAGGATGAAAATTGCCTTGTACGGTCTTCTTTTATGGCTACAGGAAGGCTAACTTTAACTTTGGCTTTTGAGATTGCAAACGTGGACTGTAAATGTGCACTGGCACCTGTGAGATGTACAAAAAACTTGGGAGGTTTTCTCAGAGCTTGTCAAGATATGGGAACTGAGCTTCATTGCTCTACAATGTTGGTTCAAGCAATGGCCTATTTGGTAGTTGATCCAAGGGGACTAAAGTGGGAAAATGTCATAAGTGTAGAAAAATTGGACATTTCAAAAAAGAATGCTGTCAGACCTCTGGGCAGAAGGGATCTTATAACACGGTTCCCCTCTCAACAGAAAAAATGCCAGGACTTTGCCCTCATTGCAATAAGTGAAATAAATCATTGTGCTAATCAATGCCATTCAAAATGTCATCAAAACGGCACCTCCCTGTTGGGAAATGAGAAGGGGGCCTGGACCCGGGCACCTCAAACATTGAGGACATTCCCCATCCAGGCCACAATTCTGTTTCAGGGGTGGGTCTCCAGAGGCATATTGATTCCCTCTCCCCAGGAACACCTGGAAGCGCAGTATTGGATTTCCCAGTCAGAGAACTGGTTACGTTAATTGGAGGAAACAAACCCACTAAGATTCCCACTGGTATTTGGGGACCTTTGCCAACAGGATACATGGGATTAATTTTGGGCACAAGTCATCTTAACTTATAGGGCATTACTATAGTCCCAGGAGTTGTTGATTTTGATTGTGAAGGAGAAATTCAGGTAGTGGTATTGTCACAAGATCTTTGGGTTTTTGAACTGGGAAAATATATTGCTCAACTGTTGCTTATTCCCTGTAAATTGCACCCTTCTCCATGAAAGGAGAGATGAGGGAATCGAGGGATTTGGAAGTACAACTACATGGGAAGTTTATCACAACCCATAGTATCTAGTAGACCCACTTGTGCAGTGCAGATTGAAGAAAAGAAGTTGTGTGGGCTTATGGATATGGGAGCAAGAGATGGGTCTCTCATGGTGATAGATCTTGAGGATTGATTTTTTTACTGTGCTATTGCACGAGAAGAATAAACCTTGATTTGTTTTCTCTGTGCCTTCTGTTAATCAGAAAGAGCCTGCCTCTTGTTATCAATGGAAAGTTTTACCCCGGGGTAATTAACCAAAGAGGCAGAAGCTGAGATACAGCTTGTGGAGCAGATGCTTCAGCAACGGCATGCCTCCTGGCTGCAGCCACAAAAGCCTTTGCTTTTGTTTGGGTTGATTTACTAATGTGGGTATGAGGGTATGCTTGTGTTTTTATAGGAAATGTACAAACCGTGTGGGTGCCCTCAAGATGTGTGCAACCACGGAACTGGAGACTGGAGGGAGCCATGGATCCCAACCACCGGCTTGGTTCCCTCAGTAGGAGCCATAAGCCAGTTGAATTTGAATGTGAAGACTGAACGAACCACCAACCGGCAATTAAGGGCTGCACAGCCTGCAATTGCCTTTCTTAATTAATTAAAAAACAAAGGGAGAGATGGTGCAGGCCGAAAGAGTGGGGATCGTGATCAACTTAGTATACCACTGGAGGCTATATGAGTAAACAGCAAACTTTTCATAAATGCAGAATGTTGGCAAACTGACAAACTGCATCTGCCGCCCAGAAGGAATGCTGAGGGAAGTCACGCCCCGAGCGCAGTGTTTCTTGTGATTAGGCACATTGAAGCCTGTTAGCAATAATGTGAACCTGTGATCAATCAAACAGCTGACCAATCGTTATCTGCTCCTCCCTGCTCTGTCTACCCAGTAAATATGAAGGGCTGTAGAAGCTCAGGGCTGCTGCCTTTGCTCACTAGAAGCAGGGAGCCCTCTTCTTCCCCTGATCTCTTCTTTAAAACAGTTGCTTTTGTTTTAAGTTTTCATTTCTGCGTCTGTCCCCCTTCGTTCAGTCCTGTGGTAACCGTAGTAACTGTGGCAAACCACAGCATTTTATTTCATATAAACAAATTTCTGAAGCTAGATATAGCATGACATAATTTTGAACTGTTTGAACTTCTGAATAACTAATGCACGTGTTTTCAACATATAAAACAACTCCCTCTACATTAGTGAAATATCTAACCCTACTAGCCCTAATGTTTTCTACGTTAGAGCTTGGGTAGCTTAAGGTTCTTTCCTTGCCAAAAATATTACCACATATTACAGAAAGTTTCAATAAAATGGGATTTGAATTTTCATTTTCCTTTTTCCATACAACTTCATTTTATTTTTGGGAATGTGATGTGTCATTTTCTTAATGTTGCTGTAATCTAAGTTATACTTAATCTAAGCCTTTAGCAATGATGACAGGTGTTTGTATGCAGGTGATATTTATATTCCTACGGAGTCTAACTTTTGGAAAATTAGTTTGCATGTATTTTTATTTCATGACATACAGTAAAGGTAACCTTCTCTATAAATGTTTGATGTCTTACAGAAAATTTCAGTGTATTAGTTATAACCTCTCAATCTATGCATACCACATGCATGTAGATTCATTTAGAGTTTGGGAACAAAATACAACTGAAACTGTTAAAGAGAATGTTCTGATTAGACTCTTCAAGACATAGTGGTCTTCATTCAAGGAGTAAATCTCCTGCCAAGAGTTTCTATCATAAAAGTAAAATATTACATTTTGAAATGCTGTATCACAAACCAAAAATATTTTGGAAACTCTCCAGAGCCCATGGATTTATTGTAATTTGCTTTTAAATCATAGTGCAGCACAGATTATATATTTAGATGATCTACAGTCTACTTATTTTGTTATGGCTGAAGTGATTCAGCTTGTTTTTGATATAAAACTATCAAATATGAGCCTTCTGTCCTCTAAAACATAACACTATACTTTGTGTGGGAGAAAAACTCTTGTTAAAGACAAAATGTTCCCTTGAATTCCAGTGTGAAATCCGCAATAAACTAACCTGCTTGAGTTAGTTTTCACATTTAAAAACTTTTCTTTATAGTAATTTTTTGGTTACGTTAAGGAGGGTTGGAATTTTGCCTATTTTTTAGCATTAGTCAGACTTTTTTCTTCACAGAAAAATGAAAAACTACGTCTTCTCTGAAATTTAATGATCTCTATGGTTTTTGCTTTAAAATATGTACCCCAGTTTCTGATCACTATTAAAATTTTTGATAGTATATAAATTAATATTAAGTAAATTTCATTCTAGATGACCAAAATGCTTTCTGTATAGTGATAAAATGCATACGGTTTTCTAGTCTATAATCAAATGAAGCAAAGATCATAATAAATAAAAACTAAGATTTTCCAGATTCACTTATTTCTAAGACACTTTATCACAGAAATCATATTTGCTACTATAAGATTAATTGGGCCGGGCACAGTGGCTCACGCCTGTAATCCCAGCACTTTGGGAGGCCAAGGCGGGCAGATCTCCTGAGCTCAGGAGTTCGAGACCACCCTGGGCAACATGGTGAAACACCCTGTCTCTACTAAAAATACAAAAATTAGCCGGATGTGGTGCATGCCTGTAGTCCCAGCTACTCGGGAGGCTGAGGCACGAGAATCACTTGAGCCCTGGAGGTGGAGGTTGCAGTGAGCTGTGATCATGCCACTGCATTCCAGCTTGGGCTAAAGAGTGAGACTCCATCTCAAAAAACAAAAAAGAAAAAAAGTAATTGGCAATTAAGCTACAGACTTATACTTAATGACTCACTATAAGTGAAAACTCTTTATTTTTTTTTCCTTGTTTAAAAATATTTCTGTCAATGCCATGGGAAAATTCTACCTTCAAAACAAAAAAATAAAATTATAAAAACTACCCAAGAATATGCTTGCATGTTAGCTTCTGGAGCAACCTCTACTGAGAAAAGGGTGAAAGCTAATTACTGTCATTCCTTATTATTCAGTAGCAGTTTAGTATTCAGAATTTAAAAGCTGAGAATAGTGTAACATATTGTGGGGCCCATATAAATCAGCAGTAAAATAGGATTTTGTATGCTGAATATTAATTTACAGACTACATTTCAATACTGTATTCTGCTTAATAAAGGATATATGTAATAACAAGTTATAAAATGTCAATTGTTCAATAAACATTTGTCAAGTATAAATATTTGACCTAGTACATGGTATAATATACTTTATATCCCTTCTTAAGGGGTATAAAAATGATTATAATAGAACCTGTGCCTTTACATATAGATTAAGAGGGTAAAAGAGATATATAAATGACCACAATAAAAAAAGACATGTGCTAAGTACCATGAGGGATCTCAGGTCATGTATGTAACTTAGAATAGAAAGAGAGAATTTCTGGCTTAGGTAATCAGAGAAGGTTTCATGTTGTTTGCTGTGTGTTGTGAAGAATGGATGGGATTATGGAAGTTGGAAATGTGAACAAAGGCCATTGCTGGTAGAGAGACTAGCACAAGCACTGAGGGTGTGAGGGTGTGTGTGAAAGCTTGTTTGGAGTAAAGCAAATTCTGTTTGGCAAGGGCAGTGAGTGGGAGGGGAAAGAGCCCAGATAATGGAGAATCTTGTGTGCCAGCTAAGATGTTTAAACTAGTGGGGGAGCCATGAGTGTTTTTTTGGACTGAAGAGCAGCTTGATCAGATCTATCTCTTATATGATGTATCGAGAAGCTCTATGTTGCTTAGATAAGGTAGAAAAGGTAGGAGACCATAGATAGGGTCACATCTATTAGGCTGTTGTAGTAATTCAAGGGAAAGTTAATCTAAGAAAGTAGCAGAGGAAATGGAAAGGATGGGTATATGTGACAATGGCTAGGACTTGGGAATGAATGAACAAGGGTATACAGGGTGTAAAGGTCAAAGATGACTCCTGCCCTAGCTCAGGATGCAGCACAGATCTGGTGTTCAATAAATACATATTTAAGTGAAAATTTTGGGCTTAAATGACTGAAAGGGTGCGCAGAAGTAGGAAAATCAAGAAGTTGTTTGAGGATGATAAGATCATTTGTATTTTAAATTGAGTTTGAGCTGCTGGCAGGATATATACATTGAAATGTCCTTAGAGAGTAGAAGCTGCAGAAATGGAACTTATAATAGAAATTGGAGTGTGACAATATAGGCAGGAGACATAAAGCAGAAAGTTCAAAGGAAAAGACCCTTGGATATTGCTCAAGATTTAGAATAACAGAATTAAGAAGATCTGCCAAGAAAATGGAATAGAGGTTAAAGAGATAGAGAATGTTAGGATAATGGAAACTAAGTAAAGAGAAAAGAGTATTTACCAACAAAGTTGGTAAATGAAGAAATGTAAAGAAAATGAATATTGAGAAAGGACCACTGGGTTTCATTTTTGAAGAAACAGTTTTATTAGATGGTAGTTAAGATTGTAGGAAGTGAAGGAACGAGATGGGGTTAAAACTTGAGTATTGTCTGGCAAAGGAAAGGAAAAGATAGGTAAGTAGCCTGAGGACTAGCAGGCCAAGGGAAGGAATTTTTCAGGCTAGGGGAAAACTAAATATTTTTTGTAAGTAATAATTTGACAAAGATGGAAAAATGAAGATGGACTTGGGGAGGCAGAGTGAGACAGAGTAAAGAGACATGGTGGTCAAGATTGAGAGTACCTGTGTCCAGTAAGACTGTCTGTAGTGATGACAATATTCTCTATTTGCACTGCCCAATTCAGAAGCCGTGAACTGCATATGACTCTTGAGCACTTGAAATGTGACGCCTTGTGCAACTGGAACACTGAGATTTTTAAATTTCATTTAATATGAATCAATTTAAAATTAAGTCACCACATGTGGCTTGTGGCTACCTTATTGGGGAGCAAAGATACAGTGGATAAATACAGTAATTAATAGCAGGAAAAAGGGTTGGACACTGAGAGATAAGGGACAAGTTCCAGAAAAAGTTTGAAGTACAGGCAGTAGTGTTTAAAGGAACTCATAGTCAAATAGTTTCATTCTTTCCCATAAAATAGGTGGCATCATTTGCTGAGAAGGTTAAGGTAGGGAGCATGAGAAAGATTTCCAGCCATGCTTGTGGAGATTTCCAGTGGAGAATCTATGATAGATGAGATGAATCACAGCCGCATTATAAGCCCTCTGGAGTTGAGAGTGTGCATTTGTTTTAGGTCTCTGCTTCCTTGTCTGGTGACTTTTTTCGGTAACATTTCTAAATCTAAGAGAGAAAGGAAAAAAAGAAGGGCAGGGAGAGCAAGTTTAGTGGAGCTCTTTGAAAGGCTGGAATGCTGGTGAAGTAAATAAATGCTGACGATGAGCTCTTAACTAAGCACAAAGCAAGTAAAAATAGGAAAGGACATGGATAAAGACTCTAGAGCCACGAGGTCATAAGGGTGAATATGTCAGACTATGGAAGACCGGCAAGGCCATAAAATTTTCTGTTGTAAAAATTGTAGATTTTAGAGGTAGAATTTTCAACAGGAAATGAGATAAGAAAGAAGAAATGTCTGTCGTTGGGTAAGAGGAATATATAAGACAGATGTACATATTTCCAAATTGTTGGGGAGGAATTTCAGCATCCCTTGAATTTTTTTTGTTTTCCTGCAATTTGCTTGCAATATTGTCTTTGCTCCAGACTTGCTAATTCAACTTTGAATGCATGGTCTTTTCTTAAATAATCCAGGTTTGAGTAGTAAAATTGGGATTTATCTTATCTATTTGCAGTGATATCCAAATTCATAAAAACTGAATTCAGAGCCAGCAGGGACCTATGAGATCATCTCATCTAGTGTTTGGATTTTGTAGATAAGGAGACTGTAACCTCTTGATTCAGTGATGAGTTCAAGGTTACATAGCCAGTGAGTGGTAGAGCTGAGACTAACTTCAAGTCTTCAGTGATTCCCTGCACTGGGCTATGACTTGGGCAGCATAATGCTCTGGTCTGAAGTTTTCAGTGGGTATGGAACTATTTGTACTCTGGAAACATCAAAATCCAATATAGAATATTATCTTCAGAACTTTGGTATGATTAGTTTTTCTGAACTTGTACTTCCAAATTACTAAACTATTAATTTGACCATACTGAAAGAAAAATCTTGCTGAAGCAGTATCTACAATGTACCACAGTTTACTTGTTCATAACTGTTTGACACTTAATGCTAAGAAAAAAGATAAATAGACAAGACTTTTAAATGTTAATAAATGTAACAGAATCCGGAATTGCATTTTTGACTAGGTGCAGCTGGGAAAGAGTTTATCAGCAGCTGTTTTATCACTTTTCTAAAAGTACCAAGTGTTGTGCCTCTCCTGCAGGCTCTAGTCTCTTTTTCCCTCCCCCATGCCCTTGTCTTCCTAATAATGAAGAAAGATACCTAAATAGTATGATCTACAACAAAAAGGATACTGTTTTCAGAAAATATTAGAACATCGTAAGGTCACTAGTACTTTTCTTTTCACTCTGAATAATATATTGAGAAACATATTGAAGTAATTGGGGATAATATTTATTTATAAAATAATTATGTGTCCCATGTGACAATACCAAAAATGTACTTTAACTTGTCTATTTTTACATGGACCCCAAATGTTTAAATGAAGTGATTAGACATACAAATCTGTAATTTTGATAAAAATATAAATAAGAATTTATAAGTTTCTGAGTTAGAGAATACAGGTCTTTGGTTTTTGTGACACTATATTTAATTTAAGGGATTTCTTTATAGGATCAACAACTCTAGAACCTTTGTTTGCATTTCTTGAAAGGAAAAGCACAGTGAAATAGGATTAGCTGCTTTAATAAAGTGAACCAAAATACTGTTCAGATGATCAAAGAGTGTTAAAATACCTTCATTTTTATTTTAATTCTTTAATTCCATTTTGTCATGGGAATTTTTGGTATTACAGCATTTGGCATACATATGACATGAAATCAGCATACCCTAAGATTTTAGGGATTGACTCCTTTAATATATTTCCTCAAGTAAATATTTCACTCTTCCTTTTCCCTGTCCTTTTCCTTCCAAGATTGGCTCTGTTTTAGGTGAATTAGGAGATACAGAGATGAAAGTTACCTTTCCTACCCTCTAGGAGCTCAAACATACAGTGGTTCTCAAAATGTGGGTCCCAGAACAGCAGCAGCAGCAGCATCCTGAGGACTTACTAGAAAAGCAAATTCTCAAGCCCTACCCCAGACCTTCAGAATCAGAATTCTGGGGGATGGGACTCAGGAATCTCTGTTTTCATCAGCCCTCCAGGGAATCCTCATGCACACTCAAGTTAAGAACCACTGGTCTAATGACTGGAACTTTATACCTTCCTTATTTTTGAAATTGGGATATAAGTCACATCCGAAAAAATTCACCATTTTAAAGTAAACATTTCAGTGGTTTTTAGTGTATTCACAGGACTGTGCAAACATCACCATTATCTAATTCTATAACATTTTCACCATCCAAAAATAAACTCCATACCTATTAGCAGTCACTCCCCATCCTCTGTCTCCACCCCTCAGCCCCCAGCAACCACTAACCTACATTTTGTCTCTATGGATTTGCCTCTGCTGGATATTTCATATAAATGGAATCATAAAATATGTGGCCTTTTGTTTCTTTCACTTAACGCAGTGTTTTCAAGGTTCATCCATGTTGTAGCATGTATCAGTGCTTCATTATTTTTATGGCTGAATAATATTCCATTGTATAGATGTACATATGTTGTTTATCCACTCATCAGTTAATGGATATTTAGGTTGTTTTTACTTTTGGCAGTTATGAATAAGGCACTATGAATATTCATGTACAGGTTTTTGTATGAACATATTTTCTGTCTGGTATATACAGTCAGTTCTCATTATTTGTGGTAGTTTTGTTCCTGAAGTCACTGCAAACACTGAATTAGTGAATACTGAATTACTGGTTCTAGGAGAAATACAGGATTAGGTTCCTGTAAGACTCTGGTCACATTTTCATCAGTTGATCAATATATAACCTTGTTTTATGTGTGTTTCTTTTTAAAGATATATTTATTGCTGATTCATTAACATTGAGTGCATGCCTAACAGCGCCATAACTCATGCCTGAACAAAGCGGCTTACCTAACCAGGTATATTTTCTGTGTGTGACAAGGCCTGTCACAGCCTTCTTGCACTTAGAGTAGGCAGCACTTCAGCATTACACTTGGGGGCTATTTGAAACAGTGAACTCACCAAAAAAAAAGCACAAATGTGAAAAACCTGGCACTAAATCGACCGCAAAAGGGAGACTTGTTTACAGTATGAGAGCCAAACACAAGAGGGTAGTCTTGTTTGAGTGACTCACGTTTTTCACCGCTCTGCCAATTCACATGTCTGAATGACTGTGAAAGCACCATGAGGATTATTTGGGGGTTACAAATAATTTATAGTGAATAATCATATTTGCAAATACAGAATCCACAAATAATGAGGATCAACTGTACTGGGAGTGTAGTTGCTGGGTCATATGGTAGTTCTATGTTCAATATTTTGAGGAATTACCAAGCTATTTTTTTTTTTTTTTGCAGAAGCTAAAGCGTGTTACATTCCCGCTAGCAGTGTTTAAGGATTCCAATTTCTCCATGTCCTTGACAACACTTGTTATTTTCTGTTTGTTTGAAACAGAATGGTGGATGTGAAGTGGTATCTAATAAGATACCACTTATAAGTGGTTTCGATTTGTATTTCCCTAAATCACTAATGACGTTGAACATCTTTTCATGTGCATATTGGCCATTTGTATTTCTTCTTTAGAGATGTGTCTATTCAAACACTTTACCTCTTTTAAATTGGATTATTTGTCCTTTTATTGTTGAGTTGTAAGAGCTTTTAAATATATATTCTGAATACTAGACTCTTAGATATATGACGTGCAAATATTTTCTCCCATTCTGTGTTTTCATTTTCTTGATAATGTCTTTTGATCTTCAAAAGTTTATTTTGATGAAGTCCAATTTTATCTTTTTTCTTTGTTTATGCTTTTGAAATTGTTGAAACTACTGTCCTCATATAGTTAGTACATCCTGCTACAAGAATTGCATACATATTTTTATTACCAAAGTCATGAAGAGTTAGATTTCACGGTTTCAATAAATTATAACTTATTTGCTAAGGGATGTCATTTGTAAATTTAAAGCATTTGTTCGTAGTATTTAAGAGACTTTTATGTTGTGGTTGTGGGATTTTAAATACTGGCATCATGAGGGCCATATGTTTATAAAAAGCAGTGTCAAATTTATTTAACAAACTGCTGTTTTTGTTTGGAAAATTGAAGAAAAACACTTAAAACTACTCTAACATTTTAAAAGAAGATTCTACCTCTTTTTAAAACCATGAACTTTCTGTCCTAAAAGTAGGATCTTGAGCCATTTTGTGAAAGAACACAAGAATCCCTGGAACTTGGAAATAAATGCAGATTGGTGTTTATTTGTGTTATTTTAAATGTAGTAGCACTGTGTGTTAGAAAACTCAATCTGTAACACTTAAGTCAGGCTAAGCAAGCAAATAATATCAGCTAACATGGCTTTAATCTACTAAGTAACTTAAAATCCAAAAGATCAAAGGAAGTTATAACTAAAAACAGTCCTTCATGCAGTTTCCCTGTGGAAGCAGGAAAAGGCTAGAAATTACATGTCACCTTCATATCCTGGCTTGCTGACCTTGTGCTCAGATCAAGCCCCTCTGTATGCCAGCTGTTACCATTATTAAGACCTTGCCCCAAGGGGTTAAGTAGGAGAAAAACTCTCCTGTCCTATTGGAGAGCAAACACTGAAAGTTCCAGCCCCTAACATGCCTAATTCAAAGCAATCTGCATGTGCTTGTCATTCAGTCTGTCCTGCCGCTCTGTGGAGCTGCGCCTGCCAACTCATTGCTTTCTGCTGTGCTGTGATCCTGCAGTCAGTTGCCGCTGTTGCTACTGCAATCATTTGCACCAAACTGAGCCAGAGAAGTTCCCTCTTTTAACATAAAGGTAATACATTTTCTCTTGCTGTGTGAATATGTGTGTGAGAAATGTGTGTGAATTTGTTATTTTAGGAGAATGTATTTAAAAACTGAACTTTGTTTCTAGGATTGTATTTAAAATTCCAGCTCACTGTTTTGTTTTTTTTTCAGTGTAAACTTTGAACGGCATTTGGCATTTTAACACATTAAAATCTTGTGAAGTTTATTTAAATTGTAGTCTAGCGCAGTAAGGTAAGGCCAGCCATTTCTTAAGTTTGTTAAAATGTCATGTCTTTGTGAAGTTGGAAGGAAACCTAAGCTTTAAGGAAGTTTGTTGTTTTACACTTTGAGATTCTTATTTAACTACTATCTAAAACAGAAAATTTTCAAAATATGTGCTTGCCATTACCAGGTGATAGAAAAATAAATGTAGAGTTGTAGGAATCACATTAGTCACTTTTGTGAATTAAATATTATAAGAAAATAGAAAATTATTAGCATCTTCCCTCCTATAAAGAGAGTAGTTTGGTGAAGATACCCTCTTGTGAACTAAACTTCAACAGCAAGTAATTCTTATCAGAGTTCATTTCAGATACACAGCTTGGTACAGGCCTTCAAGCTATATTTTAGTTGTTTAAATGTTTCATGCATTACATGGTAACTACAATAGTGACTGCATATGATTGGATTTACTACTTAAAAGTACAATTCAAAATATATTTGCTGTATTCACTTTTGCTTAAAATGAGAATGGATAATTTATTTGCAACTGGTGGAAAAATTCAAATTAGTTTAATGTGAAATATGTTTATGTTTGGTGTAAAATATACATTAAAAAATTAAACAGAGAAATTTAGTGAAAACTGAGATATTTCATGCACATCACTGACCATAAATGCCTTTATTCAATGATAATGCAAGAAATAGAAAACATACTTTACAATTTGTTAAAAAAATTTTACAAATAGGTATTCTTGTTGAACGAAGAAGAAGGAAATGTGTCCTTTTTACTCACAAGAAGGTTATTTTAGATCATAATATTTATAATTAAGAAAATTACAGTTCCCTTTGTTGGCTGGGAAATCACTAAACTGTGTAAATAAGCTCTAAATTTATGAGTGTTTCACTTGCAGGTAGTGGGTTTTCTGCTTCCCATGGTTTTAATATCTGGCGACACATTTCTACTTTCTAAAATGTTAAAACATTTTGCATTCTTTCATGTATTTTTTAGTCTTGCATCTCCAATAGATTATCTTAGATTGCTTTCATTGCCAACGTATCAAATATTGGGATATTTTATTGATTTTACTTTATTTAGGACTTTTTAGTATTAAAAAAGATATTTTTATGTATCTTCTATGCTTCATATAGCTCACATCTTAGACCTCAGTTTTAGACTTGTGATCATGAACTATTTGCATTGATTATGAAAAAATGTGTAATGTTTTAAGTGTCTGAAATGATTGACCTACAAAGTAGTTTAGAAAATACATGTTTACCTTAATTCAGTCTGGGAAATATGTATTATAAAGTGGATTCATCCAAAATTTAAATCTAGTCTCACTTGCCTTGCAGTTTATATTGAACCAGTGGAGCCTTTTGGGGAAATCTGCTTTTCAGTGTTTGCTATGCATCACTTCTTTACCTTCTGTTCTAACTGCTTTGAGTTCTGGGACTGGATCTGAGCATTCTTGCTGTATGATTCTTATAACTCAGTGTGGATGATGGACAGCCTTGACATACAGATGATATGAACATTTCCTATTTTTGAAAAAATACAATTCCTGATTACATTCTGACACAGGAAGCAAAACTGAGTTGTTTAGGATCAAGACATATGAGCTCCTTAGCCTGTCAGCCTTTTGGAAAAAATATAAGACAGAGCAACTAAAAAAAATTAGAAAAGCTAGACTTGGAGAAGGTGGTGGCTTTTTGTTCTCTCCATCTTAATTTCTATTCTCTTATTTTAATCAGTATTAAACAGGCTTATGTATTACAGGCTCATATTTAGATTCCAAGAAAACTGTATAAGGAAGATAGTAGGTGCTTACCAAAATGATTGCTAAATAAGGACATTTAACTGAAAAATGTGATTTAATTATTTTTGTAAGCAAACAAGAATCCCACACAATAGTAAATGTAATTTCAGTTCATCTAATATATACAAGAAAGCAAACAGCAGAATTCATAAGCATTTATAGTAATAATTTAAGGAATAGAGAAAGATTTATAAAAGTTGCACCCAGGCCCTTATTAAGACTTAATTTACTGATTCAATTCAAGTAAGAATAAAGTCTTTATAAGTTTGATGTTCTTCTAAGCTTGAAGCAAATCTCAGAGTTCTCTTTAACTGTGTTTTATACAAATACCTTGAGTGATGTTTCCCAAGTTGCTCAGTAGACTAAAGGATACTCATAGGACATTATTTGCTGGACTCTGCAGGGAAGAACCCATTTGGGGAGCTGTTCTAGGAAATTTGATTTGCTGCTTCTCAAACTTCACAAAACAGCAGGGAGTGGGGCCTGGTATTAGATACTAAACATTTGTGGGAAAAGTTTAGATAATTCTAAGTGTGGTATTAAAAAACAACACACTACCATCTAAATCAAACAACTTTTAAGTGCTTTATGGTGATTGATCTCAGTTTTTGGCTTTATGAAGGACATTTTTAAAATTCTCTCACATTCTTTTGCCTAACAATGTGTGGGAGTAAAATTTTCTTAGTTTGATTTACCTCAGTGATGTTTTTTTTTTTTCCTTTGGGCTGCTAAGTTTTGAGGTTTTGACATGTGTGAAGTATTAAACATCCATGGTATCTTTTAGACATGCTTGTGATGTGTTCAACATTTGTTAAGCTCGGTAATATGATCCTGTTTCTACTGGGGAAGAGCTATAGTGATACAGATAGATTGCTCAGTTGTAAAGCCGCCCATTTTGTGATTTTAGTTGAGACAAAATAGTTTCAAATGAAATCTCATGGCCTAAAGACACACCTATCACATCTTAAGGATCCTGTTTATTAACAAACCATCTTGTAATTCTTATTTGGTGGGGATGTGAGGCTAAATAACAGTCCTGCTATCTGCAGGCTGTCTAACCCTAGAATTGGAAAGTTTAAGATGCTTAAAATGCCACCAGGAATCTTTTTTTTTTTTTTTTCCTGGCATGGAACTTTAGGGAACATGCTCTTTTATTAGAGGATCTTGAGCCTTCATTTTAGAGACTGACCAGACATTGAGGATGAACTTTTTCTTGAGTGTTAAATAAACTCATTAGTCAAATTAGCTACTTCCCAAATTTTCTTCAAAAGATCAATAAATAATAAAGGCTATATGGCAAGGTGTTTCACATTTCCACAACATTGTTCCACGCAAAGTCTGCACTGTTGTCTTGCTTGAGCTAATATCTTATCAAGGCTTTCTCTCCCCACCCTTCCAGCTTAAGAAGTACTGCAGATGAAATCTCTTTTCATTGTAACAAGAGCAATAAAAAAAAGTAAAGATAGTTTAAACTTAGAGTACCAGGTCCAACTGTTTTCTAATATGCAGCAATATTCTGCATTTCAAGCAATATTTTCAGACTGTTGAATATTTTGAGTGGCAGTTGCTTGCTCTTATAGATTGATCAGCATTAATTATATAAAGTATAAATCAGTGGCTCTCAGCTCTGACTGCATGTTAAAATCACCCAGGATGCTTTAAAAAATGCTAATGTCCACACTTCACTACAATATGAATTAAATCAGAACCTCAACCTCTGGGGCCAGGACCCTTTTATCATAATTTTTTTAGTATTACCAAAGTGATTCTAATGTGCAGCCAGAGATGAGACTGCTGTGATAGACTTGTAATTTTATTAATATTCATATTTAATGCATACCTTAAGACTTGTAGCAGAGTCTAATTAAATGTTTTGGCTAGTTTTGGGGTTAGATAACTACTTATATAGGAGAACTTTGTAGAATTTTTTTAAAGTGACCATTGTTTGACATCCCTGATTATAGAAAGTTTCTCTAGTTTTATTTTGTATATTTTTGGTTATACAATTTCACATAATTCTCCAAACTTAGGGTTCAAAAGAAATTAGTGCAGCTTAATGGAATTTAAACTCATCTGAAAGAGGAGCGCAAAGCTATGAGAAGCCTTCCCTACCTCTTTCTTTCCAGCATTGATGCTTATGGGCACAGTACTTATAACACGAGTGTGGAGAGAAGTGGTAAATATTACATGGAAAGATAATTTTTGTGGATGAACCTGGAAAAGAGATCTCTGAAAAGTGCTTTGATAATTGCAATATTGTGAGAGTGCTCTTGAAATATGTATTTAGGAAGATAAGTGTTTATGCTAAATGAAGGATATCACTGATATCATTTACCTGAGATTGAAAGAGATAAACTTCATTTTATACCCACATTTCTGTTCCCACATAGACCAAAGGTACATTGGATGTAAAACAAAATGAGAAAAATGAAATTGATGTTTCTACAACCCTGAAATTTCTATCACTCACCTCTACATATGAAAATTTCTGCTTTTACAACCTAACTCATTTCTAGCAGTAATACTGCTTTCCAAAGGTAGGGCTTTCAGATTTGCTATGGCAGATATACTGCAATATCGTTAAGGTTATTTTACATTCATATTTTTTGTTGTAACTCTAGGGGGAAACTTTATCTGGAAACTTTAATTTTTCTTCTGTATCATTAAGTTGTTTGTGAATACCATGAATATTGAAACAAAACATTTACAGTGTATCCATATATCTTAGTTCCTCTGTCAATATATATCATGTATGTAATCATATTAATAGAGGTTATCTAAAAATGTTAGGCGTATTTCATTTTCAAAGGTGGTGCTTATCATAAGTTGAAACTACCCATAAATTGAATAATAAGAACAGTATGTTCTCACTGTAAAAGAATGCTAACCTTCATTTTCATATTTCCTGGAACTCAGTTCGCTTTCTCCTAGTTGGCAGAGAGCTAACTAATACCTAGTAGGCTCTTATGAAATATTTAGTGGTATAGATCTTCAAATATATAATGTTTGTTTCTTTGGGAAAATGGCTTTCAACTTATTATAGTTTATGCTTAAGGGGAATACTAGAATTAACACCTTATTTTTGTATAGGCCTTTGCAATATATAAAATGTTTACAAGTGATTTGGGGAAGCTATTTATAAGTATTCTCATGAAGGAGAGTTTAATAGTAGAAAGTTTACAAACTTAAAAATAAGAAAATGTAATTTGTCTCAGGAGGGAAGAAGATTATATTTCTTTATTTAAGACCATCCTTTCTAGTTCCTTAAAAGTGTCTGATTCTTTCATTAAAGATACAGATTTTGCTGTCAGGTCACAATTACATTATTCTTAAATAGTCAATATACTATATGACAACAAAGATCAATCCATTGTCTTGCTTTTTTAAGTTTGCATAATATGATATATGGATGGATAACACCTTTCCTTAATTTAGTGAAATATGTCTCTGGCGCTCTTGAATGCTGAATTGTACCTTTTAAAACTATCTTGGGAAATATCGAATTCATAGGCTATTTTTCATGTGGACCTTCAGACAGAATTTTACATCAGTAGCCTCTTGTGGTCCTATAAAAGCTAGTTGGACTTGGCATTGCTCTAGAGGCATCTTGAGGTAGTGGAAAAGCCTTACCTTTAGAGTCATACTGGTCTGAGATTAAAGCATGCAATTTGGATTAGCTACTTTAATATTTTTGATTCTCAGTTTTCTCTGTAATGGGTTTAATAATAAATTCACAGAGGTATTGTGAAAAAAGGGGCTTGACATAGTGAGATGATTAAAAAAAATTTTAATAGCCCTTTGAAGGGAAAAATATTTGTAGAGACAATACTTGCCTGATTTGGCTTCTGCGTAGCCCCACTATAGTTCTTTATCAATTTCTGTTGGCATTTAGAGCAGCCATTTATTTCTCTGGCCATAACACTAAATATTAGCAGGCCAACGAGGTACCAGTAATCAGAAATTAGTCCATCATTTTAGGATAAGCAGGAAGCAACTGTGGAGGAACCATTTCATATTAAAACAAGTTTGGTAAATAATGGATACAGGTATCCCCAGACTGCCTTTATACCTGATGTGAAGAAAGATACCTGATGTGAAGAAAGACTTAAGGTCTCTTTATATACCCATCTTTTAATACCTAGTGCCACTTGAGAGGGAAACAAATGTATCTCAGTTAACTAGGCAGGGTGCTTCAGTCCATTTATATGAGTTGCACTAAAAAGATCAAAATCTTAACAGCTGTTATTTGCATGCACAAAAAACAGTTTGGGAGTCATGATACAAGCCATAATTAAACTTGATTATCAATTAGAACCTCTGTTGTTAAATGTGTTACATTTCTTTGCCTTAAAAAGAAAAATGGGCCTTTATTTCTGTCAACTGTTATCATTTCCCTACTTATTTTTCTTCATTCTGCTTTAATTGTGCATATCTTGCCATAACTGAGGCATAATTCTCTTGTAGTCTCCCCACCTAGTTTGTGGTTTTCTCTTGCTACGCAAAATGTGTTCTAGGTATCAGCAGTATGGACATGTTGTTGGAGGCTTGTTGCTCCACCCCTGATGTACTGTATCAAATCTTTATTCTAACTGCATCTCTAGGTGATCCTTGTATTTGGAAGCACTGGTTTAGTGTTTTGTATTTACCTACTGAAACTGCTCTAGGGAGCATGACTCTTCTGAAAAAGGTGGTTGGCTACAACAAGGGATCTTGTTGGTGATCCAGTCTTGCCATTTATTCTTAAGTTTGGTATTAGGAATCTGGTGAAGCAAAGAGTTATTCTAAAATACATCATCTGAGTGTACAGAATACAGTTTATCAGAAAGCTCTCAAGACCTTGGCATCATGCTTCCTAGCTTCACCATTTGTCATCAGTATGTGACTTTGAGCACCTTACTTAGAATCTCTATGTTGTTTTCTCCTAGCAAAATGGAGTGGTAATGCCTGCCACCCCTGTTTTTCCAGAGGGCTATTAGGAGGATCAACTCAAGTGAGATCATTTGTGAGAAAGTGCTTTGGAAATAGCCAAGAGGTGTACAATTTTAACAGTTGATGGGGATGAAAATGGTGTTCCTTCAGGCTATATGAGCCCTGTGTTTGTTACGGATAGTGAGGCTTTGCTAAGTGGTTACTGTGGTAATTGGGACAGGTCTGTGTATTCTCTTCAACAGTACATTTAGATTTTACCTTGGCAGTTTTCTGGCCACACTAGCAGTTCTGACCGCCAATTCCAAGTAGCTGCTGAGGTTTTCTTAACGCTATTTGTATTCTGGGAGCCATCTAGTTTGATTGCATCCTTTGTACAAATTGTGTGTCATTAATTTTGGTGTATGATACAGTCATGTGCCACATAAAGACATTTTGGTCAGTGACAGACCACATATACCATGTTGGTCCCATAAGATTATAATGGAGATGAAAAATTCCTATGGCCTAGCCATGGTGACACTGGAATGCAACACCTTACCTTTTTTATGTTTAGATGTGTTTATCATTATTTTTTATTATTCATGTTTAGATATGTGTGGTAGACAAATACCTGCATTACAGTTGTCTACAGTATTTAGTACAGTAACATGCTGTATAGGTTTGTAGCCTAGGAGCAATAGACCATGCCATATAGCCTAGCTGTGGCTACAGCATCTAGGTTTATGTAAGTACACTGTGATGACCACACAATGGTGAAATCACCCGATGATGCATGTCTCTGGACATATCCCCGTCCTTAGGTGATATGTGATTGTCTCTTGACAAATGAAATTATCATAATCCTGATAGCATTTTCAATGTGATGCAACTTTTTGTCTGAAGCATTATTTTTCCATTTATTTTATAGTTGTATATTTCCTGAGTTCCAAACAGGAGTTGGATGTCATTATTTTGAACCATCTAATCATATGAACTCTGATGACACTTTTCTCTTTACATTTCAGTATGATGGAAATGTCTCTCTCTCTCTCTATATATATATATATGAGATTTATATATAATATATATCATATATATGAGAGATATATATCTCTCATATATATGAGATATATATATCTCTCATATATATGAGATATATATATCTCTCATATATATGAGGTATATATAATATATAAAATATATGATATATATCATATATATTATATATCATATATATGATATATAAAAATTATATATCATATATATGATATATAAAAATTATATATATCATATATAATATATATAATATATTATATATATAAATTATATATAATATATATAAATTATATATATCATATATATGATATATAATTTATATATCATATATATGATATATATAATATATTATTTATATATAATATATTATATATTATATAATATGTAATATATATTATATATTACATATTATATTATTTATAAATAATATTTTATAATATATATAATATTATATAATATAGAATATTATATATTATATATTACATATTATATAATATATTATATATAATATGCAATATATAATATATTATTTAATATATTACAGTTTATATATATATATTTTGAGACGGAGTCTTGCTCTGTCGCCCAGGCTGGAGTGCAGTGGCGTGATCTCGGCTCACTGCAAGGTCCGCCTCCTGGGTTCACGCCATTCTCCTGCCTCAGCCTCCTGAGTCGCTCGGACTACAGGCACCCGCCACCACGCTCGGCTAATTTCTTTGTATTTTTAGTAGAGACGAGGTTTCACCGTGTTAGCCAGGATGGTCTCGATCTCCTGACCTCGTGATCCACCCGCCTCAGCCTCCCAAAGTGCTGGGATTACAGGCGTGAGCCACTGCGCCCTGCCCCTCTCTATACTTCAATATATTAATTTACTTGCGTTATGTATTATACAAGAGTATTCATATATGTATACATACATAGTGTTATATATACAAGGGTATTAACACTCTCGTGTTATATAGCCCATTCTGGTTTTCAAAACATTTTTACATTCTCATAGTAATCCTATGAAATGTATATTTTAAAATTTAATCGAAAGATGGTTTTTGGCCAAAGACCTTGTAGCCCCAAAATTGCTAAATCATTCTGGACATTAAAATGCTGGCTAAAAATGTAAAATAGGGGATATGAGATTAGAAGCTTGAATTTGTTGATATTGGCATGTTATATTCATGAACAGCAGGAAATGCATTAAAATATCTTGGTGTGGGCACATCACATCTCAAGCCAATGCTTCAATAATAGCTTGCCTTTTTTTTTTTTTTTTTTTTTTGCATTCCCCTGTGTTTTATGGCCCTGGGAGAACAGGTGATTTCAACAATAGCTGTTTTGTTTTGTTTTGTTTTGAGACAGGGTCTCGTTCTACCACCCAGGCTGGAATGCAGTGGTGTGTCTCAAGCTCACCACAACCTCCGTCTCTTGGGCTCAAGTGATCCTCCCATTTCAGCCTCCTGAGTAGCTGGGACTACAAGCAAACAACACCATGCTCAGCTAACTTTTAAATTGTTTTTAGAGACAAGGTCTCACTATATTTTCAGGCTTGTCTCAAACTCCTGAGCCCTAGCAGTCTTCCTGCCTCAGCCTCCCAAAGTGCTGGGATTACAGGCATGAGCCACTGTGCCCAGTCTCAACATAGCTGTCTTTTAAAGTTACTCATTATATTTTACCCAAAACCGATTTTAAACTTTCACTATAAATATTACTATCACTGCATTCATAATCATATACCATTACACTTATCACAATAGTTTGACAAATGTAAGGGTATTAAGACTCTCAGGAACTCCTTATTCCACTCCTATTATACTTATACTTCCTCTATCTTATTCTTCTTTCCTGTTAGTTCCCTCCGTCTTAGGCTCAGACTGGATTTTTTCCTCATTTATCTCAGTTCTAAAGAAAAAGGAGGCTGGGCATGGTGGCTCATCCTGTAATCCTAGCACTTTGGGAGGCTGAGGCAGGAGGATCGCTTGAGCTCTGGGATTTGAGACCAGACTGGGCAACATAGGAGAACCCACCTCTACAAAAAAATTAAAAATTAGCATGACATGATGGTACATGCCTATGGTCCCAGCTACATAGGAGGCTGAGGCAGGAGGATTGCTTGGGCCTGGGAGGTCTAGGCTGCAGGAAGCCATGATCGCACCAGTGCACTCAAGCCTGGGTGACAGAGCAAGACCCTGTCTTTAAAAAAAAAAAAAAAAAAAAAAAAAAAAAGGAAGGAAGGAAGGAAGGAAGGACGGGATGAAGAGGGGGAAGGGATGATCTTTCTCTGTATGGGCCTTAGGGTTAACTCCTGATCTCAGAGTGAAATACTTTCCTATTCTGGCTGGTCACCTGAACACCTACCCAAATGCATCCATTGAACTTAAATAATCTATAGACAGTTCATAAAATATTTTTTCTGTTTTTGCTTCTAAATTTTTTTACCTGTACTTTTTACATACTTATGAGGTCAAATTGATTGGTCCCATGTTATAATTAAAGAAATGGAATCAGAGAACACTCATGTGACTTGCTTCAAATACAAGCCAAAGTCAGAGTTCAAATTATTCTTTACTAGTTCCTACTTCATTACAAGAAGTCTCCCAAGTTACAAAATAGGTTGTGTTCCAAAAATTCATTTGTAAGTCAGTTATTTGGCATTTGAACTGCATTTTACCATGTGGAAAAAACATGTTATAAGTGATGATTAGGTCCCCAGCTGGCATATAAGAATCTATTTAACTCTTGTGTAACTACAAAACGATACATTTGTAATAAATTTAAAAGAGAATGATAGTTGTGATTCTGATTATGAAGAAAAATAATTTTTTTTTTTTTTTTTTTTTTTTTTTACTGAGGATAAGCAGATTTAATTAGAAGATAGGAAAACATGAAGATTGAGGAGGGTCTAGAGGGGATTTCAGGGTTCTTTGAAGGGAGTTAGAGGTTGATGGGATTCTGTCTGAAGCCCAATGTATTCAGTTCTTGCACTACCATAAAGAAATACCTGGGCTGGGCACAGTGGCTCACGCCTGTAATCCTAATCCCAGCACTTTGGGAGGTCGAGGTGGGCAGATCACCTGAGGTCAGGAGTTCGAGACCAGCCTGGCCAACATGGTGAAACCCTGTCTCTACCAAAAAATACAAAAATTAGCTGGGTGTGGTGGCACACACCTGTGATCCCTGCTACTCAGGAGGCTGAGGTGGGAGAATACTTGAACCCAGGATGTGGAGGTTGCAGTGAGTAAGCCAAGATTACACCACTTCACTACACCCTGGGCAACAGATGGAGATCCTGTCAAAAAAAAAAAAAGGCCGGGCGCAGTGGCTCACGCCTGTAATCCCAGCACTTTGGGAGGCTGAGGCGGGCGGATCACGAGGTCAGGAGATCGAGACCATCCTGGCTAACACGGTGAGATCCCGTCTCTACTAAAAAATATGAAAAATTAGCCAGGCGTGGTGGTGGGCGCCTGTAGTCCCAGCTACTTGGGAAGCTGAGGCAGGAGAATGGCATGAACCTGGGAGGTGGAGCTTACAGTGAGCCGAGATCGCGCCACTGCACTCCAGCCTGGGTGACAGAGCAAGACTCCATCTCAAAAAAAAAAAGAAAAGAAAAAAAAATAACCTGAGACTGGGTAATTTATAAAGAAAAGAGGTTTCATTGGCTCACGATTCTGCAGGCTGTACAGGAAATATGGCAGCACCAGCTCAGCTTCTGGCGAGGCCTTAGGAAATTCACAATCATGGCAGAAGGTAAAGGGGAAGCTGGCCAGAGAAGGAGAAAGTTGGCCGGGGACATGTGTCACATGCTTTTAAACAACCAGATCTCAGGAGAACCCACTCACTATCATGAGAACAGCACAAAGAGGGAAATCTAGCCCCATAATCCAATCACCTCCCACCACGCCCCACCTCCAACACTGAGGATTACAGTTCGACATGAGATTTGGGCAGGACACAGATCCAAACCCTATCAGCCAGTTTCACTTTGAAACTTTTAAGTCATTTGTTGTTATTAGATGCTTCTCACTGGCATGACTTACCCAGCATCTGTGATTAGAATCAGTAGAATTGATTGAATTAAATACCTAGGAAAAAGTAGACTATTTGAGATGATACATTAACCAACCTGGGATGGTAAAAACAAACTAACAAATTAGAAGTATTCTTTCCTTCAGCCCTCCTGATGGAAAGGGCAGGAGGAGTTGACTTTCCCATTTAGCCCAGCAGATTCCCATCAGCTGTGATAGTTTAACTGAGGTACAGGTGGAGGTTGGAGAAAAGCGTGTGCCTGCAGTGATTTCTTTGAATGGAGTGCTCGTACAATGAGAGTTTCTAATTCTGGGAAATAATTACATTGATCTCATCTAGTGATTGTTTCCTACATTATCTAAGACACAATTAAACATCTTAAATTTCAATTAGCTTTTTTAAAAAACGTCCAGTGCTTCTTTAAATGTCCTTTATGTTTTGTTATTTTCATAACCTTTGCATATGGCTTTTTCTTTTGTTAACAACAAAAGGGAGGTTATATTCTTCAGTAAACTGAAGCATAAATGAGCAGATCTTGCTGAGATGGCACATTTAGAAAATGATGAGATTAGTTCTTGCCTCCTGGATCACATTAGTGCTCTTGCCGGTCAGTATATCTACCCTACCTCCTGCTAGTTTAGATAATACATTAACTACTATTACTCTGTGTTGGGTATATTCTTTGAATGTTTTACAGTGGATGTTTGTTTAACACTGGGAACATTGGAAAGTGATTTAATGAAGGAGAGAGCAACTGTATTTACTACAGTTCAGAATCCCTCTCAATGGTCATTGTAAAAGGAAGTTTGGGATTGGCAAGCCATTTTCAAAAGTGATGTAAGACTAATGAGGGAAGTAACATCTACTTGATTTTATATATATTTTGATGTTTTTAAATGCTTTGTCTTCCCACTAAGCAATTTATTAAGAAATTCCTATTGCATGATGTTTATTTAACTGAATTTGTGTATGTGGGGTAGGGTGTGTTTGAGGAATTTTGTCTGAAAGGTAAATATGCTAAATTTACATCCTAGTATGGGCATGCTCTGCTCACAAATGCCTCTGCTGAGCAGTTTACATACTGGGTGAAAATGTACATAGGAATCCTCATGGGGGATCCAGGTTTGCCAGTGAGATTACTATGTACTCAGACTGAAAAAGATGATTTCTTCTGATTACCTGTGTGTCTGCCAGAGGTGGGGAAGGACTAGAAAGAGATTCCTGCACAAGCCGTTTTGTCTACTTAGAGAATGGCATGCTAGAAGGGTTAGCGAGCTAAATTACAGTTTTCTTTTTGTTGTTGTTGTTGGCTTTTATGTATATGTTGAATAGACTAATAGCATTTGATGACCCTTTTTTTTTTTTTTACTGTGAATTCCCGGATTTTGTGTGTATGTTGCTCAGAGGGTAGTGCAGTGAGCAAAGGGATAGGGAGATTGTCTGTTTTTTTGTTTGTTGATTGGACACACTTGCTGCTGGTAATTTGAGCATCTAAGGATCTTCCTTTATATTGAAGCCCTGAACCTTTTGGTGGAAGGAAAAAAAAAAGTAAGAAAAAAAACTCATTTGAAGCAAATCCCACCCATAGTATTATTTTTCTCATGTGCAGGCAATGTCACCTGTAGTATATTATATAGAATTTTGCATCTGATATTTTGGTTGCTAGAATTCTTAGCTTTCCTGACTGGTTTTAATTTATTATTCTCAGACTTGAATGACTAAGGGGAAAAATCATATATTCTTGAGATTTTTCTAAGATACAAAACATTCTTAAGATTATTCAAATTATTTTAACCTTGTACAATGAATTACCCTCAGAGTGGCCCTTCATTTTGCCCGTCACTCCTAAATCAGAACATATAAGCCAACCATGATATTGTTGAAAAGCTAAAGGATGCTATTTGTATCCTCTCCTCTCATGCAAAATGGTCTAGTTCTTAACTGATTACTTGTGCATCTAGGATGGGGTGAGAAGAAGGGCACTGAAAGGAGAGGTGGGCAGGAGAAAAGTGATCAATGGGAATAGAAGAGGGTTTTTAAGGTGCCTAAAATAGCTGGAGGAAAGAAGAGGAGTGCCACTGTGTTGGCTGGTTCCATCACAGATGCTGCGGAATTTCTACCACTGTCTCACAACTCTGCAAGAACCCTCATTTTCAATGAGCTGTTTTTAAATATCATACTTGTCTTTCCTACATATTTGCCTGCCTGACTGTAACTGGGCGATTTTATGATTTTCTTACTTAGAGTCAAGAAATTGGAGCATGGCTATGAGCAATGGAAACAATGATTTTGTGGTTCTGAGCAACAGCAGCATCGCAACCAGTGCTGCTAACCCGAGTCCCCTCACCCCCTGTGATGGAGACCATGCAGCCCAGCAGCTCACACCCAAAGAAGCAACAAGAACAAAAGTGAGTCCAAATGGATGCCTGCAACTTAATGGCACGGTCAAATCATCCTTTCTGCCTTTAGACAACCAAAGAATGCCTCAGATGTTACCCCAATGCTGCCATCCTTGCCCATACCATCACCCTTTGACTAGCCATAGCAGTCACCAAGAGTGCCATCCCGAGGCTGGCCCTGCAGCACCCTCTGCTTTGGCCTCGTGTTGCATGCAGCCACACTCCGAGTATTCTGCATCTCTTTGTCCAAATCATTCACCTGTGTATCAGACTACGTGCTGTCTTCAGCCCTCTCCATCCTTCTGCCTGCATCATCCGTGGCCTGACCATTTTCAGCATCAGCCTGTGCAACAGCACATAGCCAACATAAGGTAAGTGATCCGAAAGTTTTGCTTTTAGCATTCAACTAATGCCACGTGAACATGACAGCTTGTGTTTATTTTCCTGAAAGGAGAGGAGAAAAATGAGGCACAGAAAGAAAACATGAAAACGCATATTCTGTGGATTGTGTGAAGCCAACAAAAACGCAAATAAAATAATACTGTATATCGATTTTATCCACTGACTTGTTAGTCAAATCCTCCCTTCCCCTTTCCCTGTCTGCAAACTGGTTAGGAATATCTGCTAGACCTTGAGTTATAAAATTCAACAAAAAGTTTTATTGTTAGCAATTTCTGTTATTGTACATGGGAAGCATATTTATGATGAGACTAAACAGCAGTCATTTATTTGCTGTTATTGATAGTGGTGAACATTTATGAAAAAGAAGTAAAAAACCCCTTGCCGGCCAGATGCGGTGGCTCATGCCTGTAATCCCAGCACTTTGGGAGGCCGAGGCAGGCGGATCACTTGAGATTGGGAGTTTGAGACCAGCCTGACGAACATGGACAAACCCCGTCTCTACTAAAAATACAAAAAATTAGCTGGGCGTGGTGGTGCATGCCTATAATCCCAGCTACTCAGGAGGTTGAGGCAGGAGAATCGCGTGAACCTGGGAGGTGGAGGTTGTGGTGAGCC
This sequence comes from Homo sapiens, assembly GCF_000001405.40. Classification (NCBI taxonomy): domain Eukaryota; kingdom Metazoa; phylum Chordata; class Mammalia; order Primates; family Hominidae; genus Homo; species Homo sapiens. The sequence goes on from NC_000001.11 coordinate 222,943,979, forward strand.
GAGATCACACCATTGCACTCCAGCCTGGGCAACAAGAGTGAAACTCAGTCTCCAAGAAAAAAGAAACAACAACAACAACAAAAAAACACCTTGCCTCCTCATGCTGCCTTATGGCTGTACTCAACATTTCTATTCCTGTGTTTTGGTGACTATGTGGTATGCTGAGATCAAATGAAAGTAGCAATTCCCTTCATAGCAGATAAAACCTGTGAATTGTAGCACGGGACTTTTAAAAATATTTTTTGTAAAGCATTTTTAGATCTGGTACCTTGAAAAGTACTAGAAAAATCAATATCATTGCCAGTGCTTATTTCCACCTCAGTCCATAGTTTCTCATATGTATGATTTTCAGCTATTTTTTCCATGGGTAAGTTAAGTTGCATTCAGTATAGGTTAGCAATGGTAATATATTTTACAAAATACTAAGTACTTTCTAGAGACCTAGTATTAGTTCACATTTTTAAGTAATAAAAAGTTTAACTAGAAAAAGAGCATTCTCTTTAAAATTAGGGTATAATTTATATACAGGGAAATGTACAGATTAATTATTCAGTTCGATCAGTGTTGACAAACGTATACAAAAGTGTAACCCATATTTTGGTCTGATGTAGAACATTTCTGTCACCCCAGAAGGTAAGTTCCTTCATGCCCTTTCTCAGTTATTCCCTCTGTCTTCACCAGAAGCAATCACTGCTGAGTTCTATTACTATAGATTTGTTTTGCCTACTCCTAGAACTTCAGATAAGTGGAATCATACAGTATGCACTCTTTCGTGTTTGGCAATCTTTGCTCAGCATAATATTTTTGAGTTTCTTCTAGTTATTGTATGTATTTGTTTTTCCATTTATTGCTGAGTAGTAATCCACTGTATGCATGTAACAAATTCACTTCTGATTAAAGAGTCAGGGCTGGGTGCTGCAGCTCATGGCTGCGGGGATTACAGAATCCCAACACTTCGGGAGGTTGAGGTGGAAGGATTGCTTGAGCCCAGGACTTCAATGCCAGCCTGGGCAACATAGCAAAACTCTGTATCTACAAAAAAAAAAGGGAAAAAAGTCAGATCCAAAAAGGGATTAAGTGATAAATACTTTTCACCTTTATCAGGTTTTGAACATTGTTGAGATTATCTGGTTACACTCTTTTTAAAGAGAGGAAGGGAAACGTGGTAATAAAGCAGAAAGAAAGAGTGAGGAGGGGGAAAGAGGAGAGTCCTTCACAGCATGTTACTGCAGTTTCTGAATACATTTTCCAGACTGGCTTTGAGAGTCGTTTAATTATAGGCTATGATAAGAAGTTCACCACATTTACCAAAGCCATTTCTTAGAAGATTTGTCCTGACCACATTGTGCTACATGGCTAGTTTTAGACTCTTTCCATTTTGAATCAAACTGTGTGAACAGTTGATTATTAAATTATCATAAATATTGATGTTTCAAATAATAAATTATATGGTTGCAAAGTATGAAATAAGATAGATATTTCTGCATTTTGAAGCTGATACCTCCTCTTAAAAAATTACAACATAAAACTGGTGAACAAATAACCAATTCTTTCAGTATGGAAGGTTGTGCCAAGATTTTCAGGATTTTGACTTAGCATTTCTCACTGACCTAATTCAAAAGCAGTGAGATCCCTGTGTACACTTGAAATAGAATGGCATTAAAAAAACGAACTGATAGGCAGGTGGCTGAGCTCATCACTACCCTTGGTTGTGGGGTCATTGTTGGAACTGGGGCTTTTGCAATCATGGTGGACTGACTTGAGACTGTGTATGAGCACTGGGTCCATAGACTTGTCCGTATAGGATTTGTCTTTGTATGTTATCTAAAGAGAAAGAATGATGAAAAGCTAACTGCCTTCTGGAAAAATAGTATTTTATTTAAAAGGGAATTGACACCCATGGAGAAGTTGCTTGGAAGTAAAGGCAGTGGCTGAACTATATAATGTTTACATTTTAAAAGTTATGAGAGAAATAAAAACACTCATACTTAATTTGAAAAACATTAACTTTAAAATTGCCACAATTGTCCATCAAAAAAATTTGTAGAAGAAAGTAGATTAGTATGAAGGAAATTTTTTATATTTAGAATTTTATCTCAAGAATTTGAGCCTTGGCCGGGCGTGGTGGCTCATGCCTGTAATCCCAGCACTTTGGGAGGCGGAGGCAGGCAGATCGCGAGGTCAGGAGGTCGAGACCATCCTAGCTAACACAGTGAAATCCCGTCTCTACTAAAAATACAAAAAAAAAAAAAAAAATTAGCCGGGCATGGTGGCGGGCGCCTGTAGTCCCAGCTACTTGGGAGGCTGAGACAGGAGAATGGCGTGAACCCAGGAGGCGAAGCTTGCAGTGAGCTGAGATCACGCCACTGCACTCCAGCCTGGGCGACAAAGTGAGACTCCATCTCAAAAAAAAAAAAAAAAAAAAGAATTTGAGCCTTTTGGTTATCTGTTTGTAACAGACATAAAATATTTTAAAGATGCCTGCAGAGGAATGGTATGTGTCCATTTGTGTATGTTACATACTTTATTGTGCCTCAATGATTACTTTGCTATTTTCTACATTTACTTATATAATCCACAATGTTTACTGAATTCTTATATGTGCCAGGCACCGAGGATATAATTCCAAACAAGTTGAGACATTCTTTTGCCTTCATACAGCTATAAACTAGTAGGAAGGGAGCCAGTAAAGCAAATAGGCAGGTACAGTATTGTGGTAAGTACTATCAAGAAGGAATACACAGGGCTAAAGATGAAGAAAAGTTACAGATGGAGAGAGAATTGAAGAGGCTTGTCTTTTAGGCAGAGGGAACAGTTTGTGCAAATACTTTTACAAGGTGGTGTGAGCTCAGCTCCAGCATAGGTCAATATGGCTGGACCCTAGTGGAAGAGAGAGTGGTAGCAAGAGGAGAGGTATACTAGGACTAAATCCTGAAGGGTATTGTGAACCACATTAAGGCAATCTCTAGATTTCATCCTGAGGCTAATGAGGACTCATTATAGATTTGTGTGTGTTTGTGATTTTTTTTATTGTGGTGAAATATACATAACATAAAACTTAATATTTTAACCATTTTTAAGTATACAGTTTAGTGACATTAAGTACATTCACCTTGTTGTGCACCCATCACTACTACCTTTGTCCAGAACTATTTCATCTTCCCAAACTGAAACTCCATACTCACTAAATTATAACTCTGCCTGCCCCTGGAAACCACTATTCTACTTTTTGTCTCCATGAATTTGACTTCTCTAGATACCTCAAATAAGTTGAATCCTATAGTATTTGCCTTTTTTTTGTCTGGCTTATTTCACTCCACATAATGTCTTCAAGGGTCATTCATGTTGTAGCATGTGTCATAATTTCCTTTCTTTTTAAGGCTGAATAATATTCCATTGTATATTTATATATTATATTTTATCATTTTATCAGTTACATTTTATCATTTTATCAATTACACAATACATTTTATCAGTTCATTGATGGACACTTCGATCTTTCAGGTATCATGGCTATTGTGAATAATGCTGCTATGAGCTTGGGTTCTGTTCAAGTCCCTGCTTTCAGTTCTTTTGGGTATATGCTCAGACCAGAAGTGGAATTACTGGAGCATATGGTAATTCTGTTTTTAGCTTTTTGAGGAACCGTTTTCCATAGTGGCTGCACCATTTTACACCAGCAGTGCAAAAAGTTCCAGTGTTTCCAGATCCTTGCCGACACTTGTTATTTTATCTGTTTTTTCTTTTTTAAGAGTAGGCATCCTAATTGATGTGAGATTATAAATTTTAAAGCAGAAAAAAAAAACACAGTAAGAAACATTTTAGGAAATTTCATCGTTTGCATTGTGGAGAGTAGATTGAATTGGGTCAGGACCGTTGTAGATAGGAAGAACACTATAAGGCTTGTTGCAGTAGTTCAAGTGAGAAATGTGATAACTTGAACCATGATTTAGAAATAAATTCATTCTAGAGAGATTTAGGAGGTGGAATCTACTAGATTTGGTGGATGATTGGATATCGGAGGGGCAAAGGGAGTAAGAATCACAACTGATTTTCAGTTTCCTGGCTTGAGCAACTGGTTGGGTAGATGGTAATGCCATTCACTAAAATGGGGAAGACAGAAGAAGGGAACTAAGTAAACAGAGCTGAGACATTGAGCTTCCAGAGAGGACTACAGAGTAACAGTAACAGTGAAAGTGTGATGTCCCTTGAGCTTATTTGAAAGAATGAGGTTGCTGAGTAATACATGACAATGCACTGAGGGCAATACTGGTGGGGGTTATCTTAGAATGAACACTGAAGCACTTTGACTCAGGCCAGCAGGTATTATATTTGCAGAATTGTGCTATGGGCAAGGCACTGAGTGAGATGCTATCTCGTCCTTTACCCAACCAATAAAATATCCACAGAAGCAAATGTGCTCTTCGATAGAGCTGCTATCTATGTATGGGAGAACAGGGCAGTTTGGGAAAGTCTGCACAGGATGTCCTTGGTAAGGAATTCTGAAAATGAGGATGTTGTACCATGCTTTACTGCCTTTGATTATTCTACGCAACTCTTTCAGGAACTTACTGTAACAAAGGTTCTAGAGGTTGATCTCGACCAGGAACTTCAAGTCTTTTTAGTTTTCTTTATTGTGGTTTATTGCTATGTAATTTTTAAGTTCTTTTTAAATTGATAAGGTCAAGTAAGTACTTAATGAAATGTTATTCAATTAATGTTTAAGGTGTATTTATGACTTCACATTACTTTAAAGGATGTGTTAAACATTGACCGCCTTAGAGTAAAATTGTATGGTGATGGAAGATCCTAAGTGCTATCAATTTTTATTGTTATTTGCACCTATACCACAAATGGGCCCACCTGTTTGTATTTGAAAGTGTTTTCTAAAGTTTTTATTTGTTTATAAAGCACTTAAGCCATAGAGAATGTTTTAAAGAATCAATCAGATAGAAAATATAATTTTAACGTAGGCCATTTGCTACTTACCACCTTTTGTATAGTAGACTCTCTTTCATCCCCTCTTGATTCTTTAAGCTTTAATAAATCTTTCTAAAAGATTCATTATATCAACCATCTGTGTGTTTTTTTTAAAAAAAAATTCCTTTTTAGTGTTCCGATTAATAAAATTAAGGCCAGGCGTGGTGGCTTGAGCTTGTAATCCCAGAACTTTGGGAGGCTGTGGCAGGCCAATCACTTGAGGTCAGGAGTTCGAGACCAGCCTGGCCAGCAATGGCGAAACCCTGTCTCTGCTAAACTACAAAAATTAGCCTGGTGTGGTGGTGCGCACCTGTAGTCCCAGCTACTTGGGAGGCTGAGGCAGGAGAATTACTTGAATCCGAGAGGTGGAGGTTGCAGTAAGCCAGGATCGTACCACTGCACTCCAGCCTGAGCGACAGAGGGAGACTCTCAAAAAAAAAAATACATAAAATTAAAATAAAGATTATTGCAAGGATCACATTTAATATGTCTATTTTAATTATTGCCAAATATTAAGTAGCTTAAATCGATTTTATTTTAAAGCTTTAGATTTCATTTTAAAGCTTCAGGCTTTTATATTTGTAGATTCCTGTCCTCATATACATTATTCAGCCCTTAATTAACATGTCTAATTGAGAACAATAAGGAATTTTATTTTATCTTATTTTATTTATTTGTTTCTTTTTGAGACAGAGTCTTGCTCCATCGCCCAGGCTGGAGTGCAGTGGCACGATCTCAGCTCACTGCAACCTCCACCTCCTGGGTTCAACGGATTCTTCTGCCTCAGCCTCCTGAGCAGTTGGGATTACAGGCGCACACCACCACGCCCAGCTAATTTTTGTACTTTTAGTAGAGATGGGGTTTCACCATGTTGACCAGGCTGGTCTTGAACTCCTGGCCTCAAGTGATCCGCCTGCCTCAGCCTCCCAAAGTGCTGGGATTACAGGCATGAGCCACAGCGCCCAGCCACAATAAGGAATTTTAAAAGGCTGAAAATAGTCTCTCCTCACCATGAGGCAAGACTTATACCAACAAGTCCTAAACCTAGCTGATCATCTTTGGAGTCACCTGGGGAATTAAAAATAAAATAAGTAGAATAAGAAGATATTTCTTTTGCAGTAGAAACAATAAATAACTCTAAGAGTTGAGAGGTGGGAAGGATCCCCTGGAAGGATCCCTGTAGGTTATTGAGGTTAGGGACAGTCTGACTGAGAAGAACAGAACATGAATGGCCCTTGAAAGATGACTAGAAATGAATGAAGGGACTCGAGGAGGCAAAACATGGAAAGTGGAGGAAAGTTGTGAAGGGAAAGCTTTCAAAAACCAAAGCTTTAAAATATTTCTTAAAACATGTAAGAAAGGGCCAGGCGCAGTGGCTCACGCTGTAATCCCAGTACTTTGGGAAGCCGAGGCAGGCGGATCATGAGGTCAGGAGATCGAGACCGTCCTGGCTAACACAGTGAAACCCCTTCTCTACTAAAAATACAAAAAATTAGCTGGGCGTGGTGGTGGGCACCTGTAGTCCCAGCTACTCGGGAGGCTGAGGCAGGAGAATGGCCTGAACCCGGGAGGCAGAGCTTGCAGTGATCTGAGATCGCACCACTGCACTCCGGCCTCGAGGACAGAGCGAGACTCCGTCTCAAAAAAAAAAAACCCATGTGAGAAAGGTAAAGAGAACAAGATTGTGGGAGCGGAGGGTCATTGTGGGTGTCCCCAATCTACGTCCTGAACAGTCCATTTGATGATCTGTTCTTTATCCTCCAGAGAGCTGGAAAATACCTCTCAAAAGCCAGTCACATTCCACGTGTGCTGGTTGAAGCAAGTTTTGAGTTATTCATTTGGGATCTTCTTATTGCCGTATTAAAGTGAAAGAGTAGTGGTATTATTGCAAAATTAATAAGGAGTTCTGCATCCAAAAATAGCACACTAGAGTTCTAATCTAAACTATACTTACCTTTTAATTCGGTGTTGCAAAGAAATATTCTTGATTGTAACAGAGGACTCCATAAATGATACTTGGCAATGCCACAGACTCATTATCATGATAGGGAACCTGTGATATTTTTGGGTACCTGCCAAATGCATTTTTATTTACCTAAGGTGATTTCATAGACAGATGGCCATTTTGAATGTTTCATGTGACTCACTAGAGGAATTAGAGCTATACAGAGTTAAGAATGCTTGGCGTAGAGGGAACCGTAGAACCCTGGGACTAGCTTAGCCTCTTAAAGTTAACTAAATATTGTCCCTGCCACCCCCATATGTTATGACTGTATAATTTTTATAACTTACATTTCCTTTCATTTCTTTATTCATTTTCTAATTTCTGACTCATTTTTCTCAGAGGTTTTCTTTTTGTTTCCCCTTAGGGCATTAGTTATTTTCTATGAAGGGGCCTCTTTTAAAACAAAAAAAAAAAAGTAAGAAATGAGAATTCTCATGTTATATTAAAAAGACAAGAATTCTACCACCAGAATTCTTGTTTATTGGCATGTGCTGTACCATGACATCCTTTCCCCTCTCCTTAGCCCTGGTGATTGTATTATTTTGTTAGTCAGAAAATTTGAGCCAGAAATCACTTTGAACACTTCATCAACATTGTGGCATGAACCTGATCATTGACGCAGATCCCACAGTCTCTGCTTTACTCAGATCACCCAGAGTCCATTCAAATGCTTCTCTAAGATGTTGCAGCAATGAATGGAGAAATTCAGAGTTAGTTATTCACTTATTTAGCAAGTGCTTGATGAGTACTTAGTAAGTGTTAGGTGCTGGAGACAGGTGGAAACTGCAAAGTCTGGTTCCTGACTTCAAAGATGTAGAAGTAGAGTGGACAAGACAAGACACTTAGATTTTAGCATAGGGTGACCATAGATAGATTGCCATCTTTGATCGGTAAGTATTTACAGAATAGCTGTTGTATTCTCTGGAGCACAGAAGTTAAATACCAGTGCTTTTACAGAGGCACAGGCAAGTTTTATGTGTAAACTTTTATGTATAAATTTTTATGTATAAAGTTTTAATAGTAAAAGAGAACTAGACTATACAGTTTTACAAATTCATATTCCCCTCTTTTCCGCTCTTACCATTGAAAGATTGATTACTAATAGTGAAACAATCATTTCTCTTTATTTTTTATATAAATTGTTGACTCTCTGGAACTGCTGGACAAGTGTCTTTTGCAAGAAGGAATAGCTAAACTGCATTCTTTAGACATTTGCTTTTCAATAAACCATTGGCTTTTCAATAAAGCCAGTAAAATTAAAAATTTGGTTATTTGGTTACACTGCTCACAATTTCAGTACTCAGTAGCCACATGTGGCTAGTAGCTACATATTGGACAGCACAGATGGAAAACGTTTCCATCATTGCAGAGAGTTTTATTGAACAGGACTACCTTTCTTGGCTCTGTTAAAACAACTGAGATCCCTTTTCAATGTCCATGGCAGCAAATGAAACTTATATGATATAGAATAACAGCAATATTTGACAGTGAATACTTTTTTGTTGTTGTTGTTGTTGACATAATTCTACTTAGTATTTGCTTGTGTTTTGTTTATTAAATAACAAAGAAATGACAAAAATAAAATCCCTTCAAAAACCTGAAGGACAGCTGTGCGCAGTGGCTCAAGTCTGTAATCCCAGCACTTTGGGAGGCCGAGGCAGGCGGATCACAAGGTCAAGAGATTGAGACCATCCTGGCCAACATGGTGAAACCCCATCTCTACTAAAAATACAAAAATTAGCTGGGTGTGGTGGCACGCACCTGTAGTCCCAGCTACTCAGGAGGCTGAGGCCGGAGAATCGCTTGAACCTGGGCGGTGGTTGCAGTGAGCCGAGATCGCGCCACTGCACTCCAGCCTGGCGACAGAGGGAGACTGTCTAAAAACAAAACAAACAAACAAACAAACAAAAAATCTGAAGGACTAAAAGTCCTACATTAGCAAAAATTGTGTAACAAGTAGGCAATATCCTTCAGAATCTTCTAGAGGCCGCAATTACATTCCACAAAAGCCACTGCATATCTTTATTTATGAGTCAAAAACTATCATCTTATTTAGTTTATAGTTGCCGGGCTTTTTGTAAGTAGATCTAAAATATAAATGTAAAAATGCAGTTTTTCTCCAGGATAGAGAAGTATAGCTAGTCTCTAGAAGCAATCATTGTTGCTACATTGTAATTTATTTTTCTTTTCTCAATCCTTTCCTCATTGTACAACATAAAGTAGTAAGAGCATCTCTGTAAAATGGGAGTAACAGTAGCTATTTTGCACTTAACACAGTGCCTGTTACCAAATTTTAATCTCCCTTCTGTTCTCCATTTTTGTTCCTTTCACTTTTCTTTTAAGTTTTGTTGTTGTTTTTGTTATTGTTTCATGCCTGCGCTTAATCCTGTTGGTATTGTTTTAGAAATGAAGCTATTACTGAACCTGGTTTAAATAAAGACATGATGTGTTCCTTTTCATTTTTATTTATAAATGACACACCTCACACCATCAACCTATAGGAAAAGATGGTCACTCATTTGCCTTCCGGAGGAGGAAAAGGGTTGTGAAGAATAAATAGGCCTCTTTAGCCCCCGAAACTGAGAGCCTTTATACTTTATACTGATTACATAAATCTGATTATGATATTTGATCTTAGAAGAAGTCTGGTAAGATTTAATTTTGATTTCACTGAAACCAGGATTTATTTTGACATTCCTTAAAGTAGTCAAATTAACTTTTTAAAAAGGGATAATGTTTATAAAATTTAAAATGTTCCAGGCTTGCTTGCCAAAGTAAGTCAGCTTGGCAGTCAGACAGAGTGAAGGCCTATTTTTTAGAAAGACTTCTTTGAGAGAGTTCTTCTTTTATTATAAATGAACAGATTTTAGAGTGTGCTATGCCTCAAGGAATACATTGTACATTCTGTAATACATTTTAGAATATGAGGCTTGGTCATCTTTTACTTTAATAATGAACGTCAGAAAACAATGCCTTCTTTATTTTATAAAACTAATTAATATAAGATTTTAGAATGAAGCAAGTATATTCTTTATCCCCTTTCCATATTCGTGCTAGTTATTTAGCAGATACTGGAGAGTAAAGGGGAAAAAAAGAAATGCTTTAGGTTTTTTTCTTTTTGGTTAAAAAAAAAATTCAAAAGGTTGTAAAATGTTTGGGAAACAGTGAGACTTTAAAAAAAAATTATTATGGATCAGTTACATGTCTAATTCCAGGAAAAAGGCACTTGTGATCTATTGCATCTTCTTTTCAAACTTAAATGGATTGTTAGGTGTAACTTAAAAGAATTTATAGAACTTAACATTTAAAGGACAATTTTGATTGCTGTAATATTCTGTGTTCTTTTCAGCAAAATTGACACTACAAAATTGTCTTTTTAAAACACAAACCAGATATTCAACTGATTACTTGGTATTTTGGAGTTTGAAATAGAGCCTAAGGCCTGGGACCCATTCACAGTTCAATAAATATTTGTTGAATGAATGAATGATTGCCAAAAAAAATTCTCAAAATACATCTTTTTCTGTAAAAAGTTAACAAAACTTAACAACAGCAAAAACCTCATGAAGTTAGATTGGTCACTGCCATCAAACAACTTATAGTCTAGAAGGAGAAGGATGATTTCAGCAAAAATAACCCAACTCTCTGAATGCCAAAATCAGGGTTTAGAGGGTTATGTGAGTCCTAAAGAGGGAGATGGAATCATAGGAGAGCTAAGAGAAAGTGTCATAGGAGAGGGGAGGGGCTTTTCAAAAATGAACAAAAGGCTGGGCCAGGCTGGCTCACACCTGTCATCCCAGCACTTGAGGCCGAGGCAGGAGGATCACTTGAGCCCAGGAGTTCAAGACCAGCTTGGGCAACATAGTGAGACCCTGTTTATCTAAAAATAAATAAAATAAAATAAAATAAATGAACAGGAGTGCAACTGCCTGAAATATAGGAACAGGAGGCCTGGAGGCACCAGGAACATGGCAATAAGTGGTGGTGGGGTGGGGTGTGGGGGCTGGGGAATGCAAGCAATCCCCTTTGTCTGGAGAAGGGCCAGAGAAGGCATCACAATACATTCTAGTTAGTCCAAGAAGATTGCTCCCATAAAATGAATTCTGAATGCTGTGTAATCATTTTAAAGCTTTTTTTTTTTTGGAAACAGTCTCGCTCTGTCGCCCAGGCTAGAGTGCAGTGGCACAATCTTGGCTCACTGCAACCTCTGCCTCCTGAGTTCATGTGATTCTCCTGCCTCAGCCTCTCGAGTAGCTGGAACTACAGATGCATGCCACCATGCCCAGCTAATTTTTTTATTTTAGTAGGACGGGATTTCACCGTGTTGGCCAGGCTGGTCTCAAACTCCTGACCTCAAGTGATCTACCTGCCTCGACCTCCCAAATTGTTGGAATTACAGGTGTGAGCCACAGCACCCAGCCTGAAGCATTTATTAAATACAGATAGTCTGCAACTTAGGGTTTGAGTTATGATTTTTTGCCATTACAGTGGTGCAGAAGCAATATGCATTCGGTAGAAATTGTACTTCCGACTTTGAATTTTGATCTTTTCCTGGGCCCAGGCCCAGTGTGCTTTCAGCTGTGTATGTTGATGGTGAGTACCCATACAACCCTTCTGTTTTTCACTTTCAGTACCGTATTTAATAAATTACATGAGATATTCCATACTTTAGGGGAAGATGGAGAGGGGCCAGGAGACTGTGCCCCAGGGAGAGTCAGTCGGGGAATAACCTTTCTGTTGGCTCAACTCTGACCACCTTCAGGACATTTACCAATCTAGTGTAAGTAACTGTAAAGGAGTCAGTAGCTTATAAAACTGGTGGATGAACCCTCAGTTCCTAAATAAGACTTTTGTCTTCTCTTTGTTCATTTGTATTTTTTTGAATCTTGAAAGCAGAATACAATGAAAGACTCCAAGGCCAAATTTGATACCTTTATTCTATGTGAATATGCTGAGTTAGTTCAGTGAAATCAGTTTGTTTTCCCCATTTGAATGGTACAGGGTTGTAATAGTTACCAAATACTTTGAGATTCAAGCCTAATGCTTTCTACAGGAATGTAAGCAATTTACTGTTTCCAAGCACTATTTTGTTGTGCTAGTAAGAAGCAAGGATGGACAGTTAGTAGATACATTCCTTCGGACCCTATTTGTGTGTCTGTGGTCACTCAGGCCTGCCCACCTCCTCTTTCCTAAAACACTGCTTTCATTATGTCACTCCTCTGCTCAGAAATCTTCCAGTTTTCCCAAATTCCATGACCTGACACTGAAAGTTTCCCTTTGATGGATGGAGTATGTGTTGTGGGTGAGGAAAGGGTACTTCATGGAGGAAGAGTCCCCTAGCCCTGGACAGGAAGGAACAAGGTGACAGATCTCAGAGCATATTACTGTGACGGATTTTCTCCTCAGCACTTTAGAAGTTTAGCAAGAAATCAGATTAATGACTGTCTTTGTTTCCACTTATACATAATGAGGAACTAGTAAGGTTATATATTCTGGATCTTTGTTTTTTAGGTATTAGTCTAGAACTTTATTTTGTTTTGGTTGGTTGGTTTTTTTCATTGTAAAGCAATCCCTAATAAAGATTTATTTATGAAGTATGGTTTGATTGTTAAAATGTTTCTCCCTAATGCATAGGGTGAAACTCTACACTGGGCTCCAAATTGCATTGCTTTTTTTTAACCTCTTTACCCCTGACCTCCTTCTCCCAAAGCTTAAAATTCTCACTGAGCAACATCAGTGTTTGGTGAGTGTTTTGGCTTGAGGATTGTAGACTTCATTCCAGTATTCCATGCTCTTAAGTTAGTTAAGTTTAATAAGATTTTTCTGGCTTTCTTAAGGGCTTTTCTTGGATCTCATATTAATGATTATTATTCACATCTTATTAAGAAAACTATATATTATACTCTTATTAAGCATGTTTCATACAGGGCTCACAGCAACAGTCTGGCATGAAAAGGCTTGAGTTTAAGGGTAAGTACTTTATAATTTAGTGTAACTTTAAAATGTAACACATGGGACTGTGCTTTATAACCTCCAACTAAACCATGCAATTGTAACTTCATAGGCTAAGGAAGAATGTTTCCTTTTAACCAAAGCTTTTTCAATCATTTAAAAAGACTTTGAATTAACCTGTCATCCTTTTCAGATTTCTAATTGCTCTAAACTATTTTCTTTACTATTGTAAAAAAAAAAAAAAAAAAAAAAAGCATTCTTAGATTCCGCTTTTGGGGTATGCATTGTATGGGAGGACCAGAGCCACATTATATTTTGACCTTTAATACTGCTCTTTTCTTCTCCCCCTGATAAGTGGCAGAGAAAAATGTGTTTAAAAATGAATTTCCCAGGCCGGGCACAGTGGCTCACGCCTGTAATCCCAGCTCTTTGGGAAGCCGAGGTGGATGGATCACTTGAGGTCAGGAGTTCAAGACCAGCCTGACCAACATAGTGAAATCCCGTCTCTACTAAAAATACAAAAATTAGCCAGGCGCAGTGGTGGACACCTGTAATTCCAGCTACTCGGGAAGCTGAGGCAGGAGAATTGCTTGAACCCAGGAGGTGGAGGTTGCAGTGAGCTGAGATTATGCCACTGCACTCCAGCCTGGGTGACAGAATGAGACTCTGTCTCAATAAAAAAATAAAAAATAAAATAAAGGGATTTCCCATACCCTGCTTCTTTCACCTTTCTAAAGGGCACCTAGCTGCCCTTTAACTAGTGATCGGCTAGGCCTTGGGACTCATCTTAAGAAGAAATAATTAATAAGAGAAAATGACGCCTCAAGATCTCTCCCCTATTCCTGCCCAGTCTTAGATAACACAATTCCTTTCTTGTTTACTGAAATAACAAACAGTATCATTTCTTGCTTTCTACTTAGGACCAGGCTATAGTAAGAGAAAAGTTTCTTTCTAACCTAAGTTGGAACTGAAGCTGTTACATGAAAATCTGATTTGTTCCAGCTTAGATTTGTTCCAGTTTATAGGATTTTTGAGTTCATATGGAATTGGCAGAGACCATGTACATTATGCAGAAAACCTATTTTTGAAGGTAACATCACGTAGAAATGCCTTCTTCAGTTTTTAATTGAGATAACTGTTAAGCAGATCCAATGAGTGTGCGTTTTTGCTCTGTGGCATTACCATCAGATTGACATATTTAATTATCAGATATCTTTCTTTTGCCAAAAAGTTGTGGTTGAGTTGGCCCTGGGATTTATAAATACATGCACACAGCACATTTCTGTCATTGTTCACTGCAGTCTTTTAACACATCTTCTCAGCAATATTCTTAATGTTTCCAGCGGGAAAATTGTAAATTATTTAACCACTGAATTAGAGGTGTGTTGTTTTTTAGCTAATCAATAGCCATTGAATGCTTAAATGGGCTTTAAAGTAGACAAAAGTAAAAGACAGCAAAGAAAATTAATCAGTAAGATTGCCCATACTCCATAGACACTTGAGCAGCTACTTTAGTCATTTTGAAATACACGCTTTATGTTTTCCCTTGGACTGGCATATTCCTGTCATTTATAAAAAGAATATACATTTGTAAATTTAAGGTGTGGACATTCATTATTGAAGGTAGAAATAGTTATAATCATCAGTGTCTAGATATATCTGAAGAGAGGTAAATTTAACATGGTTTTAAATACGATTTTGTATTGCATAGTTTAGAAAATATATATTTTAGTCTTCTTTGGTTAAACTAAGAGATTCTGTTTAAAACTCTTGATTTAAAAGAAAAGCAATTCTTCGTCATTGTGAATTAAGTCTTTAAAATTTAGATTATATTATAGAATATGCTTAACCAGAACATCAGTATCCCATAAAGGTTTCAAAATGGGAAAAGATGAACATTTTGAAGTCATATATTTCCTTTTCTCTCACCTGCAAATATATAGGCTTTGCATGAACATGTAACCAGCTATATATGGCTTCTACATTAATGATGTCCTTGACTATATCAGGTCATATAAGCAATTAAGAATGTTTAGTTTTTTTTTTATCAACATTGCAATTTAGATTGCATAATATTTAAATTCTTTCTAATTCTCATCACATTATTATCTCCTTTTAGTAATTTGTGATTTTTATAACAAAGTTACCTTTCTAAGAATTTTAATAAATTTTATCGTGACTATAAATTTTCCAAAATATTTTGTAATTATGAACACTCTTCCCTGAGTATAAAGAATTTTTTAAAATTATGACATGGAACTTGATTTGTGAACTGAACTTGTGTGACTAGTGAAGTAAGTGGACTTTAATGGCATAAAATTGCAATTAAAATCTATAACAATAGTATTAATGATTTTATTGAACCCTTACTATATGCCAGGCATTGTGCTATATTTTACATGCATTCTCTGATTTAATCCTGAAAACAACCCAAGGAATTCAGTGCTATTACTGTCATTTTCATTTTATAGATGAAGAAACTAAGCTTTGCAAAATTACTGTTGGCTGGGCACGGTGGCTCACACCTGTAATCCCAGCACTTTGGGAGGCCAAGGCAGGTGGATCACCTGAGGTCAGGAGTTTGAGACCAGCCTGACCAACATGGAGAAACCCCGTCTCTACTGAAAATACAAAATGAGCCAGGCATGGTGATACATGACTGTAATCCCAGCTACTCAGGAGGCTGAGGCAGGAGAATTACTTGAACCTGGGAGAGGTAGGTTGCAGTGAACCGAGACTGTGCCATTGCACTCCAGCCTGGGCAACAAGAGCAAAACTCTGTCTCAAAAAAAAAAAAAAAAGAAAGAAAAGAAAAGAAAAAAGAAAAATTATTGTTATAGGCTCAAAATAAAGGGATGGAGGAAAATTAACCAAGCAAATGGGGAAGAAAAAAAAAAAAAGCAAGCAGAGTTGCAATCCTAGTCTCTGACAAAACAGACTTTAAACCAACAAAGATCAAAAAAGACAAGGACATTACATAATGGTAAAGGGAACAATTTAACAAGAAGAGCTAACTATTCTAAATATATATGCACCCAATAAAGGAGCACCCAGATTCATAAAACAAGTTCTTAGAGACCTACAAAGAGACTTAGACTCCCACACAATAATAGTGGGGGACTTTAACACCCCACTATCAATATTAGATCAATGAGATAGAAAGTTAACAAGGATATTCAGGACTTGAACTCAGCTCTGGATCAAGTGGACCTATAGACATCTACAGAACTCTCCATCCCAAATCAACAGAATATACATTCTTTTCAGTGCCACATGGCACTTTTTCTAAAATCGACCACATAGTTGGAAGTAAAACGCTCCTCAGCAAATGCAGAAGAACTGAAATTGTAACAGTCTGTCAGACCACAGTGCAATCAAATTAGAACTCAGGATTAAGAAACTCACTAAAAACCACACAATTACATGGAAATCGAATAACCTGCTCCTGATTGACTCCTGGGTAATAATGAAATTAAGGCAGAAATCAAGAAGTTCTTTGAAACCAATGAGAACAAAGAGACAACATGCTAGAATCTCTGGGACACAGCTAAAGCAGTGTTAAGAGGGACATTTATAGCACTAAATGCCCACATCAGAAAGCTAGAAAGATGTCACATTGACACCTTAACATCACAATTAAAAGAGCTAGAGAGGCAAGCGCAAAGTAATCCAAAAGCTAGCAGAAGACAAGAAATGACTAAGATCAGAGCAGAATTGAAGAAGATAGAGACATGAAAAACCCTGCAAAAAATCAATGAATCCAGGAGCTGGTTTTTTTTTGAAAAAATTAACAAAATAGACCACTAGCTAGACTAATAAGAAAAGAGAGAAGAATCAAATCGACACAATAAAAAATGATAAAGGGGATATCACCACTGACTCCACAGAAATACAAACTACCATGAGAGAATACTATAAACACCTCTACACAAATAAACTAGAAAATCTAGAAGAAATGGATAAATTCCTGGACACATACATCCTCCCAAGACTCAACCAGGAAGAAGTTGAATCCTTGAATAGACCAACAAGAAGTTCTGAAATTGAGGCAGTAATTAGTAGTCTGCCAACCAAAAAAAAAGCCCAGGACCACACTGATTCACAGCCGAATTTTACCAGAGGTACAAAGAGGAGCTGGTACCATTCCTTCTGAAACTATTCCAAACAACAGAAAAAGAGGGATTCCTCCCTAACTCATTTTATGAAGCCAGCATCATCCTGATACCAAAACCAGGAGGAGACACAACGAAAAAAAGAAAACTTCAAGCCAATATCCCTGATGAACATCAATGCGAAAATCCTCAATAAAGTACTGGCAAACCAAATCCAGCAGCACATCAAAAAGCTTATCCGCCATGATCAAGTCAGCTTCATACCCAGGATGCAAGGCTGGTTCAACATTCACAAATCAATAAACGTAATCCATCACATAAACAGAACCAAAGACAAAAACCACATGATTATCTCAATAGATACAGAAAAGGCCTTTGATAAAATTCAACATCTCTTCATGTTAAAAATTCTCAATAAACTAGGTATTGATGGAACGTATCTCAGAATAATAGCTATTCATGATAAAACCCACAGCCAATATCATATTGAATGGGCAAAAACTGGAAGCATTCCCTTTGAAAACCAGCACAAGACAAGGATGCGCTCTCTCGCCACTCCTATTCAATATAGTATTGGAAGTTCTGGCCAGGACAAGCAGGCAAGAGAAAGAAATAAAGCGTATTCAAATAGGAAGAGAGGAAGTCAAATTGTATCTGTTTGCAGACAATATGATTTTATATTTAGAAAACCCCATCATCGCCAGGCACAGTGGCTCACGCCTGTAATCCCAACACTTTGGGAGGCCGAGGCGGGTGGATCACGAGGTCAAGAGATGGAGACCATCCTGGCCAACATGGTGAAACCCCGTCTCTACTAAAAATACAAAAATTAGCTGGGCATGGTGGTGTGCGCTTGTAGTCCCAGCTACTCAGGAGGCTGAGGCAGGAGAATCACTTGAACCCAGGAGGCAGAGGTTGCAGTGAGCTGAGATCACGCCACTGCACTCCAGCCTGGTGACAGAGCAAGACTCTGTCTCAAAAAAAGAAAAAAAAAGAAGAAGAAAGCCCCATCGTCTCAGTCCAAAAACTCCTTAAACTGATAAGCAACTTCAGCAAAGTCTCAGCATACAAAATCAACGTGCAGAAATCACAAGCATTCCTTTACACCAACAATAGACAAGCACAGAACCAAATCATGAATGAACTTCCATTCACAATTGCTACAAAAAGAATAAATACCTTGGAATACAGCTAACAAGGGATGGGAAGGACCTCTTGAAGGAGAACTACAAACCACTGCTCAAGGAAATAAGAGAAGACACAAAGGGAAAAACATTCCATGCTCATGGATAGGAAGAATCAATATTGTGAAAATGGCCATACTACCCAAAGTGATTTATAGATTCAGTGCTATTCCCATCAAACTACCAGTGACATTCTTCACAGAATTAGAAAAGACTACTTTAAATTTCATATGGAATGAAAGAACACCCTGTATAGCCAAGACAGTCCTAAGCAAAAAGAACAAAGCTGGAGGCATCACACTACCTGACTTCAAACTTTACCACAAGGCTACAGTAACCAAAACAGCATGGTACTGGTACCAAAACAGACATATAGACCACTGTAACAGAACAGAGACCCCAGATATAACACCACACATGTACAACCATCTGATCTTCAACTAATCTGACAAAAACAAGCAATGGGAAAAGGATCTCCTATTCAATAAATGGTGCTGAGAAAACTGGCTGGCCATATGCAGAAAACTGAAAGTAGACCCCTTCCTTACTCCTTATACAAAAATTAACTCAAGGTAGATTAAGACTTAAATGTAAAACCCAAAACCATAAAAACCCTAGAAGGAAACCTAGGCAGTACCATTCAGGACATAGGCATGGACAAAGACTTCATGATGAAAATGTCAAAAGCAATTGCAACAAAAGCCAAAATTGACAAATGGGATCTAATTAAACTAAAGAGCATCTGCACAGCAAAAGAAACTATCACCAGAGTGAACAGGCAACCTACAGAATGGGAGAAAATTTTTGCAATCTACTCATCTGACAAAGGACTAATATCCAGAATCTACAAGGAACTTAAACAAATTTATAAGGAAAAAACAACCCCATCAAAATTGGGCAAAGGATATAAACAGACACTTCTCAAAAGAAGACATTTATGCGGCCAAGAAACATGAGAAAAGACTCAACATCACTGATTATTAGAGAAATGCAAATCAAAACCAAAATGAGATACTGTCTCACGCCAGTCAAAATGGAGATTATTAAAAAGTCATGAAACAATAGATGCTGGCGAGGCTGTGGAGAAGTAGGAACACTTTACACTGTTGGTGGGAATGTAAATTAGTTCAACCATTGTGGAAGACGGTATGGCGATTCCTCAAGGATCTAAAACCAGAAATACCATTTGACCCAGCAATCCCATTACTGGGTATATACCTAAAGGATTATAAATCATTAAAGACACATGCTCAAGTATGTTGATTGCAGCTCTATTTACAATAGCACAGTCATGGAACCAACCCAAATGCCCATCAATGATAGACTGGATAAAGAAAATGTGGTACATATACACCATGGAATACTATGCAGCCATTATAAGGAACAAGATCATGTCCTTTGCAGAGACATGGATGGAGGTGGAAGCCATTATCTTCAGCGAACTAACACAGGAACATAAAACCAAACATCACATGTTCTCACTCATAAATGGGAGTTGAACAATGAGAACACATGGACACTGGGGGGGAACAACACACACCAGGGCCTGTTGGGGGGTTGGGGGTGAGAGAAGGGAACTTAGAAGATGGGTCAATAGGTGCAGCAAACCACCATGGCACATGTATACCTATATAACAAACCTGCACATTCTGCACATGTATCCCGGAACTTAAAGTAAATTTTAAAGAAGAGAAAAAAATAAAGCGTTATAAAACTTAGAAGAATTCTTAGAATCTCATTTACAAGTTAATTTGGGGATTGTCTCTTTCAGGTCCTCTGCCTAAATAAAATTATCTTGATCCTTAATTAAAAAAAAAGAAAAGCCAGGCATATAATCCCAGGACTTTGGGAGGCTGAGGCAGGTGGATCACAAGGTCAGGAGTTCGAGACCATCCTGGCCAATATGGTGAAACCCTGTCTCTACTACAAATACAAAAATTAGCCGGGCATGGTGGTGGGCACCTGTAGTTCCAGCTACTTGGGAGCCTGAGGCAGGAGAGTCGCTTCAACCTGGGAGGCGGAGGTTGCAGCAAACCAAGATCGCACCACTGCACTCCAGCCTGGCGACAGAGCGAGACTCTATCTCAAAAAAAAAAAAAAAGTGTTTGGAAGATTAATTAAAAAGTTACTAGTAAGTGGTAGAATGTGGAATGAAGTTTAAGTGTGTCTGATTCGAAGCCTTCCTCTTAATCACCACTCTATGCTGTGCAAACACAAGAGAATGAAATATTTTTTGTTTTCTTGCTATAACTTTTTTTTTCGTTTCAGTAATAGCTTAAGAAACAGTTAACAAGTGCTTACTACGTAGCAGGTGCTGTGCAGGTTCAGTCCTGAGATCATAGAACTGAAATCACATGGATCACACAAATAATCGTGAGGGTATAGGTGATGGGTCATAGGCTGCCCTGGTCATTTTTAGATCATAGAAACAGCATATTCACAGTGCTACCTTGCACAGACCCTGAAGAAGAATTCCACCTAATTCCTTTAGCCTGTTTATATCATGTTGTACTTTAACACCTTACCTGGTGCAGGATACGCAGTGGGTTTTTCAGTGGGCTTTTGAAAACGCTAGTAGTAATTGGAGAAATTATCTGAACTGAATTTTCTAGTTTAAATGTTAAAGCTCTGTGTTGTCATCTTCAGGAATTTTGATGCCTTTGCTCCAGCTCCCAGGCTAACAAACACTGCTTGCTGGAAGAAAATGGAAACGGTGCAGATTTTACCCATTCTGGTTTCATGCTTCTGTCACAACTTAGTCCTCACAGCTAACTCCCAAGCACACTTCCTTCAGTAGTTTTTTTTTTCAAGTATTCTTCTATTCCATGTTAACTCAAATCATAGTTTACTCTCTTAACACCCATACATGGGCAGTAGCACCTTCTACTTTATGAAAACAATAGAAAATTTCGCTGCAGTATAGCCTAGTGGTTAAGAATGTAGGCTCTGGAGTAGGCTGCCTGGGTTTGAATCCTGCCTCTTTAACTATGTGGCTTTGGGTGACTTCTTTAACCTCTCTGTGCCTTAGTTCTCCATCGGTAAAATCTATGCCTACCTTATAGAATTATTTTAAGAATTTTAAAATATTGTAATATATGTCAAGTGCTTAGGTCAGTGTTTGGCACATAGTAAAGTCTGTAAATGTTGACTGTTGTTATTTTAAATATATTATTATACTTAATACTTTAACTTCATATGGTCTTTTTTCTTGCTAGTGCCCTGGAGTCTAACTTCTTCTGTCACCATTACTTTCCTGGCAATGCCAGGTCAGTGACTCCTTTGACAAACTCATTTGATTTCTTCTCCTGTTTAGTTCTATAGCATGCAGTCTCTGTTTACCACCTCTTCTTAAACAGTTTTCTTTTTCTGCATTCCATGATCTTATGCTTTTCTTTCTTTTTATTCTGTGCACTGCGACCATTTCTGCCCTCTTTCACAATTAACAGAGCCTCTTCTTTCACCCTTTCATATGACTGTCATTTCCATAATATCTCACTCAGTTTTTTTCTTACCCCCATCAACTTTTTAAAATTTCAGATCTCTATTTCCTGTCTATATTTATCACTGTTGTGGTTATTTTTATATTCACATTAGCCTTCAGGACAGCTTTATTTAAATATTCTATCAAGCCAGGACGACACAGTGAGACCTCGTCTCTTAAAAAAAAATTACCTGGGCATGGTAGTACATGCCTGTGGTGCCAGCTACTTGGGAGGCTGAGGAGGGAGGGAGGATCACTTGAGCCCAAGAGATCAAGGCTGCAGTGAGCCATGAATGAGCCACTGCACTCCTGGGGAACAGAGCAAGATCTTGTCTCTAAATGGATGGATGGATGGATGGATGGATAGATAGAGATATTCTGTCAAACCAAAGTATCAGAGTTAATTTTTACACTGTAGTTTTACACTGTAAATCAGTGTAATTTTTTACACTGAAGCATTTCTTTGTTTATTACACTTAAGTAAGTATACCCACTTATTGTAACTAGATATTGTTGATTCAGGTGGGAACTCAAACTTGGAAAGAAACTAAAATGTAGGGAGGCAGAATAGTATGGATTTTAAAAATAATAACCTAGGAAAAATAACATAATGACAAATAACAGTACCAGTAGTAGTTTTATTGTAGATCAGTGAAGTTTTGTTGCTCATCAGAGGCCTTCTACAGGTTATATAAGATCTATACCTCATAAGTCATTGGAAAAGGTATTTCTAAAACTTCAAGAGAAAAAAATCAATTAAATCTCATCTAGGAGTCACTCATTAATAGGATTAAAACATTACTAGGACTTCATTTTTATGTATTTTCATAAAGTTGAATTAACCTGAATTTTAACTATGTAAGGTTTTGCTTAAACTTTTATCTTTGGCTGTCTTTAAAAGGTGATCCTTTAGCCAAAACTAATCTGTGGTGATAGAAGCCTGAATGTTGATTGCCTCTGGGGACAGGGTATGATTATTGATTGGGAAGAGGCACAAGTGAGCCTTTGAGGTGCTGGGAAAAGTTGTATATTGTGATCTGAGTGGTGGTTACATAGATGTGTACATATGTAAAAATGCATCAAACTCTACACTTTAACTTAGTGCCTTTCACTGAAGACTTGAGTGAAATCAGAATGGTTTAAAAGAATGATGTAAGGGATTTAAGAACTCCCCCCACCACCAATCTTAAAACTTCCTTCACCCTCTTGGCCAGTCCATATACACTTGGAAGGCAGGGACAATACTCTATTAATTTTTGGATTCCTGGTATGGAGTGGGAGGGAGGATATATGCAGTTGGAGGAAAAGGGAGATGATTTCCCTTCAGGTCTGCTCTTACTAGAGATTATTAATAAACCCAATTCCACTCTGAGTTGCCACCTCACCATCTTCAAAATGTCACCATCTTCACATCAAGGGGGAATAGATCTACATATATATATATCTACATTATATATATACATGTATACATATGTAGAAATATTCCCCCTTGATGTGAAGATGGCAACATTAAGCAGCATTTTGATTTCAGAATCTGAGAAGTGGAGGACTTTGTGACATGATCACATTCTTGCACCTGTCTTCCCTTATTTGCTTTCCCAGTTGCATCTCTGTTAGCCTCTCATCTTCCTAGTTTGGTACTTAAGAGCAGAAATTGTATCTTTGATTTCTTACTGTTCAATTTTAGTGTGGAGAAGAGATGACAAAATGAATGATTTAATAATGCTGAGAAAATAAAGGGCTGTCTTTAGGCAACCCTTCTTAGGAGAGGTCATAACACATCTTTTCCATCTCTCTGTCAAAGATGGTATCTAGAAGCAAGCCAAGATTATAGAAAGATTTAAGTTTTCCATATGAAAGAGCCAGATTTAAGGCCAGGAAGAAGGAATAGAAAGGGTGATTTGAACATTTATGACAACAGAGAGCCCTTGGATTCTACATATATAAGACTTTTTCCTGCAAAATACTTCAACCTATGATGTAAGTCAGGTTCTGGGAAAACTTAGTAAGCTCAATTGACTTGGCATTGAATGTGAGTTTGCTTTGTAAGAAAGATCTATATGCACAAGGAAAGCATACGGGAGTCTTGGTGTTCATGCATTTGTCCTGTTATGAAGTTGTTCTGAATGAACTGAAAGCCCCTTCAGGATCTTTGTTCTAGACTCTAATTTAGCATGTGCATACCATAGAGAATTATAGTTCTTATATTTGGTTTGGGGCCCATTTAATCCTCCGGTCTTTCACTGACTAGAATTATTTTCAAGCTACAGATGCAAGAATAACACTGTAAACCCATTCTCGAAAAGGGAATTACGATCTTTTTAATGTATTCTGCCCTGGGACTTGCCTGTGTTGAAGCCAAAATGAAACAATGTGATTCTGCGAAAAGAACTGGTAGACACATCAATGGATACACTAGGAAAAATGAAACAAACTGCACAGCACACATAAAACTTCCATAAAGTCAAACTGCTTGATAACTCAGTGGGCTCCTGACTTCCACTTAGTTCCCATTCTCAAATGGGGTCAGACTAAAATTCTTTTCTTCTTACAAGCCAAGAAACCATATGCAACTCCCCTTCAGGAAATGAGGAATCAGAAAATAGATCCCCATTTTCCCACTATTCTCCTGCCCAGTTTCCCAAAACCTGGCTAACAAAATGGGCACCAGTTAACTGAGAGATTTCTGTTACCACTGTTGTAGTTCTAGAAAGACCATCCAACTCAGAATCTACGTTCATCCCCACTGTTAATTAAACCTCAGTGAATAACTGTTACTAGATGACATGAAACTATAGCCCATACCAAGATGAATTTGGACGGTTCAGCCAGACTCTGGAAATTCAATCCCATAGCTGCACAAGTGTGCCATGATTAGCTATTATTTTTACAATATTGGGTGCTGTACATTATGTCAAAATTAATTTTTAGATTTTTTTCCCCCTTAAAACAGAGCTTTGGCTGGGCATGGTGGCTCATGCCTGTAATCCTAGCACTTTGAGAGCCAGAGGCAGGTGGATCACCTAAGGTCAGGAGTTCGAGACCAGCCTGGCCAACATGGTGACACCCCGTCTCTACTAAAAATACAAAATTAGCCAGGCATGGTGGCGCATGCCTGTAATCCCAGCTACTTGGGAGTCTGAGGCAGGAGAATCGCTTGAGCTTGGGAGGCAGAGATTGCAGTGAGCTGAGATAGTACCATTGCACTCCAGCCTGGGCGACAAGAGCAAAACTCTGTCTCAAAAAAAAAGGAGTTTTACCAAAGATGGTAATTGAAGCATCAGAAAGTAATAGAGCTGACCTAGATTATTAAGTAAGTGGAATTGGGAAAAACTAACATCTGGATCAAGGATGACTCTTTAATTGTAAAAGCAGTCATAGAAATTACTAAGAAAATGCTGGGCACGGTGGCTCACGCCTGTAATCCCAGCACTTTGGGAGGCTGAGGTGGGTGGATCATCTGACGTCAGGAGTTCGAGACCAGCCTGGCCAACACAGTGAAACCCCATCTCTAGTAAAAATACAAAATTAGCCAGGCGCAGTAGTGCATACCTGTAATCCCAGCTACTCAGGAGGCTGAGACAGGAGAATCACTTGAGTCTAGGAGGTAGAGGTTGCAGTGATCCAAGATCATGCCATTGCACTCCAGCCTGGGCAAAAAGAGTGAAACTTGGTCTCAAAAAAAAAAAAAAAAATTACAAAGAAAAATACAAAGTGTTGAAAAAAAATTTAATGCCTATCCAAAAACCATCTTGAAAAATACCACAAACTAGGAAAACTATTTGCCACAATTGGGGATGTTTCCTAGCTTTAATTCAAGATTCTTACAAATAAATGAGAAACAAGTTGCAATCTAACGTAACGTAGTAGTATGGTTACAATTGTGTGATATATAAGTAATGGCAAATATAATGGAACATGTGGCTACTAAAAATCATGTTTTCAGAAGATTTTAATTATATGGAAAATGCTAATCCAAAGTGATAATACTTTATGCATCTAGTGTGATCATAATTTTGTTTATATTTAATTTCTATATTTAGGCAAAAAGGAAAAATATTCAGAGAAAATAGATCAAAAAGAGTTACAATGTTTTATCTGTGTAGTAAGAATATGGGTAATTGTGTAATTTTCTGCATTTTCTTAGGCTTCAGGAAAATGTGTTAGTTTTATAATCAGAAAACAAACCAACATTAATACAGAAAATATATTCCTCATTAAAGCTTTCCTCTTCCTTTAAAAATTAAACTTTATATTTTAGAATAGACAAAACATTAAGTGAAAAAGTCTACTAAAGGAAAATTTTTAGAATGAAAAAAGAGGGGCGTATATTGCCTTTCTGAGATAGTAAATGAGAAACTCAGGAAAAGTACTTTGGGAAATTTTTAAATACCCCTTTTAACTTGAGCACTCTTTCGTATTTGCTCTTCTGATAAAACTCACTCGGTTGGTAAACTAGACGATTCCTGAGCAATCTCAACATGACCATCTTTAGTAACCTGGCGTTATTTCCTACAGTGTGACATGCACCAGCACGGATGTGTTATTAGTGTCACCCGTTCATCAATCTCCACCTTCATCTAAGGCAGACAGATGGAGAATTCTGCTCTGTCTTCCTAGCAAGCATTTTTGAGCTCTTTTTTTTTATTAAGCCATTTATCTAGTCATTTAAAAAGTCTGTCTCTAGCCGTTCACATAAAGAGCCGGCATTATTTTTCAAAGCATTTTAAAATACTAGTTCTTGCCTACCTTATGGGGGGATCATTTTTATTGCCTATTCATGTGAAATATTTTAACATCAAATTTTGATTACAGGAACCTGGCTCACTAGCTTTAGCCATGCCAGAGTGTTGAAATACTTTAGGAGACTAAAATATGTGGTGATTTGAATTATCTAAAATTCCACAGGAAAATACAATAGAATTTCACAGCAGGAAAGGACCTTAGAAATAATTTAATCTAACTCTCCTTATTTTACAGAGGAGACTGAAGCCAAAGAGGCTAAAACCCAAGATTAACACCCAGTTTGAAACTGGTCCTCTGATTTCTCATTGCCGTCTTTTAAAAAATACATTATACTTAGAATTTGTTTCTAAAAGTTGTCACATAGTATTTGGGTGTCACTGGCATGTATAATAGATTCTGGAGTTGCAAACAGAATCTACACCGTGACAAATTGAATACAATGAATTTAAAGTTTTCCCTGGTTGCCCTAGTGCCAAAGTGTAAAAGGGACATTATTACAGTTTGAGGTCATGCAGCCCCAGCATCTTGTGGCTTTCCCTACTTTTCGTCAGAAAAGTCTCATTATTTCCTCAGTTTAATTATTTTAAGTTTAGTTGATTTTTTTTCTTTTCTAATCTCAGATTTTGAGAAGAAAACCTTCTAAATCAGTATTATTTTTATTAACGCTGATTGTTAGAGTTTTGCTTTGATCCTTATTAAAGCTTTTGACAATGATTTGAGTTACAAAAATTTAAATTTTAAGTTAGAGATTAAGCATGAGAAAGTTTAGATCAGGAAGAAAAATCAATTTCACTGTATATTTTTGTCCTTAAAAGCATAGCTAAAGAATTTCTATAGAAGTTTGAGGGAAATGTCTCTCCTCCTGGCCTGTAAATGAAGATATCACAACAGCTGCAAGGTATTGGTTACACCGTTGGAGTTCATTTTGATACAGTGGATTTTTTATTATTTTTTAACCCCACACCCCCCAAGTTTTTTTTTTTCATAGCAGGTGTGACTTTTAACCTTCCAAACTCAACCTTGTATGATACCGAATAATTCTGTAGGGACAAAATGATCCAAGATATGTGGGAAATGAACTTAAGAAAGATTAATAATGTTTCTGTAATTTTAAGCTTAAGTAACAGTTCTTACATTGAACACAATGTAGACAAACTACAAATTGAAACTAAGCAAATGTTGGAGGAAAAGAGAATCCGCACATTGATGAATTATGATTGTATTTATACTTTTGATCTGTGGTCTCATTGATGAAGGCCTTGTCCTGTTAACAAATGAGCAAATTTGAGATGGGATCTTAGATATAAAATACATAATTTGAACTTACTTTCAGAAATGCAAACATATCTTCACTGAGGTTATAATTAACACAAAAACTCTTTATGCAATTTGTATAGTTTATAGTGAAAATGTGGAAAGGTTTTAGTATTTTATGTAAGATCCATAAAATTTTGAAAGTGAGAAATGTGTGTGTATCTTAATGAAGGTAATAAAATATATTTGTTGAATTAGGCTTAATGTAAGTTCCAAAATGTACTTATAAAACCGTACCCTCAACCTGTAGACTAATCTTTTGAACAACTTATTTGTGTTGTAACTCAAATTATCACTAACTTCACTTCAGTAGATATTTTCGATTATAGTTTGAGGCACTTCTAATTGTACTTATATAATTATATAAAATATTAGACAATAGTGAACATAGAAATATGTTATAACATGCATAGGATATATAAACTTCGGTTTATCCAAAATGTCACCAGAATTATTTTCTTATAATGTCATATATATTTATGACAATAGATGCTTATAATTTTGATTCACATATTGATAAGATTGTCAGAGGCTTTCTAAATTACTTAAAGATTATTTTCCTTTTTTTCTCTTTATTCTAGGTCACTGCAGTAGCTCCTAACCTGCTCTCCTTCCCTTTAGCATTTCCCCTAGCTAATTCATCCTACACATTGCTACCAAATCAGT
Organism: Homo sapiens; assembly: GCF_000001405.40. Lineage (NCBI taxonomy): Eukaryota > Metazoa > Chordata > Mammalia > Primates > Hominidae > Homo > Homo sapiens. Next base: position 222,972,419 of record NC_000001.11, read on the forward strand.
CCTCCGAAAATAGTGTTTTTATCCTATCAGTTGTTACTCAAGAAACTTTAGCCACTTCCTATTTCTATTATCCACTTCAATCTCTTGCTTCCCCTCAAACAACCCCTAATCCAGTAAGTTGTGATCCTCACTAGTCCTTCATAGTAAATCCTCACTGACTTTGCTTATAGGTATTGACACAAGGTTTGTTTCCTTTCCTTTTCTTTCTGTTTCTCTATCTGAAACCTACTTATGTCAAACCTTAATTCTAATTCTGTTTCTTAGGTCAAGTTTCAGGGGCTATTCTTTGGACTACTCTGGTCCAATATTATCTTCCTATTCCCCATTCATTCACGTAATGTTTGTACTGTACCTATACGTTATAATTACTTTCAGTGTATTGTTCTCTAATTTTTTCTTGTCTGGAGGTCATATTTTCCTGGCAAATTGTCCAAGACAGTGGTTCAAGCTCTGACTGTGTAGTCTCTATTTCAAGACCTACTGAACCAGATCCCTGGGGAGGGGGTTGGAAATCTCTAGTTTTAGTAAGCTACCCAGGTGATTCCAGTGGTCATCAAATTACTTGGTATCACTTAAACTGGCAGTGAATTAAACAGAATTAACTATAGATTGTATTAAATGTATTTTAAGTTTATGGAAATGTATGATCTTTGTATAATGTTACTTCTTTTCATCTAAATTAGAGTTAGCCAGGATGCCCCATTCTCCCCAAATTATGTAGAAGTGAGAAATTTTCAAATAAAATGTTTCTATCACATGTACATAAATGAATACATATGCAATTACCCTTTATAAAAATTCAGTTCACTTTTTAATTATACAACTAATTTATGAACATATGCTCATGAGGAATTCAAAAATGCAAAATGAAACTCACTTTTTATTCTTTTCCTAATCCTTTTCTTTCCTCTCTGGTAAACAGGTCTATTGATTTGCCAAGTTCCCTTCTGAGCTTCTAAAATATATTTACGTATTTTGTATTTAGTTTTCTTTTTTCATATGAATACAGTATGAGTTGTTTTGAAACTTATTATTTTGTTTTAAAATTCTTTCCATATCAGTGTATGTGTATGTATATGTTTGTATATGAATGTGTACTCACATTGTGTAGTGCCCCATTGCATGGATGTGCCGCCATTTATTTAAGAATCTTCTTATTAACAAGTGAACAGTAAGGTTATTTAAGAATCTTCTTATTAATAAGTGAACATTAAGATTAAGGTTGCTCTCACTTATTTTCCTTATTGTAAGTCACACTTCAGTGGACATCCTTGCATATGCCCTCTTGTGCACAAGTGCCATTTGCTTTTGATTAGGAAGCTCTTCCCATTTCTGCGTTCCTTTTCATTTTCAGTTCACAAGCAATACCTCATAGCCTGCATCAGTGTTCAGCTTTTCCTTTTCAGTATGTGGCCAATAAAGCACGGGATCAAGTCAAGATATTTGGATTCTAGACCTGGCTCTGCCATTGACTTGCTCTATGATCTTGGACCCTTTTCTCCTTTGTTTCATAAAGGTGTTAAGTGGGATGACTTTTAGGGTTTCTTACAGTTCTGACAGTCTCTTATTCTAATTAGGCTTGTGGGTGTGACAACATCGATTGTTATGTCATATTCAGCTAGTAGCAAGAATCGGTTGATCTTGTTAAGTAAATCATAAAAGCGTACAGTGCTGATGAATAAAGGGACTTTATGCTTTACTCTAAATGAGTCTTTGCATTACTCCTAACTGATGTTTGAATGCCATTTTTGGATGAAAAAATAACAGTGTGGTAGTAGTACCTTTTTTCTCTTGGATAATTCTCAACAGTTTATAGAAAACTGTTACACACACCAGCTCATTTTAAAGTATTGTCTCTTTCTCACAAATCCTGAGTAATTAAAGGAATTGCTCAAGATCATCAAGATCATTCAACTAATAAGTTTCAGGGTCCAGACTTTAACTTCACATCTTTTGATTTCTAAGTTCACTGTTCTCTTAAAGAGAAAAAAGTATTTTTTTCATGCTCAAAATAGTTATTCAATATATGCTACATTTCTTTTTTGAACATTTATAAAGTACGTAGTATTTACAAGGTGCTCTTTAAATGTTAGTCCCGCCATTCCCAGCCTTTCTCTCATGCTTCCTAGTTTATTTTGTATAGAAGCTGGCACTTTGTTCAGTTTTAACAGTTCTAGACACCAAGATGACCAACACTTTTGAGTCAGCATCTCGTAAGCATTTAGGAAATGCATCACACAAGTAGTTGTGGTTTTTGTTATCCTTAAAATCACTTGACAGAGACCATAAACATTGAGCTCTGGTGCATGAAAAATGGGTTAGAGGCCAAGCTTAGCTTGTCTGCAGGGTATCTGTTTCATCTTCATGATAGAGCCCAAGTGTGCCAGTGATGTTTCATGGAAATACTTAATATGAAGAATGGCTTTGTTTTTGTTGGGAATCTTTTAAAGAATGCTCATCAAAGTGCGGATTTTTTTTATTTTCAAATATTTTCTTCCTAACTTACCAGTGCTGAACTGAAGTTACTACTTGCAGAATAGCCTTTCACAGAAAGACAGTATGATACAATCCAATGTGACTTTTGAGGTTAAAATGTGCTACTTACAGCACTTTTTTGCTTAAAAATTTGGTTACTACCATAAAGCTGAAAGTATGCTTTCTTCATGGTGCAATCTTGCCTCACAGCAGCACTGACCTCCTGGGCTCAAGCAATCCTCCCTTCTCAGCCTCCTGAGTAGCTGGGACTACAGGTGCATGCCACCACCCCAGCTAATTTTTTTATTTTTTATAGAGATAGGGGCTCACTATCACGCCCAGGCCAGTCTTGAACTCCTGGGCTCAAGCGATCCTCCCAGCTGGGCCTCCCAAAGTACTGACATTTGCAGGCGTGAGTTACCGCACCCACCTGAGACTGTCCCTTTGTAAGTTGTGGTGTTAATTCTGCAGTTATGTCTAGAATAGAATTCTCTAGACTGATGGGAAAGTTTTTGTATTTCAGTATTCTTATTTGCTTTACAAGCTCCCCTTCTCCTTCCAAAAATTATTAAAAGAGAAAAAAGGTGAGCAAAACAAAGAAACAGACAATTTGGAGCTTTTCCACATTTTTTCTGTTTCTTAACTTTACCCCTTTCACACTCCTTTTTTTCTATTACCTTTTTTAAAAATTTCCCTTGCCTCTGTACCCCTATTATCTTGATTACTCCGCTTGGTACCTCCCACTCTCCCTCCTTCTGAGAACTTTACAGTCTCATTAGTTGTCCTCTTGACTGATACATGTACACATACCGCAGTTCACTGGTCATCAGAGTACTGTAGCCAAGGTTCTCAACTGCTGTTCCAGTTCTCAAGTGTGAAGTGCCAAGGGCAATTTGTTACTAATTATGAGAACCCCAGTTTGTACATGCTTTGCTTTTTTAAAAAACAGATATGAGCTTAGCCCTCAAATAATGTCACTGTCACTCACTTGCATACAGAAATGCTTTCTTGAGTGGGAGAGAAAGAATGACACTGCAGCTGGTGGACTGTCTGAGGACCCAAGCTTATCTACACTACAGCCTGCGGGAGTGTGTGGTGGGACGCGCAAATGTCATCTTTCCTTGGGCCTTTTCCCAGCAGAAAAAAACGCTAAAAACCTAATCAAAGAACAGAAAAATGTTCCCACTGAAGATTATTGCTGCTTATTTGGGTTTGTTTTTATTAAAAAGTGAATGCTGGAAAAAGATAGTTTCTCTCTCCGAGGTTAGATTTGTTTATTTTTACTAGACAAGACTAGTAAAAATAAAAATTTGTTTATTTTTACTAACACAAGACTGAAGTTAGGGTGAAGGTCATCCGTAGGTTTTATTAGGTCGATATTAAAAGTAGCAAATCCAAAGGGTTTTACAAATGGAGGAAGACTGCTTTTCATCTATGAAAGTATGTAGTGGACTCCCTGGCTAGCCTCCTTTCACAGGTGTTTCTGGTAAGAGATTGCAAAAGCAGAATTAAAGAAGGCAGCACTGTAAATCAAACAGGTTTCATGTTTTACCTGTAGTGTGGTTTGGGTGTTTCCATCATCTGTTTGTCACGTCCATTTGTATAGAAACTTCAGAGGGATCTAATGTTTTCCTAGGAGGTTTCTTTGTGGTAACCTCAATTTTTCTTTTCCAACTGATGTTGACAGTCTCTACTTACTGTCTCAAATTTTTTTAACATAAAATGAAATCTTTACTCAAGCAGAAAGACTGTGATGAATCTATAGTTGTTTCTCTCCAGGGAGTAAATTAGTCATAGATCCATGAATTTCTATTTAGTTAAAAGAAAAAGTTAGTGGCAGAGAGAGGGTTTACATTTGTTACAACCCAAATGTCTGTAACAAAATACATTTCTTTGCTCAGTACATGTTCCAGAATTATGGCTGTGAGGATAATTTTAGTTCCAAAGATAGCAAAATCTCCTAATTTCTCTTGGAAATTCAAGATGTATTTTTAAGAATGCATAAGTGAAAAAATGGGATTGAAAAATTAAGATTTTTGTATACAAGTGATTTGCTTCCTTGTCCACTGCCTTACTCTCTGGAAAAACACATTTGCTTTCATAGCTCATTAATAGTTTCATCACTGGTGTTCAGATAGCATATTCTTTTTTTTGAGACGGAGTTTCGCTCTTATTGCCCAGGCTGGAGTACAATGGCGCGATCTCGGTTCACCGCAACCTCCGCCTCCCAGGTTCAAGCGATTCTCCTGCCTCAGCCTCCTGAGTAGCTGGGATTACATGCATGCACCACCATGCCCGGCTAGTTTTTGTATTTTTTTTTAGCAGAGATGGGGTTTCTCCATGTTGGTCAGGCTGCTCTTGAACTTCCGACCTCAGGTGATCTGCCAGCTCTGGCCTCCCAAAGTGCTGGGATTACAGGCATGAGCCACCACGCCCGGTCAGCATATTCTTTTTTTTTTTTTTTTTTTCAAAGAGGGCTGACAAATATTGTTTTATTTGTTAAGGACTTAGTTGTCTTGTCTTGGAAAGGCTTAATTACAAATATTTTTTGTCTAACTCCCATAACTTTACATGTACTTCTTAGATTACTTGTCACTATATTTTTATGACATCATTGTCATTTTCTTTTTTTTTTAAATTCTTTTTTTTTTTTTTATTATACTTTAAGTCTTAGGTATATGTGCACAACGTGCAGGTTAGTTACATATGTATACATGTGCCATGTTGGTGTGCTGCACCCATTAACTCGTCATTTAACATTAGGTATATCTCCTAATGCTATCCCTCCCCTCTCCCCCGACCCCACAACAGGCCCCGGTGTGTGATATTCCCCTTCCTGTGTCCATGTGTTCTCATTGTTCAATTCCCACCTATGAGTGAGAACATGCAGTGTTTGGTTTTTTGTCCTTGCGATAGTTTGCTGAGAATGATGGTTTCCAGCTTCATCCATGTTCCTACAAAGGACATGAACTCATCACTTTTTATGGCTGCATAGTATTCCATGGTGTATATGTGCCACATTTTCTTAATCCAGTCTATCATTGATGGACATTTGGGTTGGTTCCAAGTCTTTGCTATTGTGAATAGTGCCACAATAAACATACGTGTGCATGTGTCTTTATAGCAGCATGATTTATAATCCTTTGGGTATATACCCAGTAATGGGATGGCTGGGTCAAATGGTATTTCTAGTTCTAGATCCCTTCCACAACGACTTCCACAATGGTTGAACTAGTTTACGGTCCCAGTGTAAAAGTGTTCCTATTTGTCTACATCCTCTCCAGCACGTGTTGTTTCCTGACTTTTTAATGATTGCCATTCTAACTGGTGTGAGATGGTATCTCGTTGTGGTTTTGATTTGCATTTCTCTGATGGCCAGTGATGATGAGCATTTTTTCATGTGTTTTTTGGCTGCATAAATGTCTTCTTTTGAGAAGTGTCTGTTCATATCCTTCGCCCACTTTTTGATGGGGTTGTTTGTTTTTTCTTGTAAATTTGTTTGAGTTCATTGTAGATTCTGGATATTAGCCCGTTGTCAGATGAGTAGATTGCAAAAATTTTCTCCATTCTGTAGGTTGCCTGTTCACTCTGTTGGTAGTTTCTTTTGCTGTACAGAAGCTCTTTAGTTTAATTAGATCCGATTTGTCAATTTTGGCTTTTGTTGCCATTGCTTTTGGTGTTTTAGACATGAAGTCTTTGCCCATGCCTGTGTCCTGAATGGTATTGCCTAGGTTTTCTTCTAGGGTTTTTATGGTTTTAGGTCTAACATTTAAGTCTTTAATCCATCTTGAATTAATTTTTGTATAAGGTGTAAGGAAGGGATCCAATTTCAGCTTTCTACATATGGCTAGCCAGTTTTCCCAGCACCATTTATTAAATAGGGAATCATTTCCCCATTTCTTGTTTTTGTCAGGTTTGTCAAAGATCAGATAGTTGTAGATATGTGGCATTATTTCTGAGGGCTGTGTTCTGTTCCATTGGTCTATCTCTCTGTTTTGGTACCAGTACCATGCTGTTTTGGTTACTGTAGCCTTGTAGTATAGTTTGAAGTCCGGTAGCATGATGCCTCCAGCTTTGTTCTTTTGGCTTAGGATTGACTTGGCGATGCAGGCTCTTTTTTGGTTCCATATGAACTTTAAAGTAGTTTTTTCCAATTCTGTGAAGAAAGTCATTGGTAGCTTGATGGGGATGGCATTGAATCTATAAATTACCTTGGGCTAGAATCAATATATAAGCTGGGCACAGGGGCTCACGCCTGTAATCCCAGCACTTTGGGAGCCTGGGCGAGAGTGTCACTTGAGCCCAGGAGTTTAAGACCAGCATAGGCAGCACAGGGAGACCCCACATCTACAAATAAAAAATCTAAAAAATTAACTGGGTGTCATGGCGCACGCCTGTGGTCCCAACTACTCAGGAGGCTGAGGTGGGAGGATTACTTGAGCCCAGGAAATTGAGACTACAGTGAGCTGGCCCACTGCACTCCAGCCTGGGTGACAGAGCAAGACCTTGTCTCAAAAAAAAAATTTAAATTTAAAAATTTTTAAATAAAATTAATTTATAGTTGTAGTGATGGTTGCATAACTCATGAAAGTACTGAAAACATGGAATTGTACACTTAATTGGGTGAATTATGTGGTATATGAATTATATCTCAATAAAACTCATTGAAAAATCAATGTGTAATTGTATTTGAAAATACAGCTTTTGGGGGTTTTTGGTCTTTTGTAGATTCACCAGAAAAACTAAGTGTGCTTCATGGCTTCTTCAGATGTGAACGTGTTCACTGAAAGCCCAGTCTGTGTAAAGCTGCTAAGCCCTCACCAGCTCACTGGAGTGGCCCTGCACTCCGTCCCTCTATGCATACTTGGATAGCCCTGGCCAGCTGAGCGCTGCAGGTCAGGAGGCTGCTGTCTCCTACAGCCACACACTTCTGCTCCCAGCATTTGACAAGTGTGCTTACCAAACCCACGCATGCCAGTTGGCTTGTTTTGGTAATTATGTTATCTGATTAATGTTTTTAGTTCACTTATATATAGATGCTAAAAGAAAAAGTTGTTTTCACGAAAAGAAAATTGTAGCCTTAGGAAAAAAAGGTTAATTGCTACAAAAAAATTTTACTGCTGAATTAGGCATGGAAGAGAAAATTGTAAAAGATCTGGGGAAAAAAATCATCAAAATTTAGTTGTGTATTGTAGTCAGTATATCCAGGATACTCAAAAGTATCCAAAGTCCTCAAAAACTCAGTCATAGACAATGCAGCAGGTCTATGGTTTATGTAAGAACAGATTAACATTTATGTTTAAGTTACTATTAGATATTTAAGGAATGTATGTAGAACTTCAAAAAATGTTTCTCTTTAATTAACCTTTCTGATTAACCAACAAACTAATGGTTCCTGCAGCATTGAACAGAGAGCCTATACTGTAGGATACAGAGGCACAGAGAGAAACTTACAAAGTTTAGTAAAATGTTGAAAGAGTTTAGGATTGACAAATAGGAATGGGCTGATGTAACAAAGTGTGTGTGTGTGTGTGTGTGTGTGTGTGTATAAGAGAGAAACAAAATAAAAATTACCTATATTAATATTTATGTCCCTAGCTTCTTGCTTTTTTAATTCATTGTCTACTGATTTCAAAGCTGTTGAGTATGAGAAAAGTAATCAAAGATCCCCATTCATTAATCCAACACGCACTGATCTGACATCCACAAAGGACCATACATTATACTAGTTATGGAGATATGAATACAAATAAGATATGGTTCCTTTTTATGTATCTAATGTCTTTTTTTTAGATTTTTAAAAAATGAATTATCTTTACTGTACATATATAAAAAGAATGCATTTTTGGTATCCTTTATAATGCTGTAAATATTCAGGCTCACCTTTTTTCTTAAAGCAACAAGTTCTTGGCTGGGCACAGTGGCTCAGGCCTGTAATCCCAGCACTTTGGGAGGCCCAGGCGGGTGGGAGGTCAGGAGTTCGAGGCCAGCCTGGCCAACATGGTGAAACCCCATCTCTACTAAAAATGCAAAAATTAGCTGGGCTTGGTGGCATGCGCCTGTAGTCCCAACTACCCAGGTGGCTGAGGCAGGAGGATCGCTGGAACCCAAGAGGCAGAGGCTGCAGTGAGCCGAGATCGTGCCACTGCACTCCAGCCTGGGCAACAAAGCAAGACTCTGTCTCAGAACAAAAAATGACTTCTCTTATGCTGTTCTTAGTGGAAACTCAGACTTTAAGTTCCACATCTGCCAAAAGAAAAGACAATTATTTTCTGTATAAGAGGTTAATACTTTTTGCCCTATGGGCTTTTCTTCCTTGGTTTTACAGACAAATACTCACAGGACAGAGAACAGCAAATTAGGTATCAAGAGACTTGAGTTCTCACTACAGCTCCACTATTAAGATGCTGAGAGACCAAAAGGCAAACTGAGGTCCATCTCTAAAAATGAGGCTGCAGTGGAATTGGAATATATATTCCCTAAAATTCTTTCTGGTGCTTGCAACTTCTGAGATTGTTCCATCTCCTTGGTTTTAATATTTTAATGGGCTTAGAATCCATAACGAGGGCATGTAAATAAAGCTTGAAATTTAGAACACATGCATCTCTTGTATCAACAGTTTAATACAAAATGCATTCCAGAATGTTAGCTCTGTGTAGTTGGGAACCCTGTTTGTCTTGTTCATGGGTATACTAGGAATTAGATAAATGTTTCTTTTTAAGAGTGGGTACATGTATCTGAGGGAGAAATGTAAATGGAGAGAGAAAATAGGAAAGAGAACTTTAGATCTTCAAGAAATTCCAAGGTAGGGTTCCAACTATTGGAAGAGTAATAGCTTGAAGTAGGAAGTTTGGAGGACAGGTTTTTACATTTTGTTTTGTTTCTCCAAGTATGGTACAGTCTGGTGAAAGATTTCATTTTAAGAAAGAGTATGTAGCTAGGCAATTCAATTATTCAGTCAGCAAATATTTATATATCCTCAATAAATTAGTGTAGTGGTTCCTAAACTTTGGGTCATGCAACCCCTTTACAGTTTCAAAAATTGTTGAGAACCTTCAAAGAGCTTTTGTTTATGTGTTTAGCTGATATGTACCATATTGGAATCGAAACTGACAAATATTAAATTATGAAACTCATTAAAAATAATAAGCCCATTACATGTTAACATAAATAACACATTTTGTGAATAATAATTACATTTTTCAAAACAAAAAAGTTTAGCAAGATAAGTATCATTGTTTTACATTTTTGCAAATCTCTTTGACATGTGGCTTACTAAAAGCCGTATTCTCATATTTGTTCTGCAATCTATGGCAATATGCCATTTGGTTGAAATATATGAAGTATATGAAGAAAATCTGGCTTTACACACATCTGTAGTTGGAAAAGGGAGGTCTCACAAACCCCATGAAAGGGTCTCAGGAACTCCCAGCTGTCTTTAGACCACACTGTGATAACCAGTGTACTTTTGTTTGTTCAACAAATATTTATTAAATGCTTTCCAGTAAATAGGAAAAAAATAATCTGATAGGAATACAAAGTTTGGAGATTGAGACTTAGTTTGGAGTTTCTTTAGCAAACTTATCCTATATCTGGGAGGCAAGGTACAAAGGATGAGTGGGAATAATAAAACAGTATGGGAAAGAGCTGATTGGAAATACAAGCCCGTATCTGTTGAAGTAGATTGTGAAGTTAGATATTAAGAAACTGAAAAATGGAGAAGCAGCTGGTATCTTGAAGAGGGAATAGAATACCTAAAAGAAGGTATTAATATCCAATTTTTTTAAGTGTTGGGATCTTTGCTACGTAAGGAAGCAGCTTAGATTGGAGACTGAGGGATGTGGATTCCTGTTAGGGGAGAGAAGACTGAATCTGGTAGCTGTAGATCTCAGAGAAGAATGTTGTACAGTGTGAGTATGATTCCATCAGGAGAGGGTGATACGGAGTCTGGGAAGGTTCTGCCTCCTGACTAGCCACTCGAGCTGTCTCTACTAGTATGTAAAGTAGCCAACATTCATTGTTTAAAATCTCTCAAATAGATTGCCTTTTTTTTTTTAACACTTCCAAGATTCTTTGTAAGAGATAACAAGTAAAATGTTCAACACATATGTAAAGCCTTTGTTTATGTTATGATGTTTATGATGCTCTGTTTTTGATCATTTTTCCTTTGCTTTTTTTTTTTTCAGACCATCCAGACCTTTCAAGTTGCCAAAAAGGTAAAGTAATCTGGGTCATCTTATTAAATAATAAACTTACCTGCATGCTTTTTCCAGTCTAGTATTTTCTCCGTATTTTGCTGTTCTTTTCACTTTCCTCATTCATATTTTTATGAAAGAAAAAGAAATGTCCCATGAGTTGGCTGCTTGAGGAATTCCATATCTCCAAAAGTGGTTTTAATCTTAAGGTAGATTTCTAACCCTATTAAATTCTATTTGTGTCTAGGGCTAGGTGCAGTGGCTCATGCTTGTAATCCCAGCACTTTGGGAAGCCAAGTGGGTGGATCACCTGAGGTCGGGAGTTCGGGACCAGCCTGGCCAACATGGCAAAACCCCATCTCTACCAAAAATACAAAAATTAGCCAGGCGTGGAGGCACGTGCCTTTAGTTCCAGCTACTCGGGAGGCTGAGGCAGGAGAATCGCTTGAACCTGGGAGGTGGCAGTTGCAGTGAGCCAGGATTGTGCCACTGTACTCCAGCCTGGGGGACAGAGCAAGACTCCATCTCAAAAAAAAAAATATTTGTGCGTAAACATTTATATTTGTTTATTTATTTTGCATTCCTTCCTGCAACGGATTGGCTTACTTAGTGAGGAAAGAGATACTGTTCTGCCAACTACCATGACTCGAATTCATGGCAGTTTATTTCAGAGGGGTTGTCTTTCTTTTTAAAAATCTTGTTACCAATGGAAGTATTCTTTTATGTGGAAATGTCTAAGGCTTATCTTTCAATAGAGAAAATTTTAACTTGATAAGAGTTCCTAAAAAAAGCGTTTTCTCATCAGATGTCCTTACACATTGTAATTCCAGATACAATGTCATTACACTTAAGAAATTCTAAGTGATCTTTGAAATTCAGTTGCCAAAGAAGCTCAAATGCTGATAACACTGAAGCCTGCCTCAAGGGAGTTATCCTGTCTTTGAAGTGAAATTACTACATAAATATTAATTAGTAAACTCTCCTTCTATTTAAAAAAAAATATATTTTTAAAATTGTGGTAAAATATACATAATAGGCCAGGCGCAGTGGCTCACGCCTATAATCCCAGCACTTTGGGAGGATGAGGCAGGCGGATCACTTGAGGTCAGGAGTTTAAGACCAGCCAAGGCAACATGGGGACACCTGTGTCTACAAAAAAATACAAAAAGTTAGCCAAGCATTGTGGTTTGTACCTGTAGTCCCAGCTACTTGGAAGGCTGTGGTCGGAGGACCTCTTGAGCTTAGGAAGCAGTTTGTGCTTAGCTGAAATACACCACTACACTCAAGCCTGGGTGGCAGAGCCAGACTCTGTCTCAAAAAAAAAAAAAAAAAAATATATATATATATAGAGAGAGAGAGAGAGAGAGAGAGCGTACTCATATATGTTATATATAACATAGGTTTATATGTTATATATAACATAGGTTTATATGTTATATATAACAGGTTTATATGATAGATATAACATGTTGACATACTTTAAATGTTATAACATGTTTATATGTTATATATGTTGTATATATAACATGTTTATATTTGTTGTATATATAACATATATGTTGCCTTTTAACTATTTTTAAGAGTACAGTTCATTGGCATTATGTACATTCACATTGTTGTCTAACCATCACCACCATCCATTTCCAAAACTTTTTTTCTGTTGTAAAACTGAAATTCTGTACCCATTATACATTAACTCCCCATTTTCTCCTACCCCCAGGCCCTAGCAACCATCATTCTGCTTTCTGTCTCTATGGGTTTGACTGCTGTAAGTACCTCGTATGAGTCGAATCCTACAGTATTTGTCCCTTTGGAACTGGCTTATTTCACTTAGTGTAATTTCTTCCAGGTTCATTCATGTAGCATGTATTAGAATCTCCTTTTTGTAAGGCTGAATAATATTCCATTGTATGTATATACTACATTTTGTTTATCCAATTCCCTTTTCATTTTTGCAAAAAAACAAGAGAGAAAGAAAAAATGAGGGAAAGAGGTATGGAAGTAAATACGGCATATTAAGAAAACAAATTTCTACTTTTCTATAAATAGGGCTTTTGCAAATGACTAAAAATTTTACTTTGAAAAGATTTCTTTCTCTGTTATTAAATTGGTGTTATTAAAACAGAGTTCTAATTTCTTTTACGTACATGTGCATATAAATATAACTTCTTCAACAAAGCCTTTCCTGATTCCCCTTTCCCACCTTGGCTGGAACTTATTGCTTCCCTTATTGAATTCACAAAACATTTCATCTGTACCCCTCTAAAAAACACATATTTTTGGCCGGGCACAGTGGCTCACGCCTATAATCCCAGCACTGTGGGAGGCCGAGGCGGGCAGATCACGAGGTCAGGAGTTCGAGACCAGCCTGGCCAACATGGTGAAACCCTGTCTCTACTAAAAATACAAAAATTAGCTGGGCATGGTGGCGGGTGCCTGGAATCCCAGCTACTCAGGAGGCTGAGGCGGGAGAATTGCTTGAACCCGGGAGGTGGAGGTTGCAGTGAGCCAAGATCGTGCCACTGCACTCTAGCCTGGGTGACAGAGCAAGACTCCGTCTCGGGGTGGGGGAAAGAAAAAAACAAAAAGCACACACTTTTTTTAACCTGTCTTGTAGATATTTGTGTGCCTGTCTTATTTTCTGTATTAGGCTGTAAATTCCCTGAGGGCAAGATCCAAGTCTGCCATTTTTGTATTCCCAGAATGCCTTGCTTCCTTATTGTTTAATGCTAATTGTTGGATGAATTTGTTACTTCACAAGAAAAAGAGTTGTATATTCTTTTCTTTTTTTTTAATTTTCTCAAACTTCAATCACTCTTCTCACTAAGTTGATAGTTGATGCCACTGGAAAAGTTATGACTTAACATTTTGAAATGTCTTATCTTTAAGGGACAAGAGGAATAAGAAAGAGTTATTAAGAGAAACAGAAAAGAATACACCAACGGGGAAAGGATTTTTAGGAAGAAAGAGGTAGCTAACAGTGTTAAATTCTGCTCAGGTCAAGGAAGGTAAAAACCAAGAATAGTTAGTTGACTTGGGCAGTTCAGAAAAGTCATGAGAGCAAAAGCCAGGCTATAAGGGGTTAAAGATCCGGTGGTCGGTGAGGAAAAGGAAGCCTCTGGTGTGGGCACTGAATTATACCATCTGAAACACGGCTTTCTGCTCAGAGGGAAGAGAAAAAAGAAGAGTGTTTTGAGAAAGGCAGCAAAGAGCAAGGGAAAAAAAATCTTTGTAAGCTAAGAGGAAAATTTATTATGGGGGAATGTTATTGTAATATAAATGACCCACTTAAAATTGGCCCCCATTTTAATGTCACTTGAGCATAAGCTGGCTCTATAAGATACTTCGTTTATTTGTTTTAACAGTTATTTCTGATCTGTTTCCAGAGTAAACCCAATAATAAGGTGACTGAAAATCTCTGACTATGTTTGAGGGACTTCCACTGAGTACCAGTGAAAACTCCAGCATGGCAGTAACACCCTGGACCAGAACGCCAGGCAGCATGCCTGCTAACTCAGATCCATGGTTCATCCACGAACGCATTTCATTACCTCTGCTACTTCTGTTCCTTCTTCTGTAAAAGGAGAATGAGCCCTTCAGATCCGTCTCCTATTAGAGACTTAACCTATTGAGAAGATGATGTGAACTTTTATACAGCAGTGCCCTGTAAAGAGTTGTGGTCCCTAACCTCAGCAGCTAGTACAGCAGTAGGGCCTCCGGGAAAAGGGTCTTTCACTGGAAAATGACTACCTGCTGTAAGCCAGGTGTTACAGAGGTGGGCCACATTTACAGTTATATTGTGGTGTCTAAAGATTTTCAATATTAGAGAAGGTGGATGAAAGACAAATATGATTTGATATGCAGAAGAATACATGATAGTTAAAAGAATGGTTCCTTTGAAAATTCTTCTACTCTACATGTGGTTCACTTTTCAAAGAGAATAATGCACAGGATATGGATATATATATATATATATAGCATCATCAAATATATATATATATTTGTGAGATTTATAGACTATTTTTAATTTCCTTTACTTCTCCAATTTTCCTACTTTATTAGACTTTTATCTTCATATTACAACCATTGTCTGGATTTCATATTGCGCAGGCAACTCTGTTTCCCATGTGGTACCCACAGCTATACTATATATTTGCATAGATAGCAGGAGGAGTAGAATTAGCCTCAGCAATTTTGTGGTGTTGAGAAGAAATACTTGTTTGAGTAAAATTTACTTAGAATGATTGGGCTTTCCCCCATGGTGTTTTATATACTCAGGATGGTGATCCCATTACTTAAATGTGAACAGTTATCTCTAGGAAAGGTTAGCGTGGGAAACATCGGCTGTGTAAGGAAGTGGAATTGTAATATAGTGAGGTTAAACGTGTTTGGAAGAAATGTGCTGAAATCACTAATGCCATAAAGTTTCCATATGTAGTCAGTGCACGTATATGGTGTGTAGCAGTGCTGTAAAATCAAAACCAAATGTTTTCAAAGGGAAGAAAAGCAATTATTGAATGGGGCTTTTAACGTTGCTATACGTGTGTGCAGATTTTCAAGAACACAAAATTAAAAGTTATTATATGGGTTAATTAAACCACAGTATGAATACTAAGCAATTTGGGGCCTACTGCCCTCTATTGATAACATGTTAATAGGTAAAAATGCATAACTTCTGATTCATTTGAGAGAAAATGAATCCATTTAAAATAAAGTGTAATGAATAATTGTATAAGCCTGGGGCCATTTTCATTTCACAGGGCTGATATTTTAATGGTCTAAAATGTAAAGGACTCTTTTTAAGTCTGAAGCAATGAAAGTAGTCTCAAATGTGCTATTGAGACAGAGGACTTTATTGCTTCAAAACTAGTTACTTTCATCTTAGTTTGCATTTTGTGGAGGAGGAAATAAAGTAAGGAGAATATTTTTGCACAGGGTGTGTCCTAGAAGTGTGAAAGCTTCTAGACACTTGGTGTTTACATTTGAACAACCACAATCAGCTTATTGTCACTTAAATGTTTTTATTATTTTCAGAATTATTCTAAAAGGTTATTCTGTCATTTTTCCTGAATGAGTTTTTAAATCTAAAATTTGCAGTCTAGTGAATAATGTTCAAACTTAGAACCCATATGATTTTGCATAGAGAAATTAACTATAAATAGGGCTAGGAATTTTTAATTGTAAGTTTTGGGAAACAGACATTTGTGGCAAGTGTAGTTATTCCTAATGTTTCTAGTTACTCTTGTGTCTGAAGAAAGAAATGACAGCCCAGAGATTAAAAGCCCTGACACTAGAACCAGACTATCTAGGTTCCTAGTTTTGTGACATTGAATAAGTTCTATAACTTGTCAATGCTGCAGTTTCATCTCCAAGGGTTGTTGTGAGAATTGAACAATATAATAATTTATGTAAAGCACAAGAGCAACTGGTATTCTGAATAAGGACGAGCTTGTATTTATTTATTTATTTTTATAAGATTTCTCTTTCTCTCTCTCTTTCTTTTTTCTTCCTTTCTCTCTCTTCTCTTTCTTTCTTTTTTCTTCCTTCCTTCCTTTATAGCTTTATTTCTTTCTCTTTTTTTTTTTTTTTGACAGAGTGTTGCTCACCCAGGCTGGAGTGCAGTGATATGATCTCTGCTCACTGCAACCTCCGCCTCCTGGGTTCAAGTAATTCTCCTGCCTCAGCCTCCCAAGTAGCTGGGACTACAGGCGTGTGCCACCATGCCCAGTTAATTTTTGCATTTTTGTAGAGACAGAGTTTCACCATGTTGGCCAGGCTGGTCTCAAACTCCTGACCTCAGGTGATCTGACTGCCTCAGCGTCCCAAAGTGTTGGGATTACAGGCGTGAGCCACTGTGTCTGGCCTTTTAAGATTACTTTAAAAGAGCAGCAGTGAAAAGTGCCTGTGCACATGCTCCCTTAAAGCATAATTGCTCTATATTTTAATATCCTTACTAGAATTATAATTTGAAGCAAATATCTCCACAAAGCCAGATCAATAAAGTTAAGACATCAGATTATAAAAATTGGCAGTCTATTATTAGAGACATATAGTAGCTTTTTTTCAGACTGACATTTAGAGCCACCAGAATTATTTGTAACTACTAGCATGATTTTGAAGAAATAACTCAAAAATATATGAGTAAGAATCCTATTTCAAATGAGCCAGAAATAGCCATTGCAGCAGCCAAATGAGCTAACATTACTGAGAATTTGAGAGTAGTGGTCCACAAGTTAAATATTTTGTCTTGCTTTTCTTCTAATAAAGATTCAAGAAGCCAGAAGTTTGCAGGATGCATTTTGAATTTTAGAAAACGTTCAGTTTAGTCAGCTTCTGTTGGGTACTCAGCTCATATCAAGACTTGGAAGTGCCAAAATAATAACGTGTGATCCAGGACCTCATGGAAGGGATACAGAAACAGATCTTTCAATTTGAGGTAACAAATGAGGGTGTGGGAAGCGCATCTGGAAGAAAGGGCCCAGTGTTAGGATTTGGTAATAGAGACAGTTCTGCACATGTGGGAAGAGACTAAAACCAGATTGTAGTAGCTGGAGAGTACAAGCATCAGATGTTTGTTCATTTAGTCAATAGATAGTTATTGATCAACTTCCACTGACAAGAATTTCTGCTCTCATGGAACTCACATATCTAGTGGATATGCTCACTGTAGTTTTAGCTAGAAGGAAAGTTACAGGTTTATGGGAAGTGTTTAGTTTAGTTTTTTTTTTTTTTGAGACAGAATCTAGCTCTGTCGCCCAGGCTGGAGTGCAGTGGCATGATCTCAGCTCACTGCAACCTCCACCTCCCGGGTCCAAGTGATTCTCCTGCCTCAGCCTCCCAAGTAGCTAGGACTACAGGCGTGTGCCACCATGCCCAACTAATTTTTTGTATTTTTAGTAAAGACAGGGTTTCACCGTGTTAGTCAGGATGGTCTCGAACTCCTGACCTTGTGATCCACCCGCCTCAGCCTCCCAAAGTGCTGAGATTACAGGTGTGAGCCACCATGCTCAGCCCTTAGTTTGGTTATTTTTAAGATCTGAACTGTATGAACCTGTTTATAGACTCTCACTGTTTAAGAACTCTGAGAGTAAAGGTGTGGAGAAAGGGAATAACTAGAGAAACAAAAGTTCTGAAAGACACTGATTGGAGTATGGATCCTCTGTTAAAATTTATTTTCTTTCCACTGATGAAGTGTGTATTTTATATCTCTTTACAGGCATAGATGTAGATATAAAATGTTACTTGTCATATATGAACATTATTCTGACTCTCAATAGCCTGTGGCATAAAGTGCTACTTGATCACAAAAATGAGGGGACAATGATCTTGTAACTTTCTACTACAATTACATACAAATATTTATAATCCCATTAGATATTGTATTGATAAACACCTGTATGTAGTCTACAATATGAGGATTTAATAAATTGCTGTCTTAGGTACCAAAAATATTTCTGCGAAGGGCCTTCTTTGTGCCTTCTTTGTGTTTCTGTAGTTATGCAGCTCTGATAGCCGACACTTCTTTGTGTTTTGTAGTTATGCAGCCCTGATAGCCGACTGGCCGGTGGTGGTCTTGGGCATGTGCACCATGTTCATCGTAGTCTGTGCCTTGGTTGGAGTATTAGTGCCAGAGCTCCCTGACTTCTCTGATCCATTGCTGGTAACTAACTTTTATGTTTTCTTTAGCCTAAAATCATCTCCAAATATTGTGTATTTTAATACATGTTGCATTATGTTATTTAGTAACCCATTTCTTTAAAAACCTTCTCAAGCAACAATTCTCTTTCTGAAAAGTAAAGACATGACTTTATCTGTATTATCAGGTTCTTAAAAGGTCAAGGAACTTGTTTACCCTCAAAAATCTGGAAGGTTTGCTTCTTGGTCCCCATGTTTAAGCTAAAAAGCAATAAATTGGAGAATCTGCCTTCTACAAAATTATTCTCATAAAGTCTTTAACACTGTCTCTGTTTTCTCCCAAAGAAGTTAAAGGAATTTCAGTATTACTAACAGATCACAGAGTCTGTTTTTAAGTAAATGTTTCTCTGGAGTGGAATAATGAGGAAAATATGATCAAGGATAATGAAACACTCTTTGTAAAAATACAGTGCGTAACATGATTTAATTTGATCATAATTTTTATAAGATAAAAGTAAGTATTTACTAAATGCTTAGGCATGAGTTGGAAAGATAAACTTTCTTTAGACATGTAACATACCAAAGAATCAAACTGTTTTGTCACAGCAAATAGGTGATGATTATCATGTCAAGGCATCTTGTTTTAATGCAGTCACCTCTGGAGTAGCTGTGAGGAACAGCTATATTTTCTGTTGAAAGCTATATATCACTTTGACATTGCTTTCCCAAGCTTTTATTGTAACTGTACTTAGCCTGAAATGAAATATACTAATGAGCACCTGTAATTTTGCCTTAGGGTTTTGAACCAAGAGGAACAGCAATAGGCCAGAGATTGGTCACATGGAATAATATGGTGAAAAATACAGGATACAAAGCAACATTAGCAAATTATCCCTTTAAATATGCAGATGAACAAGCCAAAAGGTAATCAATTATTTATTTTTATATAACTTTTAGACAAAACATTGCTGAATGAATTCCTCTTCAAATACTGCCTAAACAAAAAATTTAAATGTAAAATGTGTGGCTCAAAATCTTTGCCACTGAATTTGCTTAACTTGTCATTGTGTTTGAAGATTTTGTTGTAGTAGGATGAAAAGGTGAGATTTTCTTTTTTTTTTTCTTTTTTAGAAGTGAGAAAATTAATGTTGGTTGCTTCTTCTAATCCTTTCAACTTAATATCAAGGACTAAGCAGGTCATGGCTTTGAGGAAGTAATGTTTCCAGTATGCTTATCAGCTTTGAAATAACGAGAACTTTATTGAAGATCAAATTGTCGTTCCATTTCAGCCATCGGGATGATAGATGGTCAGATGATCATTATGAAAGAGAGA
The DNA here is from genome assembly GCF_000001405.40 of Homo sapiens. Classification (NCBI taxonomy): domain Eukaryota; kingdom Metazoa; phylum Chordata; class Mammalia; order Primates; family Hominidae; genus Homo; species Homo sapiens. Next base: position 222,992,057 of record NC_000001.11, read on the forward strand.
AAAGAGAAGTTGACTGGAACTTCCACAAGGACAGCTTTTTCTGCGACGTTCCAAGTGAGTGACATTGTAGATGAACAAACCACTCAGCAGTTTGCTCGCATTTAAAATTGAACATGATCACAGTCTAGACTGATAGCCGTGTGTGGCTAGTCACACAGCTTCACTGTTGCTGTTGAACCTAAAGAAATTTTGGCTAATTAACTTTTTCTTTTACTTCTCTAGTTTAGTCAACTACTAGTCTGAGTTTATTATATTATTAAAATTAATGAAAAAGTAATGATTGAGTTTTCTTATTTTAAGGAAGATATAAATCTAATGAAATTCTTGACCTTGCCCAACATTTCAAGTCTTTTTAAAAATTCCTTGTACTATTTATTTCTAGATCAAGTACAGGTACATATTTTTGCATTGAACCTTGAAATAATCTGTTGAATTATTAAAAAATTATTTAAAGTTCCAATTCATTCTAAAGTGAATCAGAAAATGGCTTAAAGTTCTGATTCATTCAAAAAGCAATACTATATTAAGAGCCTTCTGTGTGTTACCTCATCACTAGGCAGTAGAGGTAGAGAGGTGAAAAAAATAAAGTCTAGAGGTTCAAAGTTTGAATGCCTCAGGGGCCTGGCATATAATCCAAGTGAATAAAGCTAGCTAGGTGTGACAGGAGAAGTGATGGTGATTGTGGAACACTAAGGAACATCTGCCCTGTCGAAAGAAATCGGCTGCTACTTAGCCGCGACAAAAGATGGGGTTCTAGAAATGAGGGCCCAAATGTTGCAAGAACTTGCCAGAGGTCAAAAACCCAGAATTTTTTTTTTTTTTGAGACAGAGTTTCGCTCTTGTTGCCCAGGCTGGAGTACAATGGCGCAATCTTGTCTTACCACAACCTCCATCTCCCAGGTTCAAGCGATTCTCCTGCTTCAGCCTTCCCGAGTAGCTGGGATTACAGGCATGCACCACCATGCCTGGCTAATTTTGTATTTTTAGTAGAGACGGGGTTTCTCCATCCGTGTTGGTTAGGCTGCTCTCGAACTCCCGAACTTAGGTGACCATACCGCCTTGACTTCCCAAAGTGCTGGGATTACAGGCATGAGCCACCGCACCTGGCCAAGAATCCAGATTTGAATGTGGAGCCATTAATTCTCTAAATGTTGGCAACAAATTCACTACCCAAAATTTGCTGTAACATGGAGTCAGCCTGATTACTCTGCAGCTGCCAGAGAAGAAGGAAGGCACAGCCTAGAGGACATGAATATAAGTATGTAAGCCATTGATTAGCCATAGTGATTAGGATTGAGGAATTGTGGATAGTATAATTTTTAATTAAGTGAATATTAACATTAAAGCTCTTTTGATTTCAGCTTTTGCTGTTGGTGTTGAAAATCCCTCTTAAATGTATTTTTTCCTGTCTTATTAGAACACTAGATGACCTGATTGGATCTTTGATGTTTCTGGAGTTTACCAAGTCTCAGGGTCTTTATTTTGATCACTTACTCTGTATAGTAATAGATAGTAGGAGATGAGGCAGAACCTTATACTGATCCCAGGAAGCAATACATGTTTCCTTTTCTGTCTCTTCTCTTAAAAAACATTAGGAAATTGAACTCTGGTTACTTGCATGTTCTGGCTGGTTTATTTCTCTCAATCAAAGTATTAGTATATATTATTGCTTAACCAACATCTGTTAGTTATGATCTTAACCAGGAAAAACATTACATTTCAATAGTCAACAGTAAATGCTGTCTCATAAGTAGATTCTGCCTTGACTAAAGCCATTACCAGCTCTATGTAAATGAAATGCTTCAGTTTCTACCAGGCTGATTTTGCTCTCCAAAATCAGTCAACATGAGATAATAGCCAAAACTTCATGATCATAAATAAAAACTTTTATAATAAAGCTTTATTCATAAATTTACCAGCTTATTTGTTAGCACAATTAGACATTTTAACTATCATAAAATTAATCTTCTTTGTTTTATGTGGTTCATATTCTTTAATACGTGGTTCATATTGTTTCTGTTCTGAGGATACAGAAACAATATTGTTGGGCATCTATTATTATCTCATTTAATTCTCACAGCTATTTGAGATAGATATTGCTGTCTGCATTTTACAAATGAAGAACCAAGGCTCAGAGAAGTTGTTAGTTGCCTAAGGTCACGTAGCTAGTAAATGACAGGACCTGGTTATATCCTAATCTGACTTTAAAGACCATGCATGCTCTTTCTGGTATATCATACAACCTCCCTTATTCAGAAACATATTTTTTTGTTAATCTGATTTTCAAAATATTTTTTCTAGCCTCTAGTGTACCAGAGAGACCATGTACTCGACCAGAATGTGGCCAGCATTCTGTACTTAGTTGGCTGTTTTTAGCGATTTTAAATAGATCACCCACCATCTCTCCTCTCTAGTTAGCTGCCAGGGAGAACATCCCTATAATCCATTCTTGGTATTCCCTAGTGCATCTTTTTGTATTAGGGTGATGTGTTGTGAAATTAAGAGGGATATATTCAATTCGTTTCCTGTTGTAAATTCCTGTGGATTTTTCTTCCTATAGTCTGACCAAAAATAGATTTGCTATATAATTCATACAATTTTAAGATGTAGTGAGTAGACAAAGGCTTTGCGCTAAGACAATATTATGGCATTGCTTTTTTTTTTCTTTTAACATTTTCTCCTGGAATTTATCAAAGGAAAGAATTTCCTGCTGCTAATGAATCATCCATGTGGTTTCCCAGTTTGAATTATTTCCAAATCCTGAGTCTTATGAAATAAATGAATAATTTATAAACCTTTTTCTTTCCTTTTTTTTTTCATATCACCAGGTGACCGATATTCCAGAGTGGTATTTACTTCATCTGGAGGGGAGACATTATGGAATTTACCTGCAATTAAATCAATGTGCAATGTAGATAATTCCAGGGTATGTAAGATAAAAACTAAAATCTCCTTAGCACAAATAAGGTTGTATTATTGAAACTCCTTTTACTGCTGACCCTGGTTTCTGATCAGATGAAAGTACTTCAGAGGCTTACCTACTGAGGAGTAAACTCCAGCAGGCCAGCTTTGCATTCTTTCAGATCCCAGGATCAAAGTGTCCGTGTTTCCTTCAACTTTAAAACATACCATCTTCCTTTTTCTTTCCCATTCATGATCTCTGGCTGTTGATGGTGTTTTCTGTTATTTCACATAGTATTTCTTTTCAGTATAATATTTAAGACTGTTTTTCTTCTTTTGTTGTATTTTTATTTCCTAACCTAGTTTCATTGTTCCCTATTTCCTGCCCTGAGGCAGTTGTCAGCATCTTAATTGTGCAATGAAATGCCTGCCTCTCTGGCAATCACTGGGTCATTTGGGCCAGTGACCTCAAAGGGAAATTTAGGGAGCAGGCTGGGAAAGGGGACATCAAAGAGCATAAATACAGTATCTATGTAAATGACCACAGTAATCCAATCCAAACTGCCCTGAATGCTAAACACCTTGCTGCTTCGGGAGACACCGGGATGCAAGAAGACAGGCGCTTTGTCTCTCAGTCTTCTCTACAGCCAAAAACATGTCCGCATCAGAAAATGTAGTGAGCTTCTGGGTTTGGAAGAGCTGTCAATTTCATATGTTCAGAGATAGTTTCTCTAAATAGAAACTGCTATCTGATGTCACTAATGAACTTGTCCAAGCATAGCAACCAGCATAAAAGGAACTCTTTGTGTTCTCAGCATAACTCTAAAATGTAAAATGACTGGTTAAAAAATCGAATCATGTGCCGTGCTGAGAGCTAGCCTGACCACCTCATGCAATCACCTGTTCGGTCAACAGGGAAATTTCTTAATGAAATAGGCAGTAGAAAGGAAAGAAGAGATCACCCAAACCAGCAGTCTCATTGTACTAACATGAGTACCTTCTAAGAACTAAGTATCTTAACCAGGTAACCTAGTTAGTTGGTCCCAGACCTCCCAGATTTACCCCATCCTTCATTCTAAGAGGCTGTTTGTACATTTTGAAAATGACTTTCCAATCGACTGAGGTATCAGGATTTTCTGTCAGTGCTATCTTCCTTTCACATAGACCAAAGCCACAAACGATCTATAAATAGACCAAAGTTTCTTAATTGGTGATCAATTTTTATTTGTGATGTTTTCTTCTCTTCTACAGCTATCAGTTCCTTATTTGAAGGCTATGAACCTATTTCTCTTTGTCATGCATTAGGATACTTCTTATACAGAAAATTAACTCTAAAGTTGTAAATGTGTAGCGAAATTTACTATGTGCAAGACTTTATGCTGGGTACTTGTACATCACTCACAGTGGATCTGTGACCTTGGAATTTACAATGCATTTTACACGGATGATAAATTAAGCTAAGAGAAGCTAAGCCAGTCTGGTTACTTTATAATCTCACCTTGGATGAGTACAGTTCATTAATTTCTATTCCTTCTTGTCCTCATTCTTCTACCTTTGGTTGATCTTCAGACCTTCCCTTTCCTGAAGACTCTGAAGTGATTGAATTCACTCAGTTAATTAATAGCTGATATTTAGTGAGTATTTACCATGTGCCAGGAAGTGTTCTAAATACTTTAATACATTATTTCATTTAATCCCAATGACAGTGTTGTGAATTAAATACTAAATAGCCCATTTTTCAGTTGAGGAAAGTTCACATCTTTGGTCAGGGGCACTTCCAGGATTGGAACCCAGCCAAGTTGAACTCCAGCGTCTGCCTTTACCCACCCTGCTTTATGCTTCTAGTGAGGAAGATACCTCCCCCGTTTTGTTTCCTGTATATGCCATTTCCCACACAAATGAAGCTTAAAAAGTCACTGTGGTCTGGAATAAGTATCCTTTTTTTTCTTAAAGAGCTAGCAATTTATTCCATGAGTACATGTTAGACTCTGAGACTCAAAAGCCAGTAAGCAATAGTACGCCATGGTGGCTTTCATAAATAAAAGTAGTATAGTCTCTCATCTCTCCTCTCTCTCTGTCTCTCTCTCTCTCTCTATATATATATATATATTTGTAAACTACCTCAACATGATTTATATAGATAGATAGATGATAAAAATCATCATGTTGAGGTAGTTTACAGAAAAGCATATGCAAAGGATGAGATAAATAAGTTGAATGAAATACATGAAGGGAAAACAATGGGAGGAAAATAATAAAGCTAAGGATGAGATTTATACTAATGCACACCCCACAATCTTGTACATTTGCTGATGGGAGCTGCAAACTTATCTGTAACCTCCCAGCAGCCAGAGCAAAAAGGATTCACAATCAGTAACAAAAGTCATATAAATAGGGTAACAAGTTTGTTTTTTAGAAGCCCAGCTTTTCCTCCTGCTAAGACGGGAGGAGACAGTTCCCCCATAGTCTTCATAAAAGAAGTGTGACACTGTGTACAAAATTTTTAACAGCGTGCTTAGAAGAGATACAATATTAAAGTTCAGCTGATTTGCAAAACATAGGTAGGCTGGTAGCAAGAAAACATTACAGTAAAAGCATTTCTATAAGAGATCAAAGCAATGGAATCTATGTGGCTTTCTAATGGTTTAGCTTGTTGCATTTGCATAATTTAGATTATCTAAAGGAATAGATGTACTCTGCTTGTCTATCTTTCTACCGAGTTGATAAGGATAGGACAGCTGTGAGTTTAAGTTTGTAATCCCTGGCAAGAACAGTACAACTACATGTTTTTAGTACATATTTTCTAAGTCAACAACTAAAAGCATTATCTATATGCTTTGGCAGTTAATTAGGAAGAGAGCAGTATTGCGGTGCTCTTGTGAGAATTTGAGAAACAGACTCAAGACATGTGTCAAAATGAATGGTTGGTATGGCCAATTATAGATCCATACCAACAAATGAATAAATAGGTGATCAAAGCCCCAAAAGTCTACCTCAAAGAGTATGGTTATCATTTTAGCTTGTTAAATACTATTTTTACCAATTATAAACACCTTTGTATTCTAGTCTCAAACTCTATGAACCTGGAATAATAAACCTTTCTCATGGAGATAATATATTCATCTGATATCTTAAGTAATAACTATTGGTTAACAGTTCGACTTTCAGAATATTACTGTACCTTTTTTTAGTCTCCCAGTTGAAGACACTGTTAGGGGTTTTCTTTGTTACAGTGGTTCGAGCAGAGTTGTCCTAAGACTACTTGGCAGTTGTTCCTCTCCCCAGCCCCCAAATCCTGGTTGTTATATGGAAGCACTTGATTATTAACAACTATGAAGTTAAATGGGGCGCAACCAAGCAATAGCAAGCAGAAGACCTTAATTGTTGGTGGGTTGACTCCAGAAAACGTCTGGTAATTAGTATAAGATCTCAGTGAGACCAGATGTTTCAATTGTCACCTGCCTGTGTTTACAGCACATTTAGTTCAAACTCTAGGTTTTGTTTAAATTACATGCCATTTGTACTCATAATTCAGACATTGGTTTCCAAAGTGAAGTACTTCTGTTTCTGATCCTGTTGTCTACCTCTTAACAGAAATGCTTGTTTCCTTACACACTTTCAAAAGGAGCTTCAGTTGATTCCCCTACTCTTCTTCATTGCCTCTTTCTGCCCTTTGACATCCTAAGGGACACACTGGTGTCGTTAGTAACCAGAAGTGAGTCTCTCTAATCTTGACTCTGCTGGAAACCATGTACTTGTTCCATAGTCTTTGTACAATGTAGAAGTTGGAGCTCTGAGGACTCAGCTTGTAAAGGGATTTGAAATTTGGTGTCAGAGACTGTTTACTAGGGTGACTTTTGTAGACAGCTAGAAAACCCCTGAAGCTTAGAAGATCCCAGAAACATGTTTTCCTATTCTTGTTTTAAAGAGGGCTACAGAGCCCTTGCTTTTTCTTTTCTCCCGAGGCTCCCCTTAAACGTTTAATACATAGGGAGGTTGGTTACGCGTGGAGGAGGGTCCGGCAGTCAATTGAACCTGGTATTAAGGGCTTAATTTTCCTCCCTTTTGTTCTTTTCTCAGCTTCTTAAAATATCTGCAACTTAGCCAATAGTTTTAAAAGTTAAGGTATCATTTAAAACTCTCTGCTGGTTTCTTCTTTTTCTCTCTTCTCTTACTTTACCCTCTATTTTAAGTCAACTCCACCCCTGGCACTATCTAACTAGGGAAGTGTGCCAAGAGATGTTATAACCACATAAGCACAATGATTCCCCTAAACATCCATTTTGTGAATAACTAGAATTAGAAGGGCTATATTCCTCATGAGAGGTATAAGAAGTTGCTTCCACTAACTCCATTTTTATTTTTATAAACTTCAAAGATTTTGAAATTATTCCTATGAATCCCTCTTCCAAAAATATGGCAAAAACATATCTGTGTTCTGTGTGAAGACATACCTGTTTTCCAGTCTCTTTAAGCCCCATAATATAATACATGCTTCTGTGTTTCTGTATCTCAGTCACACATGACTAAGTTAGTGCCATTGTCACATCATACTTACAGACTTTGGTACTTTCTCTGTAGGTCACCATAAGCCCTTACAGATAATACCATACTTCTCGCTTTGAATTACAGTTACTTATGTTTGTGTCTGATTTCCCTGCCACACTGTGAACAATTTGGAGGAAGGACAACTGTGCCTTATTCATCTTATGTAGATGCTCAGTAAATTTGCTTTTGAATGGATGAATAGATCCAGAACATATGACCTTACTCCCTAAAAGTACAGACAATTCCTTGAACTCCATTCCTTTAAATTCAGCGTGTTGGCATCCAACTCAGGGTAGAGAAAACCAGTCACGATGTCTTTTCTCTGTCCTTATTTCTTACCCTGTATGAGTTCTCGAAAACTGGTTTTCCAAAGGTTGACCATCAATCAGTACCATCTTTGAATTGGAGGACTGGCTCCCCAGTGACTTACTAGCACTCGTTTTTAATAGCAGCCATCAAAATAGCATTTAATCTGTGTTTATAATGTCTAACCGCTTAATCTTTGGTCAACTATACACATCTAAAAATGTGCTATTATTTGAAAAGGTTATTCAAGGACAGAATTCTATGCTTTCTCTCCCAGTTTTAGTTGGCAACTCCATGTCCTTTATCTTTGGCATTTGGTTATTTCAGCAACTACAGGTATTTTCCTTCTAGCTGATAATGGATTTTCATAATGGATACAGTTCATTTTCTTCCATTTGAAAACTGTCAGACATTGGGGTTGCATTACCTTTCATTCAGTTCATCAAGCTGACCCTAGTGGTTTGTATGTTACGTCTTTGTAAGGTAAAACTGGTAACCTGCCATGAAAACCAGTGAGATGCCATTCCAGGGTTTCCTGTTGTTGGGTGGTTCAGTTTTCCCTAAGTTAGCGTATGTGAATGTTTTTATCTGGAAACAGTCAAGTATGAATTATCCTAGTTTATGGAATGTTTACGATTGCTCCTCAAAAATGAGCTTTAAAATGAAGGCTTTGTTAAAGTAAATATTATTTTAGTACATTTGAACAAAAACCTTTTGGGTTCATTTTTCTTTACCCTCAATCTGTAGAAAAACAAACAACTTTTTATTATGGAAATTCTCCAGCATATACAAAAGTAGAGAAATAGTATAATGGACTGTCGAAATAGGACACCCAATTCCACAGTCTCAACACATGGCCAGTCCTGTTTCATCTATACCCCACCCCCACAGGATTAGTCCCAGGAAAGTATCCTGATAAACAGAGTTCAGGGATCATAGGTAACTTGGTTCTTGGGTAAGTCCCAGTTCTGAAGCAGTGATTCATGCCAGCTTCTGCTCTACTTTGAGAAGACATTTCAATACATGATTGATAAAGCCAGTTTAATCAAGGTAAAGAGTGTTTTTAATCCTACTAGAAAAAAAAAATATTCACTTCCTCTTTGAACTTTGGAGTTTCTTCCCTGGAACAGCCTTTGGTAAATAGAGATGAGGGAAACTGATAGGACCAGGTCATCTTTAGTTCTGGTTCTCCTAAAGAGAAGTCTCTGGTCAGGCTCAGGAGAAGAGGAATATTTCTTATTCTCACCTCAGAGAAGAGGGGCTACTCATCTAATTTACAGGATGGAATGGTTCAGACTTTAATCTAGCAAACCAGTGATGGAACAATTTTTCAATTTTTTATAACAATAGCCATAAGATGGAAAGCCTTCTCCAGGAATAGTGTTTTAAATGAAATACTGTCCACACCAAATCCAGAATTACCATACTTGCTAATGTGCAGCAGGTCCTCATTTACCAAAAGAGAAAGTTTTCAAAAAAAGGATTTTTGCCAATTTGAATAAACTTTATGGAAGAAATAATTAAATTCTTACTTAGGCATTTATTTTATTGTATATACCAATTTAAAAATCAGATATCAATCATATTTTAATCCAGAAACATTGCCCTTTTCTACTCATACTTCAGGAAACAATTTTATTCCAAACCTTTATGCTTCTTGACATCAGCACTTTTGATATTACTGGGGTCACTTTTTGATTCACCAAACAGTCTTTGTCTTAATCTGTTTGGGCTTCTGTGACAAAATACCTCGGACTGGGTAATTTATAAACAACAAAAATTTAATTCTTATAGTTCCAGAGGCTGAGAAGTTCAAGATCAAGGAATTAGCAGATTCAGTCTGGTGAGGACCTGTTCCTCATAGATGGGGCATTCTACGTGTCCTCATGACCTCTTATAAAAGCACTACTCCCATTCATGAGGGCTCCTCCCTTGTGATTTAGTCACCTTCCAAAAAGTCACACCCCCTAACACTAACACACTGGGGATTAGGTTTCAACTTGAATTTGGGAGGAGCACAAACATTCAGACCAAAGCAGTTCTCTAGGGAATATCATCTTTGCTTCTAACTGTGTTGACTGAAATATAGTACTTTAGTCACCAACAATTTCATGCTGATAACCAGAATTTTAGGCAAAACCACAAATTTGTTTCATATATCAAGTGTACGGTTTTCTTAATCCTATGCATGTATATACATAAGCTTCACAACCTGTCCATTTTATTGCTTTTTAAAGTGGCTTTGAAAAGGCTTGTTGACTAAGTAGGTGTTAATTTGATCTCCTTTTGTAAACAAAACTAGCATTGGTTGAAGTTGTTTCACACTTGCATGTCATCCCCAAACAGTAGTTTTTAATTCAGAATAAAGTAACCTAAAGGGCATCCTGTAACATGACGCCATTTAGGGGAAATTTCACCCTGTATTCAAACTGATTCCTAGTTTAAGTGGATAATTATTTAGCTTTTGTAACTTTCCCTGTCCCTCAAGATCACCTTAGTGCAGTCCTTTCCAGTTGTGAACGATTGTGAACCAATTTAAACTGTAGTCCTTCTGCTTGTCTCTATCTCTGCAGATCAGATCTCATCCCCAGTTTGGTGATCTCTGCCAGAGGACCACTGCTGCCTCCTGCTGCCCCAGCTGGACACTGGGAAACTACATCGCCATTCTGAACAATAGATCGTCCTGTCAGAAAATAGTTGAGCGAGACGTTTCTCATACCTTGAAGCTGCTTCGGACTTGTGCCAAACACTACCAAAATGGCACTCTGGGGCCAGACTGCTGGGACATGGCAGCCAGAAGAAAGGACCAGCTCAAGTGCACCAATGTGCCACGCAAATGTACCAAGTACAATGCTGTGTACCAGATCCTCCATTACTTGGTGGACAAAGACTTTATGACCCCAAAGACGGCTGACTATGCCACGCCAGCTTTAAAATACAGCATGCTCTTCTCTCCCACAGAGAAAGGGGAGAGCATGATGAACATTTACTTGGACAACTTTGAAAACTGGAACTCTTCTGACGGCGTGACTACCATCACCGGGATTGAGTTTGGTATCAAACACAGTTTGTTTCAGGATTATCTTCTAATGGATACTGTGTATCCTGCCATAGCCATTGTGATTGTCCTTTTAGTTATGTGTGTCTACACCAAGTCCATGTTTATCACTCTGATGACAATGTTTGCAATAATCAGTTCTTTGATTGTTTCCTATTTTCTCTATCGTGTAGTATTTCACTTCGAATTTTTTCCTTTTATGAACCTCACTGCCCTCATTATTTTGGTTGGAATTGGAGCAGATGATGCTTTTGTCCTGTGTGATGTTTGGAACTACACAAAATTTGATAAGCCTCATGCCGAAACCTCAGAAACAGTAAGCATCACCTTGCAGCACGCTGCCCTCTCCATGTTCGTCACCAGTTTTACCACTGCTGCTGCCTTTTATGCTAACTATGTTAGCAACATTACAGCAATCCGATGCTTTGGGGTTTATGCGGGGACAGCTATATTGGTGAATTACGTTTTGATGGTCACATGGCTTCCAGCAGTTGTTGTGCTGCATGAGCGGTATCTTCTTAATATATTCACTTGCTTCAAAAAGCCCCAGCAGCAAATATATGATAACAAAAGCTGCTGGACAGTGGCTTGCCAGAAGTGCCACAAAGTACTCTTTGCCATTTCAGAAGCATCTCGAATTTTTTTCGAAAAAGTATTGCCATGCATTGTCATTAAGTTTCGCTACCTTTGGCTGTTTTGGTTCCTTGCCTTAACTGTAGGTGGGGCCTACATTGTATGTATAAATCCAAAGATGAAACTGCCCTCACTGGAGTTATCCGAGTTCCAGGTGTTCCGGTCGTCCCATCCTTTTGAGCGTTATGATGCTGAATACAAAAAGCTTTTCATGTTTGAACGTGTTCACCATGGCGAGGAGCTCCACATGCCCATCACAGTAATCTGGGGCGTGTCCCCAGAAGACAATGGCAACCCACTAAATCCCAAGAGTAAAGGGAAGTTGACATTAGATAGCAGTTTTAACATCGCCAGCCCAGCTTCCCAGGCCTGGATTTTGCACTTCTGTCAAAAACTGAGAAACCAAACATTCTTTTACCAGACTGATGAACAGGACTTCACCAGCTGCTTCATTGAGACATTCAAACAGTGGATGGAAAACCAGGACTGTGATGAGCCTGCCCTGTACCCATGCTGCAGCCACTGGAGCTTCCCCTACAAGCAAGAGATTTTTGAACTGTGCATCAAGAGAGCTATCATGGAGCTGGAAAGGAGTACAGGGTACCATTTGGATAGCAAAACCCCAGGGCCGAGGTTTGATATCAATGATACTATCAGGGCAGTGGTGTTAGAGTTCCAGAGTACCTACCTCTTCACACTGGCTTATGAAAAGATGCATCAGTTTTATAAAGAGGTGGACTCGTGGATATCCAGTGAGCTGAGTTCGGCCCCTGAAGGCCTCAGCAATGGTTGGTTTGTCAGCAATCTGGAGTTCTATGACCTCCAGGATAGCCTCTCCGATGGCACCCTCATTGCCATGGGGCTGTCAGTTGCTGTTGCATTTAGCGTGATGCTGCTGACAACTTGGAACATCATCATAAGCCTTTATGCCATCATTTCAATTGCTGGAACGATATTTGTCACTGTTGGTTCTCTTGTCCTGCTGGGCTGGGAGCTCAATGTGTTGGAATCTGTCACCATTTCGGTTGCCGTCGGCTTGTCTGTAGACTTTGCCGTCCATTATGGGGTTGCCTACCGCTTGGCTCCAGATCCCGACCGAGAAGGCAAAGTGATCTTCTCTCTGAGTCGCGTGGGCTCTGCGATGGCCATGGCTGCCCTGACCACCTTCGTGGCAGGGGCCATGATGATGCCCTCCACAGTTCTAGCTTACACCCAGCTGGGCACCTTCATGATGCTCATCATGTGTATCAGTTGGGCTTTCGCCACCTTCTTTTTCCAGTGCATGTGCCGGTGCCTTGGACCACAGGGTACCTGTGGTCAGATTCCTTTACCTAAAAAACTACAGTGCAGTGCCTTTTCCCATGCCTTGTCTACAAGTCCCAGTGACAAGGGACAAAGCAAAACACATACCATAAATGCTTATCATTTAGATCCCAGGGGCCCAAAATCTGAACTGGAGCATGAGTTTTATGAATTAGAACCTCTGGCTTCCCACAGCTGCACTGCCCCTGAGAAGACCACTTATGAAGAGACCCACATCTGCTCTGAATTTTTCAACAGCCAAGCAAAGAATTTAGGGATGCCTGTGCATGCAGCTTACAACAGTGAACTCAGCAAAAGCACTGAAAGTGACGCTGGCTCTGCCTTGTTACAGCCCCCTCTTGAACAGCATACCGTGTGTCACTTCTTCTCTCTGAATCAGAGATGTAGCTGCCCAGATGCCTACAAACACTTGAACTATGGCCCACACTCTTGCCAGCAGATGGGGGACTGCTTGTGCCACCAGTGCTCTCCTACCACTAGCAGCTTTGTCCAGATCCAAAACGGCGTGGCACCTCTGAAGGCCACACACCAAGCTGTCGAGGGCTTTGTGCACCCCATCACGCACATCCACCACTGTCCCTGCCTGCAGGGCAGAGTAAAGCCAGCCGGAATGCAGAATTCTCTGCCTAGGAATTTTTTCCTCCACCCAGTGCAGCACATTCAGGCCCAAGAAAAAATTGGCAAGACCAATGTACACAGTCTTCAGAGGAGCATAGAAGAGCATCTTCCAAAGATGGCAGAGCCATCGTCATTTGTCTGCAGAAGCACTGGATCGTTACTCAAAACGTGTTGCGACCCCGAGAATAAACAAAGGGAACTCTGTAAAAATAGAGACGTGAGCAATCTGGAGAGCAGTGGAGGGACTGAAAACAAGGCAGGAGGGAAAGTGGAGCTGAGCTTGTCACAGACGGATGCAAGTGTGAACTCAGAACATTTCAATCAGAATGAACCAAAAGTCCTATTTAATCATTTAATGGGGGAGGCTGGTTGTAGGTCTTGCCCAAATAATTCACAAAGTTGTGGCAGAATTGTGAGAGTGAAGTGCAATTCTGTGGACTGTCAAATGCCAAACATGGAAGCCAATGTGCCTGCTGTATTAACACACTCGGAACTTTCTGGTGAAAGTTTGTTAATAAAAACACTATAATAAATGCAGCATTCAATTCAGAACCAGTGCCTCAATTATTCTTTTAACATGGAAGTAAAATCCAGAAGCTTAGAAAAGAAGCCCAAAAATACAGCAACAAGCATGTTTCACATTAACAATTTTAGAATATTTTTATATTCCGTAGGAACAACAAACTTACAAATCTGCTGAGTGCGTTAGGTTATTGGATTGGATGATTGTTGGATTTTATATTTTCAAAAAGTATAGTTGTTTTTTACATTTATGCCCAGCTTGAAAAATAACTGTCTCTCTTTCTACCCTCCCACTGCAGTGAGTCGGAGATTTAAAGTTTAAAGTTTCCGTTCTCCCGGGCCATCATATTCACCTGGTATCCTCATTCTAGTGTATTTCGTGGGCAGTAATCAGTACTTTTGATTGCTCAACATGAATACTAGGAATTGCTCTAATTTTAATAGAGCCAGTTCAGTTGGGATTCAAGAACTAAATTAAAACTTACATTTTTGGTGAGGCCTCATGTAAAAAATCAATTGCCAAGCACCTTAATAATGCATTCCACATGTCTGCTTTAGTAGACTTTACATGAAGCCAAGAACACACGTATATCCACACCAGTGTCTTTTCCACTTTAACCAAAATGTACAGTTGTTCAGTAATTTTAGCTGTTAACCCAGGAGCCATGAGCATCATCTGTGTCAGGCCACAATTATGTTAAAGGCACAGAAGGACGGGCGTGAATGAAGAGATGTGATCGCACAAAATAGTGCTGCACTTCACAGGATACGTTGCATGATGTCAGAGACAGATCCAGGTCAGGTGAGCATTCAGAGCAAGGGAACTTGGATGAAGTTTTGCTTCCAACTCTGCCCCTAAGGGGCCATGTTTAGAAGGCTTCTTTCTCCTTTGTTAAAAAGTGTCTCAAGACACTTAAGGATTATTTTTTTGTGCAGTTAACACCTGGAAATGCTAAGCCTTCAGGCAGCATCTTAAATGACACTTGTGTATCTCATGTTAGATCAGTCGACAGTAATTGAGCTGTTGGAGCATGCTCTCTGGATAATGCTTCAGATGACAGTCCTCATCATAGGGTGTCATCTGATCCTTTGTGCATTCCAGCCCCATCCTGGAAGTGTTCTTCTGCATTCTGCTTCCCTCTGGAGTTCTACCTCCAATTTGGTCCTCCAAAGAAAAGAGTGGAAATATTTGTAAATACAATGTTCCCTCCAAACGTTATATTGGTTATTTTCTAAGAATAGTTTTCCAAATTAGATCTGCATGTTTTTCCAGGGCCTGAGAAAAATGCTGTCAGAAGCAGGAAGGGATCTTATGGGTCATTGACTCCAACCCACATCCACTAGACCACATATTTGTTAAGTAACTTTCCAGCTTTTGCTTGAACACTTCGGTGACCAGTAGGTCACTACACGTCTACCTTGGTTGAACCGGAATTTGTTGTCCTGTAGTTTTTCTACCAGTTTGTCCTCATTCTGTTCTCTGAAGTGAAAGCAAACATCCCTCTTGCTAACATTGGCAGTTCACTGAGTTCATCCCGTGAACACGGATTGAGCATCTACGCACTGTGCAGCTGAAGTACACAAGCAGACTCTGATTACACTGCAAGGAGGAGGACCAGCCCCCAGGAGTCTGGATGGCACTCCCGCTAGTTCACATAGAGACGGAAATAACTTTCGCTCAAGTATTATAGCCAACTCTCAGGCAGCGCACAGGGAACTAAACCCTCTAGGTCTCTCACATATTCTGTTGCTAAGCTGCCTCTCCAAACCAGTTAGTTTCTTTTAACACTGACATTCAGGAGCTTATGTCCATTCCCATCGCACTTAATTCTGTTAGATAAATAAGGGGACATATGGAGGAGAAGGAGCACTTGAAAACAGGACTCACGATACCCGACACTAGAGTCTTTGTTTTCCCTCTGAAATGTGTAACCATAAAGTTATGTGAAAATTTAGTGGCCCAAAAGGACTTTTTTCGGCCACCCACATGGATTGAATTTAAAGGCAATTAAAAAAAACGCCAATTTCTTTATGGATGGTCTAACCTGGAAGACTTTCAGGTAAGCTAAGTGTCATTTGATTTGAAAATGAAGACTAGAGGGAGGAGGGGGAACATCCTATGTCTTCTCTCTGGGTTCCACCAGGGAGGCATGGTTACCATGCACCGAGCCTGCTCTGTCTCCACGGGGCTGGAGGGGCCTCCCCCGTCCCCCATCCCCCGTCCCCCATCCCCCATCTCTGATTAATTACCCTGAGCCTTGAATGCAGCAGTGAAACCTTTTCACATTTATTTCATCTCCAGATCTGGGCCTTTGAATTGACTATGTTTTTCACGAATGGATTTCTTTTTTTAAAAAAGTATTTGCTGGGGCTAGAAAGTTTTAAGAATTTTTTAATTTTTATTTTCAATTCATTACTGGGCAGCAGAGGATCACTATTTCTAGGAATGTTTCACAAAAAACTTCATCCAATCTTCTAGGTAATTTTCAAAGCAGATAAGAGGTTAAATTATACATAGGGAAAAGAGCCCTTTCCTCTGTCTGTGAAATACTTGTAACTTGGAAGGTATTTGGTTATGGAAAGAATCTGCAGACTGCCACTACAACAAGAACATCTTTGAGGTTTGAGTCCATGTTATCAAATTTGTTCCTGACTTCTTCCCTGCAAGGTCACTCTTTAAATTCCTATTTTATTGAAAAGTGGAAGAGGCCAAGAGCAAGGAGTTTTTCACAGAGACAAGCTGTGTTTGAAATAACTACACCGCTTCATCTGTGTGTATTCATTTCTTTGTGTAATTGCTGTAAAATGCACATCCTCCTAGAATAATATTCTTTAAAGGTAGGCTAAGCTGCTATTAAATGTTATTGTAATAATCTATGCCCCACCTTCAATCATTCTAAATTTTTAAACTTTTGCATGGGGTGATGTGAAGAGTAGTTTACAAATGTGATCTTACAGGAGATTAGGAAATGTTCCCGGTTCCCATTGTCTCACATGGAAACCATCTTTCCACCAGCAGTTAGGATAGTTTCTGAATGAAATAGCAGCAAACAGTGTCTTTGAAAACAGCTGCATCTTTTCACTTTAATGAGGAGAGTCGTTTTAGAAGAAAAAACAATGAAACCTGTGTTTTAAAAAAAATCCAGACTCAATTGGGATTTTTTCTTAAGGTTCAAACATAACCACAAAAATAGAAATTTGTTGAAATCACAAGGGGATTGTTTTTTATGCACAAGAAACTATCACGTCCAAATACCCTGTATGCCATAGTGGAGCTTTCGGAAATGTTTGCTGGCATTTAGTTTATCTCTAATTATTGTTAGATTAACCTACTTTTTTTGTTAGACATTTTCATTAATGTTTGGTTTTGTACACTAAGGTTTCATATCTTTGCATTAAATACAAAGAAAAAAGTAATGAATATGCAAGGTTGATTAGTGGAATCTTGTGCCCTTTGTTCTTAACAGTGTTTTAATTGCCATAATTTTGGATGTGTGTGTGTGTGTGAAAAGAAAAGATGTCACTTCTCTTTTTGTTAGCTTTGTGAACCAAAGGGTGCTTACAGAAAAACAACTAAGTAACCAGGATCAACAACAGTTTCCATCAGATCCCCTAAACCATCAGTTAGAACATGAAGTTGACAATACAGGGGCCAACTAGGACACAGTTCATTAACTCAGTGGAGCCTGTGGGCACATACGTATGCTTTCCTGAGATTCTGGGGCCGTGAGTGCTGTTTTAAGTTTTAGGGAGGGGGACATGAAATACAGCGATGATGTTCTGCATTCAGAAGTCAGTCCAAGAAGGAGCTTCTTCCAGCTTGCCTGTTCTTAAGGTTTTAGGTAACCTTGAGAACCATATACTTTTTATTTTGAATAAGAAGATAAATCAGTGGCCCAAATTATTCACAGTGATGCTGTACAAAACAGGTTCCCTTCTTAAGGGATTTAAGCCAACATTTGAAATAACAGTCAACACCTCTGCTGCTCTCATCTGACCCATAAAATGACTGCACTTCTTGACTTACTTTGTGCTTCATTTAGTGACTGTGATATTCACAACCCTATGACAATCACAGTGAAATAGTTCAATTCCATGTTCTTAAATCGACTGGAATAGCTAAACTGCAACATTTACCCTTTCAAATCTTTTTTTTTTTTTACATAACTTTCTGTAATGTAAACTATGCTTTCCTAAAAAAATTAAGGGCAGATTATTTTTAGCAAGAAATATTTTTCTTTGGGGTCGGGCGTGGTGGCTCATGCCTGTAATCTCAGCACTTTGGGAGGCCGAGGCGGGCAGAGCACTTGAGGTCAGGAGTTTGAGACCAGCCTGGCCAACATGGTGAAACCCTGTCTCTACTAAAAATACAAAAATTAGCCAGGCGTGATGGTGAGTGCCTGTAATCCCAGCTACTCAGGAGGCTGAGGCAGGAGAATCACTTGAACATGGGAGGAGGAGGTTGGGGTGAGCTGAGATCGTGCCACTGCACTCCAGCCTGGGTAACAGAGTGAGACTCCATCTCCAAAAAAAAAAAGGAAAAGAAAAATATTTTTCTTTGGAATCCAATAAGGTTCTTGTAAGAGCCGGTTTTAATTTGAGGCAAAGTAACAGAGTAAAATTGGCTCAATCTCTATCCACTAATTGGCCATTTTTGATCAGTGCATTGGACTTTTAACTTGCCACTATTTAAAGGGGAAAGGATTTGCTAAATAAACCAATAATCTAAACAGGATTACAAAGAGCCTGTTTAGCCTGCCTAAGAAAACAAACCTCTAGAGTTTAAAAAACTGTAGTGTTACTGTCTTTGCAACGTAATATGATCATTACAAATCTTACTAATTTTTAAAAAAAGGGTCCCGTGGGATAATCTCTAGGCAAAACTTTACCAGATGTTTTAAATACTAGGTAAGAATGGGAAAATAGCATGGATTTTCAAGTGGTCCTCAATGTGGTCTTTCTGAGATTCTCCCCACTCCCACCAGCTGCATTATTCTATCTTGGGAAGCTCTCTCACCCACAGAGTGACTTCTATTTCTCTCTTTTGTGGCAGCAATCAAGAGCTTAATTCACTGGAGCTTTAAACCATGGGGTGTGTGAAGCCACAAGCATTCCTCTCCCTCCAGTAAGATTTCTGTTTGTAAAGAGATCTGAGGAAAGGCTTTGTGAAACAAGCAAATCTCTGACAATATCCTCACTCAGATTGAAGTTCACCGGTGTTTGTTCTTTTTTAGAGCTTGATCTCTTCTCTTTACTTTTAGTTTCCTGAATAGTGTATGTGTTATTCGTCATATATGTGGGATGGGACTAGATCTATACCGAATAATCTTGAATTGCTGAATAATTCTGTCACAGATCCCATTTGGAATTTCTTTGCCTTGCCCTGCCCTGGAAAGGACCCTGGGCTCTGGCAGATAAAGGGGAATTCCCTTCAGTGAGTGGCTTCCCTGCCAATCATGGCAAATTACACAGCTCTCTAGTAAATATCTGCACGATGCCAACCGAGAAGAAGCGGAGGTCAGAAAAGCCAATTTTGAGACAACACTTCAATCCTTCCTCTAAGTCACTGTGATTCAGAAAACATTTAGGTGCATCTCCTATCCTGGAAATAAAAACTGATTTTTGCAAAGGTTAAATGAGATGCGACACATTAAAGAGGCTATTGTGTAACTCTTACTATCCAATAGCTTTTATGCTCATCATCATGTCATTCGATTCTGCTCATTAACGCTCATCCTGCAAACATTCGAGCAAGACCAGCCACTTTCTAGTACCTCAGGCCATCCTTTGTCAGCTGATTCCCTGTCACACAGATGCTATGTATTTGCCTGTATTGCAAATATCGTATATATTATATATAGTATATAAATGTGTGTACATACATGTTTTCAATGTATAGATTTGCTGCAAATACTTCAATATAATAAAAACTGTATTCTACTCTAGTCTGTCTTACTGTGAACTCTGTGTTTTAAATAAGGTGTTTGTTTTTATTTATGTTCCAAAAGCTGCATCAGTGTATCCATTCACTACATTCTTGGGGTACCATAGAGGTATTTTCTACTCTGACTTTATAAGCTAAATAATTTTAAGGATATTCTTCATATTCTGGTTGTAGCATGTTTTTTATAGTTTACAAGTCCCTTTTCCATGCATACTTAGCTAAATTAAATCAGTCTTTGGATGGGCGCTGTGGCTCACGCCTGTAATCCCAGCACTTCGGAAGGCCAAGGTGGTTAGATCACCTGAGCTCAAGAGTTCAAGACCACCCTGGGCAACATGGTGAAACCCTGTCTCTACTAAAATACAAAAAAATTAGCTGAGCATGGTGGTGTGCGCCTGTAGTTCCAACTACTCAGGAGACTGAGGCACGAGAATCTCTTGAGCCCAGGAGGCAGAGGTTGCAGTGAGCCGAGATTGCTCCACTGCACTCCAGCTTGGGCTACAGAGTGAGACTCCGTCTACAAAAATAAATGAATAAATTAATTAAGTCGGTCTTCACTATAAGTTGTCTGCCAAAAAATGTTGAAGGAATGAATGAGTAAATGGATGAAAGGATACACAGATTGTTGAAGTAGTCAGGGCAGATAGTTTTCCCTTGTTTACAGATGATGAACTTGAGGCAAAGGGACTTAACTTGATCACTTGCCTGACAAGTTTTAAATTAGGAATCCAGAGTTTTTTCCACAATATAAACCTACCATGATGAAGTCATTAAAAAAATGGTTCATGATTCCTTGATATCATTTTAATTTTAACCATCCATATGACTCCTCTTCTGATGTAATTATTCACTAGCCTATTTCTCTTGACTTAGTTCTTATTCAAGGTAGATACATATTTTTCTAGTTTTTATTTGCCACTTATGCTTGTGGGTTTTGTCACATAATATATGTTTCATGTTCATTTTGAGGGTCTCATAATACTCAGAAATTGAAAAGCAAAACCCAAGATCTGCAGTGGTTTCTGCTACAATAAGCTGAACTTAAGATGAAACTTTGAGAAAATGGATAGACACAATTGACATTTTCCAGAATACACGTTTTATTTTAAAATCCCCTCAGTGTTTTTGCTAATGCACACTGAAGTTCCCTTGATTTGTCTGCCATCCATGTATAGATTTGCTCATTAATCCAACAGACACTGCTGAGAGCCTGCAATAAGCCAGCTACTGTCTCAGTTACTGGAGCCTGAATAAGACACGGCCCCTGCCTTCCAAGAGTGCAGAGTAGTAAACAAATCATTACAAGATAAATGACTGCTTGGAAGAAAAATCAATTTTACAACACCTCTCACAAACAAAGGATTAATATCTCTATCATACAAATGTAAAAGAAAAGAGAACCAATAGAAAAGTGGGCAAATGAAATAACCCGGCACTCAACAGAAGGAGGGTTACAAATGGACAATCTATTCACTAGTTGACTTACCATTTGAACTTACACAGTTGTCCAGAATTTTAGATAGATGGCTTCCAGTGTTGGAAAGGATGTGGGCGAAAGAGGTACTGTTTGGATGGGTGAAAATCAACACAATATTTTGAAAGGGTAGTTTCTGACAACACCGTGGATGTTTATAGTCTGTGATAGAAGAGTCTCATTTCTAGAAATCTCCCCTCCAGAAATGATGAAATATGTGTGTGCCACGTCTATGTATGGGAGTGTTCATCACAAGAATTCAAAAAAAATGCTGTCCACCAGAAGAGCCCTGGTTAAAGAAAGCTATGGAATACGTGGTAGCCCTTTAAAAGAATGATGTAGATTTTTATGAACTCACCTGTAAAGATATTCATGGTACATCGTTAGGGAAAAAAAAATAAGTTGCAAATAAAATAGAATGATATAACAAAACTTTTAGCAAGGTTTCCTCTAGCGAATAGAGTCAAATATAAGACTACTTGCAAATGACGGAGTAATTTAACATTATTTAATAATTTTTTAATGTACTTGGAAAACAGATGATTTTAGCCTTCCTTTTCAATATTGTATTTTTTTACATTGCAAGAAAGCAGCGGGCCACACAGCAGAGAAGGGGCTGTCTACCCAATAGTTTAAAAATAGGTGAATGTCCAAATGGCACAGTTTAGTGTAAGTATTGTAACCCAGGAGTGCACAAAACGTCATAAGAAAGGAGAGGAAGGGACATAATCCTGTGTGTTTACCATTTATGTGGTCTCTTTTCATCTATTATCCATTTAATCCCTGGACAATCTAGGAAGTCAGTAATATTACCTCTATTTTACAGATGCATAAACTGAGGATAAGAAAAATTAGGTAACACTTCTAAGGTCACACAGCTGTGTAGCAGCAGAGATAGATTTTAGCCCAGGCCTGTTTAGCAAGCTCCCACCTGAATGTTTGGGCCAGGTATTATAGATGCAACCAGAGGAGAGAGCTGCAATCCAGGCAGAGGAAACTGCAGATAAGAGTCAGAGACTTCAAAGAACTTAGCCCATCACAGGAATGTTTCTAACAGGGAGAAGTTGTAAAAATTTCTCATACCTGGTAAAAAGAAGACTATAAAAGAGTCTTCAAGTCACACCAAAATCAAAACCTTTTTTCTACAGGTTTCTTTATATGCTCTAGAACTAAGGGCTTGAACAGGGGCTTCTAGAAAGAAGGCAGATCTGAATCTAGACTTCCCGTCTCACACAGTGATTTGTGGAATGGGGACTGTGTGTGTGGTGGACTGTGATCATTCCTGGGTA
Organism: Homo sapiens; assembly: GCF_000001405.40. Lineage (NCBI taxonomy): Eukaryota > Metazoa > Chordata > Mammalia > Primates > Hominidae > Homo > Homo sapiens. The sequence continues at coordinate 223,014,673 of NC_000001.11, forward strand.
CTCCCACACTTTAACAGCCTCTCCATATTTCAAAAGCTTCCCCCATATTGTGGATCTACCTTCCCAGCATGGCAGCCAGACATGGATGCCCAGTCTCACTTGCTGTAAGGCTACAGACATGTGACTTAGTTTCTATCAATCAGATGGACTTTGGTTTGAAAGTGATGAAACAGGCCGGGCGCGGTGGCTCACACCTGTAATCCCAGCACTTTGGGAGGCCAAGGCGGGTGGATCATAAGGTCAAGAGATCGAGACCATCCTGGCTAACATGGTGAAACCCCATCTCTACTAAATATATAAAAATTAGCTGAATGTGGTGGTGCACACCTGTAATCCCAGCTATTCAGGAGGCTGAGGCAGGAGAATCACTTGAACCCGGGAGGCAGAGGTTTCAGTGAGCCGAGATGGCGCCACTGCACTCCAGCCCGGTCGACAGAACAAGACTCTGTCTCAAATTTAAAAAAAAAAAAAAAAGTGATGAAACCAGCTGGGACCATGGCTTAGACCTGCAAATGCATGTGATTTGGGGTTGTCAATGTCGGCAGCTCCCTTACCAGGACCATTCTTCAGTGCGGTGCTGGAAGTTGTTCTAGAAGCTTGGGTGTCTCCAGTCCTTGCAACATTTCAGTGAGTTTTCTAATGTCCTTAATAAATGCTCTCCTGCTGAAAACCAGCTAGAATAGATTCTATTGTCTGCAACTCAGGACCATGACCAATACAACACAGGGACTCTAAGGGGAGAGGAAGAGCCATCCTATCACCCTACTGGTCTTAGCTTCAAATAAGGAATGGAGAAAGCTATGAAATAAAGTGTGCTGGCCTCTTTGCTAACACTTTGTCTTCACTTCCTTAAGGTTAATGAGTTCTAATCATGTTCAGAATTTACCTTAGAGTTTTAAATTCTGCCCCAAGGCAATTACATCTTTCATTCGTTTATAAATACTCCAGTAGTAATGTCTTGACCTCATAGCCTCTGAAACATTCACTTCCCCAGCAAATGCTAACCATGGAAACAACTCAGCCAAAATGCATAACTGATAGGAGAGAGGCAGGGGCTATGCCTAACTCCCTCTGGGAGTTCCCTGGGAGGCCCACATATCTGAAAAGAAGACTGAGAACCGAGGGGAGGCAGACAGGTGAGAAGACAGCTTTCAAGTCCTTTGATTTCTTTTTTTTTTTTTTTTCAGACAGAGTCTCGTTCTGTCGCCCAGGCTGGAGTGCAGTGGGGCCATCTCTGCTTACTGCAACCTCCGCCCCCCTGTTCAAGCAATTCTCCTGCCTCAGCCTCCAGAGTAGCTGAAATTAAAGGGGTGCGCCACCACACCCGGCTAATTCTTGTATTTTTAGTAGAGACAGGGTTTCACCATGTTGGCCAGGTTGGTCTCGATCTCCTGACCTCAAGTAATATGCCTGCCTCGGCCTCCCAAAGTGCTGGGATTACAGGCGTGAACCACTACACTCAGCCCTGAACGATGGACTTTCATGAAATAGAAGCTAGCTTCGTCTATTTTAAGTAGAGTGAAAAGATTTTTGTGAGAAGAATTGGGGTGCCTCATGGAACCCACGGGCAGGCTTCCCAAGGGGCTGGAAGCAAGAGATCTCTCCCCTGGTCTTTGTCTCTGCTGTCTCTCTCTGTTTGTCTCGGTGTCAACAGGCGTGAGCCACCGCACCCAGCAGTAAAATAAACTTTCTAAATTGACTGGGACCTTTGATTTCTTAAGAGAAGATGATCTGTTAATGCAGGCACTGGGGAAGAACATCACTGAGAAGTATGGCTGGAGTGCACACAGCCTGCTGGGCTGGTCCTAGGCTCTTTGCCCACTCTAATAATGGGAGATGGATTCAGAGGCCTAAACATACAAAGAGGTTCTTGTGCAGGTTGTTGTGCATTAGAGGAGTCATGTCTTAAGGAAAAAGGCCTGGGAGAGCTTCCCATCTGCCCAGGGGAATTTAGGAGAACTGGGCCTTCCTGCTGAGAGGCCAGCGTGGGAGTTAGTAGGGGGAGCCTGGAGTTGGGATCTGCTCACTGAGGCCATCTGAGGCCAGTCTATAGTTATAATGATTTCCTAGCTCTCTGTCATCTTTGGAGGTAGAGGAAGAATTATTCTTCCTCGTGTAGTAAGCAGAGCTTTATGAAAACCAAAACAAAGACTGAAAGACCAACCAGTGAATGTTGGGTAGGGAATTTTTACTGCCCAACAGGGAACTGCACCCACCTGGGAGATGAGGTTGGAGGAAGAGAAATGGGGTAGGTCTTTCAAGCCAACAAGGTGTGCCCTGTCTCTTTGGAAGCAAGGCTTCTGAGATGATTAGTGGCTGTCTGGTGACATCGGGCTTGCTGAGAAGGCAGGCACCAGGCTGGCTGGAGAAGGTTTGTTGTTGGTGGGCAGGCGCTACGGCGCCCACTGCTGGGTCTTGGTGCATCCAAGGGGAGCCAGCCCTGCAGATCTGCCCAGTGCTGGCCGGCCGGGTGGCCAGTGGGGTCAGTCTGCTTCTTGTGTGGCTCTGCCTCTGGCTTTGCATCAGGTGCAGGGGCAAAGGGGTCATGGCTGGAGAAAAGTGGTCAGTCTTCTGTGGAAAGCCAAGGGGCTTTCTGTGTGTGCTAGAGGGCAGGGCCCATGGGTCTCGCACAGCCCACCACAGGCAGGCCGGGGCCCCTTCTCACCACCTCCCTACCTACTGGTATTTCTCTAGGGCTCCCTCTCCCCTACTTTCTCACAAGCTGAAGAGCCTGTGGCCTCCACCCCCAGCCCCTGGGAAAAAGCCTGGCTAGGAAGCAGTTGCCTGGAGTCCGGCAGGAAACCTGCACTGGTGTGGCGGAGAGAATGGGTGGCTCTTCCTTATCTGCCGGGACGGAGCAGGCCGAGGGGTAAACAGGAGGCTGTCCCAGCACCGGGAATTCCTGGATGAGGTGTTCCTCTTTAACTGGAAGGAAGGGATATCCTGTGTATTAGTCCATTTTCATGCTGCTGATAAAGACATACCTGAGACTGGGAAGAAAAAGAGGTTTAATTGGACTTACAGTTCCACATGGCTGGGGAGGCCTCAGAATCATGGCAGAAGGTAAAAGGAACTTCTTACATGGTGGTGGCAAGAGAAAAACGAGGAAGAAGCAAAAGCGGAAACCCCTGATAAACCCATCAGATCTCATGAGACTTATTCATGAGAATAGCACGGGAAAGACCGGACCCCATGAGTCAATGACCTTCCCTGGGTCCCTCCCACAACATGTGGGAATTCTGGGAGATAGAATTCAAGTTGTGATTTTGGTGGGGACACAGCCAAACCATATTATCCTAACATTGATTATCAAGATGGTCTCATCCAGGAATCCTTCCAGACCCACAGTAGGAAGGGGTGAGATGCATGTTTGATTTTGGGGACTGATGGCCAGGATACTCTCTGGGTTGGAGCCAGGAACCAAGGCCCCTTGAGGCCCGGCTTTGGGGACAAAGCAGAGAGAAATCAGGATCATAGGAGCACTGTCTGAGGATCAGCTAGGCCTGGATTCAAATCCAGACCACCCCTCGCCAGTGTGAGCTAAGCCCGCACCTTAGCCTCTCTGAGTCTCATCTGTGGATGGGGGTCACACTGCTTGCCTCCCTGGGCTGCCTGTGACAGTGTGCACACCCTCCACACACCACATTCGGGCCCCAGGTGGACATTTGCTAGGAAACTGCACAGCCTGGTTCCACTTTGTCATTCTGAAGCCACAGCTTGCCTGTGTGAGTGGGGACAAGAATAAGAAAGGACCTTGCCCAAAGTGCTCAGTCTTCAACACTGGCCCCTCTTCTGCAGAGACCTTGCAGGACAGGGCCTAAGGAGATGTTGTGGCCACTCGATGACCTGCCGTCTCTGTAGGGGATCAGGAACCACAGGTCTGGGTTGGCGCTTGGGTGGAGCTGGGGATACATTTGGGAGTCTGGCCCACATCACTGTTAGACACACGGAAGACTCCCGCCAAATCCATAGTCACCAGGCCTGCAGGGACCCTCCGAGGATGTAGAGAGAACTGCCTGACTGAGGATGGGGCAGTCATCCCTTCCTGTGTCCGGGCAACTGGAGAGAGCTGGGAGTCAATACCTCACATGGATGGTGGGGCCCAATAGCCCCGGCCGCATGTGCTTATTGAGCACTTAACATGGGGCTCATGTGAGGGAGGAAGTGAATCTTTAATTTTAGCTTATTCCCATTTAAATGGCCACACACAGCTAGTGGCTGCTGCCTTGGCTAGCCCAGGCTAGGCTGCAGTGGTTCCCAAACTTTCATGAGTATAAGAATCACCCAAGGAGCTTGTTGAAAAGTAGACTCAGAGATTTGGGTTCAGCCGGTCAGGGGAGAGGTCAGGGGAGAGGCTCTGGAGTTGCACCTTAATAAGCAGTCCACACTCTGATTTAGGGGCCACCTGGCCATCCGTTCTGTACTCCTCCTCCTTTCTTTCTTCCCAGCCCAGCTTTCTCTTTTACTGTCTTCTTATTCTGTGCCTTTGCCTCCATCATTTTATTTCCATTCCATTCCATTCCATCTATCTACAATTATGTGTCACTTAACGACAGGGGTACATTCTAAGAAGTGTGTCATTAGGTAATTTTGATATTGTTGTAAACCAAAAATAAAATTGTAAGGCCCCACCAACTATCTGAATGGACTCCTGCTCTCTTCCAAGGGCATTCCAAAGTTAACCTGAAAAACTAGTTCAGGCCTTGACAGGAACTGGGAGCTGGACATACCTCATCATTCCCTCCTCCCTTTTGGAATTACTGACAGAACAGACTCTTTAAGTCTGATAAGAAACATTTACAGTCTGGTCTCCCTGAAGCCTGCTACCTAAAAGCTTCATCTGCATGATCAAACCTTGGCATCCACAACCCCTTATCTCAACCCAGACATTCCTTTCTATTGATAACAACTCAACTAATTGCCAATCCAAAAATCTTTAAATCTACTTATAACTTGGAAGCCCCTGCTTTGAGTTATCCTGCCTTTCTGGACCAAACCAATGTACTGTTACATGTATTGATTGATGTCTCATATCTCCCTAAAATGTATAAAACCAAGCTCTACCCTACAGCCTTGGGGAAATGTCGTCAGGACTTCCTGAGGCTGTGTCACAGGCGTGGGCTTAGCCTTGGCAAAATAAACTTTCTAAATTGAGACCTGTCTCAGATACGTTGGGTTTACATTGTGCAAACATCATCGTGTATACTTACATAAACTAAATGGTGTCACCTACTAAATGCATAGGCTATAGGGTACAGCCTATTGCCCCTCGGCTACAAACCTGTACAGCACATTACCGTATTGAATACTGCAGGCGACTGGAACACAACGGTAAGTATCATGCATCTAAACGTAGAAAAGGTAATGGGTTGTGCTGTGGCATCCCTAGGTGACAGGGATTTTCTTGGTTCCTTTATAATCTCATGGGACCACCATCATGTAAGTGGCCAATCATTGACAGAAATGCTGCTACACGGCACATGACTGTATGTAAATCTTATTAAATGGCTTAATGAGTGCTGCCAAACTTCAATGGGAGGCTGATGATGAGGAGTGAGGTGGGGAGGCCAGACCCGGGTATGTCTGCCTACAGCGGTAGAGTAGCACACACCCGTGAGCGTAGGCATATTACTCAATTCTTTAAGCCTCAATTTCCTCATCTGAAAGGGAATGCAGTAATGCTTTATAAGAAGACGTCAAGGATTAAATGAGATTTAATAGGAATCCAATAAAGGTGAGTTCCTGTCTGCATTCCTCAATCCCTCACCCTCTCCTGTTCCCTTCCAGTAAACCAGCACGTAGAGACGAGGCCTGCAAGTAACCCATCTCCCCTCGTCTCTGTGATGGGACCAGAGATCCACCACCAGCATCCTCTTTTCCCTCCTTATAAACATGACTTCTATTTGTCCCTCAACATCTTTGAATTCTGAACTTTTAGGGTTCTCATAAGAAAGTAATTGGCCGGTAAACTGAGGTCTGGGCTGGGAAAATCCTGACCAGGGCTTTCTCCAGGAGATGAGGTTGAGGAGAAGGTGCCCCCATCATGGTGGATCAAAACAGCCAGAAATAGCCCAAAGGCCTTTGGGAGGCCCAGTGGCTCAGGCACTTAACATGGGTATCGCAGGGGAATCTGGGATGACAAAGATCCTCAGAACCCCCCAGCAGCCATCCAGAGCTCCAGGACCTCAGAAACAGCCGCTGAGGCTTAGGAGCTGTCCTTGGAGCCAGTCTGATCCGGCCTGGTGGGAACAGAAACTTGTGAAGTCCTGCAGCCCTCTGTCCCTGCCTACGGATCAGACCCAAGCTCCCTCAGTGAGAGAGGGTCACTCTGCCAGGGGTAGGTGAATCTTTCATGTTGGCACCTTCCCCACCCCCTAGGGACAACTGGAGAGGGCTGGTGGTTCCTGTCTCCAAGCTCTTCTCCATAAATTACAGGCTTCTCAGTTTTCTGTGACTGATCTGATTACCTCTGGCATGTTTCAGGTTCAAATAATGTTGTCCACCTTTCCCAGAAACTGGATATTGGGCTATTCCCTGGCCAATTGCTCCCTGATATCAGGAAGGAGCCAGGGTGGAGGTAGCAAGTCTCATTGCCCAAAATCTCTGATGGCCGTGAGCAGAGCTGGGGGCCAATGGGCCGGACGAAGTCATGGATTCCTGAGGGAAGAGGCAGCTTGTAGACCTCACAGGATCCACACACGCCCCCACCCACATCAGGACCAAAGTCAAGGCCAGTCTGTGATCTTTGTGCTCCCCTCAGCTCCCAGGACTCCTTGGAGACAGACGAAGTACCATCCAGGCTGGACATCCCTGGTTCTGACCTGGCCTCTGGGCTCAGCATTGTCCTGCAGCCTGGCCTTAGCTACCTCCATGGATGAACCTTATTTGAATGATGGACATTTTATTTTTTGAGACAGAGTCTTGCTCTGTCTCCCAGCCTGGAGTGCAGTGGCATGATCTCGGCTCACTGCAATTTCTGCCTCTCTGGTTCAAGTGATTCTCCTGCCTCAGCCTCCCAAGTAGTAGAGATTACAGGAAAATGCCACCACACCCAGCTAATTTTTGTATTTTTAGTAGAGATGGGATTTCACCATGTTGGCCAGGCTGGTCTTGAACTCCTGACCTCAGGTGATCTGACTGCCTCGGCCTCCCAAAGTGCTGGGATTACAGGCGTGAACCACTACACTCAGCCCTGAATGACGGACTTTTATGGAACAGAAACTAGCTTGGTCTATTTTAAGCAGAGTAAAAAGATTTTTGCGAGAAGAATTGGGGTGCCTCATGGAACCCATGGGCAGGCTTCCCAAGGGGCTGGAAGCAAGAAATCTCTCCCCTGGTCTCTGTCTCTGCTGTCTCTCTCGGTTTGTCTCTGTGTCCGCTTCCTTCACTCTCTCTCTCTTTCTCCTCCCTCTCTCTCTCTGGATTGACTTTCTCTGCTCACTTTGCACTTGGTTTGTCGGGGCTACTCCAAAATGGTGCCCTCAGCCCTGGGTCCGCACCACCCAGCTCCAGCAGCAAACTGACCCAGGCTGTTAGAGTCCGAGTTGCAAATTTCAAGAGCGACAATCTGACTGGGCCAGTCTGGCCTCTGGGTCAGTTCCCCGGGGTCAGGTCTCTGCAGGATGATGTTCAACCATCGCAGCCAAGGAGCAACAGAGCCACGAGAACATCACTCTGGCTTCTCCCTGGGCAGCAGAAGGAAGGTGGAGAAGACACCTCCAAAAGGCATCTGTCACAGGTTGAGGCCAACATCCCCATCAGCTCTGAGGCCGAACAGTGCCTCCCTACATCTACCTGCCAAGGGCACTGGCAGGGCTTAAGGTGAGACAAATAAAAATGCAAGGTGGCCGGGTCCTGTCTCTCCTTACAGGCAGCAGGAAACTCTTGCCCCAGCCTGCTGCTCCCTTAGTCCCACCCAGGCCCCTATTCAAGGAGTGAATTCCAGAGAAGGAAACAGGAGCCCCAGCCTCCTCACAGTGCCACAGTTAGACACTGGTGCCAGCAGGCACTTCCTCAACACCTCCAGCCCCAGGCGCTTCCTCCCTGAGAGCAATTCCATCTGGGTTAATGGCCCAGCCCATCTAATGTGCCCGGTAATCCCTCTGAAGCTGCCTTTGTTCGTCTCCTCTGGTTAATCCAGCCCCAGCAACTGAGCTGCCCCCAGCCTGCCCCTGGCCTGTGGCTTAGGCCTGGCTGGGGTTTGCCTCTGTTTGACTCCCCCAGGGTTGCAGCTTCCCAGGGAGGCAGCTGCTCCCGCCCATCCCCTGCCCATCCCCTGCCTGCCTGGTTTGCATCCCAAAGGCCTGGAGACACTCACACAGGCAGGAAGGCAGAACCAGTTGTCTCCAGGGGCAGAAATGGGGGCTGTTCACCCAGAGCCACAGTGGCAGCTGGGCTAGAGAGACTGGCCAGGTTCCCCACGGTTGTCCCCACAGCCTGCAATGTCTCCCCACCACTTTGCAGGGATTAGTCCCCAGCCCTGCAGCCTCTCACTACTGCGTCCTCAGCATGGGGGCTTCTCTCTGTGACAGGCTGGAACTGGGGCTTGATATGAAAAACAGCTGGAGCCTGAGGCATTCACACTTGCTCAGATTTCACACTGTTGTGTTTAGGATTAGCAGGAAGGAGAGGCAGATCAAATGTTACCATCATTAGAGGCCCTTCTCTCCTGGGGCCAGCCCTCCTGCCCTGCCCTTTCCTCCTCCCCCAGCCTAACCTTCCGCTCTTCTCTCCTCTCCCATCTAGGCTGGGCCCACCCTTCCTTAGGAAGCTTCAGGCAGCCTCCACTGGTTTCTGTTTCAGTTCAGGATGTACCTATCTGACTTCTGAGTCTCTAAGCTCCTGGCCTCAGGTGGTTAGCAGCTCAGGCATCAGCCAGGTGGGCTCTGGGCTGTCCCAGGGAGAGAATATTGGGTGCAGTCCACAAGCAATAGGCACTTGGGCCTGTTTGGGCTGGGAGCATTTAACAGACCATGTTTTGGGGCATTTTGAAATTCATTCTATTCATTTAACCACTTCATGCATGCATGCAATAATGGAACGCTACCTTGTGCTATCAACCTGGGATACAGTAGGGAGCCAGAGAGTATCCTTGCCCTCAGTCTAGTGAGAGGTTAATCAAGCAACCACAAAATGTGTGAGAGGGGCAAGATGGGGTGGTATGCAAGGCAGTTCTAAAAAGTTCCAAGTAACCTAGTGTCTTGCTACTCGAAGTGAGGCCTGTGGGGCCAGCAGCACCACCCCCACCTGGGTGCTTGTTCGCAATGCAGAATCTCAGCTCCATTTCCTCCCTGCAGAATCATAATCTTCCCTTCAATAGGATCTGTGCAGGGTTTACATGCAAAGTAATGTTGGAGCAGTGTAACCGCTCAACAGGTTCTTCCTGCCTGCTGCACAAATAAAGACCGCGGCATTGCAGTGTGAACCTCGAATATCTGAGACAGGTCCCAGTCAATTTAGAAGGTTTATTTTGCCAAGGTTAAGGACATGCACCCATGACACAGCCTCAGGAGGGCCTGACGACATGTGCCCCAGGTGGTTGGGGCACAGCTTGGTTTTATACATTTTAGGGAGACATGAGATATCAATATGTGTAAGATGAACATCAGTTCGATAGGGAAAGGCAGGACAACTGGAAGTAAAGGAAGTGGAGAGGGAGCCTCCAGGTTATAGGTAGGTGAGAGACAAATGGTTGCATTCCTTTGAGTTTTGAATTAGCCTTTTTCATGCACATCCGTGTGAAGAGACAACCAAACAGGCTGTGTGTGAGCAACATGGCTGTTTATTTCACCTGGGTGCAGGCGGGCTGAGTCCAAAAAGAGAGTCAGCGAAGGGAAGATAAGGGTGGGGCCGTTTTATAGGATTTGGGTAGGTAAAGGAAAATTACAGTCAAAGGGGGTTTGTTCTCTGGTGAGCAGGAGTGGGGGTTGCAAGGTGCTCAGTGGGGGTGCTTTCTGAGCCAGGATGAGCCAGGAAAAGGACTTTCACAAGGTAATGTCATCAGTTAAGGCAAGCACCGGCCATTTACAGTTCTTTTGTGGTGGAATGTCATCAGTTAAGGTGGGGCAGGGCATATTCACTTCTTTTGTGATTCTTCAGTTACTTCAGGCCATCTGGGCGTATACGTGCAAGTCACAGGGGATGTGATGGCTTGGCTTGGGCTCAGAGGCCTGACATTCCTGCCTTCTTATATTAATAAGAAAAATAAAATAGTATTGAAGTGTTGGGGCGGCGAAAATTTTTGGGGGGTGGTATGGAGAGAGAATGGGCGATGTTTCTCAGGGCTGCTTCAAGCGGGATTAGGGGCGGCGTGGGAACCTAGAGTGGGAGAGATTAAGCTGAAGGGAGGTCTTGTGGTAAGGGGTGATATTGTGGGGATGTTAGAAGAAACATTTGTCGTATAGAATGATTGGTGATGGCCTGGATATGGTTTTGGATGAATTGAGAAACTAAATGGAATGACAGAAGGAGAAAAATGGGTACAAAAGGTCTAAGAATTGGGATGACTCAGGATATCTGATTAGAGAGTGCCTTAGGAGATTCAGCATAGTCCTGCCAGCAAAGATTATTTATTTACTTTAAGAGTTAAGAGTGGCAGTTTGGGGATAGCACCAGGAGATATCAGCTGTGATGGCTTGGAAAAACAGTGTAAACCGGCAGTGTAAACAAGAGCAGAGCATGTATGAGTAGTTGAGAACGGTGAATAGGAGTATGACTAGACAGAAGATACTAGGGATGACAAGTTTTCTGGGGCACAGTCCAAGTTGGTCTGGTGTCTGGAATGAGACTGGGGCCTAATAAAAAGGAGCGTCTATACAGGAGCTTAAATGGGCTGTAGCCTGCAGCATTCCGAGGACAGGCCTGAATTCTGAGAAGGGAAAGTGATAAAAGTGTAGTCCAGTCCTTTTTGGTGGCTGAGCTTGGTGAGGTGTGTTTTTAAAAGATCTTCAGTCCATTCTACTTTTCTTGAAGATGGAGGACTGTAAGGGATATGAAGGTTTCACTGAATACTAAGAGCTTGAAAAACTGTTTGGCTGATTTGACTAATAAAGGCTCATCTGTTATCAGACTATATTGAGGTGGGAAGGCTTAACTGAGGAATTATGTCTGACAGAACGGAAGAAATGACTGCCATGGCCTTCTCAGACCCTGTAGGAAAGGCCTCTACCTATCCAGTGAAAGTATCTACCTAGACTAAGAGGTATTTTAGTTATCTGACTCAGGGCATGTTGAGTAAAGCTAATTTGCCAGTCCTGGGTGGGGCAAATCCTCGAGCTTGATGTGTAGGGAAGGGAGGGGGCCTGAATAATCCCTGAGGAGTAGTAGAATAGCAGATGGAACACTGAGAAGTTATTTCCTTGAGGATAGATTTCTACGATGGAAAGGAAATGAGAGGTTCTAAGAGGCGGGCTAGTGGCTTGTACTATAGTATAACCTGCCTTTGCTGGTGTGTGGCGATTAGGCCTGGTTGAACCGCCAGCAATAAATCAAGCATGATCAGGGTGAGGAACAGGAAAGAAGGAAATTTGGGGAAATGGGGTGAATGTCAGGTGGATCAGAGAGATACAGTCATGGGGGTCAGGTGTAGTATCAGGAATAATGTGGGAGGCCGGATTGAAGTCTGGGCCAGGAACAACGGTAATTGTGGGAGACTCAACAAAGAGTGAGTACAGCTGAAGGAGCCAGGGAGCAGAAAGTATATGCATTAGGTATGAGGAAGAAAATAGATTTTGGAAGTTATGAGAACTGTAGAGAGTGAGTTGAGCATAGTTTGTGATTTTGAGGGCCTCTAAAAGTATTAAAGCAGTGGCAGCCGCTGCACGCAGACATGAGGGCTAGGCTAAAACAGTAAGGTCAAGTTGTTTGCACAGAAAGGCTACAGGGTGTGGTCCTGGCTCTTGTGTAAGAATTCTGACCACGCTAACCATGCCTAGGAAGGAAAGGAGTTGTTGTTTTGTAGAAGGTGCTGGGGTTTGAGAGATCAGTCAGACACGATTGGCAGGGAGAGCACGTGTGTTTTTATGAGAATTATGCCGAGATAGGTAACAGATGAGGATGAAATTTGGGCTTGATTGAAGTAATGGAGGCTGTCTGTGAAGCTTTGCAGCAGTACAGCCTTGGTAATTTGCTGAGCCTAATGGGTGTCAGGGTCAGTCCAAGTGAAAGCAAAGAGAGGCTGGAACGAGGGGTGCAGGGGAATAGTGAAAAAAGCATCTTTAAGATCAGGCACGGAATAGTGAGTTGTGGAGGAAGGTATTGAGGACAAAAGAGTGTATGGGGTTGGGCACCACAGGGGGGATAGGCAAAACAATTTGGTTGATAAGGTGCAGATCCTGAACTAACTTGTAAGGCTTGTCTGGTTTTAGGACAGGTAAAATGGGGGAATTGTAAGGAGAGTTTATAGGGTTTAAAAGGCCATGCTGTAGCAGGCGAGTGATAACAGGCTTTAATCTTTTTAAAGCGTGCTGCGGGATGGGATATTGGCGTTGAGTGGGGTAAGGGTGATTAGGTTTTAATGAGATGGTAAGGGGTGCATGATCCGTCGCCAAGGAGGGAGTAGAGGTATCTTATACTTGTGGGTTAAGGTGGGGGGATACAAGAGGAGGACGCAAAGGAGGCTTTGGATTGGGAAGAAGGGCGGCAATGAGATATAGCTGTAGTCCAGGAATAGTCAGGGAAGCAGATAATTTAAAGTGTCTCAGCCTAATAAGGGAACTGGGCAGGTGGGGATAACTAAAAAGGAGTGCTTAAAAGAGTATTGTCTAAGTTGGCACCAGAGTTGGGGAGTTTTAAGAGGTTTAGAAGCCTGGCCGTCAATACCCACAACAGTTATGGAGGCAAGGGAAACAGGCCCTTGAAAAGAAGGTGATGTGGAGTGGGTAGCCTCCGTATTGATTAAGAAGGAGACGGGCTTACCTTCCACTGTGAGAGTTACCTGAAGCTCGGCGTCTGTGATGGTCTAGGGGGCTTCCGAGGCGATCGGGCAGTGTCAGTCTTCAGCTGCTAAGCCGAGAAGATCTGGGAAGGAGTCAGTCAGAGAGCCTTGGGCCAGAGTTCCAGGGACTCTGGGAGTGGCTGCCAGGTGAGTTGAACAGTCCGATTTCCAGTGGGGTCCCGCACAGATGGGACGCGGCTTAGGAGGAATCCCGGGCTGCGGGCATTCCTTGGCCCAGTGGCCAGATTTCCGGCATGTGTAGCAAGCTCCTGGGGGAGGAGGTTCTGGAGGAACGCCTGGCCACTGCGGTTCAGGCATTTGGAAGTTCTTGTGTGCTGGAGATGTGGCTGGGGTTTGTCTCACAGTGGAGGCAAGGAATTGCAACTTTTTTCTGTTATTGTACACCTTGAAGGTGAGGTTAATTAAGTCCTGTTGTGGGGTTTGAGGGCCAGATTCCAATTTTTGGAGTTTTATTTAATGTCGGGAGTAGATTGGGTAATAAAATGCATATTGAGAATAAGATGGCCTTTTGACCTTTTAGGGTCTAGGGCTGTAAAGTGTCTCAGGGTTGCTGCCGAATGAGCCATGAACTGGGCTCGGTTTTTATATTTGATGAAAAAGCCTAAACGCTTCTGATTTGGGATAAAGAAAAAGGAGCATTAACCTTGACTATGCCTTTGGCTCCAGCCACCTTTTTAAGAGTAAATTGCTGGGCAGGTGGGGGAGGGCTAGTCACGGAACGAAACTGTAAGCCAGACCAGGTGTGAGGAGGGGAGGTGATAAAAAGATTGTAGGGTGGAGGAGCAGAGGCTGAGGAAGAATTGGGACCTAGCTCGGCCTGGCGAGGAGCAGCCTGGGGAGGAAGGGAGAGGTCAGATGGGTCTGTAGAAAAGGAAGATTAGAAAGACTCAGCGACACTTGGGGTTGGTACTGAGGGGACAGGCGGGAGGGAAAGAAGGAAGATTTGGGACGAGTTGCACTGGGCACAGAGACTAGGAAGGGACTGATGTGTAAAAGAATGCCTGGACGTCAGGCACCTCAGACCGTTTGCCTATTTTATGACAAGAATTATTTAGATCTTGCAGGATGGAAAAATTCAAAGTGCCATTTTCTGGCTATTTGGAACTACTGTCGAGTTTGTATTGGGGTCAAGCGGCATTGCAGAAGAAAATAAGGCGTTTAGGTTTTAGGTCAGGTGTGAGTTGAAGAGGTTTTAAGTTTTTGAGAACAAAGGCCAAGGGAGTAGGAGGAGGAATGGAGGGTGGAAGGTTCCCATAGTGAAGGAAGCAAGCCTAGAGAAAAGAGAGAGTAGAGAAACGGATGGAAGGGGTTTGGGGATTCTTACCTTCCAGAAAAGTGGGAAAAGGGGTTGGGGTGCAGAGATAAGAGGTTGGGGTGTGGAAATAAGGGATGGGGTGCAGAAATAGGTCGGGGCATGGAAATAAGGGATTGGGACGCAGAGATAAGAGGTTGGGGCGTGGAAATAAGCGATTGGAGGCTTCTTGCCCCCTAGGAAAGCGGGACTTGCTGCTAAGGGTGAAGGAGAATGGGTTGAGGGTACTTGCCCCTCTCCCAGAAAAGCAGAGAAGGGGTAGAGACAAGGAGAGAAGGGGTTGAGGTACTTGCCCCTTCCCCAGAAAAGCAGGACTTGCCGCTAAGGGTGAAGGACCAAGGCAGGTGTCCCTGCGTGGTCTGACACCCTTGAAACGTGGGTGAATGATCAGAGAGGCGTCCCTGCAATGATTAAACACCAAGGGAAGGCTGCCTTCCCAGTCCGTGACCGGCGCCGGAGTTTTGGGTCCACGGACAAAACGTGTCTCCTTTGTGTCTCCCAGAAAATGAAAGGAATTGAAATTAAGAGAAGGGAGAGATTGAAGAGTGGAAAGGAGAAAGTGGTTGAGGGACAGTGAGAGAGGTTGGAGAAGAGAGTAAGAAGAGGCCGCTTACCTGATTTAAAATTGGTGAGATGTTCCTTGGGCTGGTTGGTCTGAGGACCTGAGGTCGTGGGTGGATCTTTCTCACGGAGCAAAGAGCAGGAGGACGGGGGATTGATCTAGCAAGGGAGGTCCCCCGATCCGAGTCACGGCACCAAATTTCATGCGCGTCCGTGTGAAGAGACCACCAAACAGGCTGTGTGTGAGCAACATGGCTGTTTATTTCACCTGGGTGCAGGCGGGCTGAGTCCGAAAAGAGAGTCAGCGAAGGGAGATAAGGGTGGGGCTGTTTTATAGGATTTGGGTAGGTAAAGGAAAATTACAGTCAAAGGGGGTTTGTTCTCTGGTGGGCAGGAGTGGGGGTCGCAAGGTGCTCAGTGGGGGTGCTTTTTGAGCCAGGATGAGCTAGGAAAAGGACTTTCACAAGGTAATGTCATCAGTTAAGGCAAGGACCGGCCATTTACAGTTCTTTTGTGGTGGAATGTCATCAGTTAAGGTGGGGCAGGGCATATTCACTTCTTTTGTGATTCTTCAGTTACTTCAGGCCATCTGGGCGTATATATATGGGCAAGTCACAGGGGATGCAATGGTTTGGCTTGGGCTCAGAGGCCTGGCAGCCTTTCCAAAAGAGGCAATCAGATACGTATCTATCTCAGTGAGTAGAGGGTTGACTGAATAGAATGGGAGGCAGGTTTGCCCTAAGCAGCTCCCAGCTTGACTTTTCCCTTTAGCTTAGTGACTTGGGGGTCCCAAGGTTTATTTTCCTGTCACAGCAGTAAAGAGGAGTTTAATAGACAAGAGCCTGGCCACGCAACATGGGAGATTGGGTTAGTACTCAAATCAATCTCATCCAAAACTTGTAGGTCAGGGGTTTTTTAAAGGCAGTGTGGGGAAGGGGTGGGGGTGGCTAGACTTGCTCCTGATTGGTTGAGGCAGAGATGAAACCACAGCAGGTAGAAGCTGTCCTCCTAAGCGGAATCACTCCTGTGTGGGGCCACAGAAGCAGTCTGGCAGGTTCAGGTGCAATCATCAGTGTCAGACATGCAAAACACTGGAAAAGATATCTCAAAGGCTAATCTACAATAGTGGTGTTATCTGCAGGAATGGCTGGCAATTTACGTCTGCATCTTAGCAGGATCAGGCTGCTTTCTGCCCCCCAGACT
Organism: Homo sapiens; assembly: GCF_000001405.40. Taxonomy (NCBI): domain Eukaryota; kingdom Metazoa; phylum Chordata; class Mammalia; order Primates; family Hominidae; genus Homo; species Homo sapiens. Next base: position 223,030,704 of record NC_000001.11, read on the forward strand.
GATGGCCTTTCATTACCTTTACAAAGCTGGTTGAATCTGGGGGAAGGGCTATTATCATTTAAACTATAACCTAAATGGCTTCCAATGTTAGCTCAGCCCAAAAGCCCAGGAATAATTAAGGGAAAGGCAAGATGGGGAGTGGGTTAGCTCAACTCACTGTTACAATTTTTCTCACTGATATGCTTTTTGCAAAGGTGGTTTCAGAAGCAGAGCCTGTGTGCTGCTTTTCAGCTTTGGCTGGGGAGCTTGAAACATACTCGTGCCTGGGTCCCTCCGCGTGGATTTTGATGTAATTGGTCGGGATGTGTCCAGGCATCAGGGTTTTTGAAAGTTCCGGGGTGATTCTAACCTGCAGGCAAGGAAAGAAGCATTGGTCTAGATGAGGAAATGGCACCCAACCTCATTGGCTCACACGTGCCCTCTCTCACTCTTACATGTAAACACCACCATTGATTAAGCTTTTAGAGGAGGCACAGAGAGCAGAACACTTCAACCCTTTACTTCTCATGCATATTCAACGAGCATAACAGAAACAACTAGAGAACAGAAGCAACTGACAGATGTTACTGCACAATTCACAGATATGGTAAAGCCCCTAAAGCAATGCAGTGGCCTCTGTGGGTTGACGGTGGTCAGAGGGGAGGTCAGGGGAGACTCTGCCTTGAAGCAAAAAGGGAGGTGGTAGATTTGGGAGCTGGGAAGCTGCAGGCTGCTTGGGGTAGATCGATGACACCTCTGCCTTGAAGCAAAAAGGGAGGTGGTAGATTTGGGAGCTGGGAAGCTGCAGGCTGCTTGGGGTAGATCGATGACCGCTCCTTCTAGGCTGTGGTGAATGGGAAATGGGCACTGGGGTGAAACTCCCCATGGGAAATGCCTTGAGACCTGGCTGGCCTGGAGTGAGTGGAGCAATGGGATCCCGGCCTAGGCAGAGTCCTGGGCTGGAAGCCCTAGGGCTCACTTCTCTGCCTCTGGGCAAAGTTGGACAAAAAGTGTCCTTTCCACACCAAAGATGTTCAATCTTATTGGTTAAAAAGCAGCAGAGAAGGGTGTGGATGTATCCTCAGCTTGGACAGCCTCCTCTGGCCCAAGTCCTCCCTGGCATTGACTTCCATTCCTGGTGCCGACGATGGTGTTCACGTGGGTTGGTTTGTTTCCCTCATCAGTTCTGGGTGGAGGTGCGGGCCTCGAGTTATTGGGAGTGAGTCACTGGCAGCAGTCCTCTCTTGGATCCTCAGGCAGCCTCGCTCATGCTCTGAGGCACACGTTTAGGAAGACGTCAAATCCACTGATGGCCCTGGGGAATGAATAAGCCCCACCCTGTAGCAGTTGCTAAAAAAATCCAAGTGGCCAACAGAGTCTGATCACCTCTTTTCCTGTAACTTCCTTGCATCTTTCTTCCTCCCTAGGAATGGGGGCAAAGTCCTTGTATTCTTAAACCTCACATCCTGACCCTTCCTTCCAGGAAGCAAATGCTCTTACCCTATTGTGGAAAGTGAAAGTCAAGATCAGCATCCCTCCAGGCCTCCTGGTCCAGGCATTGCTCAGGCTCTCCCCTACTTAATCCTCCTGGGCTGTGGATTCTAGTGCAGATTCTGTGGACAGACAGCCTGACTCATACCCAGCCCGTCCACTTACAAGCTGTGTGACTTTGCCTCAGTTCCTTAACCTCTCTGGGCCTCAGTTTCTTCATCTGTAAAGTGGGGATAATAATAGTGCCCACCTCACAGGCTTGCTGAGAGGATTGGATGAGACACTTAGCCTTGTGCTTAGGCCTCAACTTCTGGTCTGCCACAGTGCCCAGATCCAGGGGTTCTATAAAATCCGTTAGAAAGGCCAGCGTGTCCTGACAAGGGACATTATAAGTCTCACTGCATTATTGCTTTTGTCAGAGGTGTTTGAACCAGAGCAACTCCATCTTGAATAGGGGCTGAGTAAAATGAGGCTGAGACCTACTGGGCTGCATTCCCAGACAGTTAAGGCATTCTAAGTCACAGGATGAGATAGGAGGTCAGCACAAGATACAGGTCACAAAGACCTTGCTGATAAAACAGGTTGCATTAAAGAAGCCGGCTAAATCCTACCAAAAGCAAGATGACAACGAGAGTGAGCTCTGGTCATCCTCACTGCTACACTCCCACCAGCGCCATGACAGTTTACAGATGCCATGGCAACGTCATGAAGTTACCCTCTATGGTCTAAAAAGGGAAGATATGAATAACCCACCCCTTGTTTAGCATATAATCAATAAATAACCATAAAAATGGGCACCCAGCAACCCTTGGTGCTGCTCTGTCTATGGAGCAGCCATTCTTTTATTCCTCTACTTTCTTAATAAACTTGCTTTCACTTTATGGACTTGCCCTGAACTCTTTCTTGTGCGAGATCGAGAACCCTCTCTTAGGGTCTGGATCAGGACCCCTTTCCTGTCACACTTTTAAGGGGGCATGTCATAGGCCTTATAAACAGAGTATTTTAAAACACTGACTTAGGTTGTGCTATCAGCAGGAATTAACTATTCAAGTGCAATTAGTTTATCTGATTATAAGACAGTATTTCTGAGTTTGGGCATTTTGATGGGCTGTTTGAAGTACCTATCAATGAGAACAAATGAAATATCTAAAGCATTTGCATTATATTGGTCATGAGAGAGAATTAAAATACTTAAGGCCAGGCATAGTGACTCACACCTATAACCCCACAAATTTGGGAGACTGAGGTGGGAAGATTGCTTGAAGCCAGGAGTTTGAGACCAGCCTGGCAATATAGCAAGGCTCTATTTCTACAAAAAACAAAAAACTTAGCCAGGTGTAGTGGTTTGTGCTTGTAGTTCTAGCTACTTGGGAGACTGAGGTGGGAGGATTACTTGAGGCCAAGAGTTTGAGGCTTCAGTGAGCTATGATTGTAACTGTCCAATGGGTTCATCTTGCCCACTGCCTAGATCAGATTTATCAAGACAGGGAATTGCAACAGAAAAAGCATTTAATACACACAGAGCTAGCCAAACATGAGATGAATTTTATTATTACTCAAATCAGCCTCCCCAAAAATTCAGAGGCTAGGGTTTTTGAAGGATAGTTTGGCAGGCACAGGGCGAGGGAAGGGGAAGGCTGACTCATTGGGGATGGAATCAGGGGTGTGGAAAACTGCTCTTGTGAGCACTGAGCCACTTCTGGGCGGAAGCCACAGAGGAGGGGCTGGTCCAGGTATCGGCAAAAGCTTGAAAAGACATCTCAAAAGGCCAGTCTTAGGTTGTACAATACTGATGTTATCTGCAGGAGTAATTGAGGAAGTTACAAGTGTTGTGACTTCTGGAATAATGGTTGGTAATTATTTAACTACATCTGTATCTTAGCAGAATTCAAGCCCCTCTCATCCTCCTAAACTGGTGGCCTTTTATTAGTTTTACAAAGGCCAATTAATTTTGGGAAGGGCTATTATCATTTAAACTATAAACTAAATTTCTCAACAAGTTAACTTAGCTCATGCCCAGGAATGAGCAAGGGCAGTTTGAAGATTAAAGGCAAGATGGAGTTGCTTAGATCAGATCTCTTTCACTGTCATAATTTCCTCACTGTCATGATTTTTGCAAAGGTGGTTTCATGATTGTGCCACTGCCCTCCAGCCTGGGTGACAGAGTGGGCCCTGTCTCTAAAAAAACATTAAAACAAAATAAGTAAAAGTGACTGGTTCCCTCTGTAGCACCTGGTGCAGTCTCTTTCCCTAAGAGAGAGAGAGTTTCAGTTACCTTGCAGCCCAGGGCAGCCGTTTGTCCCCACCAAAACTAGGCAATCACTGTGGCAGAGCCTTGGGTTCTGGCCTCTGTGGCAGATGCTGGCAGTGGTGTGCTAGTTAGTGGCCCTCTGGAATACAGACAGGACCAATTCATAGAATCTGCCAATTTCCATGGTGTAAATATTCCCACCAAAGCTATTTCAGATCACCAGCGTGACAACACTGACTTGCACTGGAACAGGATACTCACACTCTGCTCTCACAAGCCTGTGCCAGCGAAAGATGCTAGCCTGGGAATCACATCTCTCTCCGTGGGAATTTTGCGGGGTCCCTGCACTGCTCTCCTTGCCCATACAGGAGGCCAGCCCAGGTTGTCCTACAGTCCTAGTGAAGCGGTGTCATTGTCTGGGGTAAATACCCAAGATTTGTTATCTCACAGCCACGGAAAACTAGGACACAGACACACAAGGAGCGAGCTTCAGAGTGGAAGTTTAATAGGCAAAAGAAAAAGAAAAGCTCGGCCAGGCACGGAGGCTCACACCTGTAATCCCAGCACTTTGAGAGGCCGAGGCGGGTGGATCACGAGGTCAGGAGATCGAGACCATCCTGGCTAACACGGTGAAACCCCATCTCTACTAAAAATACAAAAAAACATTAACCGGGCTTGGTGGTGGGCGCCGTAGTCCCAGTTATTTGGGAGGCTGAGGCAGGAGAATGGCGTGAACCCGGGAGGCGAAGCTTGCAGTGAGCGGAGATCGCACCACTGCACTCCAGCCTGGGCAACAGAGCGAGACTCTGTCTCAAAAGAAAAAAGAAAAAGAAAAGCTCTCTCCTGAAGAGAGAGGGGTCCTGAGCGGGTTTTCTGGTCTGTGGCAAAATGCAAGGGATTTTATAGATGAGCTTGAGGAGGTGGTGTCTGATTTACATAGGGCATGAAAGATTTGTCGGACCAGATGTGCCATTTGCATAAGGCACAAAAAACTGGTTAGGACTAGGTGTGCCATTTGCACAGGGCATGAAAAATCTGGCTGCCCCACCCTAATCTTTTATTATGCAGATGAGTTCTCTACCTGGCAGGAGCCATGTTACCTGCTTCTTTACTGTACATGTGGTGACAAAGAAAAGGGAAGATGGAGTCTCTGAGCTGAACATGCCTGGCTTCCAGGTCACCCTTTTCTATTGGCACAGCTGCCGGCATTCACTCGTGCAAGCTTCCAGCTTGCTTATCTATGTCTGCAGCTCAATTTTTCAGGCTGCTTTTTGTTAGAAAATAAATTATTTGGGGGCTGCTTTTTGTTAAAAGGGAAATTCCGCCAAGGACTCTTTTGCCCTTACTATCTACCTAAATAATTTCTTTCTAGCTCCTCTATCACTAGGGCCCAATGCTGCGTATCTAAACAAACAGGAATGAAAGGATAGGTAAGTGGCGCTGCAGTGTTAAGTTGCTCTAGCACGTGCTTCGGTTAGATTTTCGCCCATTCAGCCATGTGGTGGGAGGGCAGAGAAAGCCAATTGTGCACAGAAGCTGGGACAGAGCATCGAATTCCCTGGAGAACATCAAATCCAGCCCAGGCTGGTTGGGGGTCTTAGGGACATGAGGTAGGTGACATGTTCATGAGACCATTGTTCTCATCAAGAGAAGCCTTGTTACATGGGGAGAAAATAGAAGGGGGGTGTGTGTGTGTGAGCATGCACAGGGTTCACTGACATCCCCGAGTAGGAATAGTGAAATTGAGTGTTCCAGACAAGGAGGAGATAGGAATTGTGTTCAGAGCCCAAAGGGTGACGTTTTGGTTTTGGAGAAGTCATTGGTGGTCTTGATGAGTCATGACATGACATGGCATGTTCAGGGGACAGTGTGGCCAAGATGGAATGGGACTGTCGTTAGTAAGGAGGAAGTCAAGAGGCTGAGAGGGAAGGGGAGGGCCATGGGTCATTCCAAGGACAGGTGACTCAAGGCATGACATGACATAACCAGGAGACCTAGAATTTTTTTAAAAACGAGATTTTTGAATGAAGGTAAAGGTAATGTTCTGGAAAAGGAAGTAAAGCAGTAAAGGACTAACCCTGCTTGAGCACTGTGGCTTGGTGGGCTTTGGGGGTGAGAGTGGCTTTGTGCTGTCAGAGAAGCAGGGCGCCCAGGGAAAAACATGAGTCAGAAGCAGCAGAAGTGAAGGCAGAGGTGCACTTTAGCCCCATGCCATGCTTGCCACCCTAACAGCCTTTCAGGCAAGTCAGCGTGCCCTTGGTTTCCTAGCAGGCGCGCCCTCCCAGGTGGAGTCCTGGGGCTGAACACATCCCCTGGACCCACATGGAGTTTCCAGGATCTGAGTTCATGACACTAATTGCTGGTTTATCCTTTTCTCCTCCGGGGAAATTCTTACGGCTGGGAAGATTCCCTCTGATATTTTAGAAGAACATAATAATTAAGCATTTTAAGGGGAGGAGGCTTGTAGAAGTTCAAATTAGATGCTATATGGGGAAATTATAGCTGCTGCCGCCAAGAAGCAGCAGCAAGAAAGGCTGTCAGCAAGAAGTTGCGTGCAACGGCGACAGGAATGGGCCCACTTTGGACCAGCAGGGCTAGGCGTGCTTCCCCTTCCTGCACCTCTGCCCATTCCACCTCAGGTCCAGGCGCTGCCCAGGGCCCAACAGACCAGGGAGCAGCTGGATTCTCATCTCCCAAAACCACACAAGAAGTCCTGGCCTTCTCAGATGGTGGGCATGAAGGGGTGGGACCCCCCACTCCATGGACCACCTTCCTCCTGTGTCTACCCCACCAGCAAATCATGGGCAAGGAGGGCCATGGGGCTGCTGGTGAAATGGCACAGTTCCCTGATTCCCCTCGCAGGACATGGGGCTGCTGGTGAAATGGGACAGTTCCCTGATTCCCCTCGCAGGACATGCGACAGGGGTGTTGCCTGCTTGGTCATCCTGCAGATCAAACCCCTGGCGGGAGCATGCAGACAGGAAGGTACAGAGGCTGGGGCGAGTGCTTTTGGGATCCTGCCCCACGCAGCATCTAGGGGCGGATGTCCGTGCCTCCCGAAGCCCAAGTGAGCAGTGTGTTACAGGCTCTTTCAGGTTTGCCATCTGCAGATGGCTTGTGTGTTAATCAGCTCAATGGACAAAGTGTGACAGCTTTCTCTATCATCTGGAGCTCTTGCCTAGTGTGCGGGAAAAATAGGATCACACGTGGTCTCGAAGGATGAGTGCAAGATTTTATTGAGTAGTGGAGGTGCCTCTCAGCAAGATGGATGGAGAGTCGGGAGGAGGCATGGAGTGGGAAGGTGGTCTTCCCCTGAAGTCCAGCTGTTCTCGGCCCCTTAGGTCCTTCTCTGCCGTGCTGCCCTACTGCTTTTTGTCGCTCTGTTCCTCTGCTCCTCTCCGTGTTCAGCCGCTTGTGTGTCTGAGCCTGCTAAGATCTGGGGTTTCTATGGGCACAAGATGGGGGGCATGACAGGCCAGAGTGGTCTTGGAAAATGCAACATTCGGACATAAAAACAGGAGTGCTTGTTCTCACTTAAGTCCGCAGGCACAGGCCTGAGGGTGGAGCCCCGGCGAGGGACTCCGCCCTTCTCTAGCCAGCACTTCCCTGCCCCCGTGTCCACTGCGTCTTCCCCCTGAGCTGTCGAGGCTGTTTTCAGGAGCCGGTGGTGAGGAATCCCAAGATGGGAAGATAGTGCCTCCTCCCTCCTCCCAGGCCTCCAGGAGGCTGCCCTCCAGGACAGAGGACAGAGAAGGGGAGATTCCTGCTGGCATTCTCTGCTGGTGTATGGGCTCTGAAGTGGGCCCAGGAATTCATGCCATCCAAAGGAGGAGGACCCAGGAGTTCTGTTGGCCTCACACCTTCTGTCCAGAGAAGCAGTTCTGGGGACAGAGAAGTGCTGGGGCGCAGGGTGGCCGAGGCTGCGCGTCCACATCTCATCATTCCTGGACTGTTGAGATTGGCCATTGGTGACTTTACCTCCTGTCTGCGCTGTGCCAGCAAAGGTGGAGCCCACACCCTGGGGTAGAACAGCTCTTGCTCAGGGAGGGCCCGCTCTGGGCATGGTTGGGCTCGGGGCTTCGTTGGGCCCGGGGCATGGTTGGGCTCCACGCCTGAGTCTCCCTGCAGCTCCCACGTGTGTGCCTCCTCCTCAGTGAGACATAGTCCCTGCAGTGTTTAAAGGTGGGGATCACATGTTTTGCTCAGTGGCTTTGGGGACTGGGTGTTTCTCCTCTCAAACAAAATTGGGAGCCTTCTGGGTCTTTGGCCCCGCCTGCCTCTGCATGAGTGTTTATGGGATTCCTGTAACCAGGCAGACCCATTTCCAGATTCGTAGAGGATGGCAGCCCGCCTGTGTAAATGCCATGGTTGCCTGACATGGATTGGCACTGGGGCTGGCCCAAGGACCCGGGGCCCTGCTTGGCGTCGGCTGCCCCTGAGCTGCTCGCTTTCTTTGGCATTCACAGAGGGGCCTTTGTATAGTTAGCAGCCTACACAGAGCTCTTTAGGCCATGACCATGGTGGAGTCAGGTTGGAGCGGGGGCCCAAAAGCAGCTGCAAGGCCAGGTCCCTGGGGCACAGAGGAATGTGTGGAGTCTGGCGGGGGGCTGTCAAGTCCAGGTTGCTTAGTACAGACCACGCAGGGAACACGGGAATCCAGATGGCAAGATCTCAGGGTCAGATGAAGCAGCAGGTAGTGGGAAAACCAGACCGGGAAGGCCAAGTCAGTGTCCACCATCCCATCAGACAGGGGGTCCTGGAGAGTTTCAGCCCAGCAGGTAGGAGACTGTGCTCACAGGATCCCTGGGAAGAATGTCTCAGGCCTGACATATTCTGTGGTCGGGCCAAGATTAGGGTGAGTGAGGCGCGAGGATGTCAACTCTAAGGAGGCATCACTCCCAGGACCAGCCTGCCCTTGCATGACCCTGAGACCTGGGAGAGGAGCCTCCTTCAATTCTGCACCTTGGCACCTCCCTCACCTCCCCTCAACCCTAGCCCTGCAGGTTGTGCCTTTGCTAACCCAGACGGCTGCCCCCTTGGTTCCACATAACAGCACCGATGGGCTGAGTTCACGGACTCTGGGGTTGGTTGGGGTCTTTACCTGGGTTTAGGCACCCTTCCTGGTGGGATCTCTCAACACGTTCTCAACAGCTACTTCCCCGGTCAGGGAAGGGCATCCATTCACCCGGTTGCCCAAAACAGATCGCTGGGACTCAGTTCCTCCTCTTCTTTCCTTCCCACAGAGACAGCTGGGCCAGGTTCCTAACTGGTCTCCCTGTCTCCAGCCTGCCCCTCTAATCCATTCCTGGCCTTCCTAAAACTCAGATCTGATATCATCTCCCCTATGAGTCTTGGAGAGGACATTGCCCCATCTATAAAGGGGTGCCATATAGTTCTTTATCGAATATAGCTTAGTTTTCTGACTCTAAAATTAATAATTAAGGAAACACAAGGAAAGACAGAAAAATAGAAAGGTGGATTACTCATTTTGGCCCTATGAAACCAGATGCAGCCACAAGACTTGTTTGGCCAATGAACATTCAGTGGAGGGTGATGTGTGTTGCCCTACTGGACAGAAGCTTCCAGAGCCAGTGTGTGATTTTCCATGCGCTCTTTTCCCCACTTTGAGAGTATGTCTGTGTCTGACAAAAGCAAGACCTCTTGCTCCCGAAACTGCTCTGCATGGAGGAAACTCAGGCACACCCCCTGATGAGCCTCCTGGCTGGGCCAGCTAACTTTGTACAACAGGTGCAAAGCTCACTCCAGCAGGGACGCTGATCCTGGCCCAGCAGCAAGAGGATGTGGATGGCTTTGATCATGCCGTTTCCACTTCTGGAAAAAGAACTCATTCTTTGGCAGCATTTCCATTGTGTTACCAGACAGCATCCCAGATGCTGAGGACACGAAGTGGACAAGACAGGTGAACAGTGAGGGTCCTGCTCTTTTGGAGCCTACCTCCTCGGGGGACCCAGACTTATTTACACAAGTAAATAAAATATTGTGTTAATTGCAGATGGCGCTGACTGCTTTGATGAAAATAGAACTGAGCAATGCATATGGAGGGGTGACAGGAGACCAGAGGGGTGTCAAGGGCCTCTCCTGAGCTGAGAGTGGGATGAGGATAAGAAGCCAGCCAGGTGAGGAGGGAGAAGAAGACCCCAGGGCTGAGACATATTTGGCATGCTTGAGGGACAGAGAGAGGTCCTATGTGTTGCTGCAGAGTCATGGGCAAGGGGCAGGGGGAGGGGCAAGATTGGAGGGAACAGCAAGGGAAGATCATGGGAACCACGTACACAGCTGCGATGGTTTCTGAGTGCTGTTGGGAAGTTCTTTCTTTCTTTTTTTTTTTTCTTTTTTTGAGACAGAGTCTCACTCTGTCACCCAGGCTGGAGTACAGTGGTACAATCTCAGCTCACTGCAACCTCCACCTTCTGAGTTCAAGCGATTCTCCCACCTCTGTCTCCTGAGTAGCTGGGATTACAGGCGTGCACCACCATGCCTGGCTACTTTTTGTATTTTTAGTAGAGATGGGGTTTCACCATGTTGTCAAGGCTGGTCTCAAACTCCTGATCTCAAGGGATCTGCCTGCCTCAGCCTCCCAAAGTGCTGGGGTTACAATCGTGAGCCACCGCACCCAGCCATGTTGGCAAGTTCTTAGAGGGCTTATAGCACAGCAGTGACCTCCTCTGATTACCCATTGGCTACTGGTAGAATTGCTTGTAGGACTGAGAGAGAGAGCGATGGCTTTGACAGGGGCTGTGGCAGTGAAAGGGAGAGAAGTAACACATTTGGGAAGTACTTTGGATGTAGCGTCTGATGAGACTTGAAAAGGAATTGTTTATGGAAGGTGAGACCAGAGCAATCAAGAATAATTCCTGTGCTTTCACCTTGAGAAAGTCCAAATGCTACGAAAAGCCAGATGGCAGTGGAATCTCTAAATGGAAATGACAAGAGATTTTGTTCCCTCTCAATTTTCCTAAGAGGTCTTTCTTCATGAAGTTGGGTGGGGCACGGGGCCCCTGAGGTTCTTGTCGCCCCTCACCACTCTTTTTTCTTTTGACTGGAGAAGTGTCCACATGAGTCTGTGGGAGGCAAGAGTTGGGGGTTGGGAGGAGGAGAGGGAGAGCTCACCTGTCTGCTTCCCACCGCATGCCCAGAGGCTGTGGTTTGTGACTGCTGGTTTTGACAGTCTTTACTGGCTTCTGATCAAACTGGAGAAGATCAGGAGGTTAATTTTGCCCTGAAGGCAGGCATTATGCCTGGCATCTATGCAAGAATTTAGAGCATGTTGAGAGCTCTCTGATGTTCAGTTTTGAGTGGAAGGGCTCCTAAGGCTACACTGGAAATAGGACTTGCCTTGGCCTCAAAGTAGTTGGACTCCCTACAGGCTGACCAACAGGGGCCACGGGGGCTCTGAGAAGTTCCTAAAGCCCCCAATGAGGTATTTGTCTAGGCAGAGCTTTGAGGAGCACAGCAGCTGTGCCTGGCTCGCTCCCTAAGGATTTAGGGCTAGCTCTGGGTTCAGGTTCCTCTTTGCCAAGAGGGAGAATACCTATTCTTACTTCTCTTCTCAAGACCTTGTGGGGAGAGTGATTAGAGAACTAATAAAATGATGGGTAAAGATGCTGGGGTGGGGAGAGGCAGGCTTGGGTAGGAGCATGGGTAAGAGGTGTTCTGCCAAGATGCATTATAATTGTTCCTTTGGGGGCGCGGTGGCTCACGTCTGTCATCCCAGCACTTTGGGAGGCCGAGGCAGGCAGATCACGAGATCAGGAGATGAACACCATCCTGGCCAACATGGTGAAACCCCATCTTTACCAAAATACAAAAAATTAGCCAGGCGTGGTGGTACGCACCTATAGTCCCAGCTACTTGGGAGGCTGAGGCAGGGGAATCGCTTGAACCCAGGAAGCAGAGGTTGCAGTGAGCCAAGATTGTGTCACTGCACTCCAGCCTGGTGATAGGCAAGACTCTGTCTCAAAAAAAAAAAAAAAAAAAAAAAAAAAAAAAAATTGTTCCTTCCATACCAGTTCTTATATTTGGCTGTTGGCTTTGAATGTGGGAATGAAGCAGCAATACATGACGTAGTTGTAAACTGGTCTTTCTTATGTTTCTCCTCTTACTTTATCATGTTTAAACAAACAAACAAAATGAACAAAAACCCCTAGGTTAAACAATATAATTCTCATTTAAAAAATTCAAACAGTTCAAATGTCCCACAACTATTTGGTCTCATTACCCAGAGTGAACTACCCGTAACAAAAGCATTCTTCTAGACATTTTTCATAGATAAGCAATCATAGTTGTCAGGCACAGTGGCTCACACCTGTAATCCCAGCACTTTGGGAGGCCAAGGCAGGAGGATCACTTGAGGCGAGGAGTTCGAGACTAGACTGGACTACTTGGTGAAACTCTGTCTTTACTAAAAATATAAAAATCAGCCAGGTGTGGTGGCACATGTCTGTAATCCCAGCTACTTGGGAGACTGAGGCACAAGGATTGCTTGAACCCAGGAGGTGGAGGTTGCAGTGAGCCAAGATCACATCACTGCACTCCAGCCTGGGCTACAAGAGCAAGACCCTGTCTCAAAAAATAAAATAAAATCATAGTTTATGCATAATTAAATATACACATAGATATACATATATAATAAGTATTTTAAGATGAATATGCCAGCAAATTATAAGGCTCTTTTGCATCTTCTTATTTTTTACATAACTTTTCAGAATGTTTTATATCAACATACATACATCACCTTTCTTTTCAGTAACTGACTAGTACTCCATCTAATGAATGTACTATTATTTTCTTATCTAGTTCCCTATGATGGATTGTTAGATTATTTCTAGTTCTTTGGTGTTGTAAGAATCAAATTAATGAGCACACACAAAACCACACATAGTTAAAGTATTAAAAAGTAAAATGTGCTGGGCACGGTGGCTCACGCCTGTAATCCCAGCACTTTGGGAGGCCAAGGTGGGCAGATCACTTGAGGTCAGGAGTTCGAGACCAGACTGGCCAACGTGGTGAAATCCCATCTCTACTAAAATTACAAAAATTATCTGGGAGTGGTGGGCACTTGTAATCCCAGCTACTCTGGAGGCTGAGGCAGGAGGATCCCTTGAACCCAGGAGGTGCAGGTTGCAGTGAGCCAAGATTGCACCATTGCACTCCAGCCTGGATGACAGAGTGAGACTCAGTCTCAAAAAAAAAATAAATAAATAAAAAGTAAAATGAACAAAGACTGTTTCACTCATTAGTAAATGAGAGAACCAGTAAGATGAGGCCATGTAACCTCGAAGAACAAAAACTAAAATATGAACAGTGGTTGGCATGCTCTTGGGGTGCCTGACAGAAACAGACAGGTGATGATTTTACCCCAGGCCAGGAGTCCCCCCATAAGCCTAGAAATATGAACTCAGCAGCCTGAGCAACATGGCAAAACCCAGTCTCTACCAAAAATATAAAAGATTAGCTGAGCGTGGTGGTGTGTGTCTGTGGTCCCAGCTACTCAGGAGGCTGAGGCAGGAGAACCACTTAAGCCCAGGAGGCTGAAGTTGCAGTGAGCTGAGATCACACCACTGCACTCCAGCCTGAGAAACCACAGTGAGACCCCTTGTCAAAAAAAATATATATGAGCTCAAAATTTCAAATGAAGAATAAGCTACCAAGAACAAGAATCAGGAAAAACAACAACTAAGAATTCAATTCCCAAGAAAATAAAATATTCAAATTATCAAATGTAGATTATAAAATAGATATGCCTAAACTTATTACAGAAACTTAAAAGTAAAGTTGAAAATACAAGAAAAAGGCCAGGTGTGGTGGCTCATGCCTGTAATCCCAACACACTCGGGAGGCCAAGGCAGGTAAATCACGAGATCAGGAGTTCGAGAACAGCCTGGCCAGCATGGTGAAACCCTGTCTGTATTAAAAATACAAAAAATTAGCTGGGTGTAGCGGTGGGTGCCTGTAATCCTAGCTACTTGGGAGGCTGAGGCAGAAGAATCACTTGAAGCAGGAGGCAGAGGTTGCAGTGAGCCGAGATCGCGCCACTCCACTTCAGCCCAGGTGACAGAGTGAGACTCCATTTCACAAAAAATAAAACAAAACAACACTACAAACAAACAAACAAAAAACAAACAAAAAACTGAGAAAAGAATAAGCTTACTATATATATAAAAAAATACCAGGTCAATTGAAAAATAAAATACTTCTAAAAATTAAGAAAAATAGCCAGAAGAATTTAAAAACACAATAGAAAGAGTAAATAACAGAAGAGATAATTAATTACCTGGAAGATAGATCTGAAAAAATTACTCAAAACTTGGTGCAAAGAAGAAAGGTGATGGTGGCTGGTGCAGTGGCTGTGCCTGTAATCACAGCACTTTGGGAGGCTGAGGTGGGTGGATCACTTGAGCCCAGGAGTTTGAGACCAGCCTGGGCAACATGGCAAAACCCTGTCTCTACCAAAAAAAAATCCAAAAAACCCAAAACGCAAAAAACAAAAATTAGTTGGGCATGGTGTCATGTGCCTGTAGTTCCTGGGTCCCTTCCCATGTATCGTGGGAGGGACCCAGTGGGAGGTAATTCAATCTTTGGGATGGGTTTTTCCCATGCTGTTCTCATGATAGTGAATGAGTCTCACAAGATTTGATGGTTTTATAAAAGGGAGTTCCTCTGCACAGGCTGTCTTGTCTGCCTCCATGTAGGACATGACTTTGCTCCTCCTTGTGAGGATCACTTGAGACCAGGAGGTCGAGGCTGCAGTGAGCCATGATCACACCACTGCACTGCAGCCTGGGCAAGAGAGTAAGGTCCTGTCTCAAAAAAAAAAAAAAAAAAAAAAAAAAGGAGATGGAAAATATGAAAAAGAAGTTAATAACATGGAGGATATTATAAAATGATCAAACATACATATAACTGGAGTACCAGAAAGAGACAATAGACATTGGGAGAGGGACAATGTTCAATATTTTTGCTTTTTCTGAGAATGCTCCCAAACTGATGAAAGACATGAATTCTGAGATTCAGGAAATAATGAATCATCAGCAGGATAAATATAAATAAATTTACATCAAGATGCACTGTGGGGAGCACTATGGAGATCTGTCAAATGCCAGCCAAGGACCCCTCTGCCTTACTCATGTCCTTTTAAATTCTTGTGCTAAATTCAATAACAGCAGCAACAATAAGGATACCTTATTTTCATTTAGCATTTTATGTTGTTTGAAGTCTTTTATAGTCTATAAATATGTCAAAGGTAAGACCTTTGACAGATGAGGAGATGCATGTCAAAGATTAGGAGACCTAGTTCAAGGCCAGTTCACTTGGCAGCAGATGAAAGCATCAGTGCTTGGTCTGCTAACTGGGATCCTTCCCGCTTTGTGCTCCCACGAAAAAGTTTCTGAGTTCCTTGGAAGCCGCTTCCAATGACAGAGACAGTTGCACATTAGGGGCTATTAAGTAGGGTCTGGGAAAGAGACAACTTCCTGATATGGGGAGGGTCCCTGGCTACAAGGCAGATTATATCAGAACTTGCCCTCAGTTCCAGGAAACTAGAGATGCCTCCTGTCTTGGATAGAAAGAGCTGCCTGTTGGGTTGAGGAAGGACACTGAGGCTGTGGGAGAACCTCTTTAGCTTGAGGAAGAATTCAGCCAGTGAATCAGTTTTATAGCTCTTTCGCTCTTACTTTCCTGTCTCTGAGAGATGTTGGTGCGACTGTGGTTTCTGTCATTGGCTGTGGTGTGTTATGAAAGAACATTGGGCAAAAACAGAAGTTATGGGTCAGGTTCTGGTTTTGTCCTTTGGACTCATACTGGGCTTTGTTTACTTAAGAGGGAGTTTGCTTCTAACAGGAGCAGAGTGTGTGTCATTGAAGGGGGCAGTGATTATAGTTTACAAAAGTGATCTAGGAGAAGAATTCCAACTTACTATTGAGGTTGTCACTGAATCTCTTAACATTTCTCTAAAAAAATGACAGGAAGGTGTGAGCTTTTCTGATTGTCAAAATGGGACATGGATGAGAAAAGTTTAAAAAACACAGAACAGGAAGTTTTTGTTGGTGGGTGTGTTAGTTCGTTCTCACTCTGCTAATAAAGACATACCCGAGGCTGGGTAATTTATAAAGAAAAAGAGGTTTAACGGAGTCACAGCTCCACATGACTGGGGAGGCCTCACAATCATGGCAGAAGGCAAAGGAGGAGCAAAGGCATGTCCTACACGGAGGCAGGCAAGAGAGCCTGTGCAGGGGAACTCCTTTTTATAAAACCAGCAGATCTCATGAGATTTATTCACTATCACGAGAACAACAAGGGAAAAACCTGTCCGCGTGATTCAATTACCTTCTATTCGGTCCCTCCCTCATATGACACTTGAGAATTATGGGAGCTACAATTCAAGATGAGATTTGGGTGGGGACACAGCCAAACCATATTAGTGGGTCAAAATGATATATTGAAGTTCTAACTCTCAGTATCTCAAAATGTGATCTTATGGGAAACAGAATCATTGCAGATGTAATTAGTTATATTAAGATGAAGTCATACTGGAGTAGAGTGGACCCCTACTCCACGTGACTGTTGTCCTTACAAGAAGACAGAGACATGGGGAGAACCATCTCTGAAGACCGAAGATTGGAGTGATGCAGGTACAAGCCAAGGGATGTCAAAGATTGCCAATAAACCACCAGAAACTAGGAAGAGGAAAAGAAGAGTTGCCCTATAGGTATCAGAGGAAGTATGGCCCTGTTGACACCTTAACTTTGGACTTAAGAATTGTGAGATGATAAATTTATTTGGTTTTGGTTTTAAGTACCCAGTTTGTGGTACCTAGTTATGGCAGTCTTCAGAAATGAATACAGTGGGCATTTATGACTTTGGCTGTCCATCATCTGAGCACCTATCCTGCATGGGGGAAATCCTAAGGTTTGGGAGGTGACACTGCTGCTCCTTACAAAAGCTCAATGGGACTTGTATTAGGGTTCTCCAGAGAGACAGAACTAGTAGGATATATGTATATATGAAAGGGAGTTTATCAGGGAGAATTGGCTCACATGATCACTAGGCGAAGTCCCGTGGCAGGCTGTCTGGAAGCTGGGGAAGAAAGAAGCCACTAATGGCTCAGTATGAGTCCAAAAGCTTCAAAAGCAGAGAAGCTGACAGTGCAGGCTTCAGTCTGTGGCCGAAGGCCCAAGAGCCCCCAGCAAACCACTGTTGCAAGTCCAAGAATCCTAAGGCCGAAGAACCTGGAGGCTGATGTTCAAGGGCAGGAGGAACAGGAGGAAGCATCCAGCACGGGAGAAAGAAAGCAGCCAGAAGACCCAGCAAGCCAGCCTATCCCACCTTCTTCTGCCTGCTTTGTTCTAGTTGAGGTAGCAGCCAATTGGATGGTGCCCACCCTCACTGAGGGTGGGTCCGCCTCTCCCAGTCCACTGACTCAAATGTCAGTACCCTCTGGCAACACCCTCACAGACACACCCAGAAACAATACTTTACCAGCTATCTAGGCATCCTTCAATCCAATCAAGTTGACCCCTAATAGGAACCATCACAGGACTAGATATTCTTTTCTCAACTCCAGGCAGCTTGACTGTGAGGATGTCCCCTAAACACAGCCAATTGGACATTCCTGCCACTGTTTCTGAATTTGGAAGAAGTAAACCAAGCCTCCAGGTTAGTTACAGACTTTTTAAAATGGTGACTGTGGCCAAGTGGACGGTCTGATGCCTCAGCAGCTGGTGCCCGGCAGTGTCACCAGGACAGTTAGCATGGTCCTGCTGGCTGCTGTAGCAACATTCCAGCTGACACCATTCCCCTGCTCCCAACTATTTCCTGCCTGGGCATGTTTTCTGGGCTTTCCATGATTCTGTGAGCTACTGACCTTTCTCTACTATGTTAACCAGAGCCAATTTCTGTTCTTTGGAACATAGAATAATGACTAGTGCTTTACAATCTGTAAAGGATGAATACCCTCCATGCTTTTTATTTTTTTTTTATTTTTTTTTAATTTTTATTTTATTTATTAATTTGAGACAGAGTCTCGCTCTGTCACCAGGCTGGAGTGCAGTGGCTCAATCTTGGCTTACCACAACCTCTGTCTTCCAGGTTCAAGCAATTCTCCTGCCTCAGTCTCCCAAGTAGCTGGGACTACAGGTGCGCGCCACCATCCCTGGCTAATTTTTGTATTTTTAGTAGAGACAAGGTTTCACCATTTTAGTCAGGCTGGTCTCGAACTTTTGACCTCATGATCTGCCCACCTCGGCCTCCTAAAGTGCTGGGATTACAGGAGTGAGCCACCGAGCCTGGCCAGCACTGCTCTCTTTCATTTTTCTGCATTCCTACCTGTTTCATGCATCTCCACAATGGGACTTGAATATCTGAGGTCCCCGCCCTGTGGAACAGGGGGTTCTGGGAATGGTCACAAGGCTGTGGATGTGGAACATGCTTTCTGACCATAATATGGCACTGTCTCAGGTTAAGCCTAACAGATCTTGCCCCCTTCCACACTAGAGAGTCTGTTTCTGAGGCCACAGGAGTGCGACTGTGGTCTGGGTAAGACACGTTAGGAGAGACTGGCAGGGACCAGCTCTGCATCCAAAAGACCTGGCGTCTTGCTGTGCTCCTCAGCGTGGAGGATCCATGATGTACTCCAGGCATAGCCAGCTTGTGTCAATCAATGGAGATCCCTTTGGTGCCTGTAAGTCCCCTGGATAGACCCCAAGAACATTCCAGAACCCCCAACATCTCGACTAGGCAGCTTCCTGTGCATTAGGAACAGAATCTTTCTTCCCTGAGAAATCTTAGTTCCCAAATGCTATGAGAGGAAGGACATTGCCTACACGGTAGGTCAGAGACCTCCACTGATTTATGTGTCTGTTCCTTTATCAAGCAGGCCCTCAGCCTAGCGGTGCAGAGAGGACATGGATCTTCCCGAGATGCCCACAGTCTATGAGAGAGAAAGACCAAGAAACCGCTGGAGGACTGGGTGAGCAGTGCTCTGAACCGGAGAGGGGTGTCCGACTCAGGAAAGACACTGTGAAGGAGGTGACATTTCAGCTGTCTCAGGAAGGACAAATAGGAAGTGGCCTGTGAAGAAGTAGTAGTGGAGGACCAAAATGTGGGACCGTGGGAGGAAGAGGGGACAGGACTGTTGTGGGGAACATTGGGTGGGTGTAGGTGGAAAGTGAGGGGTGAATTTGAGGAGACAAGGAGGATGGAAAGGGTCTTGAATGCCACACAAAGGCATGTCACCTGGAAGCCAGGGGCATTGAAGGGTTTTAAGCACACGATGACACCATCAGATTTGTGTCTGCTCTGGTCACATGCTAATATGCTTTCTCTTAGTCTGATTTTGAGTGAGCTCGTGAGTAACCAACGCAAAGGGGTGGCCTGAGAAGGACTCCATGCTTCTGTATTTGAGTCCTTGTGGACAAACTGTAACTTAATAGGTAGACAACATTGAGTACCTAACTTAGGAGTATGCACCTGTAAGAACTGCTGAGTCTTGGCCAATCCCAGCGGCCATACTTCAACCACTCATACACCACTGAGTGTTCAAACTGTGTTCAAGTAAGGCAAAGGCCAACCTGTAACCAATCCAGCTATTTCTGTAGTTCACCTCCAATATCTTTTTTTTTTTTTTTTTTGAGACGGAGTCTCACTCTGTCGCCCAGACTGAAGTGCAGTGGCGCAATCTCGGCCCACTGCAAGCCTCCGCCTCCCGGGTTTGTGCCATTCTGCAGCCTCAGCCTCCCGAGTAGCTGGGACTACAGGCACCCGCCACCACGCCCGGCTAATTTTTTGTATTTTCAGTGGAGACGGGGTTTCACTGTGTTAGCCAGGATGGTCTTGATCTCCCGACCCTCGTGATCTGCCTCCCTCGGCCTCCCAAAGTGCTGGGATTACAGGCGTGAGCCACCGCGCCAGCCGCACCTCCAATTTCTGTATGTCACTTCCCTTTTTTTGTCTATGAATTTGTTCTGACTATGAGGCATCCCTGGAGTCTGTGTGAATCTGCTGTGATTCGCGGGGGCTGCCTGATTCACGAATCGTTCATTGCTCAACTAAACTCCTTTAAATTTAATTCTGCTAAGTTTTTCTTTTAACAGAGGGTTGCGCCAACTCTCTAGAAACAGCCCTTCTTTTACTCATTTCTAGCAGACTTGCTTTACCCTATGGGATTTAGGTCAAGGGCTCACAGAGGGGCCCCCATACCATATGTCTAAATATTTAAAAGTTATAAGAAGCCAACAAACCATTAAATATAATGTGTTCTATTCTCCATCCTTCACAAATACACTTAAAAAAACAAGAAAACAAAAAAAACAGGGTCTTGCTCTGTCACCCAGGCTGGAGTTTAGTGGTGTGGTCACAGCTTACTGCAGCCTCGACCTTCTGAGCTCATGAGATCCTCCCACCTCAGCCTCCCAAGTAGCTGGAACTATAGGAGCGTGCCATTAAACCAGGGTAATTTTTAAATTTTTACTTTTTTAGAGATGGGGTCTCGCTATGTTGCCCAGGCTGGTCTTAAAACCCTGGCCTCAAGCAATCCTCTGGTTTTGGCCTCCCAAATCTCTGGGATTACACACGTGAGCCGCTGCACCTAGCTCCAATATGCTTTTTCTTTTGAGATGGAGTCTTGCCCTGTTGCCCAGGCTGGAGTGCAGTGGCGCAATCTCAGCTCACTGCAACCTCTGCCTCCAGGGTTCAAGTGATTCTCCCACCTCAGCCTCCCTAGTAGCTGGGATTACAGGCACCCGCCATCATGCCTGGCTAATTTTTGTATTTTTCTAGGAATGGGGCTTCACCATTTTGGCCAGGCTGGTCTTGAACTCCTGACCTCAGGTGATCTGCCCGCCTCAGCCTCCCAAAGTGCTGGGATTACAGATATGAGTCACCATGCCCAGCTTCAACTATGTTTTTGTAACAACCTGGAGAGCCAGATTGGAGGTTAGACTTGTCGATTCTCTGGAGTTCTGTGTCAGAAGCCAGAGGCGCGAGAAGCACTGGCCACAGCCCCCCTTTATCTTCCCAGCCTCTCTGTCCAGCACCCTGGGCCCACATGTCTCAGCTCTGCTCACATCTGCACAAATACTGCTTTTTGGCCATCCCTTGGGAGAGACAGACCTGGAGAAGAGTCTCATGCAGGGCCTGGAAGCTGACTTGGGGGCCCTTTGGATAGAGAATTTGGGGGCCCTGAGTCCACCAAACGTGGTCTAGTTTCTAGAAAACAGAGCCTGGGTTCTAGCAGGAACATCCTGTTGGTCCTATGGACTCTTCTCCTGGTGAGGACTGTGGCCTGAGGAGGACCAGGGAGGGCCTTCTAAAGCATGGGTCTCAGGCAGAAACCCCTCATGTGTAAGGGTGGAAGGGAAGGCCCCCTATGCCTCTTGTAGCCCAAAGAGAAAGTGGGAGTGACCCCTGTGGGCAGTGGCTTAGGGTCTCTGCAGAGTTTTTCCACTAGAGGCAGGGCAGAGCCCCCCGGTTGGGGTCCCATGCCACTCATAAAATTCTTCCACTTCCACTTCTACCTCAAGCCGCCTGGCTGACAGTACTCCTCTTTACACCTCTTTCATGCACTGTTGGGACTGTGTTTGGTGCTGTCTGGGCCCTGTGAGAGGGGGACCCAGAGTGGGAGGGAGTCACCGCACAGCAGCCGCCTTCCCAGGATCGCCTGTTCTCTCTCATGTTTCTCTTTAAAATTTGTTTATGTGCGTTTCTACATTTGTCCTCTTCCTTCCACAGGCCTGGCAGGTTCTATTTTTGAAGGTCTGGGCAGGGACCAAGGCCCAGCAAGTGTAGCCAAATCACACAGCTTCATCTGCCTTCCCTGGCCTTGATCACCACCACCCTTCCTGCTCCCTCCTCTTCTCCCTCCTGGAAGAATGGGTCCTGTCTTCAGGCCCTGAGCATCACTCCGGAGAGTGAGACAGACAGACAGACAGACAGACAGAGAAAGAGAGGTGGAGGCTGAGAGCAAGAACAACTCTGCTGGACCTTGGAATCAGAGAGATTTATTCCATCTCTCCTAAATTTGAAATATTTTTCCTGGGTTCTCTCCTTGGGAACGCTTATGTGTAGGATTAATTTATGACTAGATCCCAAATGAAAACAGTTCCTAAGCCCAACACCCAATAAAGTCCCCATTGAGTTTCTTCTCACACTTCCTCCCCACCTGGCAGGCGAGGCCGCTGGCTCTGGTGTGTGTTCTGAGCTCACTGCAGGCCGGCCACTCTCTGGGGCACCACTTCTGTCCTGTGCCTGGCTCTGTCCACAGCACAGGCCCCAGTGTCCGCCCCAGCGTACTGCCTTGCTCACAAATGCTCGTTTGCCTTCCGTTCTTAATTTATAAACTGTTTTTCAAACTTGTTGGCTGTGGGCTTTGATCCTGGGGCTGTGAGTCCCAAGCGGCCAGGCACCAGGCATCCACTGAAGCAGGCTGTGTCCACAGCACCCAAACAGGCTGGTCCTGGGACTCACTGGCTTGGAAGATCAGAACTGAAAAGACCTTGGAAATCACCTCATTTTACAGAGAAGGAAACTGAGATAAGTGAGTTGTCCATCGTCATGCTTAAAACAAGGTTTTAATACTGGATTTCTGTTGTTTTTATGCCAGTCAACCTCAGAGGCATTGGGCAATGGAATCTTCTCTAGTTGACTCTATCCTGGTGTGAGAGGGATTTGGTGAGTCAGGCTCCTGACCCACGCTCCTGAGAGCAGCAGCCTATGGCTCAAGGCCACAAGGGAAGTGATACGGTTTGGCTGTGCCCCATCCAAAATCTCATCTTGAATTTAATCCCCATAATCCCCGTGTGTCAATGGAGAGACCAGGTGGAGGTAATTGGATCATGGGGTGGTTTCCTCCATGCTATTCTCATGATAGTGAGTGAGTTCTCACGAGATCTGATGGTTTTATAAGGGGCTCTTCCCACCTTTGCTCAGCACTTATCCTTCCTGCCACCTTGTGAAGAAGGTGGCTTGCTTGCCCTTCACCTTCCACCATGATTGTAAGTTTCCCGAGGCCCCCCGACTGAACCATGCTGAACTATGAGTCAATTACGCCTCTTTCCTTTATAAATTACCCAGTCTCAGGTATTTCTTTATAGCAATGTGAGAACGGACTAATACAGAAGGATTGCCTGGCATTCTCCCAGGCGTGGAGGGAATGGAGGGAAGAGCTGCAGGAATGGGGGTGATGTGGGAGGTGGAGCCTGGTGGGGTTGGGGAAGGTCTGCAAGCTGGAGCAGGGGCAGGGGTTTGGGGGTCCTCCCAGGGTCGCTGAGAGGGAGTTGCTTCCTAGGCCAGATTCTGGGAGTGGAGCAGGACTTCAGAGGGCAGTGGCTCCCAGGACATCCCTCAGCCCAGGACTCTTGTCCCCATAAAGCACTATACAATCCCTGACTCCATCTCCCACACTTTCAACACTGTGCCTTCCGGGAATCACCATCCAGCACTCCTCAAATCCCAGATGTTCTTCTCTGAGCAGTCCCTTTGTCTCCTTGTTCTGATGGAAACCTGCTCTCCCCCGAGATCACCGGTTCCCTAAAACTCCCTCATATGGTGAATCTTTTCTACTCAATGGGATCGTCCTGCTAAACCTAGAGGAGAGGTGGGGGTCTTCTTTTCTTCACTCTGCTACTGCTTCTCCCTAAAACACCTAGAAGTTAATCTTGTGTCATTAGAGAGACTTTCTGAAATGCCCCTAACAGTAATTTACATATGCCCTGAGCTTTCCCCTTTCATTCCTTGATGTTTAGTGCCTAGATTACCATCAATCTCAACACCGCTCCTGATTGAGCACTGGGAGGATTTTTCTCAGACCGTGACCTTTCTTTTCCTTGAACTTCTCTCCTTACTCATATTGGCCTCCACTGAGCTTCAGTCCCACACTCCAGTGGGCATATCCTAGACCCTGGCATTTATTACCAATTAAAGCGCCCCCTCCATAATCTCAATTGCATCTCAACTGAAAGTTGTATCTCTCTCCAACCACTTTCCTGATCACTCCGTCTAGTACCTACTCTTTGTGGCTGTACTGGGATTACAGCCCATTCCTTCTACCATCTTTTCACAGCCATCACCCACCTTTGTGTTCAGTTACCTCCTTTTCCAGCTGAGGTTTCATGGCCCATCAGTAGAATCCCTCCTTTCCAAACACCTGAAACTCCCTTGCTGCCTTGCGTGGTAGTCATCTGGTGAAAGCCAAATCCCAGCCTACTCTGTGCAGCAACTGCACAGGACTGAAGAAGGCACCTACCATGCAGAGCAGTCTCATCTCAGGTTCATGACCATTAACCTCAGGTGGACCCTGAGTGCTGCCTGGCAAGCCCAGTCCATTCACTTTCCCACTCTCCAGAGCATTATGTCACACCTCTGCTTCTCTCATTCCTTCACGCCTCCTTCACCATGCTCGTTCTCAGTGGACAGCTTATTACCAAATGAGAAATGAGAAACAATCAGAAGAGGATGCCACATGCTCTCACCATCCTGTCTAGACCCTTCCTTCATTTATGCCCTACTTCTCAGCCTTCCTTCCTGTTGTTATGGAAGAACTGTCCATCAAAGACCAAGAGCTGCAATTCTCTAAGGGACTCCCTGCTCAGCAATTATACCACTCTATTCTTCATAATCAATATCCCCTCTCTTCTGAAACATTCCGATTGCACAGAAACATCCTGGAATAGCTCCCATGTTCATCAACTTTCCCTTGATCTTACATCTGCCTCCAGCCACTGACCCATTTCTTTGCTCCCCTTTACAGCAAAAGGCTCTTCAAGAGAGCCTTTACTTGCCACCTCCCATTCGTCTCTTCCCCTTCTCTTTCCTTTTTCTGCTTTTTGTTTGTTTGTTTGTTTGTGTTTTTTTGGTAGTCACTCACATACAGTAAAGTGTATGAATCCTAAGTATACAGCTCAATGACATTTTACAGGTGTTTATGCCCAAGTGGTCATTGCCCAGATCAAGACATCCAACAATGCCAACTCTCAGGAAGGCTCCCACCTGCCCCTTCTGGTCAATACCTGCTCATTGCCACCCCAAGAGGCAACTACTCTCCTGGACCTTAGACAAACACTTCAGGGGAGTAGAGGTATTGTGGACAGTCAGCACATGTCCTTGCAGATGCAGAAGGTGACCACCCATCCACAGAAGAGAAATCATGTGGCCCAGTGCCCCTGGCGGGATCTCAGCCTGGTCAGATGTGTGCATGGGTGGACCTCATGTACCCTGAAGACACCCTGAAGGAAAGACGTCCAAATGGGAACACTGACTATTTATGGGTGGTGGAATTCATGGAGACTTTAGTTTATTTGGTGCCTTCTAGCCATGGATGTTTTCCTATTTCTTGTGCCAAGAAAGGAACACTTGTAGTTTATTGGATTTTCCTTAATATGCAGTTTTTCCAAAGTGTACATTTGGGAGCCTACCTTGGATTAATCCTTGAAATCTAATAAGCAAACCATATTGTTTGGGGAGTATATTAGGTAATTTGGTGTTGAAATGAAAATCACATGTTCTTGGATTCATGGTCCATTCGTTCTACATTTAACAGAATAAATTCTTCTAAACATTTCACACCCTTGCCTCTGTAATTAAGGAAATTCTACTCAGCCTGCTGAGTTACCATTCCAAATGCCCTATTTATTTGTCTATAATTTATGTATTTCCTTATTTTTCTATCATTCTCATTTTTTCTTTATGCTTCTTTTAAGGGTTCTTTCTTACCAGCTATATTAGACATTCTAATACTATTTTTACAGTTAGCCATGCCTACCCATACTTTCTTATCTTTACTATATGCCATTTCTTTATCCATTTTTAATTTACTTTTCTATAAATTGGAAGATATCCTCTATTTACTCTTAGAAATGTTACTTTTCCAGTGAAAAACTTTTCGAGTGCTTATTTGTTTAAAGTTTTTATTTTGCATAAGAATGGTCTTTTAGGCCAGCAAGGTGTTTTATGCCTGTAATCCCAGCACTTTGGGAAGCTGAGGTGGGCAGATCACCTGTGGTCGGGAGTTCAAGACCAGCCTGACCAATGTGGAGAAACCCCATCTCTACTAAAAATACAAAATTAGCCAGACATGGTGGCACATGCCTGTAATCCAAGCTACTCGGGAGGCTGAGGCAGAATAACTTGAATCTGGGAGGCGGAGGTTGCAGTGAGCTGAGATCATGCCATTGCACTCCAGTCTGGGCAATGAGAGTGAAGCTCGGTCTCAAAAGAAAAGAAAAGAAAAGAAAAGAAAAAGAATGGTCTTTTGCTAGGTGTTGAATTCTGGGGAATTCAGTTTTCCTAAGAAAATTTAAAGATTAACTATGTTACTGTCCCATCTTAGAGATAGGAAGTCTTATGCCAGTAAGTTTCTGGTTTCTTTGTGGTACACTTCTTGTTATGTTTTTGTTTTCTTCTCAAAAACCCCTCAGGGATTTTTCTCTTTCAGTGGTGTCCAGAAATGTGTTAAAAGAAAAACCTCAGCTGAATTAAATTTAAGGGAGTTTAATTGAGCAATGAGTGATTCAGCAATCGGGCAGCCTTCAGAATCACAGCAGATTCGCACAGACTCCAGGGATGCCTCATGGTCAGAACAAATCTATAGACAAAAAAAGGGAAGTGATGTACAGAAATCAGAGGTGAGGTACAGAAACAGTTAGGTTGGTTACAGGTTGATGTTTGCCTTATTTGAACACAGTTTGAATACTCAGCAGCGTATGACTGATTGAAGTATGGCTGCTGGGATTGACCAAGACTCAGCAGTTGTTACAGGTACCTAGTCCTAAATTAGGGTTTCAATCTTGTCTGCCTATTAGGTTGAAGTTCATTCATGAGGACTCAAATACAGAAGCAGGGAGTCCTTCTCAGGCCATATTTAGTTTGCTTTGACAATTCCCCCATTTTGTTCATTTTCTCGATTTTGAGAGACTGACCAAAACTTTTGTCTTTGATGTTACTATCACCATGGTAAATGTACTTGTTTGGTCTTGAAACCCACTAGGAAACAGTAGAACAGTGAGTTTTGCGAAAGTAGGAACAAGGACTGTGTAGAGGGTACCTCCTTATGCTGGAACATCTTGTTTACAGAAGAAAAACAAAACCTGGTCTGTTCTGGCCTAGGATCTATGTGTTTCCTTAAAGTCTTAGTTTGATTATGTCATTTTTAGTATGAGTGACTCCAGCTTTGTTTGATTTGGTCTGTTGAGGCCTAGTGCATGAGCTCAGTCCAAAACAATGGCCTCCCATAATTTTATTTTTAAAAATTCCCCCTTTTTGGCCAGGTTCTCACTTAGGTGAGAGTGCGACCAAAACTTAGGGCTTTAGCGCCACTCTTGGTTACCACCATTTTCAGTTTCCCTTCTCAGCATGTCATTCATAGCTTACAGTGTCCTCCTGGTCACACATTTCTTTCAGCTTTTGTCATTACAGTTGAATAGAGACCATTTAACATTCTAGAGTTGGCTGCATGCAAGCATTAAAACCTTTGAGAGAACACAGAGCACCAGAGAGACTGTTATTATGACTATCTACAGGATAATAACAAGAGTTTGGAATATGCTCCTTACCCAGGGTTCCCAAAAACCAAACCACCTAAAATCAAATAGATCAAAGAGCAAGCTAAACAGTCCACTCGCTTAACTAAGTGGTCTTTTTGTTAATCCCCTACAACGGAATCTCTGTAATACCTTATGTATATCTCCCTAGGCCAGAAGTGCCAGCAGATACATAGACACTTTTCTGTCTAGCCAGTTCTATTACTTACCTTAACTTTCACAAGAGAATTGAAAGTCTTCTGTGTAACTACAGCCTTTACAGTAAAATCTGCTATAGAGCCTATTGTAAGGGATACATCTCTGATCATCACCTCTTTTATTCAAAAACATGGAAAAAGGACCTAACAAATGATGCCCTTCTAGAAGAGTGAAGGCCTCCTGGCAATGTTCTCTTTAATCCATGATACGGGTTAAGAGGAGTGAACCAATGTACTGTTTCTGACTGACTATGAGGCAACGTATGTACCATTAAAGTTCCCCACATCGGGCCTTCATCTTTTGTCTATCAAAGTATAAGGTTATCCATGTATAAGGCTGGCTGCAAAATCCTTCACAAATAAAAGTATACCCCATAAGTGCATGCAGCAGACACCCTCTTCATTTCTATTGTTCACAGAGGCATAAGCAAGGAAAAAATTTTCAAAGATAAGAGTCTCATGACAGTAGAAGTCTTCATCCACGATCTTAGGAAAAGCCATTCACATCAAGGTTGCCATATTCGTCTGGGGAGAGACTTCCTTGGTTAGCTTTACCTTAAAGTTTCCACTGGGTGTATAGTTCCAAGAGCGTGGAGGGACCCTTCTCAGTTGTGCGATTATGAACCCAAGTTTCAAGATCCTAAAGTTTTGTTGCAGTGTGAATGGCAAGGACAGTCTTTCTCTGATGTTTTCAGAAGATGCAATTTTCAGGTTCTAGATGATGAAGGGGTTGACTGTCCTCAGTGAATCACAAAAAGCTTTCTTTACCTGGTGAAAATATACTGTAACACAGTAATCTACTACATCTTATTATTATTATATTATTATGCTTCATACATGTAGCATAATAATCTATTACATAATATCAGCACTCTTGCACGGAAGAGCTTTTATACAACTAGAAAACATGCACCGAAAATAACAATTGAATGAAATCCTTTTATAAAATGTTTAAATGGCCCATCAGGTAACCAAATGTACCTGAAGCTTTGATTGTTTTTCCCAGGAATATGGGTTAACAAACCAAACATTGGTTATAAGCTATTTTAGCAATTTATAAGTTACCACACCAATATATTTAATTTGGATTATTTTGTCTTTCCCATGATGAGTCATGGAATGCAGAACTTTTAATAACAAAAGCTTTAAGGACTCAGGAAGAACAAAGTGGCTGTCCTGGTTCTCCATGAGTCCATGCTTGATTAACATTAGACTTATGTCCTCTTCAATACCAGTTGTTTCTCCAAATTAGGTGCATAGCACTGATAATTGATGGGTTGTCATAGGTAATTTGACTTAGATCATGGATTTCATTCAAATTTCATCAGGACAGAGGATGGAACTCAGAGGTGAGAGGGTTGGACTCTGGATGTTTCCTTTGGAAAACTGCAGACAGTAAGTGATCCTATGTGTATGTGTGGCGGAGACTGGAGACTGTGCAGGGCTTGGAGAACCCATGAGGCTCCCATGGACTTATTTACTCCCAGCTGCAATATCAGCAAGCCACTGTTGACCCAGATCCTATGTGGCCAGCTGCCCTGCTATTTGAGTCCTCCTTGCGGCTGGGCGCAGTGGCACACACCTGTAATCTTAGTACTTCGGGAGGCCGAGGTGGGTGAATCACAAGGCCAGGCATTCGAGACCAGCCTGGCCAACATAGTGAAACCCCATCTCTACTAGAAATACAAAAATTAGCTGGGCGTGGTGGCGGGAGCATGTAATCCCAACTACTCGGGAGGCTGAGGCAGGAGAATCGGTTGAACCTGGGAAGTA
This sequence comes from Homo sapiens, assembly GCF_000001405.40. Taxonomy (NCBI): domain Eukaryota; kingdom Metazoa; phylum Chordata; class Mammalia; order Primates; family Hominidae; genus Homo; species Homo sapiens. Next base: position 223,059,944 of record NC_000001.11, read on the forward strand.
GAGGTTGCAGTGAGCTGAGATTGTGCCACTGCACTCCAGCCAGGACAACAGTGGGAGACTCCATCTCAAAAAAAGAAAAAGTCCTCTTTGCATAGTTTTGTATTTGTAGGAGTGCTTATGGGTGCTGAAGGGTCTGTAGGAAAGATGGACTTTATCAGATTAATGTAAAATTTACAGGATATACACTAGCTAATAGCAAGGAAATCCTTTACTCAATATACTCACAAAATGGATTAGAAAACCAAAAACAAACACTACAATAAACCACCAAATCATGCCTTGCTCCAATGTCTCTTCCTGTATCTCTTCCTGTATTTTTCACTGCTCCTTATAAGAGGTTCATGTAATGCTTTCTTTGTAGAATTTCATAGTGGGAAATTTCATCTTTCATGAAGAGCTTGTAGGCTTCCTGCAACAACCATGGAAATGTGTCCACTGGATCTCTCTCCAAGAAGGAACTTGCCAATCAGCCATGAGAAGTGCAGTGAGCTGTCATTCCCCCAGGTGCAACATTTAGCCGAGGCCAGGCTCTTCCCAGGAAGACCCCAGCCAAGGACAGAACAGGGTAGGGGTCTTAGGGCGTGGTTCCTTCTGTCCAACTTGGGACTCCACTAAGGGCAGTTTTTTGTTGGAGTACTCCCTTGGGCTGGCCAAGGCTTTCTTGGGGTTGCATTTGAGTCTGAGGCTTTTCCTACCCAATCCTCCTTTCTTCTCCGTCTCCTCCCTCCATCACAATCTGTACCTTTTGCAGGCATTACCCCAGTGAATCGTTTGCATTTCTAACTTCCTCTTAGAGTCTGCCTCCCAGAGGAACCCAACTGTCACACTGACAAAATAATGATTCCCTTGATTTCTTGAAACCTGAGTTATACTTGTAATCGTAGTATCTCACATCACCTTCTCCAAAACCACGCTTTGCCGAACAACTGTGTTACACATGCTCTAAGAGATCAGGTACCATCAGGAAGCTTTGCCTACTCTCCTCCTTTCCTATGATCATTTACAAAAACATTAATGTAAAAAAGCTCTAAGAAGTCTTGCAATAAAAAATATTTATCTTTGTTGATCCCAGTTTTCCCCCTAACTTATTTAAACATGGACCTCCTTTTACCTGATGTGCCTAATAACTTCCCATGCAGCATGAGTATGCCTTAAAACACTGTGTGGGCAATCTCATTCAGGAAGTAGGGTTTTTTTTTTTGACATTTATTCTTATTATTATTTGCTTTTTGTTGAGGCAGAATGTATTTTATTGAGGTGTAGTATATATACAGTAAAGTGTGGAAAATGCACAAATCCTAAGTGTACAGCCCAAGTGTTTGAATATGTTTATTTCAGTGTAGCTATTGCCCAGATCAAGATTAAGAGCACTTCCATCACCTTAGAAGAATGTCCCCTTCCCATTATCAGTAAATATACTCCATCCTGCATTAAAACCCCTTTTTAAATGAATGTGCTTGCCTTTTTAGTATTGAGTTTTAGTCATTCTTCCTATCTTTTGGATATAAATGTTTTATCAATTATTCATATTGCTAATATCTTCTCCCAGTCTGTGGTTTGCATTTTCATGCTCCTAGTGGTGCATTTGATGAGAAGTTCTTAATTCTATATAATTAATTAATTAATTAATTAATTAATTTTTGAGACAGAGCCTTGCTCTGTCACCAAGGCTGGAGTGCAATGGCACGATCATGGCTCACTGCAGCCTCAACCTCCCGGGTTCAAGCAATCCTCCCACCTCAGCCTCCTAAGTAGTTGGGACTACAACTATGTGTCACTCCACCCAGCTAATTTTTTAAATTTTTTGCAGAGACGAGTTCTTACTATGTTGCCCAGGCTGGTCTCAAACTCCTGGGCTCAGGCAATTCACCTGCCTCGGCTGCTCAAAGTACTGGGATTACAACTGTGAGCCACTGTGTCTGGTCTCAGAAGTTTTGTTTTGTTTTTGTTTTTGTTTTTGTTTGAGATGGAGTCTCGCTCATTTGCCCAGGCTGGATTGCAGTGGTGTGATCTCAGCTCACTGCAACCTCCACCTCCCAGGTTCAAGTGATTCTCATGCCTCAGCCTCCCCAGTAGCTAGGATTACAGGTGCATACCACCACAACTGGCTAATTTTTGTATTTTTGTAGAGACGGGATTTCACCATGTTGGCCAGGCTGGTCTCAAACTCCTGACCTAGTGATCTGCCTGCCTTGGCTTCCCAAAGTGCTGGGATTACAGGCATGAGTCACTGTGCCCGGCTAGCATCTGCTTGTAGAAACTCTTTTACTTTTCCTGTGTCTTCTAGTACAATGTTAAATAGAGGTAATGACAGTGGGCATTCTTGCCTTTTTGTCAATAATAATGTTAGAAAGTGCTTTGAAAATGAAAGCGCTTCTCTTGTGCAAGGTAAAGTAATTGCATCTGACCCCATGCAATCCTGTCTTTCCTGTATTGAGACAGCAATTGAATCATCGTTGTTAGATCCCTGCTAAACATTGCAATAGTGTCTTGGGTATAGCTGGGGCCTTTGTCTCCCAGCAAGGGAGGAAAGGGAAGATATTGTTACTACTATTATAGATGGAGAAACTGGGTCACAGCATTAGATCAAAACAGACCTATGACCAGAATCTAAATATCTTGCCTGCTGACCCGCTGCCCATTCCCCTGGCCCAGGCTGTCCTGAGACCGTATATGGGTAGGACTGGGCTGGGTTTTTTGCTTGGATTCAGGCCTAATCTGTAAACAGAACTTTTGAGTTGAAGTGGTCTGCTTTTTGTGACAGTCACCATTTCAGAGTCTCTCAAAAGTTCTCTTCACAGAGAGTTGTCTTCAGCATCCCTAGGAGCGATGTAGAGACTACTTGGGCTCTCCGACTGCATTGCAGGATGAGAACATCAATTTTTGGCCTGGGTCCTTTGCAGTAATTTTTGCTGTCAGATCCACAGGTGGGCTTCTAGCTGCTTCTTGACTGAACTCAGGGAGTAAATTTATTTGCAATATGATAGTACCCTACCTTTGTTTCTGCTGTGATTTAATAGATTGGTTATGAAATTGAATAAAAATCATTGATGTCTTTCCAGAACATCACCATGGGCCCCACTCATGATAATAGGGGCTGATTTTGCACTAGCAAGCAGAAATGAGTCAAGAGACTGACTTGGTTTTTATGTCTTCTGTCCCTTTCTAGACTAAATGAAGATCAAGTCTGAAAGTCATTCACTTTGTCATCTGTTGGCTCTACCTTTGACTCAAGTGCCAGCCTCTTCATCTCTCTCCTGGATTCCTATAATACCTTCTCAGCTTCGGCTGTCATTTCCCCTCCACACACAGCCAGCATGAGTGACTGCAAAATCAAAGTCCTGAGCTGGTCTCCCCACTCACTCAAAGGCCCTGTAGGACAGTGTCCCTCTGTGATGGCATAGCCACGCTGGCCTCTTGGCTGTTCCTCAGATATCCCATGCTGCTGCCACCTTGAGCACTTGCTGGTTTATCTGCCTGATTCAATGCTCTTCTCCCGACATTTATCCACATGGACCCATCTGCAAAGTTCTCAAGTTTCTGCTCAGAGTCACCTCATCAGGTTGGTGACAACCTTATTTAAAATAGCTCTTCTTCTCCATATCTCCTTGCCTGACTTCATTTTTATCATAGCAATTGTATTGATTTGTTTTGTTGTTTATTGTGTGTCTCCCTATTCTAGAATGTAAGCTCCTTGAGGACAGGGACTTGTCTGCTTGACTTGTTTCTATCAGGGTGTCAGGACAGGGCATATGGTAGGTGCTTAATAAATATGTGTGGGTGAATGGACAATGATTCATGGATGATATCCAGAGGGTAATGGTGATTGCCAGTCATGGGCATATGGCATTTTGTTTTACAATATTTTTATACATATGGGATATTATTATTATTATTTTTGAGACAGAGTTTCGCTCTGTCACCCAGGCCAGAGTGCAGTGGCATGATCTTGGCTGACTGCAGCTTTGACTTTCCAGTCTCACACAATCCTCCCACCTCAGCCTCCCAAGTAGCTGGGACTACATGCATGCACCACCATGCCTGGCTAATTTTTTAAATTTTTGGTAGGGCTAGGGCTTCACTAGGTTTCTCAGGCAGGTCTCAAACTCCTAGGCTCAAGTGACCTTCCTACCTAAGCCTCCCAAAGTGCTGGGATTACAGGGATGAGCCACCAGGCCCTGCCAATACTATTATTTTTGTTGCTTCATGATACGTTTTAGAAATCTTTTATGTTAGTTAAATGGAAAACTGTCTTGTTCTTTTTGACTGCTACATACCATTCCTCAGTGTGGGTGTACCGTGATGTAACCATTCCCTCCTTAGTAGTCCTTGTTTGCAATTTTTCTATTTTATTTCATTGCAAATAGAGCTTTGAGAAACACCTTTGCACATGTGGTTTTGGGGACATGCATTATCATTTCTTTCATGTTGAACTCCTTCAAGTGAAATTTCCAGGTGTAAGTCACAGCTGCCCAATAGCTTTCTGCAATGATAAAAGTGTTCTGTTCTGCACTGCTCAATGTGGTAGCTACTAGCCACATATGGCTTTTGAGTATTTGAAATGTAGCTAGTGCAACTGAAGAACTGAAATTTAAATTTTGTTTTAATTCTAATTAATTTATATTTAAATAGCTACATATGGCTACCAGCTACTACATTGAATGGCACAGGTATAAATGAATATATTTTAAATTTTAATAAACACAGCTAAAATATGGCTGGGTGTGGTGGCTCATGCCTGTAATCCCAGCACTTTGGGAGGCTGAGATGGGAGGATCACTTGAGGCCAGGAGTTTCAGACCCGCCTGGTCAATATAGTGAGACCCCATCTCTACAAAGAAATTTAAAAATCAACCAGGTGGGTGGTGCTTCTCTATGGCCTTGGCTATCTGAAAGACCAAGGTAGGAGGATCACTTGAGCCCAGGAGTTTGGGGTTGCAGTAAGCCATGATTGTGCCACTGCACACCAGCCTGGGCGACAGAGCAAGACCTTGTCCACTAAAAAAAATTACAACTAAAATCTACTCCAAAAGTTCTGTATTAGCATGTATTCTCACAAACAGTACCTGTTTTGCCACATTCTCAGCAACACCTTCTGATTTTTGCCAACAGATTTATAATAATAATTGTTCTTTTTTTGTATATTGGAAAAGTTGAACACATTTTCATGTATTCATTAGCCATTTGTTTTTCCTCTTCTGTGACTTGCTTATCATATCCTTTTTTTTGAGACAGATTCTCACTCTGTTGCCAGGCTGGAGTGCAGTGGCGCTATCTCAGATCACTGCAACCTTCGCCTCCAGGGTTCAAGTGATTCTCCTGCCTCAACCTCCCAAATAGCTAGGACTACAGGCACACGCCACCACGCCCAGCTAATTTTTGTATTTTTAGTAGAGACAGGTTTCACCATGTTGGCCAGGATGGTCTCAATCTCTTGACCTCATGATCCGCCCACCTCAGCCTCCCAAAATGCTGGGATTACAGGCATGAGCCACTGTGCCCAGCCGCATCCTTTTTTTTTTTTTTTTTTTTTTTTTTTTTTTAAGATGGAGTTTCACTCTTGTTGCCCAGGCTGGAGTGCAATGGCATGATCTCGGCTCACTGCAACCTCCGCCTCCCAGGTTCAAGTGATTTTCCTGCTTCAGCCTCCTGAGTAGCTGGGATTACAGGCACCCGCCACCATGCTCAGCTAATTTTTGTATTTTTAGTAGAGACGGGGTTTCTCCATGTTGGTCAGGCTGGTCTGGAACTCCCGACCTCAGGTGATCCACCCTCCTCGGACTCCCAAAGCACATCCTTTGTTTTTTATTCCATGGGATTAGCTTTCTCTTGTTGATTTCTTTTTTTTTTCTTTTTTTTTTTTTTTTTTTTGAGACAGTCTTACTCTGTCGTCCAGGCTGGAGTGCAGTGGTGCGATCTCAGCTCACTGCAACCTCTGCCTCCCGGGTTGAAGCAATTCTCCTGTCTCAGCCTCCCCCAAGTAGCTGAGATTACAGGTGCACACCATCACGCCTGGCTAATTTTTGTATTTTTAGTAGAGATGGCGTTTCACCATATTGGCCAGGCTGGTCTCAAACTCCTGACCTCAAGCAATCTGCCTGCCTTGACCTCCCAAAGTGCTGGGATTACAGGCGTGAGCCACTGCACCTGGCCTCTTGCTGATTTCTTGGAGTGCTTTCCATCTTGTGGGTATGTATGCGATCCTGCTATACATGATGCAGACGTGTCCTCCATCTGTCACAGGAGCCGGCACACTCCTCGTGCCCCATTCACCACAGAGGCCAGGCAGTGGGCACTATTGATTTGGAAGCAAACCAGAGAGCCTCCCTCGGCTTGTCTCTCATAAGAACCATGGTGGCCTTTTTGGCAGAGTCTTTGCTAACCTGTCCTCTCATTGTCCCAGAGCTTTGCAGTCAGGTCTGAGCCTTTGAATGACTCAGTTAGCTTAGATTCAAGTGGAGCCCCTGTTCCTAATGAATGCATGAGGACAAGCACTGTATCATGAATGCTATCCCAAAGTGGTGTGTGCTGTTTTGGTGGGCAACTCTACCAGGACTAGAATGCCTAAACAAAGATCACTGGGTGATGCCTCGCAGCCTAGGGCCCAGGAGATTCCTGCTGGGTGGGATGGCTTAGGCGGCCTCAGAAGACCTTTCTAATTCCAACACCAAATCCACATCCTTCCTCGCTTTGTCTCAGAAGAGTGCTGGGGTGACCAGTAAACTTGGATTTGTCTCCAGATAAGAACAGCATGACCTTGGAAAGTTCTCTGAGTCTGATTTTCCTTATCGGTAATATGGGCTTACAAATATACGCATGATCATCATCCTCCTAGGGTTGTTGTTGTGAGGTGTGTATGACACTGGAAAGGGCCTAGCAAACCTCAGGGTGCTGTCCTGAGAACTAAGGACCATCTGTCCCTAGGCCTGGTTCATATGTCAGGAATCTGTCTCCATGTAGAGTTAGAACAACTGAAGGCTCACCTTGCAGTTGGGCCATTTTCTTCTTATTTTCACAAGGGGTTTACAAGAACAAACATGCTCCCCCTTTTTTTCTTTAGCTCCCCAGCTGCTCACAAGAGACGGCTGATCCCCTTTCACAAAGTGGGGACCAACTGAGTATGTGGCCTGGAGCCTCTCTCATCCCCACTCCTGCCATTTCCAGGTACATAGGTTTCTTCCATGAAGGTAAATGACAATTCTGTAACTTTCAATTGGATCATAAATGAGCCATCCCTTGGCAGTTTGGGGGCCTGGAGACAAGGTGAGGCTCTCCTTTTCATGCTATTTTAATGCTGTATCTAGACATTTCTCAGAGCAGGGGAATGCTGTTTTCATAAATTCTCAGACTCTCCCCTCAAAAGACACATTGCTTTAACTTTCCCTCTTACTTCCCCAGATAGCCTGGTTCTTTATCCCCTTGCTCAGAGTTGGATATGAGATTCCTTTGTGGAGTAAGCCCTGATTTTAATGTCACATATATTTGCTTTAAAAAGCCAAGGTCTGCCACTTACCAGTGGGAGGACCCGGGCAAATTGCTTAACCTCTTTGACTCTTAATTTTCTCATCTTTGAAATGGAGATGTTGAGTCTCAAGAACTATGATTGTCCATAGAAGTAAATGTGATCATTAATGCAAACACCCAGCCAAGTGCCTGGCACTTGGGGAGTTGTCATCTCTTTCTTGTTAATGTAATTATTATTGCACAACAAAGGTTTATTGAGTGGTTGATGTGAAGATGAATAAAACATGTTCTCTGCCGTTCAGAGGCTCATGATCTAGTTGGAGAAGAAACACCAGCATTGACAATTTGAATACGAACACAAGAGAAACAGGTTCTTTCTGGTTTTCCAGACAGCAGGGCAGCTGTGGAAAAAGGTCCTCATCGGGGCCGCTGCTGTGTCTTGTGTCATAACAGGCCCAGCTGCAGGGCAACTTCTGGCAGGGGCAGTATAACGGTAGGACCAGGTTCAGTGCCCATCCTGCTCATCTGCTCATAAAGTACCCATAAAAGGCCCGGAGGTCCCCCTAGACTCCCAGTCCCTCTCCGGATGTGCCTCCAGCTCATCATCCAGAGCTGACCGGCTGGGTTGAGACTCTACGCTGGATTGGGTGTTTTACCCCTTGGCTAGACCCTTCAAAACTGAAACTAGAACTCTGGTTGGTTCTCAGGTCCTCCACCATAAGCCTCTGCCCCAGCTCCCTGAGTCATCACCAAAGGTTAGCCTGGCCCCACCTAAACCTTGGTTCAGGCAGGAACAGTAGCCCTGCTTGCCTGGGAACGGAGTCTACAGAGGAATGGCCCAATGCTGGGGCACAGCGCTACACTCATGGTGCACAAAAGGATCTCCTAGGTTTCCATGCCATCTCCTAGGAGGCATAAGAGATCGGGGCAGGTTGTAGATGGATGAATTCCTTAGCTTTATCCTTGTCATGCAGACATGGGTTGTTCAGTCTTGCCACTATACAACATACCATTATGAAAATAAGTGGGCCAGGAACAGTGGCTTATACCTATAATTCCAGCACTTTGGGAGGCCAAGGCAATTGCTTGTGCCCAGAAATTTGAGACCAGCCTGGGCAATGTGGCAAAATTCCAGACCTACAAAAAATACAAAAATTAGCTGGGCAAGGTGGTGTGTGCCTGTAGTCACAGCTACTTGGGAGGCTGAGATGGGAGGATTGCTTGAGCTGGGGAGGTTGAGGCTTCTGTGAGCTGTGATTACACCACTGCACTCCCAGCCTGGGTGACAGAGAAAGACCTTGTCCCTGTTTTTTTAAAAAAGAAAAAGAAAATAAGCAGCATTTTCAAGTGACCAGATGGCTCCAGGATTCAGTCTTGCCTCCTCTCTGGCATCATTTACTTCTTGAGAGAGGAGAATCTGTGATGTGGGCTTAAGTTGGACCTGGGCTGAGAGGAAAAGCAGTGGGAGGGTGGAGCTCCAAGGAGATGGGGAAGGCCTTAGAAGAAGCACTGATTTTATATAAGAAATGGAATTTCCGTAAAGGGTGATTTTAAAAAATCACTTAAACCTAGAGTCTGGCTAAGGTCCACGCACTGGCTAAGATCAACATTAGCCCATTAATGAGTAGACTCGGAGAAACAGACAGAACATTGTGATGCTCTTGAGACTGAATTAGCATAACTGGATCTTGGCACATTGTGTATGGATGACCCATCTCTAAGCGTGGCTGCATGGAAACTCCATACCTTCTCCTGTACCTCCTCAAAGTTTTTTTTTTTTTTTTTTTTTTTTTTGGCTCAGTATTTGTCTGATGGTTTATTTTTTAGAAAAAGTTAATTATTGTAAAACTCTCTTTCTGTTGAGCTAATAGAGAAGTAGAAGTAATTGAATTAAAACACTTTTATTGAGTACAAAAACAGTGAGGCTGACTAATTTAATTATCTTGGACTCAATGTTTTCAAGTCATTGAAAACATGTTCTCCTTTTAATTAACCTTCTGGGGTTTTTTTTTAAAGCTCTAAATCAGGCATTTATCAATGCTTTGCTCATGAACAAACATCTATTGAGTACCTTCAGGGTTGAGGCCAAGGCCAAGCAGGTCCAATCCATCAGCATGTGAAGGCTCTGAGGTCTGACCATACATATTGATGAGCATGCCCCATAGTGATCTGTGTGTTTCCTCAAAGTCATGAGACCACTGTGATCAGTTTGTGGAGGTACAAAGTGAAGAGGAGAGATGAACTCAGGAAAGGTCCACAGGGGCCTCTTCTCAATGAATCTGATAATCCCACTTTGTACCTCTCAGCCTCATATACCAAGAAACTTGCTGTTAGCACAACAAGAATATCTCTGTCTCTTGAGGCAGACTCACATTAACCAGGCTCACAGAGGTTGATGTATAGACCAGAATGAAACCCTTAAGGATTGAGGAGTCTGAAGAGTTCTCTCTCTATAGTCATGTCAGAGGCGTTTGAACAAGAGCAACTCCATCTTGAATGGGGCTGGGTAAAATAAGGCTAAGACCTGCTGTGTGGCATTCCTAGCCAGTTAGGCCTTCTAAGTCACAGGATGAGACAGGAGGTCGGCACAAGATACAGGTCATAAAGACCTTGCTGATAAAACAAGCTGCAGTAAAAAAGCAGCTAAATCCCACCAAAACCAAGATGGCAACAAGAGTGACCTCTGGCCTTCCTCTGCTACACTCCCACCAGCACCATGACAGTTTACAAATGCCATGGCAACGTCAGGAAGTTACCCTATATGATCTAAAAGGGGGAAGCATGAATACTCCACCCCTTGTTTAGCATATAATCAAGGAATAACCATAAAAATGGGCAACCAGAAGTTCTTGGGTCTGCTCTGTCTATGGAGTAGCCATTCTATATTCCTTTACTTTTCTAATAAATTTGCTTTCACTTTATGGACTTGCCCTTAATTCTTTCTTGTGTGAGAACCAAGAACCCTCTCTTAGGGTCTGAATCGGGACCCCTTTCCGGTAACAGTCAGACTGCTTAGGAAGCTGAGTGATCACTAGAAGACAGTCATTAAGCCTGGAAGCAGAGCCAGAGGGTGAACATGTGACGGTTTAATGGCATCAAGCCAGAGCTGAAAGAGGGAAAAAGCTTTGATTATAAATAATGCTCAGCAGGTCTCCAAAAAGGTAAAGCCATTTGATTTATTTATTCTTCATTTCCATGGCTTTGTATATATATATATATAGGTGCTCAGTGAATGTTTGTTAAATCAATGAATATGTGCCAAGAAGGTGATCAGATCCTAAGGGCTAAGAAGGGAAAAACCAGGCAGTCTGGGAGTTGTTAAAGTGTGGAAGACTGGTTACCCCATACCTTCGTATGGGTACCAGTGGTCATTGGTTTGAAATGAGGTGGTGTGACTGAAGGAAGAGGATATCAGCTCAGTTCTGAGTGACAAACATTGAATCAGCAGACACTTATTGAGAACCAGGCAATGGGAGCATTGAGGGGACAAAATCTTTTTTCATGGCGACCCATAGTCTCACGAGGTATTGTTCTACCTTCGTCGAGAAAAATCTCCCACATCTGCTGATGGCAGACCACATGGCACTCAATAGACCAGAAACCAAGACTGCTTGATTTGCCAACCCTGGACTGCCCAGACTTCATTCAGCAGAAGTCTAGCTTTTATGTGTGCAGTTTGATATAGGAGCTTTCTGACTGGCAAAGATGAATGTGTCTTTCTTGATTATTAAAATATTTTCTTTATCAAGTAACTGGGCACTCTGAGATTGAGCCTTAATATTTCTGTATGCTTGAAAGCAGAAAGAAAAGGGCTATTCTAAAAGTAATCCAGGCCGGGCATGGTGGCTTATGCCTGTAATCCCAGCACTTTGGGAGACCAAAGCAGGCAGATTATTTGAGGTCAAGAGTCCGAGACCAGCCTGGCCAACATGGTGAAACTCTATCTCTACAAAAAATACAAAAATTAGCTGTGGTGAGATGCGCCGGTAATCCCAGCTACTCCGGAGGCTGAGGCAGGAGAATCGCTTGAACCTGGGAGGTAGAGCTTACAGTGAGCCAAGATGGCACCACTGCACTTCAGCTGGGGCCACAGAATGAGACTATATCTCAAAAAAAACAAAAAAACAAGAGTAATCCAAATAAATGTTCTTCATTTGGTTCTGAAAGTGGAAGCAGGCAGCAGCTTTGGGGCTAATTCATTCCTTGCTCAGCCAGGGGGATAACTTTGTGAGTCCTTTTGTCACACCAGTGTACATCGGGTACCTGTCCATTCTTGGGACAAACACTGGTGAAATAGACAAAGACAAAATACAAAAATTAGCCTGTAGTCCCAGCTTCTTGGGAGGCTGAAATAGACAAAGACAAGCCTAGGTCATTCTTTTTCTGTTTAATAGTGTAAAAGGCTGTACATTCCAACTGACAGATTTTTACAATAAAGAAATTGGCCAAAAATTGGCTTTTGGGTGCCTCTGGAATAGAATAGAGAAAATTGGAGAAGGGGCTCCTTTGAGGATAGTATTGCCAGGATTGGTGGTTTATTTCCCCCAAACAAGGGCATGCCACTGAGTGACTTGTTCACAAGTCTCCTTGCTTGGAATTATACACTCAGAAATTGCTTTGGAGCTCACTTTAGGTGCAGGAAACTTGTTATCTGGGAGAGCTGCTGCAGCTCTGTGTCAGGCCTGACAGTCACCTTCATCTGGTGCATTGACAGTTACTGTCCCCTAAGCAAGATCATCTGAGATCCAAAATCCCCTCTGTGAGTTGTGTTTTCCCAGTGACCTACTGTGTTAGTTAAGGTAATGCTAGCTGCTATAACAGACACACCCTGAACTCCCAGGGCCTTAGCACAATGAAAATTTATTTCTTGCATACTTCACAGTCCCAAGAGGATGTTCCTGGTCAGTCAGCCTTCCAGATGGTCATTCAGGGATCCAGGCTCCTTCCATCATGAGGCTCTGCCTTCTGTAAGTCCTTGGTGTTCTCTGCATTCTGCCAGTGGGTAGAGGGAGGCACCAAGGGGAAGAGACATCTCCATGTTACCTTTGGGCTGAAGGTGCCAGTTGTTACTTCCATGCATTTGCCACAGCTGAGAAGCCTTCCATGGCCCTACTGAGGTGCAAGGGAACCTGGGAAATGCAGTTCCTGTGAGTGCCCCGGCAACACCTCTACATGATGGGAAAGAAACAGAAATATTTGCCACACCTAGAAACACCTGGCATGGGGTAGAAAAATAGGAAAGGTTCACAATAAAACAGGGAAGGGGGCGATCTCAGGAGGGTGTGTTGAGAAAACACAATTCTTCTAAGAATTATTATTCTGGAGCTGTCCAGGTTTAGTCTAACTGAAGCAACACCTCTGAGACTCTGAGCAAAGGGATAGATACATGGGCCTAGAGCTGGTTTGATTCACTCTTCAACCCACTCCTGTAATCTCAAGTGAGGGACAGTCCTCAGGAGAGTGATGGTGTCTCCATTAAGGGGAAAGCCCTGTCTTTCTCATCTTGCCCCAACCATCCATAAGGCAGGAGAAATGTCCTCATCCTATTTCCCAAGAACGAACCCTGCAGGTCTGGTGAGTGTGCTGTTGCATTCATTTAGACAACAGACGTTTCTCTAACATCTACCATGTCCTAGGTACTATCACACAAAGGAGAGGTGCTTTTTCTGGCCCCCTGAGTTCCGGTCCTGGGCTGCTTACTAGGGCATTTGGCAACTCACTCCATCTCTCCAGCCCTCCCTTTCCCCACCTGTAAAGTAAAGTTCTTTAAATTCTCTCTAACTCAGTGGTTTTTAACCAGGGGCAGTTTTATTCCCCTAGAAAACATTTAGTGATATCTGGAGACATTTTTTGGTTGTCACAACTGAGGGGAAGAGGGTGCTTCTGGCATCTAGTAGGTAGAGGCTAGATACGCTGTTAAACATGCTGCAATGCTTAGGATGCCCTCAACGTCAAAGAATTATCCAGCCCAGATGTCAATAGTGCTGAAGGTGAAAAACCTTATTCTTAGCTCTAAAATTCTGTGATTCTTGCCAAGCAGAGAAGTCAGTCTGAATCTGGGATGCTGGAAATACTTGATTTCTATAAACTTGGTTAGTGGTGCTTCTCCTAACACAAAGATTCTGCCATTAGACTTCCCTCAGGTTGTTGTAGGGACCCGTCACTGGTAAATGTGTGTCACCCACACAGCAGCCACGTTAGAGGAGTGACCACAAATTCTTCTAAATGTCTAGCTTAAGCCCCTCTTGATTCAATTCATCCTGCCTTGACATGATTTACGGAACTAAAGCAAGCACGTGAAGATGGTGTGCTTGGGGTTTTGGTCAGTAGGAGCTAGACTTTTACCCCTCAAGTCTTGGTAGAGGGGGTGCTTTGCATAGATCCATTCCCATTCATTTCCTTTGTGCCCTATGTCTGAGGACATACAGCTGTGAGATGGAGACATAGGAGTGCTCTATGTCCACCCATGTCTTCATCCATCCATTCGTTCACTCAACATTTATTGAGCACCCACTGTGAGCTTAATCCATAGTCCAGGTACTCTGCTCCTTGTGCTGGCCACAGAGCAGTGAGTTAGACAAACATCGCAGGGCCAATGGAAACCACACACTAGTTGGGGAGCGGGTAATAAACAAGTAATCATGGTACAATTTACTTCTACAGTCAAGAGCCCTCTCTCTATGGAAGGTCGTTTATTTATTTATTATTTTTTTGAGACAGAATCTTGTTCTGTCGCCCAGGCTGGAGTGCAGTGGCACCATCTCACCTCACTGCAATCTCTGCCTCCCGGGTTCAAGTGATTCTTCTTCCTCAGCCTCCAGAGTAGCTGGGATGACAGGCGCCTGCCACCGTGCCTGGCTAATTTTTGTATTTTTAGTAGAGACGGGGTTTCACCATGTTGGCCAGGCTGGTCTCGAACTCCTGACCTCAAGTGATCCACCTGCCTCGGCCTCCCAAAGTGTTGGGATTACAGGAGTGAGCCACCACTCCCGACCAAGAAGACAGTTTATTTTGCCCTAATATTGGCTAAGGGAATCTTCCCAGATATTCTAGCAGAGGAGATTACAGACCTTACACTTCTGCTGCAGAAAATCACAAAATTTTTAGACTCTCCCTGGAAAGCTTGGGGCTGCAGCCTTGCTCCTCCCGCCTGTCCCCTTTCTGCAGCCCACCTGCTGCCCAAGGGTGCTGTGCATTCCGTCCTGGGGATCCAGAGGAAAAGGGGCTTTGTGGGGAGAGGAGGCAGGGATAAAGGAAAGTGCTAAGGCCCAGCCAATTCCTCCTAGGCTTGTAAAATTCCAGGGCTGAGTCCAAGTTCCCAAAATAGAAGTGAAGGGAGAGCAAACTTCCTGGCTGTGGTGGAGCCCCTGATGTGTTGAATGAAGCTGTTGGTTTGCAGGGTCTGGGAGGGTGTGTATGGGAGATGGGGGGGTCAGGGGGTGGTGGGGAGGGGCCTGAGTGACCAGAGGTGACCAAGATCCTGGGGGACAGACAGCACCTGGAGTGGTGACCACAGCTGCAGGAGCGGCAAGACTCCCAACACTCCATGCTTGGCGGTCACTTCTTTCTTTAGAAAGAGATATTTTGCTTTCTGTGGGCTTGAGAAAGCAGCAAATGACTGCACAGTCATGGGCTGTGCAGGGCCATTGTGACATGTTTGTCCTGTGGGGGCAGCGAGTATTTGTGGATGTGGGTGGGGGTGTGGACGCTTCGTGTCCACTGGCAGCCTGAAAATGAGGAGCGTGCGCCTGGATGAATGTCTGCTCTAAACTCAACTGCTTGTTTATTCAATGTCCTTAAAAAGGCTCTTAGTTCATCAGCAGTGTATTAAAAGTGTATAGTTCAACAATGAGCTTTTTGTTTAGATATCTTGTTTCGCAGTTTCTTAGGTTCAGTAAACACATTTTTTAAAATGTCTTAATTGTCTCATGAAGATATCTGACACAGTTAAATAAAAACAAGTGTTAGATTAAAAAGCCATGTAACTGCCCAACAGGTTCACCTTATCCATTGCCTAAACAGAGCCGATTAATCAAGACAGGGGAATTGCAATAGAGAAAGGGTAATTTATGCAGAGCTGGCTGTGCAGGAGAATGGAGTTTTATTATTACTCAAATCAGTTTCCCCAAAAACTCGGGGATCAGAGTTTTTAAGGATAATTTGGTGGGTAGGGGGCTAGTGAATTGGGAGTATTGATTGGTTGGCTCCGCAATGAAATGACAGAGCGTCAAAGCTGTTCTCTTCTGCTGAGTCAGTTCCTGGGTGGGGGCCACAGAACTGGTTAGCAGGTCCAGGTGGGGCCATCCAGTTGTTAGAAATGCACCTGAAAACTCATCTCAAAAGGCCAATCTTAGATTCACAATAGTGATGTTACCTCCAAAAGTAACTGGGGAAGTTGCAAATCTTATCACCTCTGGAATAATGGCTGGTAATATTTAGAATTCCAGCCCTTCTCTTCCTGACTTGGTGGCTGGTGGCCTGTCATTTGTTTTATAAGAATAGTTTAGCCTTTTAGGAAGGGCTATTATTTAAACTATAAACTAAATTCCTTCCCAAAGCTGGTTCTGACTATGTCCAGGAATGAACAAGGACCGTTTAGAGGTTGGAAGCAAGATGGTGTCAGTTAGGTCTGGTATCTTTCACTGTCATAATTTTCTCAGTTGTGATTTTTGCAAAGGCAGTTTCAGCCAAGGCAGCCCTGCAGAATGAATGGACAGGAGACATTCGCCTGAATTACCCGGGCATTGACAAGTTCTCTAGGTTCACTCTTGGATTTGCAAATCACTTGCTGTGTGAATTTGGGGCAGTCTCTTCCTCCCAGTGTGCCTCAGTTTCCTTCTTTATTGGTTCATTCTATAAACATGATTTCAGTTGAAACATGCTAAAAGAATTGAAAAAAAAAAATCAAACAGACTGTATGTGCACAACCCTAACACCCAGGGGCTGCCTTCTTGTACTTAACTAGCAGTCCCTCGGGGGTACTGTTAGCTGAAATGCTAGTGAAATGACCGCTCTCCACAGATAAGGAATAGCTGATTGTTCCTCCCAGCCAGCGCTGGATTCCCTGGAACCATTCACATTCTCTTTTCCTCCTTCCTTTGGAATATACAGACATATGCCTAGCATGCTGCCTGGTATGGAGCCAGCTCTCAGCCAACACGTCTGAGTGAAGCTGCATTGGGCACACACCCGCGTGGGGCAGTGTGAGGCTGGCACTGCAGGCCACCCCAGGCAGATGCCTTCCTGCTGGCACTGACTGAAGGCCTGAGGGATTCCCTGGGCAAAGCCAGAGAATCAAATGGCCCCTATATGAGATGTTTTCTCCCATTGGAAACTAAGTCATTTTGTCACTTGTCCCAACCTTCCTCTTCTCAATCTTAAATACAGCTTGTGCCTTTGGCTTACGTATTTCTTTGCATTGGCTCGGCATGGCTCATAAACGTCCAAGGGTAGGGTCATATGTGTCAGACATGCTGCTAGTTTCTCATCCCACAAAGCTTCAATATGAGCTGGGTATGACCTCCCTCTTGGTATCAAGGAGGCTAGTATCAGAGAATTCGAGCAGCTAGTTCAAAGTCAAACAGCTGTCAGGAGCTGGGGCTGCGATTTGAACCTGGGCAGAGAGCAAAGCCCACACTCATTCTATTTCATGCGGCTTTCTCCTTCTGCCTGAAGTCACGTTCCCCTGATCCTGAAGGTTACCGCAGGCGTGTGTGTCCTGGAGAGTCTTCAAGGGTCTCCCCATCCCTAGTGAAGCCTTCTAAATTTCACAGCTCTGACCACAGCAGCCCACCATCAGGCTGTGTGCCCTGGTGTGCCTGGCAGGCTCTATGCAAACAGAACCATTTTTGATACTAGTGATGTTAACATATCATAGGTTTATGTAATTATTATTGTTACTTTGGTCTTGATTTCCTCTTGCCAGACACGATGTCTAAACAGGAAAGACCAGCTTTCCTGTTGGGAGATCAGTGACTTCCAGAAGGAGTTGGCTTAGGGAGCTCCTCTCCACGCCCCCTCCCCTTCTTGTGGTTTTCAAAGATTCCTTTTCAGTCTTGAAGATGAGTGGGAAATACCAATAATAGCCCCTGGGAAAGGAAGGAACCCCACAGCGGGCCAGTTCAGGGGATGCCTCTGCAGCAAGTGATGGGCTCTGTTCCAGGAACCCCTCCCTTCCATCCTTCTGTGCGGGCCACTCCACGTCCACAGGGAGAGAGGTGGCCCGCCCAACCCTGAGTGTGCAACCCGAGGGCAGCTGGGGATGAGTGTCGTGGCGCCCCTCGTGGCCATCTGTCGGTACCTGTGCCTCGCGCAGGGTCTGTGGCTCAAGTTGTGAATGGTGGGGCTGGGTGTGGCGAGGCCTCCGGCCTGGAGTCTAACTTCTGGGTTCTAGGCAAGGTTAAGGTCCTTCCCCATCACTCCACGCTATGAAGCTCTAATTCTTTCATTTAACTTCTCACTCATTGAACAACTATTACATAAAAGGCATTGCCTGCAGTAGAGGCTCTGAGACACCAAAATGAATCCAGCAGTCCTCCTTGGAGGCTACAGAGGCAGACAGGGAGAGCCACACAGGCACACAGTGAGGCCAGACACGAAGGCCAGGGAGCAGGGGAACAGAAGTGAGGCCGGCAGATCTCTGGGTCCAGGACCCTTGCCCTGGCCATGAGGTGGAGGGTGCAGCAGGCTTCAGCCCCAGAGGGCCACCTCGCGTCCCCAAGAGGCAGGGGTTGGCTAGGGCTCCAGGGGACCCTTTCTCTGGGGCCATATATGAGGGTGGGTTCTACTCGGTCCTGTGAGCACCCTTGGGCTGCCTGCTCTGCCTTGCCAGGCTCTGCCTGCCTTCCTGGTGCCACATGGGGCTGGGTGTGGGGAGCAGGGGAAGGAGAGCCACGTTCCCCTCCTGTCCCAGAGACTCTTAGAGAGATGAGGTAATGTCTGTAGCTGCCCTGGGGAGGGGATGGGACATGCACAGTGAGGCGACCATCCGACTCTCACTCCATGCTGCATAGGGACCCTGCACTCTGGGTTTCAATGCATTCCGTTACCCTCGTTTCCTCCTCCGGAAGCCGCCACAACATGCTAATCCTTCAGCAGAGCTGCAAGGGACAGAGAGGGAATGGAATCAATATTTATGAGGCCTTCAGGCCCGGCATGGTGGCTCACACCTGTAATTCAGGTGTGGCTCACACTTTGGGAGGCTGAGGGTGGATCGCCTGAGGTTGAGAGTTTGAGACCAGGCTGGCCAACACAGCGAAACCTTCTCTCTATTAAAAATACAAAAATTATCTGGGCGTGGTGGCAGGTGCCTGTAATCCCAGCTACTTGGGAGGCTGAGGCAGGAGAATTGCTTGAACCTGGGATGTGGAGGTTGCAGTGAGCCGAGATGGCGCCACTGCACTCCAGCCTGGGCAACAGAGCAAGACTGTCTCAAAAAAAAAAAAAAAATTATGAGGCCCTCAGGAAACCTGGGGGTCCATCCATCAACGCCAATCTGTGACCTCGTTCAGATGTTTCTCCAGCTCTGGCTGCTGGAACGTTTATTCCTCCATCAGGGCTTGGGCCATTCCAGGCTGGGGAGAAGAGGCCAGAGGGAGGAGGGAGGCCCCCAGCCAGGTTCCGGCTTGGGCAGTGCAGCCAGCAGAGGGGCTTAGGAGCAGCAGGCAGTGGAGTCCTGAGCAGAAGCAGGAGGGTTGCAGGGCTGTGCTGGCACCAGCCGTGGTACAACTGGGGCATGGATGATGACTGAAGATGGTCAGGTAGAGGAGAGTTGAAGCTTCTACCCTACATGTGTGCTCACTGTTCAGGAGACTCATCAGCGCTGCTTTACAGTGTGGTCGCTGGCTTTTCCCAAGAGAAAGAGGAAACTGCCAGGACTGCTAAAGGCTGGGCCCAGGACTGCTGCTCCTTCTATGGCTCGACACAGGGGGAAGGGGGACAGCCTCGCTTCTTGCTGGGGCTGATCACAGGGGAAGAGGGGTCCAAGGCCACCATTGGAGACCACGCATTCTACGTGAGGGCCACGGGTCCCCCTGTGTCTGCCTTTCCACGTGGGGAGGGGTACATAGCAGCTGTGAACCTCTCATCTGCTGCCCCAGGCTTTTGGATCCTGTCAATGCACAGACTCTGACAGACTCAAACATCTGCCTTCCAGCCTCGGCCATGTACTCTGGTGACTTCCCCAGAATGAGTGTGGCAGGTCGCCTTGATCCAAGTAGCTGCCAACTCACCCTTGCCCTCTTAAACAGCCCCTTTGTGGACAGTGGTCAGTGACAGAGACATGGGTGACCTGCTGAGTGGGAGGGGAAGGCTCCTCTCTGGAGGTTCAGAGGTGGAATTCAGACCCGCAGGCCAAAGTCTCAGAAGGCAGATTTTACGCCCACGCAGGAGTGAATAATAAACTCTTTAATACTGGAGTGGTCTGATTTCCAAAAGGGGGTGCCCTGTCCCTAGAAGTGTTCACACAGAGGCCGGATCATCCCTGCCGGGAGAATGAGAATGAATTCCTACACTCGTGGAGAGGCTGGACTCTTTAAACTTCCAAGATTCCTCACGCTTTTAATCATCCTTCATTCTAATTATCCAGACCCTATTTGGTGACAATTATCATTTGCAAGTCCCAGCAATCCTCATTTTGGGGGCCAATCCCTAGTTGCTTGTGTAAGTAAGCATTGTTGAGAAAAGGGTCCAACAGCTGGAATCCAGGAAGGCCCTACCTACCTAGGCACCATGTTAATGCCCAGCTAGTCAGTTGGGTCCAAGCGGCTTTGAGTATTTCTATTTTAATATAACTGCATGAAATTCGCGCACCCGGGAAAGAGCTCGTGCGGGGTCACTGAGCACCTTCTTTTCTTGGCCCTGAGGTTGGGCTGGGGGTGGAAAGGACCCTCAGCTCAGAGCCCTCCGTGAGGCCCCCAGCATCTACTGCATCACAGATTGGACTGTCCCCAGCCACAGGACAGGGCTCAGGCCTCCCAGTTCTCCAAGAAGCGCATTCCCTGGGGTTGGCCCACAGGACCGGGCTTCTCCGTTCACCTTTTCTCTTGGATTCGTGCACCACCTTGGCTGTACTGAGAAGCAGTAGTGTGAGCAACCAGGTTTGAAGGCCACAGGCTCTGACCCCAATGCCCACCCTGTGCTGCTCCGGAGGAACTCTCTGGGGTCTCCTGCCCCTCAGGCTCCAATGCCGGCCCCAGCCTCACTCTGCCAGGGCCATGGATCCTGCCCTCACAGCCCTGGGGGGGAAGGACCAGTGCCCAGGCAAAGCTCCATGCCTGGCTCACACAGGCCCACAGGAGAGGGAGGAAAAGTCTCCCTCATGAGTAGCCAGGGTCAGGGTCCAATGAGGGCCCTTAACATGTAAAAGATGTAGCTTGAGCTCAATCAGCTTTAACCTTGTCTTTCCATTACCTCATAAAGTAGCATGGAACTCTTGACAAAAGTAGCAAAGCTCTGAGGAGATGTGCGCTTACTGGCTTTCTAGCATATTCCAAAGTTCTCTCTGCCTCCAGGTGTGTTGCTGCTGCAGGGCTGCAGGTAGGCATGGGCCGGGCTGCAACTTGGGGCTCTTCTGAGGACCTGGGACTCTCCCCGGGAAGGGCGGCCGTGCAGCTGTTTCTAGATCAGCGAGGATTTCACCACAGGACTCCCATTCTGTGATCGTGCTTCCAGGCTGACCTGTGGCACGTGTGTGCAGGGTGTCGTGCATGTGTATTGTGCGTGTGGTGGGTGTCCACTGTGTAGTGTGTGTACACATAGTATGTGTGGTGTGTGTATACTGTGGTTTCTCCCCTGAGGCCGGCGCCTCCGGGTGTGGTGTTGGCGCTGTGTCTAGGGTTTCTAGAAGGGGAGGAATGAGGGAAAGAGGCCCCTCCGGGCACTGGGACAGGCTCAAGGGGAACAGCCCCGAGCTGGGTGTTGGCTGAGTGTGAATTCCAGCAGCCAGGCTCACAGACCCGTGTCACCTCTGACGTCAAGTGGCAGGGACACGCTAAAAGCCTTTGAGTCTATTGATTGAGAAGGCTCCAGAAGGTTTTGGAGCGCTGGAAGAAGGCCAGGCCTGGAATTTACGCGTCGGCCTCTTGGTGTCTCCTCCCGCTGAAGGGAGTAAATCCAGGCAGGTCTGGGGCTGCCGGGCGGGCACCTGGGGCGGAGGAGCCTCGAGGCTGTGGTCCTGCAGCACCACCTGGGGGCGGCGAGAAGAGTAGCCGCAGAGGCTCGGGAGGACGCGCCCTCGGGTCCAGCCGCAGCCAGCACACCGGGAGGTGGTCAGGGGTCATCTCTTCTGCGCCGGCCCCAAAGTAGACTGTCCAGTTCCCTGGGAGATACTGCGAAATCTGCTTCATGTTTCCATTCGTAGACAGGAAAAAAAAAAGCCCGCCCCAAAAGCCTGAGCTTCCATTAGGATTACCTTGCCTGGGGTCCCAGAGTGACCATAAAACACCATTTCCCACCCTCCCTGCCCCATTGGTTTGTCAGAATACTGCTTCCACTAAGAGGTACCATCGTTTAAGATTCTTAGAATATTCTACCTAAAAGGCCTGAATATTCTCATATTCATGTGTGGCCTTAGAATGAATATCCAGCCTGAAAGGAGATGGTGAAGTATGCCTGCCTCATAGGGAAACTGAGGCTCAGCAAGGCTCCGTGGAAGAGGGGAAACCTTACCCTCTGAGTGCTCCATAATGGAGTCTATGGAATAAACTGACAGCAGGCGGATTAGCAGGAGGAAGGGTGACCACATTTATTATGCACATGGATGCATCATGGGAAAGAAAAGTGAATATCTCCAAACCAATGAGAGACCTAGAAGCTTATGCGCCTGACTCACCGCGGAGGCAGGAGAGGGGATGGAGGTGCCATGGGGAGAATGAATGATTTGGGGAAAGATGAATGGGCCCTTGGGAGAATATGGGTAGCCTATGACAAAGTTGGCCTGGGCATGGCATCAACCTTCAGTCCCCTCTGCTGTGATGCGAGTCTCCCCTGGCTCATGAATTTCCTGGGGAGGGGGATTCATGATAATTGAGGTCCCTTTGGAGGGTCCGTCTTTAGGCAGACAAAGGCAGCTCAGAGCAAGCCTCCGCCTGCATCCTGTGCTGCCCAGTGCCTTCGGTTCAAGGTAGCTGGCATACCGTGTTTGGGTGGCACTTCCCGAACTCCTTCAGCCCAGTCCCTTGACTTTAAGCCCAGTGCTCTTTCCACTGCTGTCCACGGTGTGTGGCCCTCCCCCCGTGCAGGTGTGTGACTGGGCACCCGCAGAGGGACACCAGGCCACAGGGAAAACAGAGAGAGGCAGACCCAGATAATGCCAAGATGTGCACAGAGCTGAGTGCTGTAGAAGGAGCTGCAGGCATGGGATGGAGGGTGTGACACCAAGTGGTACCACCCACAGGACACATCTGCTGCGAAGATACTCAGACTGAAGTCTGGGTCCCAGAGAAATGACTCTTTATAGCACCTGGAAAGGCTACCCTGCTGCCTGCAGTCTCTGTGGAACAAAGAAGAAATGAATATTGCAATGCATGTCACACGTAAATTCAGCATCTAGCCCTGTTTGTACTTGACCTGGCCTGGCCACCTTGTTACCTTATGCTCCTCATCACAAACTCCTCCCCAGAGCCAGGCTGCTGGCCTCCCTGAATATCCTGCTTTCGCGCCTTTGCTTTTGCTGCTTCCCCTTCCCGGAGCACCTGCCATGCCCCCCTCACACCTTAGCATGTGAGTCGAAGCTTCCTGTACACAGCCAGGGGCTCCTGGAGGGGTGTGTTAGCTTCCTACAGCAGCTGTAACAAAGTCTTACAGACCGGGAGGCTTACACAGCAGAAACCTGTGGCCTCACAATTCTGGAGGCTGCAAGTCCGAGATCTAGATGTTGGCAGGTTGATTCGTTTTGTGGGCTGTGAGGGAGAATCTGTTGCAGGCCCCTCTGCTTGGCTGGTAGTCGACCATCTTCATGTGTCTTCATGCATCATTCTGTGTGTGTGGCTGTCTCCACGTTTCTCTTTTTTATAAGGACACTATTCATTTTGGATGAGTAATGGCCTCATTTTAACTTGATTACCTTTCTAAAGCCTTATCTTCAAATGAGGTGCTATTCTAAGGAACATGGGACGTCAGCAAATGACTTTTGTAGTAGACACAATTCCACCCACAATACCTGGTTCTGGCCTGGCCAGCCACTGCTGAACCGATGGAATGCTAAAGGGAATGGGATTTCGAAGTGAAAGATGGCTTGGAAGTTTGGAGAACATGAGGAGGAGGTCTCGGGGGTGTTGGGGGTGGATGAGCCCATTGCTGTGGGAGCAGAGAGGTCAGAGCATGTAGTGGAAAGGGGTTTGGGGTAAGCTTTTGCTGTTTCGGTTGTGAGAAAAACTTTCTTCCATCTCCTTGGGAAAGCGTTAGCAAGGAGTACATTACTAATCCTTAGACTGGAGTGAGATATGTGTTGGGTCAGGGGCAACGTGAGGACGTCCGGCACTACGGAAGGGCCAGGGGGAGCCCCAGTGGATCTAAATCTTTCTTACCCTTCCAGGACTAACTCACGTCCTTCTTCCTGGCACGTCTGAGCTTGCGTTATTCTGGCAGAAAACAAACTAAATTACAGTAAATATATCACACACATTATTTCCAGCGCCACTTCATTAGCCGGTGCTGTTTTGTAGGGCTAATTAACTGTGGCGCGTATGTTTGTCTTCTCCAGTTGATGCTGGTGCACGTGTATAGTCTGAGGTTTGTTTTTCCCCAGCCTCACCCCCATGGTGCCTAATACACCACATCGTGCACAGCAGGCGCTTGGAGCACGCCTGTAAACTGAAGGCTGCTTGGGATGCCCATCACGTTCCCTTATGCCAGCCTTAGCACAGCGTCGGGGTCGCCCACACCCAAGGCTCCCCCTGTACCTGTGGAAGGGCTAGAATGGAGACAAAAGGCGTGCCCCATACATTGTACTTCCTCAGTTTTGGAGAGGCTCACCCTAAGGTCCTCTGCAGATATTCCCGTTCTCAACAACGTTGGCCACACCCCTGGAGGCTTTGGAAGTTACTAGAAGGGCCCGAGTTTGACAAGGCCTTCTGCTGCTCTCTCTGACCTTAGGCCCTCAGGAAAGAAGGCGGAGGCATTTGGCACTGTAGTGGATGGAAACCAGGCTGCTCCGAGTGGCTGTTTTCTTTCGACGCCAAAGAAATGGAATTTGCCTGAGAGTCTCAGAGCGTCTCTTCCCACTTAATAAATTCTGTTTGAAATGGATGATAATGGCTTCAGGGACAATGTGTTCGAGATGGATTGTAACGGGAGATTAGGGAACAACAGGTTCACAACCCCCAGACCTGACGCTGCAGGCTTTTAGTCAGGGCCCTTCTGGGAGGACAAGCAGCTGGTCTAGGTGGAGGGAGAATTTGGAAAGAATCCAGGGCTGGAGCAGGGCCACATCATGAACTGAGGATGCAGAGGAGATCTGAGGCCAGAAGATGTTTCAAAGGTAGGGAAGGGCAGTGGGGAGAGTGCTGGGGAGGGGCCTCTTTGAGGCTGTTCCAGGAGATCAGCTCTTGCCAGGAGCTGGACTTTGAACTTGGGTCCCGTGATTATAAAATCCAGTGGGCCAGAAACCAATGATAATGATTATGGCCCCTTGCTACATTGGGATTTGGTGCTGCTGAATGCTCTGGCCTCAGAGGACCCCGTGACTTTGGGGTGCTGTCAAAGAAAAAATTATTCGTGATACTTGTTATAGATGGTAAGGCAGACTCTATTCACTGGGGGAATCACAGTAGCTCTCGGGACCACTGCAGTGGGGTCTTGCAGTGGGGAGAGAGACTGAACTCAACTGAGTCCAACAGGGACAAGTGAGGATTCATAGCCCAGGAGCAGAGTGGGTGTCCGTGGATGGAAAATTACTAAGAGGAGGCATTTTTGCTAGACTGACAACAGAATTCTTGCTGCAGGCAGGCCAGGCTGAGAAGATACCCAGGGTGATTAGATTCCAAGGGTGGGGAATTGTTGCTAAACTGACAATAGGATTCTTGCTCAAACTGGATTCTACAAAGACAGAGCGTGAAGCCCAAAGTCATACCTAGTTGAGCAGAGGACTCAGAGGAGCCTAAAGGTTTGGTCAAACGCAAGAGTCTTTGTCAGTGCCCGTATTCAAACCAGGTCAGGGGGAGCCCTGCTGTTGGCTTGCTGGGAGAGAGAACCAGCCCCCGACACACTCACATCATTGGGAATGTGTAAATACTTATGCAATGTGGATTACTATGTGTTTTACACATTACATATTCATGTGGCATATAATGGAAGCTCCCCCAAGAACCAGCAGAGAATGTATGGGAGCACAGGAGAGTGATTTAGATAGAGTAGCTGTCATCATTGTCACCATCATCATCACCCCCATTTTACAGATGAGGGAATTGAGGCCCGAAGAAGCTGGGGGTTGCCTGAAACATAAGAAATAAATGGCAGAGGCAGACCCTGTGGCTCACTCAGGTGCCTCTACTACTGTTATTATTACATGCAGGAATTGCTTATTGAACACATACTTGTGCCAGCTCTCACCATAGCCCTGCAAAGAAGAACCTGAAACTGGAAGAAATAACTTGCAATAGCAGGAATTTTCAGAGCTGGATGTTGAACTTGGGTCCTGTGATTCCAAATCCCATGCTCTGTTGACTTCCTGGCCCTTTGTCTCCTCAAGGTGTGTAGCTCACTCCAAATCCTATGCATATGGGGAAGTCTCCTCTAGCCCCACAGTTGGCATGGACCTAGCACATCCCTTATAGATAAGCCAAGTCAAGTCTAACTTTTTCTTGTGAGGTTGTTGGCATCACAGTTTGTCCTTGGGGATAGCTGAGCCTTTTTTTTTTAGAGCTGTCCTTTGACAGTCCCGCTCTGTCGCTCAGGCTGGAGTGCAGTGGCGCGATCTCGGCTCACTGCAACCTTTGCCTCGCAGGTTCAAGTGATTCTTGTGCCTCAGTCTCCTGAGTAGCTGGACTACCAGTACGTGCCACCACACTTGGCTAATTTTTTCTTTTTTTTCTTTTTATTTTTGAGATAGAGTCTCACTCTGTGGCCAGGTTGGAGTGCAGTGGTGCGATCTTGGCTCACTGTAACCTCTGCCTCCTGGATTCAAACAATTCTCCTGCCTCAGCCTCCTGAGTAGCTGGGACTACAGGCGTGTGCCACCACGCCTGGCTAATTTTTGTATTTTTAGTACAGACGGGATTTCACCATGTTGGCCAGGATGGTCTCGATCTCTTGACTTCATGATCCAATTGCTTCAGCCTCCCAAAGTGCTGGGATTACAGGCATGAGCCACCACACCCGGCCTAATTTTTGTATTTTCAGTAGAGACGGGGTTTCGCCATGTTGGCCAGCCTGGTCTCGAACTCCTGGCCTCAAGTGATCCACCCACCTCAGCCTCCCAAAGTGCTAGGTTTATGGGTGTGAGCCACTGCACCTGGCACACTGAGCCATTTTTTAATGGGAGATCTGCTGTGTTTGAGTTTTAAGGTGCACTGTGGGGAATGAGATCTTCTGTTCTCCTTACTTACTCCTCTCACAGGCTTGATATTCAGCTCCCCAATGCCTGGAATTGTACTATCTCTGTCTTCGAATGCAGATTTAAATACCCACATCAATCCTGAAAAAGTATTGCAATTGTCTCCAGAGTCAGTGAAGGTGTCTGCTGGAGCTTAGGTCTTTGAAGTTCAGGCTTAGGAGTTTGCTACTTTCTCATTGTGCTGCTGGGTGATAAATGTTGCTTTGCTTTCTGTTTCTTTTTTTTTTTCAGGCTTGTTTTTAATGAAAAGAAATGGCGGTTGGCAATATCCCTGAAGCTTTTTAGTGGGGCTCCTATAATGAGGTTTGCTGAAATTCTGGATAGGAAATGTTTCCCTCTGTAGGCTCAGATGCAGGATTTTAAACTTTTGTGATGTCTGTGGTCTTTTTCTTTTGAGCTGGCTGGGTTTGCCTCTTCAAAGATGTCAGCCCCAGCCTTGCCAAGTTTGGAGTTTACATCTCTAGCGTTAGTGACTTGCATGACTGTAAAAATAGGTCAGTGTTTTTTTTCCTCCCTCTCTTTCAAAGAAGAGAGAAAAATTGTGTGTGTGTGCATGTGTGTTTTCCAACATCCCATCAGTCAAAAACAGTTGAAGCAATTTTAGCTTACTTTTTCCCCAAAAGATTCACTCCAAGTATGACTCAGATCGTGGAACACTTCAAGGAAAATTTTTTCTGTGAAAGTTAAGTGCAATTAATGAGGAGAGATCTGGTGGGAGAAAGAATTCCTCAGTGTTCGCTATAATGTCAATTACAGGCTGCCTGACAAACACACATAAAACGTGTAACAGATCCACTGCCTGCTCCTGCGCCACATCAGGTTATTATGAGAGTGAACATTTCTTTCCATTACGAATCTGTATGGCTTAATTTTCCCAGCTGAAACTTTAAACAAGATGAAATTGCATGCATGCATGTGTGCGCACACACACACACACACACTCAACTATATTCTTTGAAAATACCACTGAAGAAAGTTTCCTAAAAACACATAAAACAAGGAAGCAGTTCAGCCATGAATACATTTTCTATGTGCTAAAAGGGGGTGAGTTAGACTCTAGATGCAAAACAGCTTAAACGCTTCTTGCTGCAACAAGGTTGCTGCCAGCTCTGTAAAGACTTGGAGTTTTATCCTATTCAGAATTGGCTTCTATTTCTTCCAAGTGCAGACGCATCCTTATGGCCTTGCCTATAAACACAGCCATGGGTATTTGCATAGAGGTCTGTGAGTCCCCGCCTTACCCTTCTCCTCCTCCCCTCACTCCACACTCATTTGCTCCTATAGGGTCTCTGTAGTGTTCTGGGGGCTCCCTTGCCCATGTCTGTTTTCTTACCCACTCCCAATCAGGGACCTCCTCTTTTCCCCGAGTCCTCAGCTTTTTCCTCTCTCCTTTCCATGAGCACTTCAACGTCCTCAAGCCTCTCCCACCTTAGAACAGAAACCTCTCAACCCCATGTCTCCCTCCTAAACACCCTATAGCTTCCCTGCCCTTCACAGCCAAATTGCTTGCCGCAGCTGTCTACACTTGCTGCCTCCACCTTCACATCCACGCATTCCCCCAGAACAACTGCCTGATGCTTTCCTGACATCCTTGGGAGTTCATCAGTGACCTCCCCATCCAAAGCCAAGGGCATGTTTCTCAGGCCTTCTCTTATGGGATTTTCAAGCAGCACTTGACGATGGCTGTCCACCCATTCACCCACTCCTTCATCACATGGTTATCTGAGGGGCTCTTACTTTTGGAGCTGGCCTCCTGGCTTCTGTGCTGCTGCTCTTTTCTGCTCCATCCCCACCTCTCCGGCCACCCCTCCTTTGCCCGCACTTCTAGCATTGCTTCTTCTACTCTCCCATTAAATGCCATTTTTGCCGAGGGCTCCGTCCTTGACCTCGGGTTTCTCACTTTGCAAGCTCTGCCCCCGCTCCCGCCTCTCCCTTTGTGTTGATGGCTTTCAAAGGTGCACCTGCCGCTTGGGCCTCTTTCCTAAGCTCCAGAGGCCTGCTGACTTCTCATGGATCAAGGCTTTGATCCCAGTTGCCATGTTATCTGCAGCCCACTCATGACTCTATGTTCAGGAATGGCTCTGGAATCCTGGGGCCATCCTTGACTCCTCCTTCCCCTTCTGGTCAACTTCAGATCTCTCCCGTTCAGGCAGAACAGCCTGATTCCCTTACCGGCTCCCCCATGCCTCTGGACGAGGGATCCCAGCACCACATACCAGAAGTCAGGGCGTTACCCAGCTCCACCTCCAACCCACCCACCCTGACCTGCTCCGCTTCCTACTGACCCCAACTGCAGCCTCTTCTCTTTTAAATAATAACAGCAGTTAACATGTAATCAGTGCCTGTTGTGTGTCAGCTGCGGAGGTAAGTGTCTCTTCGCTTTCAGACCCTGTGAGCTCTGTACCCATATTGTCCCATTTTACAGATGGCAAAACTGAGGCCCAGGGTGCGGGTTTTGTTGGGTCCTTCCTGTGGACGCCTTTTGGGCTCCCTAGCCTCCCGTGGCCCCTTCACAGCTTTTGGCTGCACCGTGTGCTTCGTGTCGCAACCCCAGAGCAGCTGGCACCCCCATCCCTGTGCTCAGTCAGCCCTGGCCTCAAAACGCAGCCGGGTCAGAGCCCTGGGGCCCCGCTTGCTCAGGCCTCATTTCCTCTGCCCTCATCCCTTGCTCCTGAATTTCTAAAAGAAAAAAGTCTACTAACTAATATCCTCTGCTCTCAGGTAATATCTTTGCAACCCAACCTCCTCACTGACTGTAGCAGGATTATTTCTTCAAAATTGCAATCCAGTCATGTCCCTTACAGCTTAAAACCCTTCCACGACATCTCTTTGTTGTCCTTAAGACAAAGTTTAAACTCTCAGCTTGGAACTGATCATAGCGGTCACTCTAAACTCCGCTCTCCCGACTCCTTGGGCAGCCCTAGGTGCATGGCAGACAGTCCAGCCTTCCTTGCTTCCCTTTCCCTCTCCTTTACAAACATTCCTGGGATGTGCCAGACAAGCGCTGTGCTGATCACCGAGAATGTGGGGATGAAACAGACAAGCTAGCAGACAAAGAGCAGGGTTCCTGCAGGCGTGTGGGGAGGGTCAGCTCTCCAGAACAATCTTAGTCCAGCACCACAAGTATTATGATGCAGGTGCATGGCTCCCCTGGTTCCAGGTTGATGGACTCTGGATGACTCCTTTGGCTCTGATAACCTCCCCTCATCTGGCTCTCCAGCTCCTAGTGAGAGTTCTAAACCCCGGAGAGCTCAAGGGATCATCTCCTCTGCTCCAGGATGCCTCCCAGGCTCCCCCTGCTGGAGGCTGGACACAGCTCAGGAACAGCCCTAGAAGCTGCTGCTTAGGATAAATGAATTCTGCATTTTATCCTAAAAGCAGGTCCGATTTAAAGATTGTGTGTGTGTGTGTGCGTGTGTGTGTGAGACAGGGTATCACTCTGTCGCTCAGGCTGGAGTGTAGTAGTGCAATCATAGCTCACTGCAGCCTTGACCTCCAGACTCAAGTGATCCTCCCACCTTCACCTCCCAAGTAGCTGGGACCACAGGTGTGTGCCACCACATCTGGCTAATTTTTAAATTATTTTTTTAGAGATGGGGGGGGTCTCACTATATTGCCCAGGCTGGTCTCGAACTTCTAGGCTCAAGTGATTCTCCTGCTTTGGCCTCCCAAAGTGCTGGGATTACAGGCATGAGCCACCGCACCTGACCTCATTTAGATTTTAGTTGGAGGGTGACATTAGTGACATGGCTGGATTTGTTCTTGGAATGGTCCCTCTGGCTGCTGTGTGGAAAAGGAATGAGAAGACTGGAGTAGTTCTCAGAGCACTGATGCAAAATCCCGGGGCACATTGGAGTCTCCAGGCAGTTTACAGAACCCCCAGGCCTGGGTTCCACCCTACAGATCCTATGCAATTGGTCTGGGGTATGACCTAGGCCATGGGAAGGCCACGGGATTTTTAAAAGCTCCTGAGTTAGAACAATGACCCTTAATCTGGTTCACATGAGAATCACCTGGGGGAACCCTTAAACAATGCCCAGGTCCTACCTCCAGGGATCCTGATATAATTTGTTTGGAGTGGGGCTTGGGTGTTGAGAGGTTTGAAAGGCTCCCCAGGTGATTCTGATGTGGGCCTAGGGCCAAGAACCACCGAGTAAGAGGCTATCACAGTAATCCAGATAAGTGAGCCAGACCCTAGGGATGGCAGGAAGTAGAGTCAGAAACACTTAGGAGGTAGAACTGGCCCAGCTTGGTGATGGACTGCGTGGGAAGGTCTGAGGCAGGAAAAGATGAAGGCCTACACATTTCTTAGTTTCCTGACTTGGTCAAGGGGGCAAATGGTGGCCGCTCCAGGCTGGGGTCAACTCTCTCCACCTTTGCCCTCATCCTAAATCTGGTGCTACTGCCTGCAGTCCTGGCAGTTGAGAGAGACTCTACTATAGTCTTGGACAATTACAATATTCCAGGTGTGCTCCGCTTTTAAGAAAATCAAGTGCCATATGTCTCTTGATAAGACCCAGTGAAACTCTGAAAATGCTGCCCCAAGGGACGCCATCTCCCAGGGGGAGATCTAGGCTGTGGAAAGCAACCCGAGGCCCCACAAGGAAGGGATTGGACCAAAACCATAGGATGTGAGTGCAGAAAGGGACTTTAGAGACCTTCCCTGTCACATTAGGGAAATTACAGACCAAAAGAGTAAACAGACTTGGCAGAAGGTGGAAGGATTGGTGCGAGGTGGCGAGGGAAACTGAGGTCCAGGGAGATCAAATGCCTCATACACAGAGAGTAG
Source organism: Homo sapiens (assembly GCF_000001405.40). Classification (NCBI taxonomy): domain Eukaryota; kingdom Metazoa; phylum Chordata; class Mammalia; order Primates; family Hominidae; genus Homo; species Homo sapiens. The sequence goes on from NC_000001.11 coordinate 223,091,749, forward strand.
TTTTTGCTGCTGCATCTCATCAATTCTAAAGCACATTTTTTCATATTTAACATTGAACAAGCAGATGTGTTATGCAATTGTCATTGTTTAAATGTCAGTGTTTTTATTTATTAGTGGTACATCAAATAAAGGAGCATCTTACAATCAATGACATCTTACATATAATGGCATTATTTTGCTTTAATTTTATAACCAACTTGGAGATCCATTGACCAAGATGTTCCGTTGGCCAAGTACATTGTCATCTGGCTTCACTGAGATAACACAATCATCTGTCAGCTGAGCAATTCCTCTGCGAGCTGAGGTTGGGCTTATCCATTTTTGATATCCTGTGACTTCGGCTCTGTTCTGACCCTCAGCAGGAGCCTGAGAACTGCTTGTAGGGACATGACCCTGAAGATGACACTGATGACTGTTCCCAGGGTTCCGGGGATGCTCATGTGGCTCTTGCTGCTTTCCCTTTTACGGCTGTGGGAACTCACATTATTTTCATGACAACTAAGGACTTGAGCTGGTTTGGGCAGTAGCGTGTGGACTTCACTGGGCAGCTGCTAGGGCTCGTCCATATTAACCATCGTGGTGGTGGAGAATGTGATGCCATTGAAGGAGGCCAGGCAAATAGGCCCTGCATGCTATCTGCTAGGTATTTGCTTTAGGGGTATGTGGTATAAATGGGTTATAAACAAGTTATAAACAGGTTATAAATGGATTGTATGAACGAGTTCAAGACAGCCCCTGTGTATTGGCCCCCATGCTGTTTACTTCCACACCACAGCCCAGGACCGTTAACTCAAGCCTGCCAGCACCAAACTCAAATTCTTGCACATCCAATTGCTTTAAATGTAGGCCAAATATTATTTGCCCATTTAGAGCCTGCCTGCTTCGATAATTTGCAAAACTACACCCGACACCCTCTCACCATAGGTAAGACGAACCTCAGGGCTACAAAAGACCCCAAATGGCTGCTGTCCTTTGGAGCTCTCTGACCCAGAGACTCCTCACCATGATGCTCCCCACCATGAACCCTCTTGGGTTCAAACGATCCTCCAGCCTTAGCCCCCCAAGTAAATGAGACTTCAGGTACATGCCACCAGGCCTGGTTAATTTTTAAATCTTTTTTTAGAGATGGGGTTTCACCATGTTTGCCTAGGCTGGTCTCAAACTCCTGAACTCAGCAATCTGCCCGCCTGGGCCTCCCAAAGTGCTGGGATTACAGGTGTGAGCCACTGCACCTGGCTCCTTTTCTTTTCTTCTAGACCTGTGACATCTCTTAGACCTGTAACCTCCTCTCTGATCCTCCTCTCCCCTGGGAGTGTCCTTGCCCTTTTCTTCTGGTGGTGGCCCTGCCACTGCCTCTGGAAGGTCTTCTGCTGCAAGGGACTTTCCCCTTCCATGCATTCTGTCCAAGCTTCATCCAAATAAAGCTCTTGTGTGCTATTGCCATCTAGTGATCTGGTCTTTTTCTTGATCTTTCCCCAACATTCAAACTCATGAGAGTATAATTGTGTAAATAAGCAGATAAATCTAATTTTAGACACTACCTACCAAGGGGCTTCACTGACGTCTGTAATGTGAGAGTTAAGCAGCTTAGCTAGTAACACTACTGAAACACCACTGTTTTTACTGAAAGATATAATGTATGCAGGGGTCATTCATCACAGATACAGAACGTCCTAAAAAGAAAAAAAAAAAGTAGCATCAAACACATTTTAAATTATAGACCAGAAGAGTAAACAGACTTGTCTTGTTGGTTTTGTTGCTGCCTCGTGGGGCTAATGGCCAGCCCCTGGACAGTCCCAAGGGGGCAGCTCAGTTACCATTCTCAGGAAGAGGATACGACTGTCTACGGCTCTTCCCAACAACAAACACAGAGTAGCCATGCACATCTCAGGAATGGAGATGGAGCAAGAGAAAAACTAGCGATAACAGCTAGAGTTGGTTGCATTTCTAGTAGGTGCTAAACAACATGCAAGGTGTTGTACATGCATTATCTCAGGTATTCCTCACAAAACCCTATTATTAGTCCAAAGCTCAGAAGAGTTCATCAATTTGCCAAAGTTGCAAATCTAATCCATGGTAGAATTGGGATTCAAAGCCTGGTCAATGAGACTCCAGGAAGGACAGGATTTAACCGCCTTGCCCTGTTGCAGAAATTCAACTAGCCTGAGCATTTTGCAATGTGTCATAACTTCTGATAATGGGCTGAATAAAGGATGGCAGCAACATCGGTAGGAATTGCAGTATCTCTCAAAGTTACGGGCCAGGGGAGGGTGGGACAGGTGTCAGCAGACAGACTCCATGGACATGCTACATCCTGGTGTCAGATTTGGGGTACTGACCTCCACTGGGGTGTGTGTGGTGGAACAGGGTTCTGCCTAGTCACAGCCCAGTTCTATCAGATCAGGAACCCCGTCATCCTCCCAGGCTCCTTCCTGGCCACCTGCAGCAGCTGGGCCCAGGGCTGCTTCCATATTCAAGAAAGAGAGACATCGAAGTGACAGGGATGGAACAGAATGCTGAGAGATCAAGGGAAGTTTCTAGTTATTTTCCCATCCACACCCAAGCTCTCTCGTCCTCCGTTGTCAGCCCAGTCAGGAACATCTCGTCACTCACCCCACCTCCATAGGAACTGACCCTCTGTGGATGGTTTTCCATGGCTGCCATAACAATGTGCACTAAGGGAGTGGCTTGAACCAAAGAAATGTCTTGTTTCACAGTCCTGGAAGCTGGAAGTCCAAGATCAAGGTGTCAGCAGGGTTGGACCCTTCTGAGGGCTGTGGGGAGAGTCTGTTCCTGGCCTCTCCCTTGGCTTCTGGTGGTTTGCTGGTGATCCTCGGCTTGTAGAAGCTTCACTACGATCCCTGCCTTCATCTTCACCTGGCACTTTTCCTGCATGAGTGTCTACCTCTAAATTTCCCATTTTTACTTATTTTTTATTTTAAAATTAAAAAAACTTTTAATAGTAGAAAATTTTGAACATACACAAAAATAGAATAGTATAATGAACCCCCATGTACCCATTACATAGTGTCGACAATGACCAACAAATGGCCAATCTTATCTCATTTGTTCCTCCTCCCTGCACCTATCTCTATGGAAATATTTTAAAGCAAATTCTCCTTATCATTTTATTTACATACATGTCAGTCACATGTCTTCTAAATGATAACTTTTTTTTTTTTTTTTTTTGACACAGAGTCTCAGTCTGTCGCCCAGGCTGTAGTGCAGTGGTGCTATCTTGGCTCACTGCAACCTCCACTACCTGGGTTCAAGCAATTCTCATGCCTCAACCTCCTGAGTAGCTGGGCTAACAGGTGCATGCCACCATGCCCAGCTAATTGTGTGTGTGTTTAGTAGAGACAGGGTTTTGCCATGTTGGCCAGGCTGGTCTTGAACTCCTGATCTCAAGTGATCCACCTGCCTTGGCCTCCCACAAAGTGCTGGGATTACAGACGTGAGCCACCACACCCAGCCAAGAACTCTTAAATACATAATTTTGATACAATTATCTCACTATTAACTGAACAAAACAGTATCACCTGGCCAGTCATGGTGGCTGACACCTGTAATCCCAGCACTTTGGGAGGCTGAGGTGGGTAGATCACTTGAGGTCAGGAATTAGGGACCAGCCTGGCCAATATAGCGAGACCCTGTCTCTACTAAAAGTACAAAAATTAGCCAGGCATGGTGGCGTGCACCTATATTCCCAGCAACACAGGAGGCTGAAGCAGGAGAATCACTTGAACCCAGGAGGCAGAGGTTGCAGTGAGCCGAGATCACACCACTGCACTCCAGCCTGAGTGACAGAGTGAGACTCTGTCTCAAAAAACAAAACCAAAACCAAAAAACCCAGTATTACCAGATAGCTACTCAGTGTTCACATTTCCCCAAAAGTCAATTTGTTCAGGATCTCAACAAGGTCTATGTACACATTGTGTTTGGTTGATATGTCTTAAATTTCTTAAAATCTATAGTAGTTTCCTCTTCTCTCTTTTTTCTTATCATTTATTTATTGGAAAAAATTAGTTCACTTACCTTGTAGCATTTCACACATTTTGAATTTGGCTGATTATATCCTTTTCTTTTCTTTTCTTGTCTTTTCTTTTTCTTTTCTTTCTTTCTTTTTTTTTTTTTAAAGAAAAGGTCTTGCCCTTGCTCTGTCAACGAGGCTGGAGTGCAGTGGCACAAATACAACTCACTACAATCTCCACCTCCTGGGTTCAAGCGATCCTCTGGCCTCAGCCCTGCAAGTAGATGGGACTTCAGGTACATGCCACCATGCCTGGCTAATTTTTGTAGAGACGGGGTTTCGCAATGTTGCCTAGGCTGGTCTTGAACTCCTGAGCTTAGCAGTCCACCCACCTGGGTGTCCTAAAGTCCTGGGATTACAGGTGTGAGCCATCATGCCCAGCCCTTTTTCTTTTCTTTTTATAAAAAGCTTTTATTTTAGGTTCAGGGGTACATGTGCAGTTTTGTTATATAGGTAAACTCTTGATACTGGGGTTTGCTGTACAGATTATTTCATCAACCAGGTAGTAAGCCTAGTAACCAATCGTTTTTTCTGATCCTCTCCTTCCTCCCACCTTCTACCCTCAAGTAGGCCCCAGTGTGTGCTATTCCCCTCTATGTGTCCACGTGTTCTCATTATTTACCTTCAACTTATAAGTGAGAACATGTGGCATTTGGTTTTCTGTTCCTGCATTAGTTTGCTAAGGATGATGACCTCTAGCTCCATTCCTGTACCTGCAAAGGACATAATCTTCTCCTTTTTTATAGCTGTGAAGTATTCCATAGTGTATATGTACAACATTTCCTTTATCCAATCTGCCCTCGATGAATTTCCCATTTTTTAAGGACACCAGTCATATTGGATTAACCCCTTTCCTACTCCAGTATGACCTTGTCTTACCTGATTCCACATGCAGTGATCCTGTATGAGTCTGTTCTTGCGCTGCTATAAAGAAATACCTGAGGGTAGGTAACTTATCAAGGAAAGAGGTTTAACTGGCTCACGGTTCTGTGGGCTGTACAGGAAGCATGGCTATGGCATCTACTCAGCTTCTGGGGAGGCCTCAGGGAGCTTTTACTCAGGGCGGAAGGCAAGTGGAGCAGGCAGATCTCATGGCCAAAGCAGGTGCAAGAGAAGGAGAAGGAGGGGCCACACACTTTCAACCCACCCGATCTCACGAGAACTCACTCACCGTCATGAGGACTGCACCATGAGGATGGGGCTGAACCAATCATGAGAAATCCTCCTCCACGAGCCACTCACCTCCCACCAGGCCCCACCTTCCACACTGGGGACTACATTTCAACATGAGATTTGGGGGGACAAATAACTAAACTCTATCAGACCCTATCTCCAAATAAAGGAACATTCTGAGGCACTAGGGGTAGGACTTCAACATATAAATTTTGGGGGTCCACAACTCAGCCCACAGCACTCCATAATTCAGAAAGCCTTTTCTTTCCTGCAATAGTTTTGTTTGAGTCAATTGGCTGTTGTATCTGTAATGTCTCACACTCACAAAGCAGCTCATGATCTTCCCTGGCTGTGGGGGGAGCACAGGCTTCCACAACCCATGTGAGATTGAGTGTATTCCCTCCCAGGTCACAGACCCCCCATCACAGGGCACAGCTCTTTGCAGAGCACACAGGCCCCCATCAGGGGCTGGGGGAGCGGGCCCAGACCAGCACGGGTCCTCGAACTGCCGTGTTCTCAGAAATGCTGAGTATTCTCTCCTTAACAGCCTGGTTCCTGAGCCATCTATCCTATCCTGAGCTGGTCTCCATGTCACAGCGCTTACTTCTCTCACTTTGGCCTTTGCTTTGCCCTTCATATGAGCTGCCCTCCATTGTCTTGTTGGCTAAGGCCTCGGCTCTTGCTCATGGTTGCGTTGGCCACCTCGGGGAATATCTGTAAGGTTTGGGCTGACCCTGAATCATCCTGCCTCTGCCACTCTCCTGGGGGGACACTCCCACTCCAAGCCCCAGCTTCCTGGGAGAGGCCTGAAAATGCTATTCAGAGGGTGCTGACTCCCCTCGAGGGGCTGGAGCCATCCTTAGAGAGTGCTGGATTGTCCAAGGTCAACTTGGCATTACCACCAACCCCAGGACCTCCCTCAAAGCCAAAGTCCCTTCTGCAGAGGGAAGCAAAGCCAGGAATACTTCCCTGAACTCTGTCCCTGTCTGATTCCTGGTTAGAGTTTGCAAATGAGAAGCTCTCCTGAGATTAGGACAGAGGTGGGGGAAAGGTCTTTGTTCTTCAGGGGTAGTTACAGCCAGATCTGTAAGGAGTTGAGATTTGGGAACAATCATGCTTGCTGCTGCCCACAAGTGTGGGACATGTACCACTCTTTGAGTGTTTTGGGATGAGGTCTTTGGTGTCAGCTTACCTGACCTCCACTACCCCAGGTCTTGCAATATTTCAGTATACCCTTAATTCTCTAAATTAAAACTTTAAACACCTGGAGTACATACAGTGGCTTCTGTTTTCTTCATTGAATCCTGTCTGAGATAGAGAGAAGGAGCAAACCTCCAATGACAGGCAACGTCTTACGGATACTGTGGTGTTTTTTTAGGACGCAGTGACAGTGCTTCAGCAGTGAGGAGAGAACAAGGCAAATTCCAGCAAAGAGAGCAGCCTCTCTGGGAGAGCCACCTTGAGGAGAAGAAAAGGGGCATTTCAGGAAGGTTAAGCAAAGAATCAGCAAAACCCAGATTGGAATCACTAGCTAGGCAAGTTGCTTCATCTTTCTAGTCGGAGCCTCAGTTTCCTGATCTGTGAAATGGGGAGGTGACCACTCTTTACATTATCTAGTCATGTGAATTCAATGAGATGATTTAGGTAAATTCTCTAGAATGGAGCCTGGCAAGTAGAAGGTGCCCAATTAATGCTTCTTTTTTTCTTCCTTCTTGGCAGAGACGATCCATTTGCTTACCAAAGATGCTGCCATCAGCTATCACAGAGGGCTAGAGTACTCCTTTGCTTTCAGCTGGAGGGAAAAGCTTCTTACTCTTTTTTCCCATTCAGAAGGAAGAGGGATGAGGGAGGGCGGAGAACAATATTTTCAGTGCTGTGAGTTTCTTTCTGCTGGTGTATAGTCTCAGGCTGGAACAGCTCCTTAAGGCCATACATTTAGTTTCCCTCAATTTAAACATAAAGAGCTAAAACTAGAAATCCTCTAGAAGAAAACATCTTCATGATCTTGGTGTAGGCAAATGTTTCCTAGGCAGGATACAAGAACACAAACCATAAAATAAATAGATAAATTGGACTTCATCAAAATGTCAAACTTTCTGATTGTTAATAAAATGAAAAGGCAAACCACAGAGTGTGAGAAAATAATAGCAATACATATATCTGATAAAGAATTGTACCTGAATACATAAAACATGCCTACAAATAAATACTAAAAAGACAAGCAACTCAGTTAAAATGAGCACAAATCTTGAACAGACACTCCATAAAAGAAGATATATGAATGGCTAATAAGCATGTTAAGAGGTACTCAGCATATTAGTCATTAGGGAAATGCAAATGAAACTACTATGAGCTACCACTTCACACCCAATAGGATGGCTAAAATGCAAAAGACTGACCATATCAAGTGTTGACAAGGATGTGGAGCAACTGGAACCTCATACATAGCTGGGAGAAGTATAAAATGTTACCATTATTTTAGAAAACAGCTTGGTGGTTTCTTTCACAGGTGATATGGTTTGGCTGTGTCCCCACCCAAATCTCATCTTGAATTCCCATGTGTTGTGGGAGGCACCCAGTGAAAGGTAATTGAATCATGGAGGCAGGTCTTTCCCATGCTGTTCTCGTGATAGCAAATGAGTCTCACAAGATCTGATGGTATTATAAGGGAGAGTTTCCCTGAAAAGCTCTTTTCTCTTGTCTGCCACCATCTAAGATGTGACTTTCACCTTCTGCCGTGATTGTGAGGCCTCCCCAACCACATGGAACTGTGAGTCCAATAAACCTTCTTTTGTAAACTGCCCAGTCCGGGTATGTCTTTATCAGCAGTGTGAAAATGGACTAATACAGTAAATTGATATCAGTAGAGTGGGGTGCTGCTGAACAGATACCCAAAAATGTGGAAGCAACTTTGGAACTGGGTAACAGGCAGGGGTTGGAACAGTTTGGAGGGCTCAGAAGAAGACAGGAAAATGTACAAAAGTTTGGAACTTCCTAGAGACTTGTTGAATGGCTTTGCCCAAAATGCTAATAGCGATATGGACAATTAAGTCCAGGCTGAGGTGGTCCCAGATGGAAATGAGAAACTTGTTGGGAACTGGAGCAAAGGTGGCTCTTGCTATGTTTTAGCAAAGAGACTGGTGGCATTTTGTCCTTGCCCTAGAGATCTGTGGAACTTTGAACTTGAGAGAGATGATTTAGGGTATCTGGCAGAAGAAATTTCTAAGCAGCAAAGTATTCAAGAGGTGACTTGAGTGCTGTTAAAGGCATTCAGTTTTATAAGGCAAGCAGAGCATACAAGTTCAGGAAATTTGCCACTTGATAATGAGATAGAAAAGAAAATCCCATTTTCTAAGGAGAAATTCAAGCCCGCTGCAGAAATTTGCATAAGTAACGAGAAGCCAAATGTTAATCCCCAAGACAATGGGGAAAATGTCTCCAGGGCATGTCAGAGGTCTTCATGGCAGCCCCTCCCATCACAGGCCTAGAAGCCTGGAAGGAAAAAGTGGTTTCATGGGCTGGGCTCAGGTTCCCCATGTTGTGTGCAGCTTAGGGACTTGGTCCCAGCTGCTTCAGCTGTGGCTGAAAGGGACCAATGTAGAGCTCGGGCCGTGGCTTCAGAGGGTGCAAGCCTCAAGCCTTGGCAGCTGCCACATGGTTTTGAGCCTGCGAGTGCACTGAAGTCAAGAATTGAGGTTTCGGGAACCTCTGCCTAGATTTCAGAGGATGTGTGGAAACACCTGGATGTCCAGGCAGAAGTTTGCTGCAGGGGCAGGGCTCTCATGGGGAACCTCTGCTAGGGCAGTGCAGAAGGGAAATGTGGGGTCAGAACCCCCACAGAGAGTCCCTCCTGAAGTACCACCTAGTGAAGCTGTGAGAAGAGGGCCACTGTCCTCCAGACCCCAGAATGGTAGATCCACTGACAGCTTGTACTGTGTGTCTGGAAAAGCTGCAGACACTCAATGCCAGCCCATGAAAGCAGCTGGGAGAGAGGCCGTACACTGCAAAGCCACAGGGGCAGAGCTGCCCAAGACCATGGGAACCTACCTCTTGCATCAGCGTGATCTGGATGTGAGACATGGAGTTAAAGGAGATCATTTTGGAGCTTTAAGATTTGACCACCCTGTTGGATTTCAGACTTGCATGGGTCCTGTAACCCCTTAATTTTGGCCAATTTCTCCCATTTGGAATGGCTGTATTTACCCAATGCCTGTATTCTCATTGTATCTAGGAAGTAACTAACTTGCTTTTGATTTTACAGGCTCATAGGCAGAAGGGACTTGCCTGGTCTCAGATGAGACATTAGACTCTGGACTTTTCAGTTAATGCTAAAATGAGTTAAGACTTTGGGGGACTGTTGGGAAGGCATGATTGTCTTTGAAATGTGAGGACATGAAATTTGGGAGGGGCCAGGGGCAGAATGTTATGGTTTGGCTGTGTCCCCACCCAAATTTCATCTTGAATTTCCATGTGTTGTGGGAGGGACCTAGTGAAAGGTAATTGAATCGTAGGGTCACGTCTTTCCTGTGCTGTTCTCATGATAGCAAATGAGTCTCATGAGATCTGATGGTGTAGTAAGGGGGAGTTTCCCTGCACAAGCTCTCTTCTCTTGTCTGCCGCCATGTGAGACATGCCTTTCACCTTCCACCATGATTGTGAGGCCTCCCCAGCCACATGGAACTGTAAGTCCAACAAACCTCTTTCTTTTTTTTTTTTTTTTGAGATGAAGTCTTGCTCTGTTGCCCAGGCTGCAGTGCAGATTGTGCAGTGGCACAATCTCAGCTCACTGCAACCTCCGCCTCCTGGGTTCAAGTGATCCTCCTGCCTCAGCCCCCCTAGTAGATGGGATTACAGGCACATGCCACCATGCCTGGCTAATTTTTGTATTTTTAGTAGAGACGGGGTTTCGCCATGTTGGCCAGGCTGGTCTCAAACTCTTGACCTCAGGTGATCCACACACCTCAGCCTCCCAAAATGCTGGGACTACAGGTGTGAACCACCGTGCCTGGCCTATAAACCTCTTTCTTTTGTAAATCGCCCAGTCTCAGGTATGCCTTTATCAACAGCATGAAAACAGACTAATACAACAGGAAAACATACACCTACCTTATGACCTGGCAATTTTACTCCTACATATTTATCCAAGAGAAAGGAAAACATGTCCACAAAAAGATTTGTAAATGAATGGACATAGTAACTTTATTTCTAATAGCTAAAAACTGGAAACAACCCAGGTGTCCCTCAACAGGAGACTGGATAAATTGTAATATATCCACACTGCAATAAAAAGGAAAACTCACTGATATTATAATATCCTGGAAGCATCTCAAAAAATTATGTTACGTAAAGGAAGACAGATGCAAAATGTTGATTGAATGATTCCATTGATGTGAAGTTCTAGAGCAGCCAAAATCAATCTATGTTGATAGATTACAACAGTGGTTGTCTGAGTTGGGGCAGGGGTAAGGATTGGCAGGAAAGCGAAAGAGGCAACTTTCTGGAGTAAAGGAAACATTCTATATGCTGATGGAGGTAATGGTTACATGGGTGTAGACATTGAAATTTACACTTAGAATGTATCCATTTTATTGTATGTTTAAGAAAAACCCAGTTTACTGATTTTCTTCTCAGATTTCCAGACGTATTGCCTTGACCTCCAAAGAGATTAGATTCACCCCAGGGACAAGGAACTGTGTCCAGACCAGGGGAACTAGAAGCAGACCTGTGGACCCCAGAGAACCTAGATGGTCAACTTTTCTACAACATAGTTTCTCTCTCTGCACTACCAGGTGTTAATGTGCATTTATTTTGTGCTAGGAACTGTGCTAATTAGTTCTATATTCTATATACATTTTAATGCTGGGGGAAAACAACAACAACAACAAACCAAACCCTGAAGCTCCAAGGGGTGAAACAACACACAGCTAAAACTGCAACTCCGCATTCTTATTCCAAGCCCAGAAGAAGCCAGCTGGGGAACTCCCCACCCGAGGCTCACATTGGGGTTGTCCCTTGCCAGCCAGGAACTCCCCACACCAGCTTCTCCTCCTTTGTTTCACACCTAAGCCTGAGTGTCTTCCTTAAATCACCAGTGGTGATCCCTAGTTCCCACTCCAAAAAGCTTCTTTTCTTTTCACAGGGACCAGTGCACGGAAACCACTGGCTACTTACTTTTGCAAATCCCTCCAGGCTTGGCACAACCTGCAGGCTTGGAAGACTCTGGCGCTATAATACAGCTGCAGCTGGGGAAGCGGTGGGAGCTCATTAATGGCCAAGGTCACTGGAAAAACCATGAAGGTGACCTCAAGCGTTAGGCCTCTAGGGCTACTCGAAAGGCAGATGCAGGCCAGCGCAGCAGAAAAATGCCCCAGCCTCCACTCAGCCAAAGCACCTGCTTCCTGAAGGGTGGCTGGGGCCCAGTGAGACATGATGTCATTGATTTTTATCACAACCTTCCTGGGGAGGAGACAGGAAAACAGGGGCCTGAGGTGAATAGCCTGAGCTGGGAAAAGAAACACAATTTCCAGCGCGTTGGATCAGGTCCCTGAGTTTCAGGAATAAAGCCACCTTGTCAGACTCTCCTGGACTGTGGTGTCTGAGAGGACCATGGAAGCCTTAGTGAGTTCTTTCCATGGAATTTTCTGTGAAATAAAAATATTTAATTTCTTAAAAGGTCTATCTAAATGGAAGTTATTGTGGCCATGAAGAAATCAAATATTTAATTGCTAAGTAAAAGAGATTAAAAGTGCCTTTAATCTTAAGAAAAATAAAATTGGGTAAAACATTATACATAAAATATATGATCTATACATTATATATGTGTGTGTATATATCATGTGTATGTATATTCACCTGTTGAAATAATTTTTTTTGTTGGTGGCTTAATTTTAGAATTTTGGCTAATTATTTCTAGATTGTCTTCTGCCAAGGGCAGGAGTTACTATCTCAATTTTATCTAAGTACATATTTATTTTTGTTTTTGTCTGTTTTAAGTATTATTACTGAAATGCATGCACAGAGTTAAACTTTAAATAATATCACATACTCATAATAAAAGCTTGCAGTTCCCTGACTCCTCCAATCTCCCTAAGCCCTCCAGGATAATCACTTGTGTTTTTCCTTTGGTGGGAGCAGAGCATGGAAACACATTTAGATCAGAGGCAATCCCTGACAAAAATAAGGTATCCTGGGAAGAATGTCCCATAAGCTCTACATGAATTAGTCTGCTACATGTTTCTATTCCTTTAACCAACAAATCTGTCTAATTCATATCCCAACACTCTGGGAGGCCGAGGTGGGTGGATCACCTGAGGTCAGGAGTTCAAGACCAGCTTGGCCAACATGGTGAAACCCTGTCTGTACTAAAAATACAAAAATTATCTGAGCCTGGTTGCATGCACCTGTAATCCTAGCTACTTGGGAGGCTGAGGCAGGAGAATTTCTCCAACCCGGGAGGCAGAGGTTGCAGTGAGCCAAGATCACGCCACTGCACTCCAGCCTGGGTGACAGAGTGAGACTCCATCTCAAAAAATTGTTTTTTAAATGGAAAACTAGTATCTCACAGAAAAGTGAACAAATTCATCAGTGCCGATAAGATGTATTATCAAAAGTGTTGCTGTCACCCAGGTCAGGCCATAAAACATACACAGCATCCTGGAAGCCCCCTCCAGCGCTACTCACTCCTCCCCAGAGGTGGCTACTGTCCTCATTATCACCACAGATGAGTTCTGCCTTGTTAAAATTTCTCAAATTGCAACCACTTGGTATTTCATCATTATGCCTTGCTTCTTTGACTTAACATTTTTTTCAAGATTCACTTATGTTGTTACCTGTAGCTATAATTGGCTAATTGTCATTTCTGTAGGGCTTTCAATTACCACAATTTATTGATCCATTTTGTGGTTGATGGACATGTGGGTCGTTTCCAATGTTGGCTACTACAAATAATGCTGCTACCAACGTTTTTCTATGTGTGTTTTCACGCATAAGTGCATGGATTTCTAGTGTGTATATACTTATGAGTAGAATTTCAGCATCACAGGGCATGTGTGGTTCAACTTTAGTAGACGACTAACTGTTCTTTAAGGTAGCAGTCTCTGGCTGGGCACAGTGGCTCACGCCTGTAATCCCAGCACTTTGGGAGCCCAGGCAGGCAGATTGCTTGAGGTCAGGAGTTCAAGACCAGTCTGGCCAACATGCTGAAACCCCATCTCTACTAAAAAGACAAAAAAATTAGCTGAGTGTGGTGGCACGCACCTGTAATCCCAGCTAGTTGGGAGGCTGAGGCAGGAGAATTGCTTAAACCTGGGAGGTGGAGGTTACAGTGAGCTGAGATTGTGCTGCTGCACTCCAGCCTGGGCAACAGAGTTAGACTTCATCTAAAAAATAAAACAAAATAAAAAATAAAAGTAGCAGTCTTCAACTTTTTGGCACCAGGGACCAGTTTCATGGAAGACAATTTTTCCACCGACTGGCGGGGGATAGGGGTGGGGTGATTTCAGAATGATTCGAGCCCATTACATTTATTGTGCACTTTATTTCTATTATTATTACATTGTAATATATAATGAAATAATTATACAGCTCACCACAATGTAGAATCAGTGGGATCCCTGAGCTTGTTTTCCTGCAACTAGATGGTCCCATCTGGGGGTGATGGAAGACAATGATGGATCATCAGGCATTAGATTCTCATAAGGGTCAAACAACCTAGATCCCTCGTACACGAAGTTCAAGCTCCTATGAGAATCTAATGCCGCAGCTGATCTGATAGGAGGTGGAGCTCAGGCAGTAATGCAAGCGATGAGGAGTGGCTGCAAACACAGATGAAGTTTAGCTTGCTAGCCTGCCGCTCACCTCCTGCTATGTGACCCGCTTCCTAACAGACCAGTATGGGTCCATGGCCTGGGGGTTGGGGAACCCTGCTTTATAGTATGCCAATTTACATTCTCACCAATCACGCAGGAAAGTTTCAATTGCTCCCCAGCCTTGCCAATACTTGGTACTGTCAGTCATCTTAATTTTAGCCATTCTGGTGGGTGGGTAGTGGGATTGCAATGTTGTATCAATTTGCGTGTCTCTGATCACTAAAGGAGGTTGAGTATCTTTTCGTTTCCTTATTGGACATTGGATAGCCTTTTGTGAAATTCTTAAGTGTCATGTCCATTTTTCTTTTCTGTAGTCTTTTTCTTATTGATTTGTAGAAGTTCTTTTAGATTTTGCCTGTGAGTCCTTTTTGGATACGTGTATTACAAATATCTCCCTCCATGCTAAAGTTTCCCTTTTCATTCACTGATAGTCTTTTTTTGGTAATAGATGGTCTTAATTGCATTGTAGTCAGCTTTCTCGATTTCCTTCTTCTCTTGCCTCTTGGCCCTATTTACTACCTTGCAACTTTCCCGTGTCTTTAAATAGATTCTAAAAAAATAGTTTCTCCAGCTTTTCTAGATGCTCCCAATGGAAGAACTGGGCAGAACTTCCTCAGGCAATCATCATTAATTTGTATGGTTCTTTCTTCTGGCATTTTCATACTTCTAAATATATATATTTGGAACACTATTTCTTGATTTAATATTGTAGACTTTTTTGTAATCAATTTTACATTGTGGTACATGAGCATTTAACTATCTTAAACTTTTACTCCACAGTCTCTTGTCCTCTTAACGTGGTTCTTTCATGATTTAAAACTTCAAACCGCATTTGCTTTACATAATATCAAGACTCTCTAAAACATTCTTCACTGCAAGTGCACGTGGTTGGCAAGGGATTTTCAGAGTCAGTTGTATTTGGCATGAGTGGGATTCTCTTTGAAGTTTTCAGCAGCTCTAGTCAATATTCTAGATCTTTCCAGAATAGTTGCAGTTTCAACTACAGAAAGCTCTAGCCATTCTGAGATTGAACTGTGGTAGTTTCTCACCATTTTGGAGTGACCCCAGAGGTCTGTGCTATGTGGAATTTATCTATTTCCTGAGGCCTGGCTTTGAATCACTGCGCCATGGAAGACAGGGCAGTCACTTAGCAACCAGTGTCTCAGCAGACTCCCCAGGGCCCACTTCCCAATGTGGCTCCGTTGGGCCTTCCTTTTGCCATGTACACAGCAAGTCTTGTGACGTGATAAAGACTTGGGAAAATGGCCTCAAAAAGAATTCCAACTGCTGGGCCTGACCATGGGAAAGAAGACAAAAGAATTTTAGTAAGTTTTGGATCTTTGCCAGAAAAGGGAAGTTTTGAAATAGAGTGGTATGTTGAAACTAACAGTGGCTAGGATGTAGACATGAACAGGTCCCCCATACACTCTATACAGAGACCACAAAAGATGCCTTTTAAATGTGTTTCATTAGGAAAATTACCTGTAATTCGTGTTTTTAAATAAGAAGATTAGAAAAGGCTGTGGGATAGACTCCTTTCCTATGTTGAGAGTTATCTGTGTTTCAGCTTGTTCTTCCTGTAAAGACACCTGCACTTGTCATTTTACATGTCCCAGGTTTGGTTTGGAAAACAGAGTCATAGCGATGGTCACCCAAACCAAGGGAGGTCCCTGGTGTAGCACTACCTCCAACCCCTAGCCGGACTAGGAAACCCCTTTCCCTAGGAGTCCTGTTCATACAAGGTGTTCTGACCAGGAGATTTCTTCAGTGTCCTGGGTGCCCCTCCCACCCCCTAGAGCTGGGGGAAAACCATGGCTGAGCAGCAGGTGGGACAGGAGGGCATGAAACCGAGCAGAGTGGTCTTTCCACAGTCTTCCTGATTTGCGGTTATACCTGTTACTGACACAGTATACTTTTGTTTTGTCTCCTTCCTTCTTTTTTTTTTTTTTTGAGTTAGGATCTCGCTCTGTCACCCAGGAGTGCAGTAGTGCCATCTTGGCTCACTGCAATCTCCGCCTCTTGGGTTCGAGGAATTCTCCTGCCTCAGCCTCCCTAGTAGCTGGGATTACAGGTGTGCACCACCACACCCAGCTAATTTTTGTATTTTTAGTAGAAACGGGGTTTCACCATGTTGGGCAGGCTGGTCTCAAACTCCTGACCTCAAGTGATTGGCCCACCTTAGCCTCCCAAAGTGCTGGGATTACAGGCATGAGCCACCAGTGCCTGGCCCTGTTTTACTGTATTTCTTAGCACAGGGTTCCAGGAGACCTTATTCACTGCAAATTCATGTGGGTTCTGTTTTCCTCCCCACCCCCTCAGCTCTCCATTCTAGCCCCGTTCCTAGCTGCTAATCCAGGCTGCCACTGTCCCACTACCCAGGAGGCCTGTGCCATGCCTGGCCATTTGAAATAGTGTTCAGGGGTGTCTGACAGCCTGTGGTCTCCTGCCCTTTTCAGCTTACCACTCAGCACCTCCATGGATATCTTGCTCTCTCAGGCCCTCATCCTCCCTGCCCCTCCAGTGGAAAGTCTAATAACAGCAGGTGTTGCCATGAGGGAGGCTGGGCTTCCCAGTATACTTCACTCATCCACAAGACATTTACTAAGCACATACTGTGGGCCAGGCACAAACTGGGCCTGCGATACACAGATGAACAAGACAAGATCCTGACTGCAGTGTCTCACAAACTAAGCCGTCCATACACATACATAAACACACTGGCGCAACACAATGTCATGTATCAGTGACAGAAAATCTGTCACTGGGGTCATGAGGGATGGGCAGTCTTGCTAAACAAGGAAATTCATCAGGCAGACGAGTGGTAGGATGGGGAGAAGAAATTCCATGGGGAGGAAGAAGCATGGGCAGATGTGTAAGTGGGAAACCCTTGAATGGTCCCCAAACCATAAGTGATCTGCTACAGCCAGTGAGGGCAGGACACAGAAGACAAGGTCTTTCCTCAGGGAACTTATCTTCCAGAGAGGCGGGCAGCCGGGCAGGCTCAGAAAAAAGGATAGAGGAAGTAGTAGTAAGTGCTACTTTTAAAAGACCAGATAAAGTGTCAAGAGTTTTCACAAAAGGGAGAGAGGACTTTGGGTTAGGGATCCCAGGGAGCTTCATGGGCTGGATTTTGAAGAAAACGAAGAAAACGTAGGATGGATGTGCAGAGATGGGAGAAGAATCCAGAGGAAAGAGGTACAGTGGGGACTGCATGGTGTGCGTGAAAATAATGCCATCGCTGGGTGCAGGGAAAGCTCGGTCTCATTGATTAGAAGTGGCCAAAAGAAGTTGGGATGAGAATAGCGTGTATGTGTGTGTGTGTGTGTGTGTGCGCGCGTGTGTGTGTTGGAGGAGTCAGGATTGAGGGGCCCAGTGAGGGGAAGAAGGTGACAGTTTGGAGAGCTGAGTCCCAGACCCATGTGTACCCCTCAAACTGCAGGAGCTGACCTGGAGTTACGCTGGACTTGGAGGAGGCAGTGTGTGAAGCTATGGGGTAATTTTGGCACAGTTTCCTTGTTTTAAGTATTCTTAATCCTTTTGCAAAAACACATTTCTATATTAATAAACATGAAAAAAAGAACAGAATGGAAAATACACATAGATTTCATTTAAGATAAAAAAATACAACTTCAGTGAAATTGCAACTGCCCCCCAGGAGGCCTTCAGTGTATGTGTTCTCTTGTGGTCATTAGGGCAACGAAGGAAAAGATCTGAGAAGCCCTGACATCCTTGGCCAATTTAATTTTCACAGGAATTCTATGACATAGATGCTGTTACGTGAGAAAATGTAGGTCCAGCAAGGGCATACCAAGGCCAAGGTTACATGGCTAATACACAGCTGACTCAGAACTCAACCCAGGATCTGTGTGCAAAGTCCATGTTCTTCATGCAACAGCCTGAGCAGCTGATCAATGAGGTGTGCTAGGAAACAAAGCTGAAAAGGTAGGTTGGTGATAAATCATGGAAGGTCTTGAAGGCCAGGCTTAAATAAAGGCAGCATGTGAGAGAAAGTTCTTGGCTCACTAGGGCGAGACCTGGAGAAGCCGAAGGTAAGAACATGAAGTGCAGTACAGTCACAAGACAGGTAGTGACTCATTCATCCCAGCTTCTTTGGGGCCACCTCTTATCTATGAGACAAAGTGTGACTTGCACTCAACAGTGGCATTGTTTCTGTGGCAAAAGAAGGAAATGTGCCTCTGCTTCTGTTTGTTTTCTACTTAATGTTGTTTTGCAGAACACAGAGAACGCAGAATCATGGACCATCCCATTTTTTAGCTGAATGCTAGAGAAAGCACGTCAGCCATCTGCAACTTCTCCCAAGGTGCCCTTCCCATGATTAGGATACATTCCATAATCAACACAGCAGGACAGAACGGTATTATTGGATCTGAAAGAAAATCAATGGAGACTGGAAACCTCTAAGGGCAGTTGCAATTTTCTAGATCTATTATTTTCCATTTGGAGGTTAGTGAGACAGAACATGGTGTTGATACGAAAATTGAGAGATTTATGTTGTTTTCATAGTAGCAAAAAGAAAAAAAAAACCTCCAGAGAGGACCCCAAAATGATAACTTGGTGCAAATACAAAGTGAAGAGTTATTTGTGGCTTGAGATAAGTTGGAAATTGCTCCTTTGATTAGGAGATGGTTGCTACAGTTTGCAACGGAATGTTATTGTCTTTCTTCTTTTCTTTTTCTTTCTTTAGTATCTGTTGAGAGAGTTTATGAAGAAACCAGCCAACATCCTGGAGATCCTCAGGCCACCTCAAATACTGCTGTTTCTGTACAAAGCCTCTGATGGATTGATGTTTCATCAACTGGTACTGGGACAAGGACCCAACCACCACCATGATGAGAGCACTGTTAAGGTCAGATAAGCACCTGCCCTGGGCATAACTGAAGGCTTCAAGGCACCAGCCATCTCTAAGGAAGTGTCTGCTCACAAGACAAACGATCTTTCTACTGTTCCAGATGGCATCCTGGATATTGGCAATGCGGTTTTCTCCTGGGACAAAGTCTCTTTCTTCAAAGCACAGGTTGAATCTGTTTTGGTCACTGTATTGAGTGTCCAGGTGTTTGAGCAAAGCATTCTGCACCCATGTGAAGTCTTTGCTGCTGAAGCACAAATAGGCATCATATTTGTACATATCAGGTTCTGTGCCCTGGGGATGGTCCTTGAACACCAGTCTCTGGGCTGTCTTATAACAGATAAAACAGAAGCCCCGGAACTTTGTGACTGTGAGGATGGTCATGAGGAACAGAGTCAGAGTGACAGTGCATACAATGAAAAGGGAGAACTTTAGGGACTTTAAGACTTCCTCTTCATCACAACCTTCCGTGGAAAGAGAGAAGAGGGAAACCCCAGAGAACGAGTCAGGGTACACACAATATATGTCTGCAGGAGGCCCAGCTATAGTGACATTGGTGTGATTAAGCCAATTGATAAAAGTGCTAAGTTCACATTCACAAATGAACTTGTTATGAGTTATATCCAAGACACTAAGTGATACAAATACATCAGGATTAGGAGCTAGGAGCTGGTTCCTGGATATGTCCAGGATCTCTAAATTAGCAGGTAAATCATTGTGAGAAAGAACTGTCAGCCTGTTGGAGTTGAGGCTTAGTCCCCTTAATGCAGTCAGATGGCTAAATACTCCTGGTGGAAGGGAATTAAGATAGTTATGATTCAAATACAGAACTTGAAGATGAGAAAGTCCCTCAAAAACATCCCAACAGAGCTCAGTTTCCCAGGCAAGTTGCAACATATTTTCTCCAAGGAAAAGCTGTTCTAAGCTGGGATTCTCTGAAGGGGTTTGATCTCCACTACAGGAGGAGAAGCGATTTTGATTTAAAATGAGAATCTGGAGATGAGGTACCCGTAGGAGAAAGTAGAGAATATCTAGATTTTCTAGCCTGTTTTCTGATAAGTGGATGAGGTTCGCTGTAAGGTTGATCTTTGGCAAAGTCACTAGTTTATTGCCACTCAAGAAGATATCGGGTATGCTTGGAATAAAATGAATGGTTGTAAGAGCATTGTCTCGGAGATCCAAGGTCTGTAATTTTTCCAGGAATTTGAATGTTTGGTCTTGAATTATTGCAATGTGATTCTTTTGCAAATCAATGTAGGCTACCTTAGGTAGTCCATAGAAATTCGAACTGTAAAGTTCCCCCAGAAGGTTATATGACAAATTGAGAACTTGGAGGTTGTCAAGTCCGTAAAATGCTTCATCTGCAATCTTATTTATCTTGTTGTAGGCAAGGTTCAGAACCTTCAAATCCTTGAGTGTCTCAAAGACTCGTGAGTTCAGGGAGAAGACAAACCCATGTGAAAGATCCAGGTGTCTCACTGAACTTCTGGCCAGGCCAGCAAATGTGTTCTGGTCAGGATCTTTGATGTTATGGAAGCCAAACCCGGCACCCATGATGTGGTGGGCAAGAATCAAAGAGAAGGCCTGGCTTTTGCTGATGGCATTGCTAAAGTTTCCTGTGATGTCCACTGTCCAGCCATTTCCAGAAACATCTAGTATCTCCAGCACCATGTTTCTGAATGGGTTCATACATTTTCCCCAGTCCACTGAGACTCTGCTATACAAGCTATTAGCTGCGAGGCTAAAAAAGGAGAGCGTTTTCCCTTGTAGGGGCTCGAGCTCATGTTCACATACAAGGAATATTTGGTTGGAGGAAAAATCTATGGACTTTAAGGAATTCAACTTCCCAAATGAAGGATGAAGGTAAAGGCTACGAATCTGATTTTTGGATAGATCCAAGCGAGTTAAAGCCTTTAAATTTCTGAAATAACCATCTTTCAATACAGCATCAGAGAGACCACAGAAATACAGTCTAAGTTCAAACAGATGGAACAGTCCCTGAAAAGCATCTGGATGCAAGAAGTATATCTTACTACTTCCCAGGTCCAAGATTCTAAGGTTGGGCAGGTTTCTGAAGGCCTCCTTGTCAATAGTCAAGGGGGTATACTGGCTCCCGAGCTCCAGCAGCTGCAGCTGTTCCAGAAAGGGGAAGGATGAAGCAGTGACTGTCCTGATATAGTTGAAGCTCAGCAGGAGCCTCTCAGTGGTGTTGAGGACCTGGGGGACCTGGGTGAGGTTGCAGAAACGATAAAAGGCTATTCGGCCATCAAAGGAGCAGGAAGGAATTCCAAACACAGGACCGGCCATGAGCACCACTCCTAGGAGAAGGTCCAGGTGGTCTCCCATGATCCTATGGAGAAGAAGGGAGAATGAAAACACAGGCATTTAAGCTCGAGGTATTGCACTGGGGTCTTCAGATCTTGGGGGTATTCTCTATGATGTGCCTGCTCCCTTTGACCCCTTCATTCCTCTGACTCCACAGACGTGGCTGTTGGCAGATACAGACAAAACTATTCTTACTCTATTTCTGTTTTTTTTGAGACAGGGTCTTGCTCTGTTGCCCAGGCTGGAGTGCAGTGGCATGATCACAGCTCACTGCCACCTCCGCCTCCCGGGTTCAAGCCATCCTTCCATCTCAGCCTCCTGATTAGCTGGAACTACAGGCACGTGCCACTGTACCCGGCTAATTTTTGTATTTTTAGTAGAAATGGGGTTTCACCATGTTGCCCAGGCTGGTCTCCAACTTGTGGGCTCAAGTGACCTGCCTGCCTCAACCTCCCAAAGTGTTGGGATTACAGATGTGAGTCACCACACCTGGCCTATTCTTGCTCTCTATCAAACACTTACGTTGAATTTTCTGTATACTAGGCACTATTCTAGGTACTTAAAAAACATTTCACTTAATCTTTTCTTTTAAAAAAATTTTATTTATTATTCTAAATTAAAATAAAAATATAGAGATGGGGGTCTCGCTTTGTTGCCCATGCTGGTCTTCAACTCCTGAGCTCAAGCGATCCTCCTACCTTGGCCTCCCAACATGCTGGGATTACAGGCATGAGCCACTGCACCCTGCCTTCACTTAATCCTTATAATAACTCTATGTTTCTTCATTCATTCGTTTGTTTATTCATTCATGATTTGCTGAGGGGAGGTGGAGAAAACAGCAGGAAGAGACACAATGTTGCTTCACTTCAGCCGGGTACCCCGTTCCTAGCCCACAGAAAGCTCGGCTGATGAGTGGAAAATAAATTCACTGTTTTTCTCCCTTAATTTGTCTAGGCTACTGGCCCATCTCCATTTATCCGACCTTACTCCACACACAGTCCATCCCATCATGCAGAAATTGGGCACTTTCTGGCACCCCACAAAGAGCCAGATGTGATCGGTTTAATAAAAGTGTGATAAGTGCCTAGTGCTCGCCTGGCAGCTGTGTGATTGTGTGAGTGTACGACAATAAACAGAGACTGGCCCACTTGCTTAAGTCCTGTCGGGGAGCTAACCATCTGTCTGGGTTGAGTGTTTTTTTCATGGGTGCAGCAGAAATGGTGCTCAATGAACGTGTCTGGCTTATGTTCCAAGTATTGTGCTGGGTGCTATGAAGAGAAAACACACAAGGACCCCACCTGCAGAGAGCTTGGTGTCTATTATTTGCACAGCACCTCCATCTTTGGTGCCTACTATGCATTCCATTTGCTTTAAATGTAATGAAAGGCCTCTGTTGGAAGGTAAAGGAAGAGTTATATAGCTCAGAGGGCAGGAGAATGAGAGGAAAAATAAATGAAAGAAATAGGAAGAAGGCAATGGTTTATAAAGAGCATGAATCCCATGAGACACCATCACTGGCAAAAGTGTCAACACCAGGAGAGATTAAGCCTGGAGCAGTCACGGTGCTGGAGGTGGGCTAGCTCTGACGAGGTTGTGCTTTGTGCTGGGGCTGATGTATGGTGGGGTTTCCACAGAAACTGGGAGGCTGTGGCACACAAGCTACAGCAAATCAGAAGTAGGCATGGATGCCTGGATTGACTCAAAGTTTCAAACTCAGGCATCTAATAATCGTTAGGAAAAACTTGGTGAGAATGTTTATCACCACTCTGAATTTCTCCCCCATCTCAGTAAATGGCTTCACCATATCCATCCAGAGTCTCAGGGTGACAACACAGCAGAGTCTTTTAAACATCATTCTTTTAAACATCCCCCCAATATCCAATCCCTCAGCAAGTCCTGTTGGTGCCACCTCCCAAGCCTATCCACTGCCCTACTGTAAGCCGCCGCCATCTCTTTGCATGGGCCAGACTGGAGACTCCTCACTGGCTCTCTTATTTCTGGTCTTGCTTTCATTTTCCAGCCAGCAGCCAGCATGTTCTTTCAAAAACATAATCTGGTTTATATCATTCCTCTTTGTACAGGGCCCTTCCCTTCCTTCCTGCTGTACTTGGAATAAAATCCTGTGAGTACTTACATGATTCAGCTCTTGGCTGTCTTGTCAACATTATCTTGAATAGTTTTTCTCCTCAATAACTCATTAAAAAAATTTGCTGAGCACCCATTATGTGTCAGGCACTGTTTTATTTATTATTTATTTGAGACAGGGTCTCACACTGTCACCCAGGCTGGAGTGCAGCGGTGCTATCTCAGCTCACTGCAACCTCCGCCTCCCGGGTTCAAGTGATCCTCCCACCTCAGCCTCCTGAGTAGCTTGGATTAGAAATGTGTGCCAGCACGCCCAGCTAATTTTTGTATTTTTAGTAGAGATGGGGTTTCACCATGTTGGCCCAGGACGGTCTTGAACTCCTGACCTCAAGTGATCCACCGGCCTTGGCCTCTCAAAGTGCTGGGATTACAAACATGAGCCAGCACACCAAGCCTCAGGCATTGTTTTAGGAGCTGGAGATACAGCTGTGAGCAAAATGGACCAAGCCTGCCCTCATGGAGCTTACATTCTGGTGGACGGAAGAGGTGATAACAAAAGGAAGAGGAAATAGGTACTGACAGGCAGAGGTAAATGCAATGGAAGAAAGTAAAGTGGGAAAAAGGAGATGGGGGTGCCATGGCTCGGGTGGTGGCTGCTGTTTATAGAGAGGAGTCAGGAAGGGTGTCTCTGATGTAATGAGATTAGAGCAGGTGTCTAACAGAAGTAAGGAAAGGATGTGGAGAGGCCCAACGTTTGAGGGAAAGGAGCAGCCAGCACCAAGGTCCTAGGGTGGAAGTACCAGCCATCCTGGAATACACACATGGTACGCATTCCAAACTCTTTCCAGCCTCAGGACCTTCGCAAGTGCTGCTTCCTTCATGTGAACCCTCTTCTCTCTGCTCTTACTGTGGCGAGATCTCACATCAGTGTTTCCCCAGCGAGACTTCTCCTGCACACACTATTTGAAATAAATCCCCTGCCGTGTTACTCTTTCAAAAACCATCTTATTTCCATCAAAGCAATGATCACAAGCCCTTACTTGTCTTGTCTATTTGCTTATTTATCATACTGTGTCCGAAATTGGTGGGTTCCTGGTCTCACTGACTTCAAGAGTGAAGTCGTGGACCCTCACGGTGAGTGTTACAGTTCTTAAAGGTGGTGTGTCTGGGATTTGTTCCTTCTGATGTTTGGACGTGTTCGGAGTTTCTTCCTTCTGGGGGGCTCATGGCCTCGCTGGCTTCAGGAGTGAATCTATAGACCTTCACGGTGAGTGTTACAGCTCTTAAGGTGGCGCGTCTGGAGTTGTTCATTCTTCCCATCCGGAGTTGTTCATTCCTCCCTGTGGGTTCATGGTCTTGCTGGCCTCAGGAATTAAGCTGCAGACCTTCACAGTGAGTGTTACAGCTCATAAATGTAGTGCAGACCCAAAGAGCGAGCGGCAGCAAGATTTACTGCAAAGAGCAAAAGAACAAACCTTCCACGGTGTGAAAGACGACCGCAGTGGGCTGCCACTGCTGGCCGCCGCAGCCTGCTTTTATTTCCTTATCTGGCCCCACCGACATCCTGCTTATTGGTCCATTTTACACAGAGCTGATTGGTCTGTTTTACAAAGAGCTGATTGGTCCGTTTTGACAGGGTGCTGATTGGTGCATTTACAATAGATTAGCTAGACACAGAGCACTGATTAGTGCATTTACAAACCTTGAGCTAGACACAGGGTGCTGATTGGTGTATTTACAATCCTCTACCTAGACATAAAAGTTCTCCAAGTCCCCACCTGACTCAGGAGCCCAGCTGGCTTTGCCTAGTGGATCCCGCGTCAGGGCTAGGGGCAGAGCTGCCCGCCAGTCCCACCCCATGCGCCTGTGCTCTTCAGTCCTTGGGTGGTCGATGGGACCGGGCGCCGTGGAGCAGGGGGCGGCGCCCGTTGGGGAGGCTTGGCCGCGTGAGAGCCCACCACAGGGGGACTCGGGTATGGCGGGCTGCAGGTCCCGAGCCCTGCCCTGCAGGCAGGCGGCTGAGGCCCGTCGAGAATTCGAGTGTGGCGCCGGCGGGGCCGGCAGTGCTGGGGGACCCGGGGCCCCCTTCGCAGCTCCTGGCCCGGGTGCTAAGCCCCTCACTGCCCCTGGCTGCTCCGAGTTAGGGCCTGCCAAGCCCACGCCCACCCAGAATTCGCGCTGGCCCGTGAGCACCCCAGCCCTGGTTCCTGCCTGTGCCTCTCCCTCCACACCTCCCAGCAAGCAGAGGGATCCTGCTCCGGCCTCAGCCAGCCCAGAGAGGGCCTCCCACAGTGCACCGGTGGGCTGAAGGGCTCCTCAAGCACGGCCAGAGTGGGCAGTGAGGCTGAGGAGGCACCGAGAGTGAGCGAGGGCTGCCAGCACGCTGTCACCTCTCAATACTTATCATCTCTGTCCCCTGGTAGACTATATTCTCCATACAGCAAACAGAAAGAAGCATGGTGTTCACAAAAAAAAAAAAAAAAAAAAAGAAAAGAAAAGAAAAAAAGGAAAGAGTATGTTGAATGAACAACACTGCCATCAACAGAAAGATAAAGGGATTGGATCTGTTCGAGGACCTTTGCCTCAGTGCATTTTATCTGTAACACTCTAAAAGCCGTGGCTCTTGATGGGGACAGCTGCCTCCTAGGAAACTGTAATTTTGCAGGGATGATTTTTGGTTGTCACAGTGATAGGGGTGGGTATCACCCCTGTAATCAAGATGTCATGATAATGTATGTCAATGAAAAGAGCCAAACTGTAAAATATTTGAAGAGATTTATTCTGAGCTAAATATGAGTGCCACATATGTGATTCTCCACACAGGCACTGGCCATCATGAAGTGATTTTCCGAAATGGTGAATAACGCTGTCAATAAAAAAGAGTCAAACTCTGTAAAATATTTAAAGAGGTTTATTCCAAGCCAAATGTGAGGACCACGACCTGTGACACAGCCCTCAGGAGACCCTGAGAACATGTGCCCAAGGTGGTCAGGGTGCAGCTTGGTTTTATACATTTTTGGGAGACATGAGACATCAGTCAGATACATTTAAGATATACATTGGTCTGGTCCAGAAGCATGAGACAACTGGAGGGGCGAGGGAGCTTCCAATTTATAGGTAGATTTAAAATTTTTCTAATTGGCAATTGGTTGAAAGAGTTATCAATAGAGGCCAGGCATGGTGGCTCACGCCTGCAATCCCAGCACTTTTGGAGGCTGAGGCAGGTGGATCACTTGAGGTCAGGGGTTGGAGACCGGCCTGGCCAACATGGCGAAACCCCATCTCTACTAAAAATACAAAAATTAGCCAGGCATGGTGGCGCATGCCTGAAATCCTAGCTACTCAGGAGGCTGAGGAAGGAGAATTGCTTGAACCCAGGAGTCAGAGGTTGCAGTGAGCTGAGCTTGTGCCATTGTACTCCAGCCTGGGTGACAGAGCAAGACTCCATCTCAAAAAAAGAAAAAAAGAGTTATCAATAGGGAAGAATGTCTGGGTTGTGATAAGAGGTTGTGGAGTCCAAAGTTTGATCATGCAGATGAAGCCTCCAGGTAGCAGGCTACAGAGAATATAATATAAATGCCTCTCATCAGACTTAAGGTCTGTGTTGATGTTAATGCTGACGGGTATAATGAGGCATTTTCAGCCTCCACTTCCCATCATGGCCTAAACCAGACTTTTAGGTTAAATTTTAGAGTGCCCTGACCTAGAAGGAAGTCCATTCAGATGGGCCGGGCACGGTGGCTCACGCCTGTAACCCCAGCACTTTGGGAGGCTGAGGCAGGCGGATCACCTGAGGTCAGGGGTTTGAGACGAGCCTGGCCAACATGGTGAAACCCCATCTCTACTAAAAATACAAAAATTAGCCAGGCATGGTGGCACGTGTCTGAAATCCTAGCTACTCAGGAGGCTCAGGCAGGGGAATTGCTTGAACCCAGGAGGCAGAGGTTGCAGTGAGCTGAGCTTGTGCCATTGCACTCCAGCCTGGGTGACAGAGAGAGACTCCATCTCAAAAGAAAAGAAAAGAAATGAAAAAGAAGAGAAAGAAAGTCCATTCAGATGGTTGTGGGGCCTTAGAATTTAATTTTTGGTTGACACGTGCATGACAGTCCCGTACCATGCAGAATCAGCCAGCATCCACACAGCTGTAGGATGTCCTGCCCAAAGTCCCCAAGGGTCAAAAACTTGCTCAAAATTCCCTCAGAACCTAACTTTGTGTTACATGCTAACAAAATAGTTTTTGCACGGTTTTAATATATACTGAATTTTTCAGGAATGCAACTACTGTGTCAATCTAGGAAAGACTACCTTGTTTAGTTTGGACCTTAATAAAGTGTTATAAACCAAAAATAAAATTCTAAGCTCCCCAACTGACTGATGCACCCCTCTCTTGGCCAAGCACATTCCAAAAAAAAACCTGAAAAACTAGTTCAGGCCATGATGGGAAAGGTGAGGGGGTCAGACACGCCTCATTATACCCTCCTCCCTTTGGAATTCAGGCACAACTGACCAGTGTTAACATTAAAACAGAGATCTTCAGACTGATAGAACAGACTCTTTGTAGCAATAAGATACCAACACAACAGGCCTGGCACAGTGGCTCATGCCTGTAATCCCAGCACTTTGGGAGGCCAAGGTGGGCAGATCATCTGAGGTCAGGAGTTCAAGACCAGGTTGGCTGATATGGTGGAACCCCGTCTCTACTAAAAATACAAAAAATTAGCCGGGCGGGGTGGTGGCATCTGTACTTGGGAGGTTGAAGCATGAGAATCACTTGAACCCAGGAGGCAGAGGTTGCAGTAAGCCGAGATCATGCCACTGCACTCCAGCCTTGGCAACAGAGTGAGACTGTCTCAAAAATAAAATAAAATAAAATAAAATAAAATAAATAAAATAAAATAAAATAAAATAAAATAAAATAAAATAAAAAGATATCAACACAACAGATAGCAGGACCTGAAAGAAATTTAAATATTTTACCCCAAAATAGAACATTTCTTTGACATATTTTGAGAGGGCGCTGCACAGTTGTCTCTTGTGGGAAAATCTATATTCTGTAGAGAATCCCCTTCCCTTTCCAGGTCTTTTCCTGATCCAGGAGGGATTTAATTAAGAGTCTGGCACATTTTTAGTTCTCATGAAAGAGACATTTACCATCTATTCTTTCTAAAGCCTGCTACCTGGAGGCTTCATCTGCATAAGAACCTTTCTTCACAACCCCTTGATTCCAGGCCTTTAGATAAAAACTTGATTCTTTCAGCAAATTGCCAGTCAGAAAGTCTTTCAATCCACCTATGACCTGGAAGCCCCAGGCTTTGAGTTGTCCTACCTTTCGGACAAACCAATGCATACCCCACATAGACTGACTGATGTCTCGTGTCTCCCTACAATATACAAAACCAAGCTGTAGCCTGAACACCTTAGGCACATGTTCTCAGGACCTCCTGGGGCTGTGTCACAGGTCATGGTCCTCACATTTGGCTTGGAATAAACTCTCGAAATATTTTGCAGAGTTTGACTTTTTTTTATTGACAGTGTTATTCACCATTTCAGAAAATCACTTCATGATGGCCAGTGCCTCTGTGGAGAATCAAACAATGTCACAAACAGTGCCCATCTGCATCATATGGTGGTAGCATTTATGTGTGAGCAAATTTACTTAGTCCTCATTTCAAAATGTCAAGTGTAATAAAAAAGTTTGAGAAGAGGCAGGGTGTGGAGGTTCACTCCAGTAATCCCAGCACTTGGGGAGGCCAAGGCAGGTAGATCACTTGATCCCAGAAGTTTAAGACCAGCCTGGGCAATATGGCAAAAACCCATATCTACCAAAAAATGCAAAAATTGGCTGGGCATGGTGGTGCATACCTGTAGTCCCAGCTACTCGGGAGGCTGAGGTGAGAGGATAGCTTAAGCCTGGGAGTTTGAGGCTGCAGTGAGCTGTGTTTGTGCCACTGCACTCCAGCCTGGGCGACAGAGCAAGACCCTGCCTTGGAAAAAAAATGTTTAAGAAGGGTCAGTTGAATATTATTTTACTTCTCCTAAATCCAAGCATCTTCTTTATAAGTAGGTGTGAGTGTTTAACTCATTTCATCTTCTAGTTGCACATAAGCATTCACACATTGAGACATGTACCAACTCATTATAAATTACTTCCCCTTTTATTTCTTTTTTATATCCAAGTTAGGACAGTATATTGATTTCTATAAAATTATGTATGTAGGTGGATTATGTTACAGCTATGAATGTCATTTCAAAATAATAAAGAGGTCATTTCAAATATTTGTTATAAAACAGAGGCCTGGGTCTGACAGTGCTGCAGTGCCGAGAGGTAAAGCTTCCAGGTC
Source organism: Homo sapiens (assembly GCF_000001405.40). Taxonomy (NCBI): domain Eukaryota; kingdom Metazoa; phylum Chordata; class Mammalia; order Primates; family Hominidae; genus Homo; species Homo sapiens. Next base: position 223,121,437 of record NC_000001.11, read on the forward strand.
TTTTTCCACATTCCTTACAGGCACTCTGATGACTAAAGCCAGGAATTCTGCGAATCCTATGTATTCTTTCCATCTACATAGTTTGTGATTGTTTTGTTTTGAGACAGGGTCTCACTCTGCTGTCCAGGCTGGAGTGCAGTGGTGCGATTACAGCTCACTGCAGCCTTAATTTCCTGGGCTCAAGTGATCCTCCTACCTCAGCCTCCTGAATAGCTGGGACCACAGGTGCATACCACCATGCTAGCTAATTTTTGTACTTTTTTTGTAGAGACAGGGTTTTGCCATATTGCCCAGAATGGTCTCGAACTCCTGGGCTCAAGCAATCAGCCCACCTCGGCCTCCCAAACTGCTGGGATTACAGGCATGTGCCTGGCCAGTGTTTGTTTCTTTTGTAGGTGATGAGATTGAGTAATGCAAACAAAGTAGCCACTTTCTGTCTCAGTGAATTTCTTGTGGCTTCAAATGGGCCTCAGAGGTAATGACCTTGTATTTATAGATGACACACACAGGCAGGAGGCTGCATTTTGGAAAATGGGATAAAAGTTCAAAGTGATCTCAATAGATAAAATGAAGAATTATTGAAAGAAAATAGAAACCAATCAGGGCAGATGAGGGTGTTACAGTTCAGAAGAAACTCCTAAAGGCAAGCACCATCCCTCCTACCTCCAAGGTTTGGGACAGGCTTTCTCAGGTGCCATGGGAGGTGCTCTGCTCTGTCCCTGCCATCCTCAATTACACATTTAGCATTGACACCCCACAGTGTTCAATAATATCAAATATGCATCATGATGATAAACCAACCTAAAAAGGGCAGAATAGAATCTATGAAGAGAGGGACAGATGTCACAATGGATGAGATGAGAGGCAGTTATTGCAATGGGCCCTAAATCCAGCTCCAGGGTTCCTGGCGTGCAATTGGAAGGCTGTGATTCTAGAAGCTGATATAATCCTGGGAGGCAGAGATAAGGGTGTGTGGTAGGAAGCATGAGCCCTTACTCAGTGGTACCTGGGGTGAAGAGTCTGAAGATGTACTTCAGATGAGACAAGAATAGTGGGGGAGAACAGGCCTTGACACCCAAGGAGGAAAATAAATGGTAATGGAAAGACCATATTTGTATTGGGTTCCACATAACCTTTTCCACATCTTATAGTATGAAGTAGATTCTGAAGTGCCCTAACAAGGCATGTAAGCATGTTGGCTTCATTGCTCACACCTAGGATGTTATGGTGGGCTCTCATGCTCAGTCACACTGCCCATAAGTAGACAACATGTTTTTAAACCTTTTGAAGTCTTGGACCCATTTGAGACTCTGATGATAGCTTTGATCCTTTTTCCTATAAAAATGCACATTTGCATCACAAACCAAATTTTGAACCCAGTTTCAGAGGATTTGCTGACTTCCTGAGGCCTGTCCATCTCCATGTCACATTGAGGACCCTTAGTTTCTGTTAAACAATCACACTTTAGGCTCTAGAACAGGAGATAGAAAACATTTTCTCTAAAGGGCCAGAGGGTAAATATTTTAGGTTTTGCAGTCCAAACACAGACCGTAGTTTGCTGATCTCTATTCTAGAAGAAAAGAGAATAGAAAATTTGATTTCAGAAATGAGGATTTTAAGTGACTCTAAGATATAAATATGTTCCAATATTGAACTACCAGTATTTGCAGGAAAGAACAAACTTGGACCCCAAGTTGCTGACAGTTTTGCAGCTGCTATTTTATCCAAACACGAGAAGGAAATTCTCATCTCATGAAACCAGAGAAATCCCTGCAGACATGGGAGTGAGAATGCCAGCTCTGAAGAACAGTTACATTTTTTAGTTTAAATTCTTTGTTTTTATGGATGACTCAATGCCGGTTCCCAAACATGCCACCAAACTGGGTGACCTTGAATTTGTGGTAAAGATAAGTGAAAGACAGCCCCAAACGAAATATGTTCCAGGATACTGAATTTTCAAGTACCTAATAGGGAAGCTAAAATGAAAGTAAGTAAGTAAGGTGGATAAGGCCAGCTGAACAAATGGATGTGAAAGAACATTGTCTGGGCTTATGTCGTATTACAAAGATACCACGCAGACAGATTTCTTTATGAAGTACAGAAAGGCATGAAATAACGAGATTTTTGTCTCTGAAGTAGATCTCTGTGGGTTAAATGGCAGGACAGGTGAGCAGAGGAACCAGGTGAGCAGGTGAGCAGAGGTGTGTGCAGCGAGGCAGTTCCTGCAGATAGCCTGGGAAGAAGTACCATCCAAAAAGAAGCCAGAGCTAAAGTGGGCGGAAGTAAATCTTGAATGAGCACTGGGATTGGGGAAATCCAATCTAAAGAGGAGAACCAGGCTGTGAAGTTGTTCCAGACCCAATCAAACCTCAGTGAGACGAGAGTTCAAGAACGGCGTCCACGCTGTTGAGGTTGCCGCTGCAAAGGCGCCCGACCCCAGCGGAGGAGTGCGCCATCTAGTGGTTATAGAGGGAGGAAAGAGAGGGACAGGAACTAAAATTCTCAAGGGGGCAGTGAGCTGCTCACTCATTGTTAAAAGGATGCTAAAAAGCAATGTGTATAATTACATCTACAGTTAGTTCTTCTATCAGGTGACATACATTCCTTTTTACAAGTCATTACACTATGCAAAATCACACAATAAAAACCACAAGGCTCATGGGAAAAATAGAGCTAGGGTGTTTCACACTTGAAAACTTAACAGTGGCCTATAAAGAAAGGATTGGGCCAGGCGCTGTGGCTCACGCCTGTAATCCCAGCACTTTGGGAGGCTGAGGCAGGTGGATCACCTGAGGTCAGGAGTTCGAGACCAGTCTGGACAACACGGTGAAACCTATCTCTATTAAAAATTCAAAAATTAGCTGTGTGTGGTGGTGGGTGCCTGTAATTCCAGCTACTTGGGAGGCTGAAGCAGGAGAAACCCTTGAGCCCAGGAGGCAAAGGTTGTAGTGAGCCAAAATCATGCCACTGCACTCCAGCCTGGGCGACAAGAGCAAGACTCCGTCTAAAACAAAAAAAAAAAAGAAAAAGAAAAAAAAAGGATTGGAGCCCCCTTAAGGTAGCACAGTTTTAGCCAAGTTAAATTCTTAAAAATACATAATACAGCACTTGACTTTGAAAATGACCTGCAGTTTGCTTGTGGAAGTGGACATCCGAAAGATTGCAGCTTGTGAGTTATTTTATTTTTATTTTTTGAGATGAAGTCTCAATCTGTCACCCAGGCTGGAATGCAATCCAGCTCACTGCAGCCTCCACTTCCCAGGCTCATGTGATTCTCCTGCCTCAGCCTCCTGAGTAGCTGGGATTACAGGTGTGCACCACCATGCCTGGCTAATTTTTGTATTTTTAGTAGAGATAGCCTTTCACCATGTTGCACAGGCTGGTCTCGATCTTCTGACCTCAGGTGATCCACCTGCCTCAGCCTTCAGAATTGCTAGGATTACAGGCCTGAGCCACCGCACTCCGCCAGTGAGTTATTGTGAATGGGGGAAGAAGGGTTGTTTGATATCAGAGGGGAAGTTACAGCAACAGATGTGGGTGCATGTGGCTCAAATCACACATGGAGAATGAGGTAGCTGACTAATATTGGAGGTGTATTTTGTGTATTCTTTTGTGTTTTGGCACAGCTGGGTGCAGTTTTCTGCCTTTACATGCAAGAAATTGCACATAAGCAAATGTGAAATTCACATTCTTGAATATGTTAATATTATTCTCCAGCATATCAATAGTCTTCCCTAACACATTAATATTGTTCCCTAATACATCAATCACGTTAGAAACAAATTTACATTCCAAAACAAGCATTATAGCAGCACTGACTACACTCTAATTCAAGGATTACAGTTCAAATTAAGAGTAGAAAAGATGCAGGTTCTATATAAGATTCTACCCCCTGCACCTGCAAGGCTGAGTATGGAGAACCCGTGGGACTGTCTTGAAAATCAGCCCTGGGAATGAGTGCAGACTCAGAACCTAACGAGCTCAGGGACTTGGGCAGAGTGTGTCACCTTTCACACTCTCAGTGTTCTCATGTTTCATTGAAAGACTTAACAAGATTAGTAGCTCTCAGCCTTGGCTACACACTAGAATCACCTGGGAAGTCTTCAGACCCAGGAAGCCCAGACTGACCACAGATGCATTAAATGAGCCTCTTTGGGATTGGCGGTGGTTGGTGGTGATGGTGGTGGCGGTGGGGGTTGTGGTGTTGGTGGGGGGGTGGTGGTGTGCTCTCTCAGGAATCTGTATCCTTAGCCATTGTGTGAATTTTATACACACTCAAATTTGAGAATCACTGATGGAAACCAATGGTTCTCAAACTTGGCTACACACCGGAATCACCAGGAGACTTTAAAAAATTACAAATTTAGTTGGTGTGGAGTGTGGCTTGGGCATCCAGGGTTGTTCAGAGTCTTCAGGTGACTCCACCAGCAGAGAGTCTGATCACCTGGTCTTCTGGCTGCAACCCTGACTGCAGCTTAGAACCATGTGGGCTGCTTAAAAACAGTACTGACTCAAAAAATGAAACACAGAACTAACTGTCGCATGACCCAGCAATTCCACTTCTGGGTGTACACCCAAAAGAACTGGAAGCAGAAGCTCAACAGATATTTGCACACCAATATTCATAGCAGTATCACTCACAATAGTCAAAGGGTGGAAACAACCCAAATATCCACCAATGAATGAATAAATGAACAAAATTTGTTGTCTATATAATGGGATATTTTTCGGCCTTAAAAAGGAATGGAATTCTGACACACGGTACAAGACGGATGAACTTTGAAGACATTATGCTGAGTAAAATAAGCCAGTCACAAAAGAACAAATATTGCATGAATCCACTTACAAGATATCTAGAATAGATAAATTCAGAGATAGGAAGCAGAGCAGAAGTTACCAGGGGCTGGGAGGGGAGGATGGGGAGTTAGCGTTTAATGGGCAGAGTTTCAGTCTGGGATGATGAAAACATTCTGGAGACAAACAGTAGTGAATGTACTTAATGTCACTGAACTGTCTGCCTAAAAATTATTAAAATGGACATTTTTTATAAAATGAAAATTATATGTCTATTTTACCACAATTAAAAAAATTAAATTAAACCCCCAAAACCCACTACAAATACCCAAACTGGACTTCTCAATATTCCAGTTCCACAGGCCTCTGAGGCCTGGAAAGTGCATTTTATAGCCATATCCCAGTTACTCTGAAGCTAGTGGTCTCAGGCCATGCTCTGAGAAGTGTTGGTCTAATGGATCCCCTCCAACTCAGAAACCAAGTGATTCTCTTAGAGGAAGAAGGGCTGGTAAGAAAATCTGAGGGCTGTTGAGTATTGGGTTTTTATTATTAAGGCTGATTTAACTTGTATCTAGGGCTTTGAGGGGGAAAAACAGAAACAGAACAATCAATGCAGGCTTCAATACTCCTGCCAAGCACTGTTAATTAAGTTAATGAGGCCAGAGGGAGAAGGGTCAGTATCCCTTTCATTTGAGCTGAATTCATTTAGCTTTAATCCCAGCCATTAGCTGGGTTGGTTCCCTTTCTTGACTTCATTGCCTGGACAGCAGAGCTGCTCACTTATGCTTGGGGAGTTATGGGCCATGGTGTCTCTGCAGCAAACACACAGCTTGCATTTCAGGGGTGCCTCTGTTCCTGGGGCACCACAGCATGCGGATGCCTCCAGCTGAGCCAGGGCTGCTCCTGTGTCAAGTTAATGCTTGATCCCTAATAGATAATTCCAGTCACAGGCTCGCTGGCAGGCCTGGGGTTCTGAGCAGGGCTTGGGCTGGCTGTGGTCAGGTGGAAGCTATAGAGGGAATGCTTCTCCTGGCAGGTGCTGGGCCCAAACCTGGAGGGCCATTGGAACAGCAAGCATGGAGGACTCACTGAGAAAAACACTAATGCATTTCCAAATGGGTGTCTGAGAGAGTTTCTCCAAATTCACACAGGTATAAAATTCCTGGACCAATTCCAAAAGTAGGTACAGCATGTGGGTTTAGCCTTGGATAAAGGCTCGAGGGCAGTGAACAAAGTGAACTCTTCCAGGACAAATACATTCTCTAGCTGCATAATACAGCATCCCACCGGAACCATGCCCAACAAATGGGCATTGTCAAGTCCAAAACATTGCTAGGGCCACAGTCCCTCCAGCCCAGCATTCTGCCTCTGACAACAGTTCCAATAAAACAGACGGGGAATTGCACTGCCATTAACCTCAGCACTTGCTCCCCAGGTGCAATTCTAACTCCCTTCATAAACCACCATGACTTGAAAGCTCTGCTGGAGTGATCGCTTTTTCATTCATCACTACCTCTTCTTGCACTGTATCTGGAATTTTTGTTTGTCCTAGAGTTACTCGTCCTAGGCCTGGGCTCCCACTATATGCCCGTCTCTCCTCAACAGGAGTCCCTGCTGGAGCTCTGCAGACTCCAGAGCAGTGGTGCCCACAGTGCAGTCCGGGAACAAGCAGCAGCAGCAGCACCTGGGCTTAGCGAGCAATGCAAATTACTGGGCCTTACCCCAGCCCCGCTGAATCAGAAGCTCTGGGGCTGGGACCTGGCAGTGTTTTTAATGCATCTGGGTCATTCTGATGCATACCCATGTCTGAGAACCATGAGGCTAGAGTCTGGAGGGAGGACAGAAATAGACGCAAATCCCTATAATACCATATGGGGGGTTACCCTCGCCCGTATGCTCCTCCCCACACAGCTGGGAGCTCCCTCCCTTCCCTCATCCTCCCAGTCTTTTGTAGGTACTATTACTGGGTACCATTACTGTAGGTACCATTTTACGGATGAGGAAACTGAAGCCCGGAGATGTTAAGTAACTTAAGGCCACGCAGCTGTCTACTGCATGTTAGCCTCTAAGCCTAGCATCTCTGGGCATGGCTGCATGTGTTGTTCAGGACCGGACCACGGTCCTGCTCCAGCCCATCTCTCAGTCATCATCTGCTGATCTGTGGTCACTTCCCCTCAATCACAAAGGGCCTTGGCCCTGGGTCCCAGTGGCAGGTTAGCCTCTCAGCCTCTCCTCCCCTTCTACCTTCGTCGTCATCTGGAGGTCCACCTTACCCCCAGAGTCGTTTATTCCTGACAATGGAACAATGTGGGAGTGAGGCAGTAGAATAGGGTCTGGAGGCAGGGAACCTAAGTCTGTTTCACACCGACTTCCCAGAACTAAATTGAAAGGAAAATCCTAACTTTCCATGCATAAGTAACAAAAGGACCAGACGCTACTCCCTTTGTCCTTTTCTGTGTGGCAGATGGGAAATTGGCTGTCCGCAACCAATCAGACTGACTGCAGGTGAGTCTTCATTTGCAACTTTGTAAGTTCACTCCAGCCTCTGAATGACTGCTGTCCACAACCCATCAGACTGATGGCCTGTCGAGTCTTCATTTGCATAGGAATATAACTGTAGCTTCTTCCTAGCCTCCGATTGGTTGCTTTTTGCTTTGCTGGGTATTTTGTCCAATTCTTTGTTCAAAACGCCAAGAACCTGGACAACTTGCAGTCAAGACCCTCTGCCAGTGACAGGAGGGCCTTCTCTCCGACCTTCCTCACAACCGCCCTCTCCAGCTGTTGCGCGCGCTCACTTCTCTGCACCATTCCCTGAAGGCCTTGAAAGTGCCCTTGAACTGTCCTTGCCTTTCATGGTGTCAGCCTCTTCATGCCTCCCCACCATTCCAGGCACTCCGGGCTTTCTCTTCAAACCCTCTTTCGACACCTCCAAGTGCTGAGCCTCCTTGCTTTTCTAGCCCATCTGCCAGCCTCCTGCACGTCTACACCTGACGGCTGGGCTCCTGTCGCAGAAACCATGCGCCAGGCACATTGGGGCCCACATAAATGTGCAGTGTCCGATACGCCATGTGGTCAGCACGACTTCTCCACGTCTCCTCTTTCTCTTCTTCCTGCAGAGTGAGCCCACCGGTTCACCACGTTGCTCTTGCCCCTAGCCCACCAGGCCCTGGCCCTCAGCAGCGGACCTGCCGCGGTTTCTGGACTAGGAAGGCCCTGCTCCCGACCGACCCGGAGCGCGCTGCTGCCCTCTACCGGTCATCCGTGCGGCCGGACACCGTGTCAGGCCCGCGAGGAGGGCTCTGCCGCAGTCCCGGGGAACAGCACCCAGCAGCGCCACTGGGAGAGGAAACTGGGGTCAGGGAGGTGTGACTGGGCCCCAGGCAGTCACACTCAGGCCAACAAGGTCAGGGAGGGAGGGCAGCTCACTCGTGCAAACGTGAGTGCAAAATGCACTCCACGGCCAGGAACAGGCAGTCCGTTCATGCGGGCAAAATGGAAAGCGAGCTCCTACCCAGGTTTCTCCTCAGAGCCATCACACGCCTGAGCAGCAACAGTCATTAGCATCAGGGATTAACACAGCGGGCTAAACGTCTGACAACTAACTACTGTTCTCTAAAGAGGACTCAGAGAATCAGCACACGAGGTTTCTGTGCACTGCAGAACGGTTGATTTATTTACTGATGCCCGGTGGTCTCATTAGGGTCTGTTTGCCTCTCTAGGTCTTTATGATTCCATAATACAAAGCACGTCTATTAAGTGTAGCCTAAATTTCCCTTTTATGTGCACTTTTATGTGCAGTCTTTATTCCATTAGCAATGGGTGGGGGCTGGGGCGTACCCTGAGAGACTATCAAATGCCCTGCCAAATTCCTAGAGTTGCTAGAAAAGGGTAACCCTGTCAGGATGGAAACAAGCTGAGTTCTCTGTGACTGGCCATTCAGAAACACAAGCTGACATACAGGGATCCCCGCACCGTTCCACAGAGCTGCAGACCACCTACTAAACCTCTTCTAGAAATTTGTCCACAGTTGTTGTCAAGCTCGCTGGTTTGTGGTTTAAAAGCCCACCTGTGTCCCTTTTTGTGAATCAGAATTTTGTTCCAGAGGCCAGGTATTGTTTGGTTCTCTTTGACTCACTGTGTTGCCAGCACCTAGAATGTATTATGTTGGCAAATATCTGCTGAATGAATGAATTTGCTCACATCCTGCCTGGTGCCTCCCTCCCTCTTCGTGGCCCTGCAGAAAAGGCTGCCAGGTGCAGAGGGCTCCTCTGCCAGTTCTCTGGGTTCCTTGGATGGGCCGGTCTGAGAAGGACTTGGGCAGATTCAGAACAGCCCCACGTCACTTGCTTGCTTCTTTCTCTCCTACCTGGGCCATCACTTCTCTCCTGCCAGGGAGTGGTTATCTGCTAGTATTATACCATTGCACCATCTGCTTCTGAGAGTGAGCTTGTTGCTTCCTTCTTCCTTATCTGAACAGAGCTTGAAAAATCATTTTGCATCTTTGTAGCATTTCCCCCAAATTCAGAGCATTTAGGGCTATAGCCATTCTGAGACCTTTCTCACTGGTCAGACACTGCCTGATATTCATCTTTGCTCATGGATCCTTATTTCTGTCTTTAGTGTATATATCCTTAAAATCTAACCAGGAGGGTGAGGTCATTCTGGTTTCCTTAATTCCCAGCTGGAAGAAGCTTTAAGCAGGGCATCAATGCTGTTGGTGGCCAGTTCTGTGAATTTCACGTCAGGATGCCTCCAGCATCCATTCCCCTTCTTCCAATTCTGCAGCCACTGCTTGGCTGCAAGGCTCCACTGCCTCCCCTCTAGATATGGGAGACACCACCTTGCTAGTCTCCCATAGTAAGCCTGACCCTGACACACACACCCCTCACTTACTATCTGAGGGGGCTTCCTAGGGCATGACTCTGATTAGAAGTCTTCACTGACTCCTCATGCTCATATCACTCAAACTCTTCAGGATGACCTCAGGGTCCCCACCACAGACTCTAAGTGAATTCTGGAATGGTTGACTAGAGAGGCCCTCAGGGCTTGAACCCTTTCATTTCACAGAGCAGGAAACTCCAGCCACCCTGCCTTCCTGGCTGTATCTACACTGGCATCCCATCACTGCCTTGTGCTCGAGATCTAACTTGCCATTCTCAGAGTCTGCCCTCATCCCCATTCTCTCAGCTTAGGCTGGTCCTGGGGCTTGGAATGCTCGTGAATGTCTCATCTGCTCATCCCATTCCAACTCCCCCGTCAAAGGCCACCTCAGAAGCCACCTCTGCCATGAGAATTCTACATGCACTTCTCACACTTCTATGTGCACTAGTTTGTTTTTGTTTTTTTGTTTTGCGGCAAGATCTCGCTCTGTTACCCAGGCTAGAGTGCAGTGGTGCAATCAGGGCTTACTGCAGCCACAATCTCCTGGGCTCAAGTGATGCTCCCATCTCAGCTTCCCAAGTAGTTGGGACTACAGGCTTGTACCACCATGCCCAGCTAATTTTTGTTGTTGTTGTTGTTGTTTTTGTTTTGTAGAGACAGGGTTCCACCATGTTGCCCAGACTGGTCTCGAACTCCTGGGATCCAGCGATCCACCTGCCTCGGCCTCCCAAAGTGTTGGGATTCCAGGCATGAGCCACCATGCCTGGCCTATATGCACTCTTTATCTCCGTCCCCTGGTATTCTGGGTACATTTCCATCATGGCATTTTTATTATATTATGCCTTCTCCACTAGATTGTAAGTCTTGAGGGGCAGGCACTCAGTTTCATTCATGCAGGATCCCCCTGTAGTACCTGGCACAACTTAAGTACCCCAGCAATATTTTTCTCCATTAATATTTTGAAGACAGGACTGGGCATGGTGGCTCATGCCTGTAATCCCAGCACTTTGGGAGGCCAAGATGGGAGGACTGCTTGAGCCCAGGAGTTCTATACCACCCTGGGCCACATAGTGAGACCTTGTCTCTACAAAAAACAGAAAAATTAGCCAGGCATGCTGGTGTGCACCTGTAGTCTGAGCTATTTGGGAGGCTGAGGCAGGAGGATCATTAAGCCTAAGAGTTTGAGGCTGCAGTGAGCTATGATCACACTGCTTTATTTCAGCCTGGGCGACAGAGAGACCTTATATGTATGTATATTTGTACATATGTATATATATATGTACAAATATGCATATATTTATATACGTATCATACACACACAGACACAGACACACTATGACACATTTTTACCAGAAGCACTTACCTCGTTGTCCTAGCAGAAGGGACTTCTAGTATGTTCTTATTCTAGGGGCAGAGGGTCCCTGGTTGTTTAAAGACTTCAGTTCCTGAGACTATAGGAATCTCATCACAGTGATGGTAGTCAGTATTTTATTTTTTGGTGAATCAGGAGAAAGGACTTTTTGTTTTCCTAAGGGAAAATAGGAAAGCTAATTAAGAAGAAGAAACAAAAAATATTATGTAGATATTTTTCTATGCCATACAGCAGTTTTCTTGTGGAAGAATTGCAAACTTTCTGTGTATCTCTACTAAATGGAATTTTAATTGGAAAAGATCAAGACCATTTTGTAAATCAAGGCGGACAGAACACCAAGGTTGAAGTTGGGACCTTGAGAAATCTCTGGCCCAGCCTCTTGTTCAGAAGGTGGGTGTCTAAGCCATTCAGTTCCTCTGGGACCTAAAAATCTCTTTCATGACATTTCTGGGGTCATTTGGTTTCCAAAGACTCAAGCACAAGGATGAGGACAATTCCACTGTCCCTATTGTCCAGTGAGCAGAGAACTTCCAGACAAAATGGTCTTGCGGCTCTCTAGGGACAGATAGAACTAAGGTCACTATGAGAGTGAGACATTTCTAAGCGGTACATCTAGGTAAATTATGGCTGTGTTAGAAGACAGTGCACAGTTATTGGATTTCGGGTTTCGGGTGAACAATGTCCTGAAAGTTGAAGAGTTGGCTTATAGTGCTTTTCATTATTTGATAGATGATTAACTCAGAGAGGTTAAGCACTTGTCTAAGATCTCACATTTATTACACTGTGGAGCTCGGATTTGAATCCCGCTGCAAACTTAGTTGTCACTGTGACCTTTGAACAAAACAAAATTGAATATGCTGCAAAACATCCACAGAGCCTCAAAGCGAGCTCGGAACCTGAAACGGCCCGCCTGAGACCTCCTTGAAACGGTGATTCTGATTCATCAGGGCTGTGGCTGAAGGACCTGAGAGTCTGCATTTCTAACGGGCTCCCACGTGATGCTGCTGCTGGTCCACTGACCACACTGTTAGCGGTGAGAACCTAAGAGTCTGTAATTGCCTCCCTGCTCATTACCCCCATGCCCACGTGAGCTGCCTCGTTCTTCCAGGATAAGGCATGGCTAAGATGCTGCACGATTGGTTTTGAGAAGGGGCTATACTAATACATTCACTTCCCCTTCCTCCCCATTTTTCTCAGCGCTGAAGAGTGAAGCATCAGAGAGTACCTCAAAGAAGATTCATGTGAGGCTTTGAGGAGGAGGGGATGGATGGGTCATATCGCTTTACTAGGAGCTAAGGAAACGGGACAGCTTGGGTGCGACTTCTGATTTCAGGAGATGCGCTTTCCCTAGAGACCAGCAGAGGGCGCAAAAGGGGCAGGGACCGAGGGGGAGGAGCCCGCGGAGCCGCGGCCGGAGAGTCGAGCGGGGCGCGGGGAGCTGCAAGCGTCCCTGAGCTGAGCTCCGCTGGGAAGTTCCTATCGCTTGCGCAGTAGAGTGCATTTAGACATTTCAATGACAACTAAATTTGTAGCTGGATTCAAATCCTAGCTCCACAGTTTAGTAGGTGTGTGAGCTTGGGCGAGTGCTGAACCTCTCTAAGCATCAGTTTACTGCCTATAAAATCACAGCAATAAGTTTCTACCTCCCACCCCCGCCGCCCCTACCCCGGCAGCAACAGCCTGCTTCCGGCTTCCAGGGATCCTCCAGTGCCCAAACCAGAATATCCAGTTACCCATGCTTAATACTCCAACAGTTCTTGCTTGCTGAAGTAGGCAGCCATCATTTACGCAACTACACCTTACCAGAAACGCCTTCCCTTTAGAACACTGAAGGGGAAAGTTAGAGAGGGAAAGGAAATTTCTCAAGGCACTGGGGTGATTTTGTGTTTCTTTAGCATGAGTTACCGGAAAGCTTCCTGTGTTTTCTTTACTATCTTTAGGTGGTGGTTCCCAGCATCAAAAAACAGCAAAAACAGCAGCAAGCAAAGGCGCTGATACTCTGAAAAGTTATGTTGAAAACACATGGTTTAGGTACAGAATGGCTTCCCCGTTGTTTGCACATTATAACTCTTTAGCACACAATTTTAAAGCATCTGATTGAAAGAAATAATTTTTAGTGATTATTAAAAACGAACAACTAGCACAACATTTAAAATCGTCGGGAAAAGGTGGCTCGCCCAGAAAGTGAACATCCCTACCTGTCTCCAGGTTCGGACAGCGCCAACATTCTCAATTAGAAAATTAACATCTGAGGCTCCGACATCTTCCCTGGATGCTAAATCCTGTGTATTGATGGGCAAAGTCAATTGCCAGGAAAGCTGGGCAACTATAAGGTCAGGGGGCTGGAGCAGATGAGAGTAGGGAAGTCCAGTATAGCATCCCTGAAAGTAATGACACAGACAATCTGCTAAGCGCTGCAAAAATCATTTGGAGTGTGATGTAAATTGGAAACAGCTGGGGTGGGGGTGGTGACCGGCAACTAGGAACCCTATTAACCTGATCAGTTAGATACGAAATGGGAATGTGAAGAGAGAGTATCAAACACTTGAGAACTGTTCTGAGAGGGATGTGTAGTCTGTGCTGGGCTAGCAAAGGAATCAAGAGAAAGCTTCCCAGGCAGATAAAATCCAATGCACCCTGCAGCTGCTGGAGACACCCCCTGATGCAAGGTAAGCCCTGAAGAGGTTGAGAAGGAAAGGTGGGGGGCACTCAGGCCAGGATGAGGATGCCCTGAGAGGAAGATGATTTCACTGGTGTTGCCTGAGGGACTGTAAGCAGGGACAGGTGAGGCTGGGGAGCGCACCCCTGCTGGAAGCACAGGTCCCCACCCTGTGCCCAGTGTCCTGGGACCCGAAGGAGGTTTACTGCATGTGGAATCTGCCTGGGCAGGCTGCCCAGGGTGGCTATGCTCCATTCTGAGTCAGGGCAGGGAGTCAGCTAGTTGATTTGGCTCCAACTTGCTAGTGGTGGTTACTTTCGAGATACATGAGACCATGGCAAAAATGCTGGGCTGGGAGAGGATAAATATCGGTTCTAGTCCTCCTTCAGCCACAGTCTGGGTATCCTAGACAACTCTAACTTTCATTGTCCTCAGTTTCTGCATATGTATAACGGTGAGTTTGAAATGGAAGCATTTTTAAATCCTTGTTAACTCTGAAGTTATCTAAGGAAACTTGCTGAGTATCATCATGACAGCAATCATAGACCAGGGCCAATCCTCCCTGAAGCAGAACATTCCTTCTTCATTCTGGCAAATTTGCAAGGCTGTTACACCGGATCTTGAAGATACATAGTGGAAAATGATGTTATTAATGTACCGATGAAAAAAATGGAACCACATATATCCTAGCTTTAAATAGCAACTTTTTCCCCCCTCAAGAAATTACCCTCAGAGGAGCTTATGTCTGCGGCTAGATATTTTGAGATTTGACTTTTTTTTCCCCCTCTCCTTGTATTTCTGCTTTCCTAGGCTCACCTCCACCTCTGTAGCCAGCTCCCTAGTCATTGGTCCAGGGCAGGTATATGTCAGAACCCTACCAGGAATAGCCTGCAAGTTCTTCTGGCTTTGATTTTCCAAACAGGGCCTTAGGTTGGGGACACAAAGTCTTTGCCAAGTTGGGGGAAGAGGGGTGGGGTGTGCTGATGGGTAAAGCAGAGAGACATGCTTCTAGAAACAGGAAGACAGGAAGGGAAAAGGGGTCTGTCAGCACCAGGAAGACAGGACTCTGGCAGGACCCCAGTGAGTTAGCTATGTGGTCTGGAAGCAGTGAGGACTTGCTAGGCAAGACAGGCACAAGAGTGCCTTCAGTGGTAACCCGAGTGGACCAGATGGGGGAGCAGGAGATACCTGCACCCGAGCCCCTGGGATCTTGGCAATGCATAAGAGATCTGAAATTGTGACACAGTGACACAACCTGGGGTGATTTCTATGGTTGCTGGCCAGATGAGATGAAGGCTCTAAACTAATATTAATATCTAGAAAATAGAGGAGAGGCAGTATTTCTTGCACATCTGTGCATGCTAGAGATTCACACTCACTACCCTTTTGGTTCACAGGTTGGGAAATAAAAGAAAAGGTAGTCTTGAAGCTATCTGAACCCAGTTATATCTCTGACCAAGATGAGGAGGAATCTCAGACCCCAGAAACTCAGGACTAAAAGTGACTTCTGATTTTGCCTTTATCATGGTCTTCTGAGTTCAAATCCAGACAGTTTCCCTGACTGTAAAATGGGATGGTTATGAAGAGTAAATGAGATGGGACATATAGCTTATATTTTTTGGTCCCTTGCAATACTTTGCATGTGGCAGATTGCTTGTTGACTATCAAATTATTTATTGACTGTTTTTTAAATTTTTTTTTTTGAGACAGAGTCTCACTCTGTCACCCAGGCTAGAGTGCAGTGACATGATCATGGCACAACCTTGAACTCCCCCGGCTCAGGTGATCCTCCCACCTCAGCTTCCCAAGTAGCTGGGGCTACAGGCACATGCTACCATGCCCAGCTAATCTTTCTATTTTTTGTAGAAGTGGGTCTCGCCATGTTGCCCAGGCTGGTCTCGAACTCCTGGGATCAAGAGATGTGCCCGCCTCAGCATCCCAAAGTGCTGGAATTACAGGCGTGTGCCATTGTCCCTGGCCTTATTGACTATTAAAGCTAGTCCAACCCACAGTGAACCTGGGTCCAGAGAGATACCTGGTTTGGTGACTGTGGAGAAGCCACGTTGTCAGTAGCATCAGGAGTATGAATCTTGTAGTAGTGTCAGGAACATGAACATCAATCTATGGTAAAATACAAACTTACTTATCTTGAATTTAGCATAGTGGTTTAAGTACATGGACCCTGAAGACAAATATGCTAAGCTTGAATACTGGTTCACCACTTACCCCTCAAAGGTACTCACAATAGTCTGTAGCTCAGAGTAACTGCTATCTATGCATTTGCTATTATTGCTGCTTTTACTGTGTTATTAATTTGTGCACAGTAAAAGAGAAAATGCCTGACTAGCACTATTAGGAAGGAAAGTTGTTTGGAAGCATTTGAGGGAGTCTCATTACAGGCCAGTGAAGTGAGAACCAATGATTTCTGTGTTGCAACACCCTGTCACTGGATTTAGCAATACCATGACTTTGGCAATTCCCCAGAAGGAAAGTTCTATGGGGCACTTGCAGAGGACAGGAAAGGAGGAGAGGAAGGTTTAAATGAAATATAACCAAGTGAACAATATGAATATTTATCCATATTCCTTTAGCATAAATGAGCTCCTTCCCTAGTGTGGTCAAAGGGAGGCAGATCTCTCTTACCATAAAACAAACAGAAAGTCTTCTCTTGAGCAGACCCCTCCTTCCTTCTTTCTTTTATGGCCAAATTCCTCAGACAAAAAGTCTAAAAACCCCACCCAATGTTTCCATTGCCCAGTAACTCAGTAACTAGCCTCTCTTTAACCTCCTCAGGTCTGGCTTTTTAAATTTTTTTTTTTTTTTTTTTTTTTTTTGAGACCAGGTCTCACTGTATCACCCAGACTGGAGTGAAGTGGTGCGATCAGAGCTCACTGCAGCCTTGAACTCCGGGGTTCAAGTGATCATCCCACCTCAGCTTCTGGAGTAGCTGGGGCTATAGGCATGTGCCACCATGCCCAGATAATTTTTGTGTGTGGGGGTGGGGGTGGAGGGGTCTCACTATGTTGCCCAGACTGGTCTTGAACTATTGGTTTCAAACAATCCTCCTACCTTGGCCTCCCAAGGTATTACAGGCATGAACTACTGTACCCAGCCTCTTTCTTCTATGAATCTCCTTGTGGGTTTTGTTTTGTTTTGTTTTGTTTTGTTTAGCATTGGGCAGCTTTGGCCACCTATTTCTTCTTGAAATATCTCTTCCTTTGGCTTCCTTAGTTTTTTCCCTATCTTTCTATCATTCTATTTTCCAACAGATACTTTTCTTTTTCCCACCCCCATGGCTTCTAGGTTTCCCCAAGACCTTGTTCTCTGCTTCAGGCTTCTTCCATCAGTGACCACATTTGCTTTCACAAGTTAAACTGTTGCCACTATGCTCCCAAAATCTTTCTCTAGGCCTGACCTCACTTGTACTTAAAGTGTGTGTTTCAGTTGACTCTAGAACATTTCCTTTTTAACATCAGACTCAATATGTCTCAAAGTGACTTGATATTTTGAATTTTGAAAATCCTCCAGGAAACAAAAAAATTTTTGCGTAGTACTCAGAGACATATAAGTGGACTTCTCCCCAGGCCAGGGAATCCTACACCTGCAGCACACCATCTCCACCTGCCTCATAGGTTTGAAAAAACCTTGTCCCTTACTCTTTGATATGGTTTGGCTGTGTCCCCACCCAAATCTCATCTTGAATTGTAGCTCCCATAATCCCCACGTGTTGAGGGAGGAACCCAGTGGGAGGTAACTGAATCCTGGGGGCAGGTCTTCTGCGTGCTGTTCTTGTGATAAGGAATAAGTCTCACGAGATTTAATGGTTTTATAAATGGGAGTTCCCCTGCACATGCTCTCTTGGCTGCCGCCATGTAAGATGTGACTTTGCTCCCCCTTGCCTTCCACAATGATTGTGAGGCCTCCCCAACCATGTGGAACTGTGAGTCAATTAAACTTCTTTCCTTTATAAATTACTCAGACTCAGGTATATCTTTATTAGCAGTGTGATAACAGACTAATACACTCTCTTTATATAACTCATCACCAAATTCTAGTTTTCCCCTTCCAGATGTCTCTAGATTTGTCCTTCGTTTGATATTTTTATCACTCTGGTTCAGCCTACCATCCAATGCTTATTGGACACCATCTCCTAGGAACAATGTTAGCTGATGGGGGATACATCAAGGATTAACTCAATCACTGCCTTCAGGGAGCCATCCCAGCAGGGAGATGGCCAAGTAACCAGCAGCCATAAGAGGGTGTGATAAATGCTGTTAGAGGCTGTGCAGGGTGCTATGGAGCACAGAGGAGAATTTGAAAACCCAGCCTGAGGGGCCTCTGCACATAGGGGATTCAGATCTGGAGTATTAATGATCAGGAATTAGCTAGGGAGAGCAGTAGGCATTCCTGGCCAAGGCTGCCAAACAGCATGGACAAAGGAGAAGAGAGAGCCTAGGCCTGGGGAGCTACCTGGGGCTGCAGTGGCTCAGAAGGTAGATTTGTGGGCTCAAGGTGGGAGCTGGTGGAAGATGAGGCTAAAGAGGATATGCTGGGGGCAGATCAAGAAGACTCTAGAATTCTATAGTGAAGGCAATAGGGGGTGCTCTGAGTTTTGAGCACCACCACTGCATTACACTCAGACTCCTCAAGGCCTCTAGGAATTGGCTCCATCTAATTTATCCAATCTGAGACTCCTTGTAACACATAACCTGTGCCTTCTACTCCAAGTTGGTGGGGCACTTCACTGTTACCTATAAGGGCTTGAATTTCAATCAAGAATCATTTATCAAACGCCTCTTATGTGCCAGACACCAAATTCGGCTCAGGGGAGCCCTATGTAAGTGAGACACAGCTCTGCTTCAGTGAGTGAGTCAAAGATCCCTTAACTCCTATGGACAATACGGAGCTTCAACAGAGGTCTATGCAAGGACCAATGGAGAACAAAGGAGAAACCCTCCAACTCTGCTCAAACACTCGGGTAGGGGCCTGCCAGGGAAGTCTTCACTGGAGAAGGTGCCATTTGAGCTGCTTCTTAAAAAATGTAGGGGATTGGTCAGCAGAGCATTTTGAGCATAGGAGAGTAGGCATAAAGTAAAGGAGGCACACAAAAAACGCATGGTCAGGCTGGGTGTGGTGGCTCACGCCTGTAATCCTAGCACTTTGGGAGGCCAAGGCAGGTGGATCACCTGAGGTCAGGAGTTCGAGACCAGCCTGGCCAACATGGTGAAATCCCATCTCTGCTAAAAATACAAAAATTAGCTGAGCATGGTGGTACGTGACTGTAGTCTCAGCTACTTGGGAGGCTGAGGCAGGAGAATTACTTAAACCCAGGAGGCAGAGGTTGCAGTGAGCCAAGATCACACAAATGCACTCCAGCCTAGGTGACAGAGTGAGACTCTGTCTCAAAAAAAAAAAAAAAGGCATGGTTAGAATGCTATAAGAAGGGCATCATGGCTGGGTGAGGAAGAGAGTGGCAGGACCCACAGCCAGAATTCCCGGAAGGCAGGAATTTGAATTGGCTCTGGGCAGCAAGTGCCTTTCATTATTCTGAGCTTCATATATCCTCATGCTTCCTTTCCTAGGCCTGGCCAAGCCCTTGATGGTCATTCTTAAGTCAAGCTGAACACCAGCTGGCTCTGTGAAGCTCTCTCTTCCTTTCCCAGTCAGTCTGCACTAGCTGTCTTCTTTGAGCTAGCAGATGCTGCCACATACTTTCGCACTTAATTGCGCTCTAATTGTTTCACAGGTGCTGGTTTTGTCTTCCTACTTAGACCTAGGAGCTTTTGGACAGCAGGGACTATGCCTCAAACTTGGGTTTGTCCCAGAGAGCGGAAGACACTATACGCTGTTGCTCTCACATTAAGGGACCAAGGCTGGGAATCACTTAAGCTTCAGAAATCTGATTGAAGCTTTGGATCTGCCTTCTGCATTCTTTTCCACAATGTTAAGAGTGAAACAAACACATCTGGATGCAGTAACTGGACATTCCAGTGCTGTCTGCTGTTTAAGTCTGTTAGTATACAGAGACAAATAAACAGGAGAGTTTTGCTTTCAACACTCAGCAGAGCCAAACTTCCTGATGCACGGGAATGAACAACGGAGGCACTGTTCTGGAAACACCGTCCTCCAGAGAGGCGCTCCCTCCTCAGAAACAACACCGAAAACCTGGCATGGCTGGTTTTGCATTCAGACAATGGCACCTACATGCTTTTTGCTTTGCTCAGAGCTGTAAATATCCAAAGAGGTGATCCTCTGCCATCATTTTGGAAGGAAGAATCAGTCAGACTGATAATTAGGGTCATACGCACAGGCATGGTCATGCTGATTGTTGAAATTTAGATTATTTTTGGCCCAGCACAGTGGCTCACACCTGTAATGCCAGCACTGTGGGAGGCCAAGACAGGCGGATCACCTGAGGTCAGGAGTTTGAGATCAGCCCGACCAACATGGTGAAACCCCATTTCTACTAAAAATACAAAAATTAGACAGGCGTAGTGGTGGGTACCTGTAATCCCAGCTACTTGGGAGGCTGAGGCAAGAGAATCGCTTGAACCCTGGAGGCAGTGGTTGCAGTCAGCCGAGATTGTGTCACTGCAGTCCAGCCTGGGCGGCAGAGTGAGACTGTCTCAAAAAAAAAATTACATATATATATATATATATATATATATATATATATATATAGAGAGAGAGAGAGAGAGAGAGAGAGAGAGAGAGAAAGAGAGAGAGAGAGATTATTTTTGTACTGCTTAGTAATTAGCTTTAGCACGGTCTCTCCTCTGGGACCTCCCCTGGAATTTCCCCACAATCCAGTAACTGAATAATTAGCATCCAGCCCCACAGAACTTCTCCCAGGGCCCTGCTCCAGGGCTTCCCTTCTGACTGGCTGTGCATGGCACACTGGGAATTGTTTTCTGCCCACAAGAACAAGGGTGAACTGAGTCAAGGAGTCCAAGAGATCTTGGACGCACTTCTCAGAATTCGGAGGGGCTGGGTAAATGCAGGAGAAAATTGATGAAACCACATTGGCCCTGCAAGAGCCTGACTGCTCCTGCACGGTAGCTACCCCTAGCATTAGCGGGGAGTCACCAATGCCTCTTCCAGGCACTGAGCAAGAGGGCGGCATTACAGATGCACTTGCCGTCCAAACAGATCATCTCATTGACTAGGTGACTGCTCAGCAACAGTATCTGAAGGACACTAGGGTTACTCTGCTTGTTTGCAGTTCACGGTGCTGGACGGATGTGTTCCCAACACTAGGTAACAACACCGCTCTCCCTCCTCCGGGAGAAAGCCGCAGCCGTCGATTCCCACCCAACAGGGCCTCAGCGCCTTCCCAGGGCAGCACCCTCACTCCTGCAACCACCAATCACCCAAGCCACAGCATGGTCCCAGACCCACCCTCGCCCCTTAGGAAATGGCTTTCCAATTGTGTTTTCACAGGAGCATGGCCACTGGGCAATGATCTTCACAGGCAGGCTTTTTTTTCCCCCTCTCAACATAAAGGCCAGCAATATTTACCACGGAGTCTTGGCCAGTGTGCACTGCCTGGTGCTGTGGGGTGGGGTGTTTAGGGCCTTTTGTTGAGCAGCTCAGTGACTTTCTGGGATTTCCATGGCCCTGCTGGAGATGGCCCTCTGTCTCCCTTTTCCAAGGAAGAAAGTGACTGGGGACAAGCCACCTGCCTCTTCCACAGGGTGGGGGCGAGAGTGACAGCGAGACAGCACAAGAAGGACCCGCTCTGTTTCAAAGCGAGGATGTGAGTGACTTCGTCTGTGCCGAGGTCTCTTCGTCTCCAACCTGCCGGGCACAGGGCACCCACATGACACGCTCACCCCGTCCCTGGGCCGAGGGACCCCACGTCTCGCGGGTGCCGCGGGGCAGAGAGCGCCGCCTAGTGAGGCGGCGCGAGTTGGACATAGACTGGAAAATAGACCCGGACAGCCCGGGAGGAGGGCGGAGAGGAGTCCGACCTCCGCAGGCAGCCGCGTCCCCGCCCCGCGCTGCCTACGACTTAGGGCCCCCGGCCCATCCCCTGCCGCTGCAGGGCGCTCACCTCTGGGACGCCTCCCCGCGCCGCCTGCGCCACGGTTGGCTCCTCCCGGACGCAAAAGCGGCGCCCTCGCTCGGGCTCCTGAAAACCTCGCGGCCCCGCCCACGGAAGGGCCCGCCCACCTGCCAGGCCACGCCCCCGTCTCGGCCACGCCGCAGCTCAGGGTTTTCTCTGAGGGCTGTGAGAGGCTAGGCCCGGGGAGAGGAGGCAGAGGTTATGCTCCGGTCTCTGCAGACTTCCACAGTGTCTATCGAGATCACACATGCCAGCATTGCCCCCTCCCATCCTCTCCTCATCGTACGGAGGAGGAAACCCAGGCCGAAGACCTGAAGTGTCCAAAAGCACAGCCAGGCCAAAGAGAAGCACCATCCCATGTTCTCCCACTCCCACTCCGGTGCTTCTTCAGGTAGGCTAAACTTCAGGCTAAAATGTGAAGATCACAGTGACACATTCCTGTCAGCAGAATCTGCTGCATATGTTTGGGAGCTGGGGTGTTTGGAAGCTCCGATTTTGTGTGGAGGACCCAAGAGAGAAGACAGACCCTTCCTGTCCTATAAGAACAGTGCTCCTCCTGCCCTAACTTCTCTTTTCCTTTTTCTAACTCCCTCTGCCTATGGGGTTTGCTGAAACTTTCAGGAAAAGGGACGTGTCAAAAGAAAGAAATGGACACCCCAGAGGCCGTGCAACCACAGGGTTAAAAGGAGGTAGCCTTATGAGAAAGCGGTGGAGTGGCTTTCTGGGGTGAAACCCAGTTCAAGGACAGAAATAGCACTGTCTTGAGTTAAGACTGGTGGTGGGGGAAGCCTGGGGGTGGGGCGCAGACTGCAGGCGGAGGAGCTCCCTGCCACCTGCCACTTGGGGTGTAATCACAGAGCAGCTGACACTCCCCACTCACTGCCTGGAGGAGCTTGGCGGTGGGATCGGGCAAGGCGGGAAAGATAGGTGTAAAACAAAGCCTGGCACTTAATTACAGTGCAAAGATCTCATTATAGAGTCTTCTCAGCTCCCCTCCTCGGCTGGCAGCTTGAAGCCTGAGTGACAAATTGCCTAGGTAGGTCTCCAAGGGCTGTATGTAGAGGGATGAAACCACCTCCCTGCCCACCCGAACCCCACTGTGGGGGCTGTGGAGAGGGAGGGGATGTTCACACTCTGGCATATGCAGGGGGCAGTGGGGAAGTCTGTAAGGGCACCTAGAAAGCAGTAAGAGCTGGGAGCCACAGTGGCCCTAGCCTGACATAAATAACACCTTGCTGGGGCAAGCCCAGTGTTCCCTCTTTTGGTAGTGGAACCGAGGGCAAGGTTGGGGACAGCTTGACGTGTGGCACTGTTTACTCTGCATCATAGGTGGATGCTGCAAGACCAGCAGGGGCCTGGCTTATCATGCAACTTTGTGAATATGTGGGAGAGAGGAGCCTTCCAGACGGTGTTATGGCCTCCCAGGAACTCCCAAAGCCCCCTCCCCAGGGTGGCATCTGGTTTTGGACACTGGTTTCTGTCACTGAGCTCCAGGGACTCATGTCACACCTGGAAGAACTTTTAGATTCTGTCTGCCTGGCCATGTCTTCCAACAGCCGAGATCATTGAGGAAGATGACAACTTCTACCTGAACAGCCAGGACAGCTTAGGGTCTTCTCACATGTGGACCTTGAAATGCACTTCTGTTATTTTTCTCCAGTATATTCAGGGGAAGGGGGCTGGTGATCAAAGCTTTTGCTGAGCAGGAACAGAAGGGTTGTCACTTGCTTTTTTCTCCACTGAAACCTAGAGTAGCAAACACATCCTCGGGGTGCTATGTGATGCTCACAGGCAGAGCCCTGCCAGAGGTTCCCGTCATTCCCATATATTAAACCTTCAATGTCTTCCCTATGAACTACAAACAAAGTTTATATTCTAGGTCAAAACCCCATCGTCTAGCCCCTGACAACTTCTCTAGGCTTGTCTGCTTCCAGCCCCAACCTCCCAGTCCCCAGCCTCAGCAGCTGCCTTCCACTTGCTTAAGGTCTTCACGCATGCTATTTCTTCTACCTGGAATACTCTTTCTCCATGACTTTGCGTAGCTCACTCCTACCCACATTTTAGTGTTCCCTGTAATGTAACTTCTTCAAAGAGAACTTCCCTAACTCTTCTAATTAAATTAGGTCCCTCCCATTATTCTTCCTCTTTATAACCTATTCTTTTCCTTCACAACTCTCATTTCAATTTATGATTTTACATGGACATGTTTATTGGTTCAAGGTCAGCCTGTCCTTCATACTTAATAGATTTAATAGACTGTAAGCCTCACGAGGGTAGGGGCCATGTCTGATTTGTTCACTTCAAATCCAGTATCTGACAAGTGTCTCCCTATAAATATTTATTGATGAATGAATGAGTGAATGAATGATATCAGCAATCTTTATCTTAAAAGATAAAATTAGAACTCAATAAACTTGTAAACATAAGCAGTAGTGACTATTTCCATTAAAAAAGGTAGCAACCAAAACAAGATTCAAGGAAATACAAATACCAAGGTTTATTAGGTACTTCTTAAAACTAACCATCCATTCAACAAATGTGTATTAAGCTTCCGTAGCCCTTGTGCTTCTTGCCAGAAATACAAATCTAAATACGATCTGGCTCTCAGGAGCTTGCAGCCTGGGGGAGTAGGGTTGGACATGTAAATAAATGGTTATAGTGTAATTTGATAAATGCTGCAATAATATAGGTATCTAACTCTGCCTGGGAGTGCCTATATCTGGGACTTGGTGAAAAAGAAAAAGATGACTTTGTCACCTGGACGGGACAGAGGGAGGGCATTCTGGGCAGGAGACGAATGAAGGAATGTGGCTCATTTGGGGAACTGCCAGTGGTTTGGTAAATGGAGCGCAGGTTGTGTGAAGGATGGAGGCGGTTGAAGAGGTAGGTAGGCAATCACCAGATCCCACGTTCATGCACATGTGTTCTGCTGAGGAGTCTGGGCTATGCTCTGCCTCCCTGTAGGGCTTGGGGATCCACTGGATGGTGTTAAGCAATGGAGTGGCACCACACCTTCATATTTATAGACAAGAAGTTATAACCCTAATGGCAGTGTGTAAAATGAATGGAATGGGGGATGGGATGGTTAGCAGAAAGTAAGCCCAGTTAGGAGGCTACAGCAATTGTCTAAGCAACGATAATAAGAGTCTAAATTAAAGCAGTGGCATTCATTCATCTCTGTTGATATATATTATTTGATGGTTAGTTTTTTGATGATAAATATTTGTTGATGCTTAAAATATATTTTGATGCATAATATTATACCCCATCCCATGCTAGGTGGTAGGGTATAATATTAATAGTCAATATTTATTGAGTGCTTACCATGTGTCCTGTTCTTTTCTAAATACTATACATGCATTAACTGATTCAACCCTCACCACAACCCTATGAATCAGTACTATTATCATCCCCCATTTTACCAATGGGGAAACTGCGGGAGAAGAGGTCATATAACTTCCACTTACTTAGATACCTAATAATTGATGGAGTCAGGATTTGAATCAGGTAATTGGGCTGCAAAATTCATGCTGTTAAGCACCATCCCTTACTGATATTGTGGTAATGAACAAGCTGGACAAGGTCCCTGGTCTCATGGAACTTACATTCTGGCACTGGAGATGTAGAGGAGAAGACAGAGTGGGGCAAGGTTTAGATTGTAGAATCAGAAAAACTGGATCCTTATAAGAGAAAGAGCAGTCAGGGCAAATTCACAAGACACTGGCTTTGTGATTGGTGGATAGTTGTGTCAGTCATGGAGTTAGGAAATACAAGCTAGGGGTGGTAGGGTGGCGGAAGGTGAACTTGGAGGGATGAGTTCATTTTGGGATAAACTGGTGTTGGACTGACTGTGGGATATGGAGGTGGAGCCATCGAGTGAGCAGTTGAAGTCATGTGTCCAGAGCATAGAAAAGATGTTTATATGGAGACAATGGGGGGATCAAAGATGGGGGGACAGTTGGAGACATAGGCGGAAAACAATAGCTAGAAGACAGGCTTAGTCCAAGAGTTCATAAAGGAAAAGATTGATAAATTCAACTGCCTTAAAATGAAGACCTTGTGTTCATCAAAAGACATATTTAAAAGAATAAAAAGATAGGAAACAAAACCAGAGAGATGCTTGCAACACATATAACTGCCACAGCCCAAGCATCCAGATTATCTTCAGAACTCATACAAATCAGTAAGAAAAGTCAGTAGAAAAATGGACAAAAGATACAGGCAGATACTTCATAAAAGAGGAAATATAAGATGACCAATAAATAAATGAAAAAGTACCAAACCTCATTAGAAATCTTAGAAATGCAAATTAAAGCTATAATACATCACATATTATATAAATCATATTGGCCAAAAATAAAATGTCTGACAATAAAAAGTGTTGGTGACGATATGGTGCAAACAGAATTCTCACTTGTTGCTAGTGGAAATGTGAATTGGTATAACCACTTGGTAGAAGTTTGGCACTGTCATGGAAACTTGAAGATTCACATGCCCTAAGACCTAGGAACTCCATGCCTAGGTGCATAACCTGATATGCTCATATGCCACAATATATATACGAAAATCTGTAAGGCAGCATTGTTTGTTATATCCTTTGTACTAGACAGCTTCTATGATGGCTCCCTAAGATTTCTGCCTCCTGATATTCATGCCTTTCTGTAATCTTCTCTCCTTAAGTGTGAACTGGACCCAGCAACTTCTTCTAACAAATAGAGCATGACAAAATTGATGGGATATCACTTCTGAGATTAGATTACAAAAGGATGTGACTTCTGCCTTGCTCACACTCTCTCTCTGGCCCTCTTGCGTGCTTGCTCTCATGAAGCTGGCTGTCATATTGTCAGCTGCCCTATGGAAGGACCCATATGGCAAGGACTCAAGGGAAGCCTCTTGCCAACAGCTGGTGAGGAACTGAAGCCATCAGTCTAACAGCCTGTGATAAAATGGTTCTTGCCAACAACCACTTAAGCGAATTCAGCATCGAATCATCCCCAGCTCAAGCCTTAAGATGAGACCATAGCCCCAGCTAACACCTTGATTACAGTCTTGTGAGAGACCAGAGCCAGAGGACCTAGCCAAGAGTCCATGCCTGGAGTCTCAATCTACAGAAACTGTCACATAATACATGGTGTTTTAATCCACTGTGTTTTGGCATGATTTGTCACACAGCAAGATAACTAATACAAATCACCAAACTAGAGATCCCTCAAATGGTCATCAAAAGTAGAATGGATAAGCTGGGCTGGGCTCAGTGTCCCATGCTTGAGCCCAGGAGCTCAAGATTGTAGTGTGCAATGATCACACCTAGAAATAGCCACTTCACTCCATCCTGGGCAACATAGTGAGAGCCAAAAATAAAAAATAAAAATAATAAATAAATAGGAGTCATTGAATGAATTTCAAGGTGGGAGTGGCCAATGGTGCCAACTGTTCTAGAGTCAAATACCAAAAGAAGTGAAGTTTCCCGACTGGATGCGACAAGTTGCAGGTTTGCAGACCTGATTCTGAGATGGCCCTCGAGATTCCCATCTTTGGCACCCCTCTCCATTTTTGTGGGTGGGATCTGTGACTATAATGGGATCACTGCTCCCTTGATTAGGTGCTGTTATATGAGACTCCATCTGAGCAGACTGTCTAGTAATTCACAGCTGGCCCCAAAGAAGCAAATGGCCTTGTTATGAACTACTTACCTCAGGTCCTAGCCGCATGGCCCCCTTCAAAGGCTAAGAGTGACTCTCACCAACCAGCAAAGACAAAATAGGATGTCATTTCTACAGCTACAAGGAACTGGTTTCTGCCCACAACCCCAAGCTCCAGAAGGAATTCAGCCCAGCAAACACCCGGATTTCAGTCTGTAAGACTCTGAGCAGAGACCCCAGCCACACTATGCCTGGATTCCTGACTCCTTGTAACTGTGAGATAATAAAAGGCTAATGTTTTATGTCAATAAATTTCTTGTATTTTGTTATGCAATAGAAGAAAATAAATATAGCAGGTCATCAATGACCTAAGGGCAGAGTAGGTGATAGAGATCATGTGAAGTCTTTAAAATAGGATTATGACATACTTTCCCTACCCAGTTGACCTCCTGCCTGGATTTAATAAAGCCTCCTTGACTTTGTTACCTGGCACATTTGGCTCAAATCAATCTCGACTTCCACCCTGTGCTGCCGTAGCACCTCATTCATGTCATTGGCTATACTTTTCACCTTGAATCTAAATTCGATCCTGTTCACTGCCCCTGCCAGGCTGTGAGCTCCAAGAAAGCAGAGCTCTTTCCAGAGTTTTCTTTACATCCCTGGCTCTGGGTATGACACATGATGAATGCTTAATAAGTGTGGAACAAAAGAGTGACCCAAAGAAGGGCGAAGACTCCTGGTTCTTCATCATGCCCATGGGAACCATGCTTTGGGGATGTAGGGAGTGGACATTCTCTGTGGCAGCTTCAGGCTTCTGGGGTTCTGTGGTGCCACTGATGTGTCATGTAATTTGAAAGCCCTGGAAGAAACTATGGGTGACTCTGGTTGTCCCCTCTCCAGGGCCAGTTGGCTGCATTCCACGGAAAAGGAACCCATAGAGAGGACAGCTAGGATGGCCTTGTCTACCGCTGGCCTCAGATCTGAGGAGTGAATGTTTCTAATAGCCTCTTGGCATGGTTATTTTGGAGCTCCTCAGGACTGTCAATTACTTGACAGCATGAAACAGTTGGAGGACTCAGGGATATGACAAAAGCAGTGTAATTCCTGTTTTATAACTGAATCTCAGAAGAATCCTTTGGCCAATACCCTAGGTCAGGAAAGAAATAGCTACTTGGCTTTGCTCACACTCCACTTAGGTGAATTGATGTCCATTTTGTTCAGGGCTAGATTTCAACCTTCTGTTGTTGTGGAAATATCCCCTGTTGGATGTCAATTGCTTCCTTCTTCTCTTCCTTCTGCTTTCCCTTTCTCCACCCTTTTTTCTCTCCTTTTTAAAAAATTTCCTTTCTCTTTTTGCCAAAGCAAAGCTTTTCATTTCCCAGAAACTGAGCTGGCTGCTTCTTCCTGGTGGAGATATATATATATATATATATATATATATATATATATATATTTTTTTTTTTTTTTAGATAGGGTCTCAAGCCATCCTCCCTCCTCACTCAGCTTCCCAAGTAGCTGGGACTGCAGGCAAGCACTACCACTCCCAGCTAATTTTTTTGATTTTTAGTAGAGACGAGGTCTCCCTATGTTGCCCAGGCTGGTCTTCAACTCCTGAATGCAAGCAATCTCCCCGCCTCAGCTTCCCCAAATACTGGGATTACAGGCTAGGTGTGAGCCACTGTTTGTCCTTCCTGGACATTCTTGTTTCCACTCTCCCTACCCCTCCTCCTCCATAGCCCCCGTCAAGGTAGAGTGCCTTCTACTTTGTTCATGAGTGCCCAGCAGTTGAAGTGATGCAGGTCCACCCCTCTGTGAACCACGTATCTGAAATCGCAGTTACAGGCATAGCTGCAGCACTGCCAGGATGGCATTACAGGGTTGTGCATTCTTCAGATTTTCTAGCGGGCCAGGGGCTCTGGTCCCAAGGGAGGCATGTGATGGCAGAGGGTACAGGCACTTTTCTACTAGCAAAGCTTCATTGTGCTGCCTGGCAACTCCAATAATCAGAAAGTGAGTGATTCTCTTTTTCCCTTTTCCTCTGCTTATGCCATGAGCATGAATTGTTTTCTTCTCTCTCCATTTTCATCTACTGTCAAGTTGTTGCTGCATTTGAGTCAGGGAACATGTCTCTGAAAATCATGAAGAGGACCTGGTGAGACCTATACATCACACATTTTCTATCAACCCTCATGCTCTCCCCAGGGGGTGCTTATAAGGTTAAAACATAGCTCCCTGCAGGGCAATGTCCAAGAACAAAAAAACCGTATAATTGGAGTGCAGTTATGTTCTGGTGGCGTGTTGGAGGGAGGCTCCCCTATTAGATGAGCTACCATCTGCCTCAGGAGCCTTCAGTTGCCTGGGTCTTGGGGGAAATCTGCCCATCATGATCAGAAGCCTCATGGTTTTGTGCCATCTCCTCCCTGTGGCTGTCATGAGGAGGACGGGTGGGGTGGAAATGGGCTCCATGACCTCACTTCACTCAGACTTGATGCCCTTTTAAGTAATCAAGCTTCAAAATAACCTTAGGTGGTATTGCAATTTGGGTTCCTCAGAAACCACACTGTAATAAAAAAAAGTTTTTGTTTTTAATCCACTTGACCTGGAAACAGTTTGACCCAGTGGGTGGCCATCTCCTCAAAGCTGTCTTCTCCCTTTCTTCCTGACCTTTTTATCACAGCTCTTCAGGAGATCCAGAAATATCATTTTCTCTCTGAAATTAGCTCCCCCACCCACTTCCATGTCCTGGAGGTCCCTGTGTGCTTCCAGTCTTAAGGTGGGGCCATGTTGAGGCTGTCTTGGATGACTGCTCACTGCCCACAGTTAATAGACACAAAGGTTTATCCAGACTTTCCTTTGAGCTTTCTCTTGTAGCCAGTTCTTTATCTCTAGTTTCATCCACTGTGTCCTAGTCCAGGTCCTCATCTCTTCATTTGTTCACTTGACACCTGTTTATTGATGCCCTGCTCAATAGTGACCTGAGCTTGAGAGCCTGCTAGACCTGCATTCAAAGCCCATGCTCTTTTACTTCCTATCTGTGTGACGTTCATGAATTTTTCATTTTCTCTAAACCTCAGTTTTTGATCTGTAAAGTGGAAAGAATAATACTTATATGGTTTGGATATTTGTCTCCACCCAAATCTCATGCTGAATTGTAATCCACAAATCTGGAGGTGGGGCCTGGTGAAAGGTGTTTTTGTCACGGGAGCTGATCTGTCATGGTGTGATGCTGTCCTCATGATAGTGAGTGAGTTCTCTTGAGATCTGGTTGTTGTCAAGTGTGGCACCTCCCTCTCTACTCTCGCTCTTCCTCCTGCTTTTGCCATGTGAGGAACCTCCTCCTTCTTCACCTTCCACCATGAGTAAAAGCTCTCGGAGGCTTTCCCCAGGAGCTGAGCAGATGCTGGGGCTATGTTTGTACAGCTTGCAGAAGTGGGAGCCAATTAAACCTTTTCTCTATAAGTTACCCAGTCTCAAGTATTTCTTTGGCCTAATACAGAAAATTGGTACTAAAGAGTGGGGCATTGCTATAAAAATACCCAAAAATGTGGAAGCCACTTTGGAATTGGGTAACAGGCAAAGATTCGAAGAATTTGGAGGGCTCAGAAGAAGAGAGATGAGGAAAAGTTTGGAACTTCTTAGAAACTAGAAACTGGTTAAATGGTTGTGACCAAAATGCTGATAGTGATAAGGACAGGGAAGTCCAGGCTGCTGAGGTCTCAGATGGAAATGAGCAACTTATCGGGAAATGGAGCAAAGGCCGGTACCATGCTTCCTGTATGGCTTGCAGAACTGTGAGCCAATTAAACTTCTTTTCTTTATAAATTACACAGCCTCAGGTATTTCTTGATAGCAATGCAAGAATGGCCTAATACAAATACCTACCTTATCAGGCTGTTAACAGGATTAAAATAATGCAATAAATGTGTATTAGTCAGCGTTCTCCAGAGAAACAGAAACAATAGGATAAACGGAGAGATAGATAGTTATACAGATGAGAGAGAATTTATTGGGGAACTGCCTCACATAATTATGGAGGCTGAGAAGTCCCCACAATATGCTGTCTGCAAGCTGGAGCCCCAGAGAAGCCCAAAGAGCTGAGAACCTGGGGAGGCAACAGTCTAACTCTCAGTCTCAGGCCAAAGGCCTGAGAACGTGGAGGGCTGTTGGTGCAATTCGTGGAGCCTGATGTCCAAGGGCAGGAGAAGAAAGGAGTCCCAGCTCCAGAAGAGAGAAAGCAAGAATTTGCCTTCCTCTGCCTTTTTGTTCTGTCCAGGCCCTCAATGGATTGGCTGGTGCCTGGCCACACTGGGTGAGGGCAGATCTTCCTCACTCAGCCCACTGATTCAAATGCCAATCTCCTCCAGAAACACCCCCACAGACACAGCCAGAAATAATGCTTTGCCAGCTATCTGGGTATCCCTTAACCCAGTTAAGTTGATACCTAAAATGAACCATCACAGTATGTAAATTGCTTAGTGGGAGTCTGGCAGGTTATAGGCACTCAATACCCTAGTTGTTGCTTATTGCTACGGGCCAGCTGCTGTGCTAGGCACCAGTTAGAATTTTAAGGAGCCTTACCTTTTATAAGGATGAGATGGATATGCACACAGTGAGTGCTATACAGTGCTACAGTTGCAACAGGAAGTGATCCCTGGAGTCACAAAGCCCCCTGGGAAGGGTCAGGAAAAGCCTCAAGCAGGAGGTAACTACTGTGCAGTTTTTTGAAAGACAGGAAGCTGAGTCACCTTTTCCAGACCCCGCTATAGTCAAGCCTCATCATCTCTTACCAGCAATCATGCTGACCTCCTAACTGGTCTCTGCAGAACTTCTCTTCTTCCTCTTCAACTCATTCTCCACGAGCAGTCAGAGTGACTTTTAAAGCACAATTCAGATTGTGTCATTCCATTAATAAAACCTCCCAATGGCTTCTACTTGTGCTTGGAATACAATAAGGATTCCTTTGCATGGCCTGCAAGACCATATGTGACTGGCTCCTGCTCAATTCCCATACCCCCTTGTCCCTTCTGTTCCTCTTCCCAGCATGTGTGCCTGCAGTGCCTACTGCCTGGAATGCCTGGACAGCTCCTTCTTATCCTTCAGGCTTCAGCTAAAACCTTAATTCCCTGTGCCCCTTATCTAAAGCAAAACCTTCCTTCACCAGCCCCCCATACCTATTTTCTGGTCAGTGTGGTATTTATTCCCCTTCACATCCTGTACCATCATCTGAAATTAGCTGTGTAGTCATTGGTTTACTTGTTTAGTGCTTATCTTCCCTACTCAATCTAAACTCTTTCTTGTTTGTTGTGCCTGGCCCATTGTTGGCCCAGGGTTGTTGTTCAATAATCATTTGTTGAATATATTAATAAGCCGTGGATATCTTGTTGTGGCTGGAAAGCTGACAAGGCTGGAAGGGCGGGACCTTTAGTATCTCAATTATTGGCTTCTCGCCTTGTTCTGGTCAACTCTGGTACCATTAGAGAAAGTTTTCTAAAACCCACTGTCTTCATGCCACTTCACTTTGATAATGTCCCATTGCTCATTGCATCTAAAATTATTCTTCTCGATTTTATTTAAAATTATGTATTTTTTTCATTTCAAAATTGGCATCTGGTCATTGCAAAAAGATTAGAAAATTTAGTAAAGAAAGGAAAGAAAGAAATCGCCCCTAGTTTTTCCATCTAGTTATAACCATTGCTTACATTTTTATGAGTTTTGTTCCAGGCTATTTGCTATGAACATTTTAAATGCACTCATCATATGGCAAATATAAAATTCAATACATTTATTTTTAAGAAATAATTTTTTTCTGATTGTAAAAGTATACATTCAGCCATAGAATATTACAGAAAATGAAAATGCAAAGGAGAAAAAAATTACACAGATTCAACTGCATTCTTACATTCTGTTTGTACACACACACACACACACACGTACACACACACACGCCCCATACTTGGCATTTCACTGTAACCCACAAAACAAATTCAACTTTACAACACATGAAGGACATCTGAATATTTTATAAAAGATCTTATTGCAAGACATGAAAGAGAATCCACATCACATCCTATCCATCAGAAACTTTTCCACATTCTCCTCACTCTTTTACCCCTAGCTCTCCTTCCTGGGCAGTGAGGTGGAGTGGGGAGTATAGTGATGGCTGTGAGCACAGATTCATGTTCCGGAATTTCTTGGTTTGATCACCAAGTTCTGCTACTTACTAGCTGTCAAACTTTGGATGAGCGACTTAACTTCTCTGTGTCTCTGTTTCCTCATTTGTCAAGTGGGGATAATAATGGCACCTACCTTGCAGAATTGTTAGTACTTAAACAATGCTTAGAGCAGTGTCTGGCACATAAGGGGTATTAGCTATAGTAATATTACTCTCCTTTTTTGCATCCCCAATTCTTTCTATGCTTTGGGGCAATTCAACTGCCACCTCATGTTGTATCCCCCAGTCAGCAAAACAAAAGCCACATGGCTGGAAAAATCACAACTACCAATTGCACCGTCACCATTCACCCTAAGGCTCATCAAGATAAACGTCTAGCAAGAGGAAATATTTCCTGAGAGAGGATTTCTGCTGCTTGGAAAATAAGATTCATGCTTGTCTCACTTTCTCAAGCTCCCTTTATTAACATACAGGCCTTAGTATGTGTATGTATAAATTACATAGTCAAGATCACATAACATATATTCTTTTTAAAGAATAATTAACAGGCCAGGCGCAGTGGCTTATGCCTGTAATCCCAGCAGTTTCACAGGCTGAGGCAGGCAGATCACTGGAGGTCGGGAGTTCAAGACCAGCCTGGCCAACGTGGTGAAACCCTCTCTCTACTAAATATACAAAAAAATTAGCCGGGCATGGTGGTGGGTGCCTGTAATCCCAGCTACTCCGGAGGCTGAGGCAAGAGAATTATTTGAACCTGGGAGGTGGAGGTTACAGTGAGCAGAGATCACGCCATTGCACTGCAGCCTGGTGACAAGAGCAAAACTCCATCTCAAAAAAACCAAAAAAGGAATAATTAATATAACAATGTACACATGTCTTAGATGGAAGATTATATTAACAGAGGCTAATGACATCATAATTGCTTCTTGGCATTTTATTGCTTTTTAAAAATCAAAAACAGGCCAGGCACGGTGGCTCATTCCTATAATCCCAACACCTTGGGAGGCCGAGGTGGGTGAATCACTTGAGCTCAGGAGTTTGAGAACAGCCTGGGCAACATGGCAAAACCCAATCTCTACAAAAAATACAAAAATTAGCCAGGCGTGTTCGCGCTGGCCTGTAGTCCCAGCTACTTGAGAGACTGAGGTGGGAGGATCACCTAAATCTGGGAAGTGGAGGTTGCAGTGAGCCGAGATTATGCCGCTGCACTCCAGCCTGGCAACAGAGCAAGACTCTGTCTCAAATAAATAAATAAATAAAAATAAAAAAACACAAACAAAAATTTTATACCACTCAAGATGTACAAAAATCACCATTCAAGTTCCTTATTATTATGTGGCCCATTAACGGAAGACCAAAAAAAAAAAAAAAGGATCCTGAGCTCAGTAATTCTCCTGGCGTAGCATTGTACATGTTAATCATTTTCTATTGTTTGCAACTGCTGGAACAGAACAGCAGCAGTCATTGTTCTTGCTGCCTATCAAGGATGACAAGAGATACCATCACAATTATGGGGTGATACATATGGCTCAAAACCATACCTCCTAGTGCTGGAAAAGGTACATTAGCAGAAGAGAAAGTGGTGAGATGACTGCATGGTTGCTCTAGGTAGATATATAATTGGACTGAGTTACTATGATTGGGATCTAAATCCAGCAAGAAAGGATCCACAAATACTTTCAGATGTGATTTCACCAGTCTTGTGTTTTAAATTTATCACTTGGTTGAATGGAGCATATGTTCATGTAATTTTCTTCTGTAAAAGTTATGTTTTCCATGCCCATATATAAGAATATCTTTATGCTGCCTCCACATATTACAAATAATTTGGCCAGGAATAAAATTATTGAATCCTTACTTTCTTTACTCAGAATGCTCTGAGTGTGACTTGAAAAAATATTTAGCATTGCTGAGAAGTCTGCAACATAAAATCTGTTCCTTTGCTTATAATGCAAATAAAAAAAATTTCCTTGCATGAATGCTTATAGTACTTTCTTGCATTCCTTATAATTAGAAGCTGTTTTCAAAAGGTTTCTAGAAATGAGTCAAATTCTTGATTTTGCCTGAAATCCAGACCATGCTTTTATTCTTACTCTGGCCTATTATCATTTCTACAACATGTTCTTTAATTATGTCAAATTATTTCCTCTATTTGTTCTAATGCATTCTTTAGGAACACCCATTAATTCCTTCTCTTCCATTTCTGCTGCTTGGAAAATAAGATTCATTTTTGTCTTGCTTTCTCATTCACACTCTCCCAGGCTCTCTTGATGTCTGTCTACGTGTCTGTCACCTTCTTTCTCATTGTTTTTACCTCTTTGTTCTTTTCTTCTTCTTCCTGAGAGTGCTTCTTGAGTTTGTCTTCTACATGACAGATAGACTGCTCTACTAAGAGCAATGGGTCCCCAACCTTTTTGGCACCAGGAACGGGTTTCATGGAAGAAATTTTTTCCACAGACCAGGGGGCCCGGGGTGGAGTGATTTTGCGATGAAACTGTTCATCAGGATTCTCATTAGGAGCATGCAACCTAGATCCCTTGCATGTGCTGTTCCAACAGGGTGTGTGCTCCTATAAGAATCTAAAGCCACCACTGATCAGACAGTGGCTATAAATACAGGTGAAGCTTCTCTTGCCTGCTGCTCACCTGCTATATGGCCTGGTTCCTAATAGGCCACGGTAGGGGTCTGTGGCCTGATGGTTGGGGACCCCTGTAGTAGAGCATAGTTAGTTCTGCTCTTTACTAATGCCATGTGATTTCCCCCCAGCTTTTCACTGTGAACAATTATCAAGCAAAAAAGTTGAGAGAATAATTCAAGGACCATCACATAATTTCAATAACTGTGAGTATTTCACCATCTGTTATTCATTTATACATATGGGTGTGTTTAAAGGCTAAACCATTTGAAAATAAGCTGCAAATATTATAACATGTCTCCTTTAAGTACTTCAGTATGTATCTCTTAAAAGTAAGGACACTCTTGTTTTATAACCTCAATACCATGATCATACCTAAGAAACTTAATTCCTTGATATTAACTCCAGACCACACTCAGGTTGCCTCAACTGTCCTCAAAATGTCTTCCCTGTCCCCAAATCAGTATACCATCAATGTTAATCTGTTGCTTTTTGTTGTTTTGCCTTTGTAGTTTCTTAACCTAGAATGATCTTCCTCACCCCTGCTTTATTCATTTATTAATTTTAGACTCTCCCACATTCTGGATTAGTCTGACTGTTTCCATTTGGTATATTTAGTTTGTTGCTCCATCCCTGTATATGCCATAAAGTAGAAGCTAGATTTGAAGGTGTGATTAGATTCTGCTTTAACATTTTTGGCAAGAATAGTTCATAGTGCTACTTTATCTTTTATCAATTGTCCCATGTCCTATCATTAACACTGCTCAGTTTGATTGTGTGGTTAAGGCAGTAGTGATCAGGGCTTTCTGTTGTCAAGCTCTATTATCCTTTTGTAAATTAGCAGGTAGGTGATCTGTGGGGTGACATTTGGCACCAATGTGGATTTTAAATCTGCTAGTGCATGTTTCGCTTCCCTGTAATATTTTCTTATCTTCCTCTTCCTACAATAATACCTGCTGTCTTTTCATCATAGATCATGAAAACCCTATCTTTTAGTATCCTTTAGAGACTGCCAAGTCCTGTACTCAATTTCCCCTTTGCTTTTTGTAAAAAGTCGCTTCCAGAGCTGGGGATGTCATCTAGGTCTTCATGATGATAGTTCCCCTCCCATATTCGATAGGAGCCTTCATGGGTCCTGTCTTGGGTTTTGGTTACTCCTCCTCCCAGCAGTAGGGACTCCCCAGGCCTGGTGTACATTCACAGATGGCCGTGTGGCTCACTTTGGCAATTCTCTCTTTGTCAACTTAGCTACTTGCCAAATTCACCATCCAGATCCATCTCTGGACAAGCCAGGGAGCAGAGCTCCCAACCCAATCCCCTCATCTCCCCACCAGAGGCAACTGGACAAATGGCCTCTTCTCCAGTCCCTCTTGCCTTGTTCTCTGATATACCGAAGTCAGTCTTCTAAATTTACTGGCTCCAGGGCCCTTCCTGGAGGTGCCCCCTCTTTCTCTATCCTCTCACTGTCTGCCTCACTGGTTTTGGAAATAGAACTCTCCAAACGGATGTATAAAGAGAGGTGTCAGTGAGGGGCAAGGGAAGGAGGGAGGGTGGAGAAGGCACAGCCTTTTTTTTCCTTCTGTAAGAAGATGCTCTGTGGTCTGACTGCCTGGTTTTCTGGTCCATACAGATTCTGTGTTTTGGAATCAAAGTCAGGCAGCGGGGAAAGGGATGAGGGTCCTATCTATGTTGAAGTAGACTTTTTCATGTCTGCCTCTGATTGGGCTTCTCAATCCAGTTCTATAAAAGTGGCAGCCAGTAACTAGCATTGGATTGCGCAGATTACCTCCATCTGACTGTGAAGGCCCGTGGGATTCCAGCCCTGTTTCTCATCCATTTTATTTCCACTACACCTAGGCCCTTCC
Source organism: Homo sapiens (assembly GCF_000001405.40). NCBI lineage: Eukaryota > Metazoa > Chordata > Mammalia > Primates > Hominidae > Homo > Homo sapiens. The sequence continues at coordinate 223,159,522 of NC_000001.11, forward strand.
ACTCCAGTCAGGGTAAGATGGTCATTGCATTACAAACTCCAGGCTCATCCCTCTTTCCTGCTGTTGGTGCTGTTGGTGCCTCTCCCCCAGAATCCTTTTTCCTCCACCAGCCTAAATCCTTAAGAAATCCCTCCCTCTCTCCAGAATGTTTCCTTGAGTGTTTACTCCCTCACGGGTCTCTCTTTCTTTCTTCTGAATTCCTATAACACGTTTTGTCTGAGCCACACATTTCAGCCCCCGTTCTAGGCCCACTTTGCCTTTTTACTTCATGGTGTCAGCTCTGTCACCTGAACTAGCTTGAAACTCCCTGAGGGCAAGGACTGGGCTCTTCTCTTCAAGTCCCCCTGGAACCTCTGGAGCAGGAAGGAGGCTGCAAACCAGAAGGATGGAGTGTTTGTACCTGAGTACCTAGGAGGGGAAACGGCAATGATTCACTGAACTTAGGACAGGGTGGGTCCTGCATGCCAAGGATGCTCCTTCTGTGACCCATATGCTGTCCCCTACAGCTGCCACTTACATTGTGTTCCTGCTGTCCTGCCCAGCTGCCCCAAAACACCCTCCTTAGGCACACAGCTGAGAGCCAGGCAAGGCTCTGTTTTCTTTCTTTCTTTCCTTCTCCCTTTCTCTCTTTCTTTTTCAGCCTCCAACTCCTAGGCTCAAACAATCCTCCCACCTCAGCCTCCTGAATACCTGGGACTACAGGCACATGCTGGCATGCCCACCTAGTCAAAAAAGGGTTTTTTTTTTTTTTTTGTGGTGGAAAGGTCTCACTATGTTGCCCAGGCTGGTCTCAAACTCCTGGCCTCAAGTGATCCTCCCCTGTTGCGTCCCAAAGTGCTGGGGTTAAGGTGTGATCCACCGTGTCCGAAGGTTCTATTTATTAAAGCTTTGGTTTAATTATTTGGAAAGCAAAAAGAATGATGCCTCCCTGCCCAAAGTTGATGTGAGCATTAAATGAGTAAGGCATGTGGATGTTTTACTCAGTGCCTCACACATACGAGCCTCTTGGAAGTATTTGAATCTAAATCGACATTAATATCAACGAGTGCATTGCCTGTCCTGGAATTAGCTACATAAACTGCCCTTTGCTTTCTCTTCTTTTTGTATCCTGTCTTTTTTCCACCTTTATGCTCCCCCTATTCTTATACTTTCTTCCTCTTTTTTTTTTGTTATTTCAGATACTCTATATTGTGGAACTGAAATGGCATTTTTTTTGGCTCCCATGGACTGTTTCTTTGACATTCTGAACAGTTGGAGTCTATAAAAAAATTCTAGTGTTTTGGTATTCACTGCTGCTGAGTGCCTTCCTGTCAACAGTCTTCTCCTTTGTCCTCATTCATTCATTCATATGTTCATTTACTCATTCATTCATGTATTTGGTCATTTACTCATGCATCCGTCCATCTGAATCCCCATTCGCTTATTTTTGGCAACTTTGTAAATAAAAATGAATAGCTTGGTGTGTGTGTGTGTGTGTGTGTGTGTGTGTGTGTGTGTGTATGTGCATAAACACAGGTGTGCGTACATATAAGTACTACAGCCACCCACTGGTTACTATGACAAACTAACTACAGGATAAAGATGGGTAAAGAAGGAAGAGGAAGGGCATCCTTCCTATGTTTCACATCCTATGTGAAAACAACAGACACAATTACACATTACAAAAATACACTCTTATTATATTAAACTGTGTTCTCAGTTCTGGGGAAGGTGGGGTATTGCCAGGTAGGAGCAGATGAGAGGTGAGACTGTTGCATCCCTGGGGAAATAATGACACCAGCAGTCTGCTAAATGCAGCAAATAACCGTTTTGAGTTGTGATGTAAATTAGAAAAAGTTTGGTGGGAGAGAAGGCCTAGGAAAAGAAAGCTAAAGCTGTTGTGGTTTACGCACAGAGGGTGAGACTGTTAGGAGAGACTAGAAAGCAGCAGAGAACTGTCCTTGGAGGGGGGTTGCGAGCCCATGCTGGAGGAAGAAGGCACCCAAAGACTGTCTTCACACAGCCCAAGATTCAAGTCTGCTGAGCTGCTGATTGAGCTTGCCCTGGTGGTGGAGAGAGGGAGGTGACACAGCCTGGGAGCTGTAGGTGCCAGGTGACTTTAGGACAGAAGCTGCAGATAACAGAGAAAAAGATAATCTCATCAGAGGCACCTCAGGGAATGAGTGAGCAGAGGTGATGATTTGAAGAAAATTGTCCTCCAGATGTAAGCTCAGCACATCATTCCTTATTGCACCCTATTCTAGGGACAGCTCATCCCTGCAGCCATCACAGCTCACCAGCTCTACATCCACAAACCCACCTGGGTCTCCTTGGGTCCCTTCTTACCTGGATGGGCCCAGGACCTGTCCAGTCTCAGCCGTCCCACTCCCCAAACCTCTCAGATGTAGGCCATGGGAAGACAATTCCCGGTGTGGATGTGCTATGATCTGAACGTTTGTGGCCCCCAAATTCATATGTTGGAATCACCAATGCAATAGTACTAGCATTAGTATTAAGAGGTGGTGCCTTTGGGAGGTGCTAGCTCATAAGGGATCTGCCCTCATGAATGAGATTATTGCCCTTATAAAAGAGGCTTGAGGGAGGCTTTTTTTTTTTTCCTTTCCACCATGTGACAGCTCAGCAAAAAGGCACTGCTGATGGGGAACAGCTCCTAACCAAACAGAATCTTTTGGCACCTCAATCTTGGACTTCCCAGCCTCCAGAACTGTGAGCAATAAATTTCATTTGTTTATAAATTACCCAGTTTATTTTGTTATAACAGTCTGAAAAACAAAAAAAGAGCCATCTTGAATAAAGATTCAGAGTGTCCCCCTAACATGTCCAGACCTTTTTTTGTGGGCAGTCCTCACCATGGTCCACTGGAATCCTTGGACTTTCTGTCTTGGAAGGTTCCTCTCTGCCGAAGTCCAGAGGTGTTCCCTGGCCTGTTGGTTGCTGTGGCTGGAGGAGCTCCATTATCCCAGGGCCCAGGGCTGCCACCTGATAGTCTCAGAAGTTGCATGCAGGGTCCGAGCCTAGTGGAACCCTAGAAGGTTGTGCTGGTCAGGACTAGCTGGGCTGTGGAGGCTGGCAGTCCTCCAGCTCTCTGTCTTCCTTTCCTTCCATGCCCCCACCTTGTCATCAGGTTGGTGCTCTAAACTTTCATATCTCTCCTCGGGATGTGACCCAGGCCGTTTGGTACATACATATCCTGAAACTCTTGCTACTCCCAGACTCCAAGGTAGCAGAGAATTTCTCAAACAAGATGCAAAAACCATGAACTTTAAAGGGGAGAATTAATAAAAGGCTTGATGACATTAAAAATCTTCAGTTTTCCTTTATTTCTATTTCATTGTAAATAAGTGAAAACACAACTCAAAGACTGGAAGAATATATTAGCAATGTATATTGCTGGCACAAGTCTGGCATTCACAATATATAAATAATGCCCACAAACCTGTAAGATAAAGACAAAGAATGCAATAGAAAAATGGGCAAAGAATATGAATATTCGATGGAGAGAAAGCATCAATGGCCATTAACTCATGAAAACTTGCTCAACCTCAGTAATAATCAGAGAAATGCAACTAAAAACAATGAGCTGCCATTTCACAGTGGCTAGAAGAAAACTGTTTCTTCCTTACTCCTGATGTTTTCCTCAGGAAAGGAGATTTCCCCTGATAATGACTTCTCGTCTTACCCTTTCTCTTCCCCATGGAGATGGGATAAGTTCTCTAGTTGGGGGGCTTTTGACTCACGTTTTTCTCCTGGGAGGAACTTATCTGAAAAAGATCCTGCATGCAAGGGATTTGGTCTGTTTCTCCATCTCCACCTCGACCAGCATGACCCAGCCACCCGGGCAAGTGTGATTATGCTCCACATTCAGTCTTCCCGTGAGTGGGCTGTTCCAAGGTTGAGCAAGCCCTTTCTGGCTCTCACATTAACCCAACTTTATTGCTGGTAAAGTTGATGTTTGGCTCTCCATCTCCTAAGTCCTTTGTCTATTTCCCAATTGGCTCAAAACTTAGGCAAGGAAAGGTAGTCCTGTTGGTTGGGTTTCCCCAAAGCATACCCACCAATGGACAAAAATGAAAAAAAAAATTGAATGATGCCAAGTGTTCTCAAGAAATTAGAGCAAAAAGGCCTCTTAGTGCTACTGATGCAAAAGTAAACCAATTTACTAATTTGGAGAGTAACTGAGTACTAATGAATTTGAAGATGTGGATTCCCCAGGGTCCGGCATTTCCTCTTTTAGGAAGATACCCTCACCCACATAAACACGAGTGTTCAGTCAGCACTGTTTGCAAAAATGGAAAATTGAAAACATCCTAGATGTCCATCAACAGGCAATATGAATAAACAATTAATGACAAAGTCAGACAGTGGAGTGCTACACAGTTACATTTATTGATAGGAAAAAATTTCAGAAAATATTGAGTGAATAAAAACAAGTTGCTAAAGGAAACATTTTGTATAAATATTTAAATAAAAGTTGAAAATCATATAGGTCCATACTGTATACATACACACAGTGAGAGTGGTGCTATATGGCTTGTATGTGTAATGAAGAGTCATAATCCTCACCCTAAACCTGGGGGCCAGGCCTGTTTTGATATTTGGAGTTGTTCACATTTTAGAAAGGCCACATGGGGCTGCATAGAACATTGCTAACAGTATAGGAGGCAGCAACCCAGGTTCAAATACATCAGTATTTCTTCAGTGAAATCTATGAGCAACCACTTAAAATGAGCCATATAAAGTCCATAAATAACTACATGTCAGTTCAAGTTTTACTGCCAAATGAGTTTGTCACAAATTTACAAAAAAACTGTTTCTTACAGCTTTTCAGATTTCAGAATTATGGATAAGGGAGTATAGATCTGAGTATGAAAACATTTATGGGAATAAAAGACAGCAAATTCAGGTTATGCTTGCCTTCAGGAAGGGAAGGAGGGGACAGGGATTAGTTGCTCATCCATAACGACACCTACTCCATAGTATTATGGGGCTGAGACACAGAAGAATGTACACACAGTGACTGACATTACAAAATACATTTGTAATGTCTTTTTTAAGGAAGCAAATATGGCAAAAGATGCTGAGATTTGATAAAGCCTCATGGTGGGCACATGAGTACATATTATTCTCTTTTTTCTTTTTTTTCTGAGATGGAGTCTCGCTCTGTTGCCCAGGCTGGAGTGCAGTGGCCCGGTCTCGGCTCACTGCAAACTCTGCCTCCTGGTTCAAGTGATTCTCGTGCCTCAGCCTCCCGAGTAGCTGGGATTATAGGCACTTGCCACCACACCTGGCTAATTTTTGTATTTTTAGTAGAGATGGTGTTTTGCCACCTTGGCCAGGATGGTCTCGAACTCCTGACCTCAAGCAATCCACTCCACCCACTTCGGTCTCTCAAAATGCTGAGATTACAGGCATGAGTCACTGCACCTGGCCTTATTATCCTCTACAAAGCTGTATGTTTTAAAATGTGTCTTAATAAGAAGTGTTGAATATTCATATCCTCTCCCCTCATCGGGCCCATAGAGATGAACTGAGTTTTCCAGTTACTCAACTAGTTGGTGGTACAGCTGGAATTCGAACTCTGTTTCTTTGCTTGACTCTTTCCATTAAGAGGATTGCGCTATTAACCTCTCTTAAATAAACGACTCTATGAATCAGTGAATTAAAGACCAGTTATTTTCTCTGAAAAATCTAAAGGGTAAATAACATAAAGAGAAACCAGCACAGATTGAGAAGATGGCAGAGCCAAGAGCCATCAGGGGTGTGTGGACACCCTCCCTAAATTCCCAGTGGCAGAGAATTTGCAATGCTCCATCCCCATTTGCTTCTCTCTAGTATCACCTCACTTCATTCCTCTGAGCTTTAGTTGAGCACAGTCTTCGCTCTCCTCTCCCAGGACAGCGAGTCTCTGAGTCGACCTTTTCAGTCTTTGGGAGTCGCCTTAAACTTCTTTCTTCCATTCACCAGAGCTGTTCTTAGGGTCACAGAGCTGGGAGGAAAAGTCATGCTGTGGGAAAACCTGCTTTACCACACACCAACATTTTCATCCAGGTGATAGAAGGATAAAATGAACATTCAGGACCTCAAAGGCAGAAGGATAATTCAGTATGTCGAGACTACCTGATGTGCAAGGCGCTGAGCCAGCTGCTGTGTGTACGTTCTTCTGTGTCATCAGCCCCATAATATTGTGGAGAAGGTGTCATTATGGATGAGCAACTAGGGGGGACACATGGCTTGTAAAGGGTAGAAAGAAGAGCAGGACTTGGATCTATGGCACCCCATGGCTCCCAGCTTCCCAGCAGACTTCACAACGGCAGCTGGAGTTGAGAAGAGGGATCAAGAGGAGTCACATGTTGGCCGGGTGTGATGGCTCATGCCTGTAATCCTGGCACTTTGGGAGGCTGAAGTGGGTGGATCGCTAGAGCCCAGGAGTTCAAGACCAGCCTGGGTAACATGGCGAGACATCCGCACTGCCCCATTCTTTACAAAAAATACAAAAATTAGCTGAGCGTGGTGGTGGTGCCTGCAGTCCCAGCTACTAGGGAGGCTGAGGGGGAGCGTCACTGGAGCCTGGGAGGTGGAGGTTGCAGCGAGCTGAGATTACGCCACTGCATGCCAGCCTGGGTGACCTGCCAGCCTGAGTGAGACCGTGTCTCAATAAATAAATAAATAAATAAATAAATAAATAAATAAATAAGAAAAGTAGTCACACGCATTTGAGCTTTCCCATGGGCAAGGGGGCCCATGTCTTTGTTCTTAGCTCCAGCCAGATGGGTTCTTTCTCCTTCCCAGCCCTTAGCATGTTCTCCTCCCTTCAGCACCCTGAACAAGGGACTCCCTTGGGGAACATGATAGAATGAGACTAGAAGACTCAGAATTTGGCAGTGATACTTTTGTAGAAGGTAAAAAATGGAAAGGAGGTAAAAGTTCATAGAAAATGGAGAAATACTGAAAATAGAAGAACTACAGTCAGATGTAACAGAAACTTGAAAAACTGGTTTAGGCCGGGCACAGTGGTTCACGCCTGTAATCCCAGCACTTTGGGAGGCTGAGGCGGTGGATCACAAGTTCAGGAGATTGAGACCATCCTGGCTAACATGGCGAAACCCCGTCTCTACTAAAAATACAAAAAATTAGCTGGGCGTGGTGGCGGGCACCTGAGTCCCAGCTACTCAGGAGGCTGAGGCAGGAGAATGGCGTGAACCCGGGAGGCGGAGCTTGCAGTGAGCCAAGATCGTGCCACTGCACTCCAGCCTGGGCGATAGAGCAAGACTCAGTCTCAAAACAAAACAAAACAAAAAACCAAAAACAAACAAGCAAACAAAAAACAAACTGTGGTTTAGATGAATTAGGAGTTTTATTTTTCTCTTGGTACAAGAATTTCAGAGACGGCCACATGAAGGTATGATTCAAAGACTCACAGATGTCAGGGCCAAGTCCCAGCTAGATCTTGGCATTTTCTTCATGGTTGTCCTGTGGTCACTTCCAAGCAGGAAGAAAGGTCAAGGCCAAAAGGAGGCTCCAGCTAAATCCACCCACCTCTAAGGAGCCTCTGTGAAGTCTTGCCTGGTGATTTCCACTTAGAAATCACTGGCCAGAGCAGACACTTGGCCACTCCATCTTCAATGGGAGCTGGGAAAGATAATTTTATTTTTCAATTGGGACCTCCAACAAAATTGGATCCTGTTAGTAAAGAAGAAAGTGAATATAGTCTCAAGTGGTCCATACAATTATATTTGTTTCTTGAGACAGGGTCTCACTCTATTGCCCAGCTTGGAGTGCAGTGGCATGGTCAGAACTCACTACAGCCTTGGCTTCTCAGGCTCAAGTGATCCTCCCACCACAGCCTCCCACATAGCTGGGACCATAGGTATATGCCACCATGCCTGGCTAATTTTAATTTTTTAATTATTTGTAGAGGTGGGTCTCTTTATGCTGCCCAGGCTGGTCTTGAACTGCTCAGCTCAAGTGATCCTCCTGCCTTGACTTCCCAAAGTGCTGGGATTAGTGCAGTGAGACACAGAGCCTGGCCCACAATTAGATTTTTAATTTTAAAAATACATTCAAAATTTACATTCAATTTCATATCTGCTTGTTTTAAAATAAAACCAATGTTTCAAATTACGTATCGTTTGGGGGAGGAGCCAAGATGGCTGCATAGGAACAGCTCCGGTCTACAACTCCCAGTGTGAGCGATGCAGAAGATGGGTGATTTCTGCATTTCCATCTGAGGTACCGGGTTCATCTCAGTAGGGAGTGCCAGACAGTGGGCGCAGGTCAGTGGGTGCGCGCACCATGCGAGAGCCGAAGAAGGGAGTTCCCTTTCCTAGTCAAAGAAAGGGGTGATGGACGGCACCTGGAAAATCGGGTCACTCCCACCCGAATACTGCGCTTTTCCGACGGGCTTAAAAAACGGCGCACCACGAGATTATATCCTGCACCTGGCTTGGAGGGTCCTACGCCCACAGAGTCTCGCTGGTTGCTAGCACAGCAGTCTGAGATCAAACTGCAAGGCGGCAGCGAGGCTGGGGTAGGGGCGCCCGCCATTGCCCAGGCTTGCTTAGGTAAACAAAGCAGCCGGGAAGCTCGAACTGGGTGGAGCCCACCACAGCTCAAGGATGCCTGCCTGCCTCTGTAGGCTCCACCTCTGAGGGCAGGGCACAGACAAACAAAAAGACAGCAGTAACCTCTGCAGACTTAAATGTCCCTGTCTGATACCTCTGAAGAGAGCAGTGGTTCTCCCAGTATGCAGCTGGAGATCTGAGAAGGGGCAGACTGCCTCCTCAAGTGGGTGCTGACCCCTGACCCCCGAGCAGCCTAACTGGGAGGCACCCCCCAACAGGGGCACACTGACATCTCACACAGCAGGGTACTCTAACAGACCTGCAGCTGAGGGTCCTGTCTGTTAGAAGGAAAATTAACAAACAGAAAGGACATCCACACCAAAAACCCATCTGTACATCACCATCATCAAAGACCAAAAGTAGATAAAACCACAAAGATGGGGAAAAAACAGAACAGAAAAACTGGAAACTCTAAAAAGCAGAGCGCCTCTCCTCCTCCAAAGGAACGCAGTTCCTCTCCAGCAACGGAACAAAGCTGGACGGAGAATGACTTTGACGAGCTGAGAGAAGAAGGCTTCAGATGATCAAATTACTCTGAGCTACGGGAGGACATTCAAACCAAAGGCAAAGAAGTTGAAAACTTTGAAAAAAAAATTAGAAGAATGTATAACTAGAATAACCAATACAGAGAAGTGCTTAAAGGAGCTGATGGAGCTGAAAACCAAGGCTCGAGAACTACGTGAAGAATGCAGAAGCCTCAGGAGCCCATGCAATCAACTGGAAGAAAGGGTATCAGCGATGGAAGATGAAATGAATGAAATGAAGCGAGAAGGGAAGTTTAGAGATAAAAGAATAAAAAGAAATGAGCAAAGCCTCCAAGAAATATGGGACTTTGTGAAAAGACCAAATCTACGTCTGATTGGTGTACCTGAAAGTGATGGGGAGAATGGAACCAAGTTGGAAAACACTCTGCAGGATATTATCCAGGAGAACTTCCCCAATCTAGCAAGGCAGGCCAACATTCAGATTCAGGAAATACAGAGAACGCCACAAAGATACTCCTCGAGAAGAGCAACTCCAAGACACATAATTGTCAGATTCACCAAAGTTGAAATGAAGGAAAAAATGTTAAGGGCAGCCAGAGAGAAAGGTCGGGTTACCCTCAAAGGGAAGCCCATCAGACTAACAGCGGATCTCTCGGCAGAAACCCTATAAGCCAGAAGAGAGTGGGGGCCAATATTCAACATTCTTAAAGAGAAGAATTTTCAACCCAGAATTTCATATCCAGCCAAACTAAGCTTCATAAGTGAAGGAGAAATAAAATCCTTTACAGACAAGCAAATGCTGAGAGATTTTGTCACCACCAGGCCTGCCCTAAAAGAGCTCCTGAAGGAAGCACTAAACATGGAAAGGAACAACCGGTACCAGCCGCTGCAAAATCATGCCAAAATGTAAAGACCATCGAGATAGGAAGAAACTGCATCAACTAACAAGCAAAATCACCAGCTAACATCATAATGACAGGACGAAATTCACACATAACAATATTAACTTTAAATGTAAATGGACTAAATGCTCCAATTAAAAGACACAGACTGGCAAATTGGATAGTCAAGACCCATCAGTGTGCTGTATTCAGCAAACCCATCTCACGTGCAGAGACACACATAGTCTCAAAATAAAAGGATGGGGGAAAATCTACCAAGCAAATGGAAAACAAAAAAAGACAGGGGTTGCAATCCTAGTCTCTGATAAAACAGACTTTAAACCAACAAAGATCAAAAGAGACAAAGAAGGCCATTACATAATGGTAAAGGGATCAATTCAACAAGAAGAGCTAACTATCCTAAATATATATGCACCCAACACAGGAGCACCCAGATTCATAAAGCAAGTCCCGAGTGACCTACAAAGAGACTTAGACTCCCACACATTAATAATGGGAGACTTATCACCCCACTGTCAACATTAGACAGATCAATGAGACAGAAAGTCAACAAGGATACCCAGGAATTGAACTCAGCTCTGAACCAAGCGGACCTAATAGACATCTACAGAACTCTCCACCCCAAATCAACAGAATATACATTTTTTTTCAGCACCACACCACACCTATTCCAAAATTGACCACATACTTGGAAGTAAAGTTCTCCTCAACAAATGTAAAAGAACAGAAATTATAACAAACTATATCTCTCAGACCACAGTGCAATCAAACTAGAACTCAGGATAAAGAATCTCACTCAAAACCACTCAACTACATGGAAACTGAACAGCCTGCTCCTGAATGACTACTGGGTACACAACGAAATGAAGGCAGAAATAAAGATGTTCTTTGAAACCAACGAGAACAAAGACACAACATACCAGAATCTCTGGGACACATTCAAAGCAGTGTGTAGAGGGAAGTTTATAGCACTAAATGCCCACAAGAGAAAGCAGGAAAGATCCAAAATTGACACCCTAACATCACAATTAAAAGAACTAGAAAAGCAAGAGCAAACACATTCAAAAGCTAGCAGAAGGCAAGAAATAACTAAGATCAGAGGAGAACTGAAGGAAATAGAGGCACAAAAAACCCTTCAAAAAATCAATGAATCCAGGAGCTGGTTTTTTGAAAGGATCAACAAAATAGATAGACCGCTAGCAAGACTAATAAAGAAAAAAAGAGAGAAGAATCAAATAGACGCAATAAAAAATGATAAAGGGGATATCACCACTGATCCCACAGAAATACAAATTACCATCAGAGAATACTACAAACACCTCTACGCAAATAAACTAGAAAATCTAGAAAAAATGGATAAATTCCTCGACACATACACTCTCCCAAGACTAAACCAGGAAGTAGTTGAATCTCTGAAGAGATCAATAACAGGAGCTGAAATTGTGGCAATAATCAATAGCTTACCAACCAAAAAGAGTCCAGGACCAGATGGATTCACAGCCGAATTCTACCAGAGGTATAAGTAGGAGCTGGTACCATTCCTTCTGAAACTATTCCAATCAATAGAAAAAGAGGGAATCCTCCCTAACTCATTTTATGAGGCCAGCATCATTCTGATACCAAACCCGGGCAGAGACATAACCAAAAAAGAGAATTTTAGACCAATATCCTTGATGAACGTTGATGCAAAAATCCTCAATAAAATACTGGCAAAACGAATCCAGCAGCACATCAAAAAGCTTATCCACCATGATCAATTGGGCTTCATCCCTGGGATGCAAGGCTGGTTCAATATACCCAAATCAATAAATGTAATCCAGCATATAAACAGAGCCAAAGACAAAAACCACATGATTATCTCAATAGATGCAGAAAAGGCCTTTGACAAAATTCAACAACCCTTCATGCTAAAAACTCTCAATAAATTAGGTATTGATGGGACGTATTTCAAAATACTAAGAGCTATCTATGACAAACCCACAGCCAATATCATACTGAATGGGCAAAAAGTGGAAACATTCCCTTTGAAAACTGGCACAAGACAGGGATGCCCTCTCTCACCACTCCTATTCAACATAGTGTTGGAAGTTCTGGCCAGGGCAATTAGGCAGGAGAAGGAAATAAAGGGTATTCAGTTAGGAAAAGAGGAAGTCAAATTGTCCCTGTTTGCAGACGACATGATTGTATATCTAGAAAACCCCATTGTCTCAGCCCAAAATCTCCTTAAGCTGATAAGCAACTTCAGCAAAGTCTCAGGATACAAAATCAATGTACAAAAATCACAAGCATTCTTATACACCAACAACAGACAAACAGAGAGCCAAATCATGAGTGAACTCCCATTCACAATTGCTTCAAAGAGAATAAAATACCTAGGAATCCAATTTACAAGGGATGTGAAGGACCTCTTCAAGGAGAACTACAAACCACTGCTCAAGGAAATAAAAGAGGATACAAACAAATGGAAGAATATTCCATGCTCATGGGTAGGAAGAAACAATATCGTGAAAATGGCCATACTGCCCAAGGTAATTTATAGATTCAATGCCATCCCTATCAAGCTACCAATGCCTTTCTTCACAGAATTGGAAAAAACTACTTTAAAATTCCTATGGAACCAAAAAAGAGCCCGCATCGCCAAGTCAATCCTAAGCCAAAAGAACAAAGCTGGAGGCATCACACTACCTGACTTCAAATTATACTACAAGGCTACAGTAACCAAAACAGCATGGTACTGATACCAAAACAGAGATATAGATCAATGCAACAGAACAGAGCCCTCAGAAATAACGCCATATCTACAATTGTCTGATCTTTGACAAACCTGAGAAAAACAAGCAACGGGGAAAGGATTCCCTATTTAATAAATGGTGCTGGGAAAATTGGCTAGCCATATGTAGAAAGCTGAAACTGGATCCCTTCCTTACACCTTATACAAAAATCAATTCAAGATGGATTAAAGACTTAAATGTTAGACCTAAAACCATAAAAACCCTAGAAGAAAACCTAGGCATTACCGTTCAGGACATAGGCATGGTCAAGGACTTCATGTCTAAAACACCAAAAGCAATGGCAACAAAAGCCAAAATTGACAAATGGGATCTAATTAAACTAAAGAGCTTCTGCACAGCAAAAGAAACTACCATCAGAGTGAACAGGCAACCTACAAAATGGGAGAAAATTTTCGCAACCTACTCATCTGACAAAGGGCTAATATCCAGAATCTACAATGAACTCAAACAAATTTACAAGAAAAAAACAAACAACCCCATCAAAAAGTGGGCAAAGGACATGAACAGACACTTCTCAAAAGAAGACATTTATGCAGCCAAAAAACACATGAAAAAATGCTCATCATCACTTGCCGTCAGAGAAATGCAAATCAAAACCACAATGAGATATCATCTCACACCAGTTAGAATGGCAATCATTAAAAAGTCAGGAAACAACAGGTGCTGGAGAGGATGTGGAGAAATAGGAACACTTTTACACTGTTGGTGGGACTGTAAACTAGTTCAACCATTGTGGAAGTCAGTGTGGTGATTCCTCAGGGATCTAGAACTAGAAATACCATTTGACCCAGCCATCCCATTACTGGGTATGTACCCAAAGGACTATAAATCATGCTGCTATAAAGACACATGCACACGTATGTTTATTGCGGCATTATTCACAATAGCAAAGACTTGGAACCAACCCAAATGTCCAACAATGATAGACTGGATTAAGAAAATGTGGCGCATATACACCATGGAATACTATGCAGCCATAAAAAATGATGAGTTCATGTCCTTTGTAGGGACATGGATGAAATTGGAAATCATCATTCTCAGTAAACTATCGCAAGAACAAAAAACAAAACACCTCATATTCTCACTCATAGGTGGGAATTGAACAATGAGATCACATGGACACAGGAAGGGGAACATCACACTCTGGGGACCGTTGTGGGGTGGGGGGAGTGGGGAGGGATAGCACTGGGAGATATACGTAATGCTAGATGACAAGTTAGTGGGTGCAGCGCACCAGCATGGCACATGTATACATATGTAACTAACCTGTACAATGTGCACATGTACCCTAAAACTTAAAGTATAATAATAAAAGAAAAACAAAACTTAAAAAAAAATTACGTATCGTTTAAAGTACTTAACTCTTTACCCCAGAAACTTTTAAGTAAAATTCATACTTCACGAACATGTCTCAATATTGCAGCATTGTTTATAATTTCAAAGAAATGGGGAAAGGCGAGTTATCTAACAATGGGGAATTGGCTAAATAAATTATGATACATTTACTTCTTGGAATACATGCAGTCATTAAATATAATGTTCTTGATGCACATTTAAGGTATATATAATATACATATTTGCAAACATTTTATGTTTTACACTTTAGAGCTGTCCTTAAAGAAATGTAACTGTTCTAAAAACAGAATCAAATGTTCTTGACAGAAGGACTTTTTTCCTGTAAGTTATTGATCTTCTTTAGTGTCAATATATACAGGAAACAACCACCCTCAATTGTAATAAGAGGATCTTGTGCAGGTATGACTGCAGGATTATCATCTATAGCAAAGCAGCATGTCACAGACACTTTTAAAAACCTAAAAACTTTATCTTCCTTCTTGCTTTGAAAAATCAACCAAGGAGTAATGCAGTGAACACCAAGATTTGAGGAAAAATGAACTCATGAACCATTATATGAAAAAAAAATCATGTTACAGTTTACATAATGAGATCTCAATTTTATTAAAAAAACAAAACCTATATCCCTGTGTATGAAGATATATGCATATGAAAAAACTGTCTGACAAGAAATTCCTGTGTGTATTCCACAGCGTACCCAACTGTTGATGACGTCTCTGTTATTGGGAACTTACAGTGGATGGGAAGACCAGAAAAATATATATGAAAAGCCAGACCATGACCTAGGGAGGAGTTAAACAGAGGACAGGAGTACTGGTATTTGGTGGTTAGGCACACTGCTCTCAATGCCTAACAGTCCTGGGTTCAAATCCAGATACTGTCCCTTGCCAGATGAAACCTTGGGCAGGTTACTTCTTTCAGCCTAAATTTCTTCATCTGTAAGTATCAGTTGAGCACAAATATATTAATATTGTAAAGTGCTTAGTAAAGTGCTTCAGATCAGCTGGCTACAAATTTGGGGTCCTTGACAAACGGGGGTTTTATAGCAAGAGCTCAGTAAATGGTATTTTTTAAATAAAAAATCTACTTCATTGAGTTATTGAGGGGTACACACAATAAAATGTACTGGGCCCTACAAATTATGTAGCTGTAGTTGCTTCTACCATCGCCATAGGTTAGATTTGACTTTTCTATAGTTTCTATAAATAGGATCATAAGTATGTACTTCTTTCACTTGGTCTAATAGTTTTGAGATTCACCTAGGTTGTTGCATTTACCAACATCAGCTTTATTCCTGATAGCCAAAACCTGGCAACACTCCAAATGTCCATCGGCAGGTGAATGGCGCGTAGTGCAGAATTAACCAAACAGAGGTCTGGTCTTTGTCTTGGGCCACTGGCAGGTGATCTCTAGACCCCTGAAGTCTCCTGCAATAGGAGTGTCATCGTTTGCCTGGGGGCTTTGGCCAGCAACAGCCTAATGATGTGATTTATGATGGGCCTTTGGAACACACAGTATTTGCTCTGGCCTCTGGGAGGAGCTGGAGACTAAAGGCCAGGTGCTTGGGCAGTGTGTGATTGAGCCCCATTAAAAGCTCTGGACACCAAATCTCGGTTGAACTTCCAAGATCCACAGTACTCTGTGCACATTGCCACATATCGATGATGGGAAGGCAACATGTTCTTGGGGGCGTGGAAGCTTCATATTTGAAACTCTCCCAGATTCTGCCCTATGCAGTAGAAGCTTTGGCTATTTCTAATTTGTATTCTTTCACTGTCATAAAACTGTAATTTTAAGTATAGGGCTTTCCCAAGTTCTGTTACTTGTTCTAGCAAATTGTCAAGCCTGAGAGTGGTTGTGGAGACCTCTGAATTTGTAGCCAGCTGATCTGAAGTGAGGGTAACCCTGGGGACCCCCACACTTGGCATCTGAGGAGAGGGCAGTCTTATGGGGACTGTTCACCCAGACTTAGCAGTTTGGCAAGCTCATTGCAAATGGCTGAGAAAATTTTTGTTTATCCATGGAATACAATGTAGTATTACTTAGAGATTGAGAAAAGAGGAACAGGCTACTGATGCGTATGAGACAGAGACGAATCTCAAAAAGCATTGTGCTGAGGGAGTGTGATTTTTAATGCAGGAACTCAGCAACATGTGACAAGGGACCCCATGCACTTATTGCACAAGAAATGCTGTTTTCACAGGAAATTGGAATCACCATGGCCTGCAAAGCAGAAGAGTGTCAGAGGCAAGTTAAACTTGCTCAGGGCCTGAGAGATAGAGATGGGGAGTTGAAGGGGGCGCCTTCTTCTTAGGCAGACAGAAGTTACCTTGGGAAGACAAGCCTGGCAGGAGCATGAGCATTGAGGAGTTACGGAAGGTATGGCTGGAAATGTGGAACATTGGAAGCTAGTGGAAATTTGGATTTACCCTGTAGGACATGTGGAAGCCCCAGAGTTTTCAGAGCTGGAAGGGGGTTTCCCTGTGACAAAAATAGGTTTGGATGAATTTGTTTTATATCATTGTAACAGGCTGAAAAAAATTTGAGACAAAATATGCTTTTCTCTAATGGAGAATAATTGGGATGGTTAGAAAAAAGGATATTAGCTCTGGATATAGGAATAAACAATAAAACAATAAAGTGTTTTTCAAACTTTTCTAGACAGTGACCCAATCAAAAAGTACATTTTATATCAATACGCAGTACACATGCACATAAACACATACATACATGTGAAACAAATTTCATGAAACAATATTTCCTTTTCTTATGGGCAGTGCATCTGAAATGTTCTATTTCATTCTGCTGCGTTCTATTCTATTATGTTCTATTCTATTTCTTTTTTAAACAATGCTAGTCATAGGTGACTAAACATATTCCGTCCTAATATGGCCACCCCTCCAGAAGACCAGGACACTCCCAGTTCTGCAGAGGCATGGCCATGGGTGTGGCAGAGAGCATGGGATGGGAGTGGGAGAGCAGGTGTGGGGACTGGCTCTGTCTTTCAGGTTACGTGGCTTCAGGCATAGCTCATCATCTCTGACCTCTGACCCCTGCTATAGGCCAAATACCTGTGTTCTTCTCCAAATTAATATGTTGACACCTAATCCCCAGGGTGATGGTGTTAGGAGGTAGGGCCTTTGGGAAGTGATTAGGCTATAAGGGTGGAGCCCTCATGAATGGGATTCATGCCTTTATAAAAGAGGCCCCAGAAAACAGCCTCCCTGCTTCCTCCATGGGAGGACAGAGTGAGAAAACACCATCGATGAATCAGGAGGTGGACCCTCACTAGATACCAAACCTGTTGGCACCTTGATCTTGGACTTCCCCGCTTCCAGAACTGTGAGCAGTAAGTGTCTGTTGTTTACGAGGCATCCAGTTTATGGTAGTTAGTGACAGCATCTCAAAAGAACTAGGACAACCCCTTTGCCCACTCCTTGGAGGGGCTGACAAACTTGCTCAGACTTAGAGCGGCTTGGTGCCTTTGGGGATAAGATCATGTATTTGAAAAGATCTTGGGAATGGCTATGTGCTACTTAAGGGAAAGAGGCTGTGTCCTTGTTTTTGCTCATCTCCCTGCACGTCTGGCACCCACTGCAGGTGATGCTTATCACAAAGTAGGCAAGTTGATGTCACCATATAAATAATTTTAAAAGTTCTGAGCATGCATTCTGGTGGTGTTATATGTTTAGGTGCATGGTCTTTAAACCTCACTAAAATATTCTTAGCTGGAAATTATTATCTTTATTGTATGGGTGAGGAAACAGAAGCTCAGAGAGGGGGGCTACTTGCCTGTGGTCACAAGAGTGAGACAGATTTCAGAGCCCAATCTGTCTGCTTTTTATCCCAGCTCCCCTGCCCACACCTGCCTCCACTGTGTAGCCCCTCAGGGTCCAAAGGCCAGGCTCAGGATATTTAGGGGTGAGTTTTAGTACAGGTGTCCTTGTGGTGCTCTCACTCTGGGTCCTGGTGGCCCCACAACATTCTAAATCTTTTATATGTGAAGGTCTTACTCTGGCATTGGAAGCTTGCTTTCCAAAATTATAATAATGACAATCACTAACATTTAGGGAGCACCCCAGATCCCCACTGAGGCTTTATACATGCATTGCCTCAACCCCTTGAGGCAGGTACTGTCATCATGCCCGCAGTGCAAGAGGTGAGAGAACTCACCCAAGGTCACAGTGAACAAACAGCCCAGCTGGAACTTGAGCTTGGCTTGTCCCTAAACCCGCCAGTGCTGTCAACCACTGTATTCTGGGAATTTGAGGAACAAGGAATGAGGAAGTGGCAGACAGAAAACGGTGCTCGAGTCTGGGGACATTCTGAACACTTTCAGGGAGGCCCAATAAGAAAAGAGAAATGCAGACAAATGAAATAAAGCAGAGGCTGGGAAGCCAACGCCCACAACACGACCAAGACCCCAAGTTCCCAAAGAAAGTGCTTTATTATTTTCAAAATAGCAATGTGTAAAAACGGCTTTTGCAGAAAAGAAGACAAAAAGGCTAACCTTTACTGCACCCCCAATAATGCCAATTCCCCAGCCCTAGCCCAGCAGAACCGTGGGAAAGCAGCCTTTGCTGTATGTATGTAGGCTTTCACTCAGGACAGGTAGATTTTTCATAATGACTTTGCTTTTAATCTAGGGAAGAGTGTAAAATTGCACAGCAAGTCTTGGGGACTCTGACAGCCCAGTGGACCAGGAAGGAATCTCCATCCATCTCTGGGAGTCTCTGGGGTCACAGGGAGCCTGTAAGCCAAGGGGAGGCTGGGGAGGAGGGAGAGCGGCTGGAGAGATTTATACATAGTGCTGTCCTCCCCCTGCCTTGGAATTACAGCACCATGAGAAGCTGTGAGATTAAATGAAGAGCAGGGCCCTGGAGAAGCTAAAGCATCAGTGGGAACAGGGGGTGCAGCAGGTGATAAGCGGGAGATGCAGGTTAATTATGATGCTGGCACACAGGTAGCCCCGGGAGGAAAGCAGAAGCCCTGGGGCGGGTGCATGTGTGTGTGAGTGTGTGTGTGAGTGTGTGCATGGTGGGGGAGGGGAGGGGGAGAGAGAGAGATCCATGATATCCATTTGTGTTTTGGCCCCATTCTTTTTTTTTAAAAAACCTAATCAAATCGATTCTCCTCTCCTACATAGAGGTTTGCATGCCCCACCCCCCACTCTCCTTGCCAATTCATCAATATCCTCATCCTCAGAATTTATCTAAACTACTTTATAGGAAAGATTCTTTTACCTTTAACCCCCTGCACCCCACTGGCCAGGTATGGAAGGATGATTAGACAGCCTGATCCGAAAGAAGGGGCACCAGCAATGACTAGACTAACTCTTCTGGGGAGAGGAAAGTCTCTGAGCTCTGCAGAGCGGAGGAGCCCCTCTCTGATCTGCCTCAGTAAGTCAAGCAGATACGATGCAAATCCACGCCTTCTGAGTTCTGGCTGTGAGAGAGGAGACAACTCCAGGCATTGTCTGGGGTAAGGAGCCCTCTTTGAGGGAGGGGTGCTTTTCTTTCAATGAGTTTAAGCATTTCCTTCACTAGCTTGACTCTGTAGCTGGTTCTTCGATCCAGTCTCCTCAGAGGTCCCCTTCTCTGCTGAAGCATCTCAGATCTTCCTGCTCCTTCTGCCTTCGGCCCCTCTGTGGCTCAGGCTGACCATAGGAACTAATATGCATGTTTGTCAGGCCCTTTCTATTTTTTAATTTTTTTCTCTTACTTATAAATTACCTCAAATGGGTTTTCTATCAAACATCATTTTTGTTATTTTTGGCTTCTGTGTCTCAATTTCTTTCTTTCTTTCTTTCTTTCCTTTCTTCCTTCCTTCCTTCCTTCCTTCCTTCCTTCCTTCCTTCCTTCCTTCCTTTCTTTCTTTTTTTTAAAGATGTGGTTTCGCCATGTGGCCCAGGCTGTCTCCAACTCCTGGGGTCCAGTGATCTTCCCACCTCAGCCTCCTAAAGTGCTGGGGTTGCAGGCGTGAGCCACTGTGCCCAGCCTTTGTCAGGCCCTCTCAAGTCGATGTAGCATTTATTGAGCCCAGTACTGTGTTAGATACCAGGGAATGTCTAAGTCTGAGATACCATCCCTGTTTTCAAGAAACTTGGAGTCTGGTTGGTGACACAAGAATGACCATGAGGCAAAGAGAGACATATATGTAATAAGGTCCCTGAATGGGAGCAAGTCTGTGTGAGATCACTGTATTCAGAGCACATGTGGCCCAAGGACCTTTATTACCAAATAAATCCACGATCAACCCCAGCCTCCCACTGCACACTTTTCTTACTCCAATCCCTTGGTAGCTAAGCTGTGTGACCACAGTGGAATGAAGTAAAGACCAGCAATCTGGGTGGATTTTCCCAAAAGCTTGCCATGTGACCTTGATAAATGGCATCACATGAGTGAAAGTCACAAAATAAACCAGTGGGTCTTGTCCAGTGTCCACTGCAGCCACATGGGGAGGACACAGCCTGGTCCAGGACCTTTCCATCAATTTAATTCCAATAGAATCCAGCCTCTTTCTTTGTATGATTTTGAAGGTAGAGTTGGTTTTGTCTTCTTGCTTACTGCCTCCTTTCGCTTGTTTAAATATTTACCTTACATTTTCCCTACTCTGACTAGGGGAGACATTTTGCTAACTTAAAATAGTTGAGCGACATTGTCCTCCACAGTCCCTTCTGGAGATGTGAATTTCCTTCAAACCTCTGAGATTGGGGTTTAAGCCATCTCTTCTGGAATTCTCTCATGGGGAGATAATTGAGTTCAACCGTTCCTTCATACCAGGACCAGGTACCAGTTGTTAAAGAATTATGGAAAGCTATTCCAGAGAACATGTTGCCCACTTTTAGATATCTGCCTGAGCTCCACAGATTCAGCCAGAGTCCATTTATACAATGCTAAATGAGAGTTTCCCACATACAGGGAACTCTAACATCTCCAGATAAATAGCTCTGCAAGGAGAAAATGCAAATTATGACTTAAAGTCAGCCTCTACTTTTGTGCAGTGCATACCAATGTGGCTTTACCCTTTAGCTAGAGCAATGGAGCTACTACTTCTTTTATGCAGATAGATGCCCTGCATGAGTTTGTTTCCTGAGACTGTTGGAAAAATAAATAGACTATTAGCTACTTGGTTTCCTCTTTAGAAACCCAGCAGGCACAACAGGGAGAGACATTAGTCTTTAAGCACCAGTTCTACGAAACAACCACACCATAGAGCACTTGGAGCGGAACTGAAAAAGGTTAAAACAAGTCCAGAGAAAGGGTGTGGGCAGTCAGATAGTTTAGCAGACGCTAAGCTTGTGCCAGGGACTTTTATAATCAAGGCTTTTGCAATAGTGATTTTGTAACAAGTAAAGAATCCACACACATGAGGAGGAAGTGTAAGAAATCAATTAAAACTTCAGAGAATGAAACGTGGAAGGCATAAAGCACCACACACTAAGAGACAAGGGGAAGAATTAGTCACAGAAATAATCATGAGGAAAGTGCAATTGTGGGATCATACAAGCTGAGGATGCCTAGAGGGATCCCTGGATGTCTGTGAGCTGTAAGGCTCAAGTGGATTCCTGCAGTGCTCAGCAAGCCTCGCCAGGCCCCATGTGCACAGGTGTGGGGTGAGACCATGTGGGAGGTGAGACTGAATGAGGTGGAATGAAAGGATTGATGGGTTTTAAATAGTTGCCAAATTATTCTGCTACATCCAATAGACTCTTCCTCAGTCTTAGAAGAAAACAAGGGGGAAGGCCAGAAAAGGGAGCACAGCAAATCTAACAGTGTGGGGCAGAGGGAGGGAGAGAAAAATGGCACATAATGGGGAGTGCAAAGGAGAAGGCAAAGGGAGAATGAACATTAGGACCTGATAACTGATACTAACATAAATGCAGTGTGTGTATGGGTGTGTGTGTATATACATGTTTCCAGAATGATGGGATAGATGTACTGTTCCCCTTTCCCCATGCTAAAGACAACTAGAAACTCTGGGTTGGTTTATATAAATAAAAGTTAGAAGATTCTGAAAGGCAGAGAGAAGGAGGTGAACCAGCCGGGAATCGTGGGACCTGAGGAATGACACAGTGATGAGCTTGCTGTTTCTTTTTGTTTTTGTTTTTGCTTTTTGTTTTTTTTTTTTGGCTCATATGTCCTGGGCCTGAAGCTGAAGAAGCCAGAAACAGGTGCAGAGAAGGAGAAAAAAAATCAACAAAAAGCTATTCTCTCTAGCTAAAGGATAAGGAAAGAGGCAGCCTAGCAAGGCAGAAGACTTTTAGACGATAACCATTATGCTCCAAACACTACAGTAAAAACTGTGGCCCCATCCCGATCCATGCTAGCAAAGACCTGGTGGGGATCAGAGACTTCCACCCTCATGAGGATATGATGGGGTACTTCAACAACCCCTGCCAGAGTGGTGTCTGAAAAGACCAAGTAGTGAGCCAGGGCTTTCATCTCCAGTAGCTGGTAACAAAGATTCTCCTACTGTGGTGTAAGTAGAGACCATATGGAAATCTGGAACCCTAACTTTCACTCAGTAGTAACAAGGAGTCCCCCAGCTTGGGTGTCAATAGATGATGATTGGAGAATCTTGACGTCTACCCCACGTGGCAGTATCAAGGCAGTGCCTTCCCTCTCCTCTTCCAGGGTGCTGACACAGAAAGCCAGCTAAAACAGAAGGCTTAAGGAAAATTCAGTCGCATAACATAATACAAAAACATCCAGGTTTCAATAAAAAATCAAGCGTCATGCCAAGAACCAGGAAGATCTCAAACTGAATGAAAAAAGACATTCAAAAGAGGCCAGCACCGAGATGACAGAGATGTTAGGATTATCTGATGAAGATTTTAATGCAGGCACAATAAAAACACTTTAGTCAACAATTAGGAACACATTTTAAACAAATGAAAACATCGAAAGCCTCAGCAAAGAAATAGTAGATATAGAGAAGAAACAAATAAAATTTTTAGAACTGAAAAATACCATAACTAAAAAAAAAGAAAAAAAACCCACAACAAAAATACCACAGAACTCAGTGGATGGTCTAGCAGAATGGAGAGGACAGGGGAAAGTGAACTGGAAGATCAGACATGAGAAATTATACAATCTGAATAGCAGAGAGAAAACAGACTGAGAAAAAAAAAAAGAACAGAACCTCAAACACCTAAATTTATGTCACAGGAGTACCAGAAAGAGGATGAGACTGAAAATGTCGTCAAAAAATCATTAAACTTTCCACATCTGGAGTGCAACATAAACCTATAGATTCAATAAGCTGAGAAAATCCCAAACAAGATAAAACCAAAAAAATTTACACCTAGTAGCATTATAATTCACTTTCAGAAAACTAACAATAAAGAAAAAGCCTTGAAAGCAGCCTGTGAAGACAGCTACTTTACCTATAGGGGAGGAAAAATTCAAATGACAGCAGATTCCTCCTAAAAAACCACAGAAGCCAGAAAGAAACAGGACAATATTTTTAAAGTGCTGGAAGAAAACAATTGTCAGTTCAGAATTCTATACCCAGATAAAATATTATTTAGGATTGAAGGGGAAATGAAGACATTCTCAGATGAAGAAAAACTAGGAGAATTTGTTACTGGCAGATCTAGCCTAAAAGAACAACAGAAGGAAATTTTGATTTTGACTTGAAATCAGTTTATAAAAATGGTAATTAACATGACATTGAAACATTCCTTTTTTTGGTGACATCAGAACAATGTCTATTAATTTTAATCGGCTCTGAATCATGCCCAGATTTGATCCAGTTGTGCCACTGTGTCATCAGGTCCTTAGTCATAGGAAATGCATCTTCTTCATCTACGATCTCATCCTTTATTAGTGAATATGACTATTCACTTTCTGTTATGCAAAATTTTAAACATAACCAGAAGTACAGAGAACGCTCTAATCAGCCCTCATGTACCCATCACACAACTTGTATACGCAGCAACATACGACCAATCGCAATTTATTAGGTTGGTGCAAAAGTAATTGCGGTTTTTGACTGTGTATTTTAAATCTTTATAACTAGGCTCAAACACATCTTTATTAATCAAAATAGAAACCATTTCAATCAACACATTTTTGCCAACAAGAATTAAGTTTGTTTCTTCCTGTAGCGTAAAGATCTGTTCTTCGGGATTCAACAAACTCTTGGAAAGCATTTTTTGCACCCTGCTGGTTGTGGAAGCATTTTCCCTGCAAAAACTTGTTGAGATGCTTGAAGAAGTAGCAGTCAGTTGGTGAGAGGTCAGGTGAATACTGCGGATGACGCAAAACTTCATAGCCCAATTCTTTCAACTTTTGAAGCATTGATTGTGCGACATGAGGTTGGGGACATCCAAAAACACTATAGATAAACCAAAATGGAATTCTAAAAAATGTTTATGTGCCTGTAATCCCAGCTACTTAGGAGGCTGAGGCACGAGAATTGCTTGAACCCAGGAGGCAGAGGTTGCAGTGAGCTGAGATTGTGCCACTGCACTCCAACCTGGGCGACACAGCGAGACTCTGCCTCAAAAAAAAAAAAAATGTTTATGTAACCCACAGAAAGGCAGGAAACGGAAAAAAGAAATGAGAAACAGAGAACAAACAGAAAACAAAAAATAAAATGGCAGATTTAAGCCCTAAGACATCAATAAGACATCAATAACTACATTAGATATTTAAGATTTAAACATACAATTAAAGACAGAGATTGGTACAGCGAATTAAAAAATATTACCTACTATCCAACTCTATGCTTCTATGAGAAACTCATGTCAAATATAATAATACAGGCAAGTTGAAAGTAAAAGGATGGAAAAATGTATAATGCAAACATTAATTACAAGGAAGCAGGAGTGGTTATATAAATTTCAGATAAAGTAAACTTTAGAGCAAAGAAAATTACCAGAGACAGAAGGACTATTTAATATC